>NC_000002.12:64792625-65417625 GCF_000001405.40 Homo sapiens
CCCCTCAGTTCCTTCATCTGTAAAAAGGGATAACAATATTACCTACTTCACAGGATTACCATATAGAATAAATGAGATAACACCTGCAAAGCATTTCACATCCTTCTTGGAACACGGTAAGTCCTCAATAAAATCTGGAATTAAAGAATTAAACTCATTCTTTAAAGGCCAGCTTACATAATATGTGTAATGGAACTTTCTGAGTTTCCTCTACTCAGGATTAATTCCTTTATCTTCTGCATTCTGGCAGTTCTATACCTCTATATGTATGATTTAATTGTAAATGTCTCAAGGATAGGGACCATGTCTTATTCATCTCAGTATCACTCCAGCATTCTAATACAGGCTATCAAGCCCCAATGGATAAAAAAGAGGGTGGGGGGTCATCTTGGCAATTCAGCTTCCTTTAATCCTTGAAAGACCCATACAATACCACTTACCTACCAATGCACAACCACATCTAGCTGCAAGAGAGGCTAAGAAATGTAGTCTTTATTCTATACATTGAAGCAACACCCTATCTATCTATCTATCTATCTATCTATCTATCTATCTATCTATCTAAGATGAAGCCAAAGGATCAAGACTAGTTCTGTAAAGAGTACATTGCCTGCTTTCAGTGACTCTTTCTGCCTTTAATATACTGATTTCGGGATAAGAAAACAACAGCTTCCTGATATTATAAATATCGTTGAGCTTTTGTCATACTAGGAAATACCTTTGTATTGACACACTCAAATACTATTCAGAAAAAAAGCCTTCAAATCCAGAAAAGAAATAACATAAGTGCCTCTGTAGCAGTAACGTCCCCACTGAGGCACAGCAAGCTCAAACACTGAGCATTTTGACAGGAAAACACGCAGATATTTACTTTGGCAACAGATAGATTTCACAGTTATTACTTCCCAGGTCTAAGCTATATAGTCATACGTCTTCCAAAAGAACACACAGACAGCAATATAAAACCCTGGCTTTAATCAAATTATACCTGTTTCTTTAGTGTGAGCAAAGCTCTCTGCCAATACATAAGCATCTTTTCATTTGGTTTGCCTGATGTGGCATATGAGTGAGAAATCAGGTTAATCCAGTAGTGAGGACATACCAATAACAGAGACCTGATCTCAATAAGCTTTTGGCAGGGAAAGCTTTATAGCGTATCTGTTCCTTTCTAGTTGAGGTAGAAAGGAGTTCATACAACCAAGAGTGCAGAGCTCTTCAGTTCTCATGGGAATGGCTAACTGATTCATGGTGCATAACAAAAAATCTGCAGATGACCTAAACCATCATACTGACTGTCAGATTACATTTTCTTCTTTGATAATATTTTACCCAAATGACTAACAAGTATACACAATGACTACTTGTGTATTTTTCCTTTGTCTCACTTCCCTTATCACTTAGGACATTTCTTCTTATTGAAATTAATCAACAAATATTAATAGAGACATTTAATTAACAGTAATTGAAGCATTTGCTGTGCAATGTAAGAAACACAAACTATATAAAGGCACTGCCCTCACTGAATTTAGTTTACAATTCAATTGATTTTATTTGGAGTTTTTGTTCATTTTTTAACCCAAATTGTGGCATATTATATAACTACTGTGTACCTTGCTTTTTTTCACCTAATGCCTCTTGGAAAGGGTTTCATATTATTATAGAAATATGGAATACATGGGACTATGGGATATTCCTACGACAAGAGTATAAAATATTCCATATATAGGAGTATGGAAAATTCCATTTACAGAAATGTGGAATTCAAAAGAATAGAACTGCCTTATTAGCCTTTTTAAACAGCTACATAATATTTCATTGTATGAAAATAACATAATTTACTTAAGTCCTTAAATAATGCACATTAAATCTTTTGCTGTTACAAATAACGCCGCAATGAATAACTTTGTACATTCGCTACTTCCCACCTGGGCAAATACATCTACAGGATAAGTACCTAAAAGTTGAACTGCTGGGTTGAATTGCAGAGAGCATGTGCCCTTGTGATTTGGTACTTGTTGCAATCAAATAGCTATTGCCAGACTGTCCTCCGTGAGGGAAAACAATTTACACACTCCGTAAACACTCATAAATTTACTTTTATGTATTTGGAACTTTACTGTTGAGTGTCCTCATCAAGAGAGGCAATTATCAAATTTTGTGAATTTTGCCAGTCAGAAAGATAAAAAAAAGTCACTTCCTATTTTTGATTTGCATTTCTTTTATTATAAATGAATGAAGCTGAGCACTTTTCATATGTTGAAGCAGGTATTTAAGTCTATTTCTGGATTCTCCATTCTGTTTCATTGATCTGTCTGTTATCTGTCGTTTTCAGAATTGAGAAGAATGATTCTTAATTTAAAAAGTAGAAGGTAAAACTGAGTTCTACCACTCACTAGCTAACTGTCTGATCTTGAATGAATCTCTTAATCTCTTTGATCTTAGCTTCTCCGTCTGTAAGACAATAAGGTTGAACCCCATGGGTTCATTAACTCAGATACATTTGTTGAGTTTTAAACTCCTTTGCTGGGTGCTGTTGATGTCAGGGAGAGCAAAAGCAGACACTGTCCCTGCTCACATGGAATTTACCGTCAGTGCGGGAGGGTCCAGCACTATTGGAATAATGACTTAGAGCACTGACAGTCCTAACTTAGGAGACTTGGAGAGGAGAAAGCAGGGAGAGGGCTGGAAAGGTTCCCAAAGGAAGTGAAGGAAGTAATGTGGAAACTGAGATCAGGTGGGAAAAGAGTTAGCCAGATGAAGCCAGGAGATGGTGGAGAGGAAGGCGTGTGAGGACTTGGCATGAAAAAAGAACTCTCTATTGTAGTTGGAGATAGACAGGAAAGTGGTAAGTAAGAGACGAGAGAAGCTAACGAAGTACACAGGAATCAGTTCCTGTAAAGCTTGGATAGATATTATGGTCTTTATCCTAAGCATTTGTCTTGCCTGGGACCTCTAAGAAGTAAAATCTGAGTTAAAGACCAAAGTGGTGACACTTTCTTGGAAGGCAAAAGCCAGGACAGTGAGGGTGAGGAAAAGGGAGGTAAAGTGAGGAAAGATGTGGAGCAAGGCAATGCTGTGTTATCACTCTGGTTACTGCACCACAATGAGCTCCAGCTGCAAGGAAACACAGCGGGTTGGTTACCAGGTGTTTGTTAACCACACAGGACTTCTCCAGAAAGTTAATGTGGAAAATCATATCTCAGAGCAATTCTTAGCAGGTAGAAAGGAAGGAATAATTTATCTGCCTGGTATTCTCCCATCTTGCATTGCCCATTGTTCATGTTTAATTCTACAGAAGCTAACTCCCATGTCCTTCCAGGGTGCATCACCCAGCCTCTCATTGGTTGTACCTGCGGTGTGGCATTTCATCCAAACCTGGAAGTGGAAGTGCAGGTGGAAGACCAGCCAATAGAGAAAAAAGGACACAGTCAAGGGAATCTGAGAAGGCACACAGGGTTTGTGTCCAACATACCATTAAAGAACTCCATGCAAGAGAGTGACATGGTCTGGCAACACTTGGGGGGACCGCTTAGAGAGGGTTGAGAATGGATGTAGGGAGATCAGTGGTGGAGTATTGCCATGATCCAGACGAGAGAAGACAGTGTCTGGGGCTGGCATTTGATGTAGAGATGGAGAAAGTGAATGGACATCAGAAATTTTAGGAGGTAAAATTGCCAGGGTTGAGGGATAGGTTGAATTTGAGAAATAGAGAAAGGCATCAAGGATGTCTGGGTTTCTGACCTGAGCAGCCCAGCCGATGGTGGTGTCATTGGCTGAGATAAGAATCTGAGGTAGTGAGGCAAGTCTGGGAGGAAAGATCCTTGGGATTTGAACTTGTGCCTATGAAAAGCCCAGTTGGAGACTTGGCATAGGCAACTGCAAGTAGGAGCCTGATTATCGGAGTAGTGGATGTGGGTAGCAGGGATTGCATATAGATGAGAAAAGGAAGCTTAAATAACCTAAACACTTAATGGCTCTGTAGAGAAGATTGGGTCTGCAAAGGAGAAAAAGAAACCACAGGCAAAGAGGTAGGAGGAAAATGAGAAGGGCTTTGGTCCTCAAAGCCCAGGGACTTGGGTTTTAGGAGGGAATGGTCCCAGAGAGACTAGGGGACATAAGGACTGAGTTCTTTCTGGCAATGTGGTGGTCATTAATTATTTTAGCTAAAGTGATGAGGCTGAGGAGTGAGGGGAGCGGATGAAATTGAAGTGGAGTATAGACGACTCATTTGAGAAGTTTCGCTGGGAAGGAGAGAAGAAAGAATAGTTGTAGGAAGGGGCTGTGGTTTCAGAGAGGTGTTTTTGTTTTGTGCTGAGAGAGACTCAAGCATGCTTAAGTGTAAATGGGAAGGATTCGGGTGTCAGAGAAGCGTTGGAAATAGAAGGGAGAGGAGACATTTTCTAGTGTGGGGCTCTGGGGGCTGGGATCCAGAACACAGGTGCAGGGCTTGACCTAAGGGCAGGACGCATCCGCCAAGGGATGGGAGGAAAGGAAGTGGGGATGGCGCCAGGGAAGGTGGGGCTGCAGCAGGAAGCTGGGGGCCTGGCTCTATGGCATCAATTTTTGAAAAGTAAAGGCAGGTCATATGCAGAAATGTGAGGTGATTCAATCGTAGGCTGTTATGACAGGGGAAAAAAAAGAAATGTGAAGTTGGGGTAGGGAGGTGTTTAAGGAGAATGGAAAGGATTTGAAAGAGAAGAAACTCTCAACCTCGTGATTTTTTTTTTTTTTTTTTTTTTTTTTGAGACAAGGTCTCGCTCTGTCGCCCAGGCTTGAGTACAGTGGTGCAAACACAGCTCACTGCAACCTCAACCTCTTGGGCTCAAGCAATCCTCCCACCTCAGCCTCCCTACTAGCTGGGACTACAGGTGTAGTCCCAGGTGGCCAATTTTTGTGTTTTTTGTAGAGATGGGCCAACCTAGTGATCTTGAGAGAACTTCAGTTCATGGGCAACTTGGAGGAGTGGTAACTGAGTGAATGGACAGGGGAAGTGCAGGGGGAAGATCGGATGGGGTCACCTGCCGACCCCACAAATCCTGCCTCCCCAGCTTACCCTTTAGCCAACCTTAGCTCTGGCCTTCCAGCTCAAAGACAAGGAAGCAAATGAGGTGGATCTGATACAACAGCCACAGCTTTTGGCCTTCAGATAACTAAGAAGGTGTCACTTTTATGACTCTCAAACATTCACTTAACACAAGAACCAATTCATTTTTGAAAAATCTTTTCTTGTGGCATACTGGTGATATTTTCAAATGTGGACGTTGGAAAATAAAACATTGTGAGCATCCACTAAAATTTTAGCACAGAAGTATGGTAAAAGTCTTTTGTTTCTTGGGCTTTTCTTTCAAGCGAGCACAGGACCTAACTGTTTAACTTGTGGTTAAGGATTATTTGTGCAGGGCACCTCAGTAGGTGAAATGTAGTGGATTTGGCATTTTGCCTGTGGAACACTGGGCAGGAGCTCCAGTTACAAATTGCAGTTGTATAAAATAACAGGAAATGTGGGGCTTTGAAAGATTCCACTGGAAAGATTAATTATTTGGAAAAGAGTTATGCATCAGCTTCGTGTGTTTTTAGAGAAAAGGTGGCCCACGCCATTTTTAATAGTGCAAAAGAAAATTCTGCTACCAGGCAAAAGAGGGGAAGAGAGAAACTCCTGTTCAGTCTTTTTCTGGAAGGGCTCACATTTAGTTTTAAAACCATCTTTATTCTCTTTGTTAGAAGACAAGGGGTTAGAAATGAAAGCCAGATGGAATCCTGGAAATATTTGAGGCTTATAAAAGAAAAGATCTGGATTTCCTAATTCTCTGAGATGACCTCCCTGGGTTTTTGGGTTTTTTCTAACTCTTCTACCATCCCCCATCCTGCCCCTCAACATTTAACAATTTCCTACACATCAGTTCACCATGGACACTCATTTTCCTGTAGGCATAAGAATGTTATTCAAATAAACTCAAAACTTCTGGGTGGACGCTGGCTCTGGATTTAGTGTCTCTGTAATGGCCAAAAGGATAAACCAACATTTATTGCACAGCTGCGACCCTAAATGATCAGACAGGCTGATACTCAGATAGACTTCAGCAGTTTTCTGAGAACAGTGTGCTTCTACACATTTGAAGTAAAATAATTCAATCTCTCCAGTGCACTCTAATTGTGAACTGCCAAGAAAATGTAGGGGAGTTGGTACTTTTTTTGGGGAAAAAAGGCATTTTCTTGAGTTCCTAAGACATCCATCCATAAATGTATACAGAGAAGGGACATATGTTTTCATGTAGGTTCATCACTTTCTTTCAGCTTGAACATCCTTCATCTGAAGTCGGCCCTGGAGAGATTTATTTGGCATGAACGTTTATTTGAGCAATGGAGGGAGGAAATTTTCTCTCATAGTTGAGCCTGACCACCAAATATGATCAATATTTATCCTCTGACATGACTGGGGAATGAGATCTTCAGGTTAGTCAATTATTTGGGCCAATAAAAAGCAACCATTTGAAGACTTTTATGTACAGAAACACACTTCAAGCCCAATTTTGGCTGCTGTGGAACTCAGACTTTCTGAGATGACCAGGTCTTCAGAATCTTTCAGTGCCTCAGGTCTCAGGCCATCACTAGAAACAAATCATCCTCATGTAAAGTAGATGTGTAGTAAACCAGATATTTCCAGTTACGAGAAGGCCAGAAAAACTTAGTTTTTACGGTAACTCTGTTAAGTTTCAGATTGATTTTTTTTTTTTTTTTAAGATAGGGTCTCGCTCTGTCACCCAGGCTGGAGGGCAGTGGCATGATCATAGCTCCCTGCAGCTTCCAACTCCTGGACACAAGCAGTCCTCCCACCAGGTAGCTGGGACCGCAGGTGTGCACCACCATGCCTGGCTCTTTAAAAATAAATATATTTTAGAGACAGGGTCTTGCTATGTTGCCCAAGGTGGTCTTGACCTCCTGGGCTCAAGCCATCCATCCTCCCACCTCAGCCTCCCAAGTAACTGGGATTACAGGCATGAGCCACCACATTCAACTCCTCAAATTGAATTTTTAAAGGTCAGAGAAGTGTGGCTTTGGAGAGATTATGATGGAAGTCCATGGTTTTCTTTATCCCCGAGACCTTATAGCCCAGAGATGGCTGTCTCAGATATGAAGGGAGAGAAGGAGCTGGCACCTTGCCTATTGGATGAGTCGCTTCCATTTTCCACACTCTCCCTCCTCCATCATCTTCTGTACACCTTGATGCTGATGCCCAGGGTCTTTCCTCCTTTTCAATAATAAACTTTTAATAGCCTTTGTGTTAGGGGCTAAGGATGAGAAGAAACACAGCCCCTGGCTTCAGGGGACCTTCATTTTAGCTGGAGAGATATGAAGCACATGCCAATCCAGGGAGGCAGCTGCTCAGAGCCATGGGCAGGTTTTCCTGGCCTGTGTCCAGAAGGAAAGAACCTAGAGAGGGAGAGGCCAAAGCTGCACTGTCAACTACCAGGGTCGTCACCCTGAGTCACTGGGCTGAGCTGTGGGCCTGAAATCTAGAGATGGCTTTGTTTTTCTCACACCTGCTATGTTGGGTGCCCATCTGGGAATGATATGAGAAGGTCAATCCCACCGCTTTTCCAGTCTCACTCAGAAATTCATCAACAGTCAGCTACTAGCCCAGCTGCAACCAAACCCATCCTGTATTTCTCATTTTTTTTCTACCCTACTCTTCTGTTCCTCCTTCAGCCTTTGACTCCTCCAGGATGTGGCATGGGGAGCAAAGACAGGTAAAGGACAGAAACTGCCTACCTGACTGGGGCCGTTGTAAAAAGTCATTATGAAGTGGTCCAGGTGACCCCTCATGCCTCATTAACTTTTTTGAAACCTGGGGAGGCAATGGCCATGCACTAACTGCTGCTTAGCCAGGGCTGCAACCCTGCAGCCCACCACTTTAACCTCATCGTGACTTTGGTTTTTGTTGATAGGTTGATATGCACAGTTCCCTACCCCTGTGGTCAGCCGCCCCAGCAAGCAGATCTCTTGCCCTTGAAAGAAATTTGAAAACAATTCAAGCCAACTCTCTTTCCAAGGTGTCCATTCTGCCCGAGAGATGCTCCCAGATGCTCTGTGGGGCATAGGCTCCTTCCTCTGCAGCATTCTCCTTGCCCAGCTGTCAGGAGCAGGGCAGCCAGTACCTCACCTTTCAACTTTCCCAGTCCTCCCAAGTGCAGGAACCCCATGTCAAGCACTCTGGGTCCATCTCTCGGGTCCTCTCACTAGGCTTCAGGGCAAGGGAAATGCCTATGAATCCAGGGTAACTCTGTCCCCAGTATTTTTGTCAGAGGCGTTTGAACCAGAGCAACTCCATCTTGAGTAGGGTCTGTGTAAAATAAGGCTGAGACCTACTGGGCCGCATTCCCAGATGGTTAAGGCATTCTAAGTCACAGGGTGAGATAGGAGGTCAGCACAAGATAAAGGTCATAAAGTCCTTGCTGATAACACAGGTTGCAATAAAGAAGCCAGCCAAAACCCACCAAAACCAAGATGGTGATGAAAGTCACCTCTGGTTGTCCTCACTGCTACACTCCCACCAGTGCCACGAGAGTTTACAAATGCCATGGCAACATCAGGAAGTTACCCAATGTGGTCTAAAAAGGGGAGGCATGAATAACCCACCCCTTGTGTAGTGTATCATCAGAAAATAATAATAAAAATGGGCAACCAGCAGTCCTCGGGGCTGCTCTGTCTGTGGAGTAGCCATTCTTTTATTCCTTTACTTTCTTAATAAACTTGCTTCCACTTTATGGACTCGCCCTGAATTCTTTCTTGTGCAAGATCCAAGAACCTTCTCTTGGGGTCTGGATCTGGATCGCTTTCCAGTAAAATTTCACTACCAACATTTAGAATGAATCGCAGAACTAACTCCGTTTCTGTTGTGTTTTTTTGTTTTTGTTTTTGTCTTTTATTTAACAAGTCCTGCCCAGAAGGCCGAGAATGTTTCTTTTAAAAGGTGTTCTTGTCACCTAATTTATCAATGTAGAGGCCTCAGCTGTGCCTACCGCAACAAAAAAAGTCCTATATTATCTCTCTGTTATTCTTAGTAAAAGTAATAACTAAAAGTTTTATAGAGCTTTCTCAGGTACCACCAGACATTGTGGTCCATGTGGATGGCACCCTCTGGAGTTGTGCAGTGCACAGTTTGCACAGCTGAGCTGGCAGAGTGTGCTTTATGGTTTTGTTTTAAGAAAAACAGGCACTTTCACATATATAGTAGTAATGATCATAACAACCATTACTACCATTTGTTTGGCATATAAGATATACCAGTGTATATTATACAGTATACAATCCACATTATGTTTACTCTTCACAACAAGATAATAGCTGCTGCAAAATGGGGCTTTTATCACCTGCTTTCAAATGAAGAAACTGAGGCTCAGCTTCCTGCCCAGTGATAAGCAGCTGGGATTTGAATCCAGTCCTGTCTGTCTCCTCAAGCAATGCTCCTTTTCATTTTTCTCTTTTGGATCCAATCACTGATTTTACAGATGAGCAAACTCCAGCTCAGAGAGATAGCATGGCTCATCCTGAGGCTCACAGGGCCTCCTTCTTTATTTCACAGAACTTCTAGGGATTTGATATGTCTGTGAGAGTGTGGCCTTACAAGGAGACTGTCAGGGAGAGACATCATAATATTGAACACACACACCAAAAAGACATAGCACCAGCTGTTTTTGGCATCTGTATAAGTCAGCATTCTCCAGAGAAACAGAACCAATAGGAGATATATATAATAAAAGTAATACATGTATTTATTACGAAGAATTGGCTCATGAGATCGTGGAGGCTAAGATGTCCCATGATCCGCCATCTGCAAGTTGCAGACCCAGGAAAGCCAGTAATGTAATTGCCTCTGAGTTCAAAGGCCTGAGAACCAGGAGAGCCTATAGTGTGTCTTGGTCTGAGGACAGGAAAAGACCCATGTCCCAGCTCAATAAGTCAAGCAGGAAAAAAAAAAAAGAAAGAAAGAAAGAGAGAGAAAGAAAGAAAGAAAGAAAGAAAGAAAGAAAGAAAGAAAGAAAGAAAGAAAGAAAGGAAAGAAAGAAAGAAAGAGAAAGAAAGAAAGGAAAGAAAGAAAGAAAGGAAAGAAAGAAAGAAAAAAGGAAGCAGATTCTCCCTTCCTCCACCTTTTGTTCTGTTTAGGTTCTCAACAGATTGGATAAGGCCCACCCACACTGGTGAGGGCAACTTTACTGAGCCCACTGATTCAAATGTTAACCTCATCTAGAAACATCCTCACAGACACACCCTTAGCCTAACACCCAGGGACCCCTGATCCAGTCAAGTTGACACAAAATCAAACTTCTCGGCATCTTTCTGTTCTGTTTGTTTCGTGTGCGGTTCTCTGGGCATCTTGGGGGAAGTGGTGTGGGGGCAGGCCAATCGTGAGAGAAGGGATCCTTGTATATATTACCCACAGGCAAGTGCCTTGGTTTTCTGGCCTGGATTAATAGTAAGGAAAGAGATTAAATGTGACGTGGGCTCAATGCAAATCTGGCAAGTAAAATTTAAATTCTGGAGCCTAGTAGTTGTGTGTTTTCAGAAATGAATGCTTACTGATTCTTTTCTGATTGAAGATAATATATGCTCATGTAGAAAATTCACATGATACTGCAAAGTATAAAGAAAAAGTAGGGCCGGACACGGTGGCTCAAGCCTGTAAGCCCAGCACTTTGGAAGGCTGAGGCGGGTGGATCACGAGGTCAGGAGTTCGAGAGCAGCCTGGGCAACATGGCAAAACCCCATCTCTACTAAAAATACAAAAATTAGCCAGGCATGGTGGCGGGCACCTCTAATCCCAGCTACTCGTGAGGCTGAGGCAGGAGAATCGCTTGAACCCGGGAGGCGGAGGCTGCAGTGAGCCAAGATTGTGCCACTGCACTCTAGCCTGGGTGACAAGAGCAAGACTCTGTCTCAAAAAAAAAAAAAAAAAAGAAAGAAAAAGAAAAGAAAAGAAAAGATAAAAATTTGTTACCCAAAGAGACTAACGGGCTTTTAAAAAAATTATTATTTTAAAGCAGACAGAGGGAAATCATACATTTATTTGCTCCCTGCAGCCATCCTGTTGGGGCTGAGGTTTCTGGCATTTTTAATCCTTCTTAGGAAGTAAGCAAGAGGACAGGAAAGATGCATTGCCTAACAAGGAGAATGGCCTGTAAAACCCAAATCCAGTGCTGTTCTTAGTCAAAACCACCCTTTTTCTGTAGTCTTCGGTTCAAAGGCAGTCTCTTCTCTCTTAGTTCACTATTAAAAGTGGTTTAGAGACTTGAAAAACAATTTCTCCATTTTGTTGCTGGTCAATAAATGCTTTGAGTTGAAATGGAATGAAATAGATGATACAGCACAAACCCATTGTGTTAGATTTTGTTAAATCAGGTCTAAATGAGGAATTAAGGCAAACACATGGGTAGATCAGACAAACCTGGCTGTCCTCCCACTGCTGGTTTGAATTTGGGCAAAAGTTCCACCTATGCCCAAATGGAAGTTGGCACCAAATACAAGTCGTCACTAAATTTTCCAAAGGGTAAATCCTCCTGTGATGTTTTGGTCAACTTGAGCACATAAAACTTTAGGTGATATAGATGAAATTGTGATATGCTTATTACATGTATAAGTTTAGTTATATGTACATGTTTAATATCATTTTTATAATATAATGAATTAATTTATAATTGCTGCTTTTTCCCACTCTCACTTTTTTTTTTTTTTTTTGAAACAGAGTCTTGCTCTGTCACCCAGGCTGGAGTGCAGTGGCACAATCTCAGCTCACTGCAACCTCTGCCTCCTGGGTTCAAGCGATTCTCCTACCTCAGTCTCCCAAGTAGCTGGGATTACAGGCTCATGCCATGTCACCTGGCTAATTTTTGTATTTTTTTAGTAGAGGCAGGGTTTCACCATGTTGGCCAGGCTGGTCTCGAACTCCTGACCTCAGGTGATCTGCCCACCATGGCCTCCCAAACTGTTGGGATTACGGGCGTGAGCCACTGTGCCCGGTCGCTCATATTTCTTAAAACAAATCTATTCAAACTTTTCCTGTGCCCCTTGGTCATCAGTATTCTTATTATCATTAGAGCCATTTTGAAGGCATTCTCACTTCCATCTGGACTGCTGGAGATTGTCTCGGACTCTGTATAGGATGCTGTCACTGGAAATTTTCTCCCAAACCACTAAGTGCCCATTTGCACAGCATTAGTCAGTTTCTGTTTTCACTGGTCTCCCCACCATAACCACTCACTGTACTGCTTTTTAAAGTCATCATAAAAGGCTTGTTTACAGCAACTTCCAGCATTGCAAATGTGAAGTCACACCTCCAGGAATAACTAACGAATCTGTGTTCGTGCTCACCTCCTTTTGTACTGAGTCAATGATCTCCCTAAGCATCCCAAACTACATTAATTGAAGTGATTGTAGGCTAATGTCTTCCCAGACTGTACCATAGTTGCTAAATATGAAGTAATTTAGTGAACATTAGTGTAACATGAGATACATTGAAAGGACTCAAAGATAAAGTACTCCTTTCTTTTTTGAGCAAGACTTTTTTGGGAAAAAGCCTTGCCTTATTGGCAGACTCAGATAGTGGTTAACATCTTTAGATGTTCCACGCCCAGGTATAAAATGTGGATCATAACTATTATAATTAACTGTGGGCTTCTTGAGGGCAGGACACATCTAATTTATTCATCCTTGTCCTCTGTGCCCAGTACAGTGACTAGCTCATAACAAATGACAATATACCTTTGTTGGAGAAGCGAATGAGCCTAAAAGCATGACTTTGTTTGCAAGGCACATGTCCACTTCTGTCTGCAAGGCTGTCCTGACACTGGGCCCTTCTCCCAGGTTCTGGCATAGGAAGTGCAGATCTCAGCCCAAACCAAAGAATTCTTTTTCAGGCGCTGTCACACCCATAACTGTACTCCAGGTCTTGGACTAGTGCTCCACAAACAGCTATTAAATGGATAGACAGAGGAACTCCTTAAGCCTATTTGATTTCAAAATTCACCTATATTTGAATGTATTCTGACAAGAGGCTGATTTTGGATGCTGCTTCCTCCATTTCATTTGGGCACAGCTCCTGTCATTTCCCAGTTAGGGTCTGCACTACGTGAGGCAGAGCAGCAGTTTGCTCTGGGAGGCTGGGCCTGGAGTCGGGTGGGGGTATGTAGGGCAGAGGAATGCTGGGGCTCAGAGCCACACCAGAGCAGGGGAGGGCCCACACATTGTTAAGACACGTCCGAGAATAAGGACTAGTAGCCACAAGCGGGTTTGAGTGGAAAAGCCAAAATAGCTGGCACCGTGCACTGTGCCTGTGGTCCCAGCTACTCAGGAGGCTGAGGCAGGAGGGTCTCTTGAGCCGAGGGGGTTGAGGCTGCAGTGAGCTATGATTGCTCCACCGCACTCCAGCCCCAGTGACAGAGCGAGAACCTATTAAAAAAAAAAAAAAAAAAAAGCGAAAAGAGTGTAGCAGTTAGGTGGATGCATCAGAACCCAGGTAGAGAGAAATCATAAGAAAACTTTAATAACCAGACAGGACACAGCCTGAAAACCAAAGCTGAATATTTATTCACTGAAATGGCAATCATTCCACCATTCTACTTGCTAAAGGGACTTAACCACGAATCCTTATGTGTATGTGAATGTTTATATGAGACAGAGAGAGATGTGTGTGTGTGTAATCACGGGTATGGGGGCTTCCTGCCTTGAGGGGCTGAAAAACTGGGGATCAGAGGAGGGGAAAACAAACCTTTGTGGAGCACCAGGCATGCCAGGCATGAGAGAGCTCCAGCCCTGCTGCCACTCTGCCTTGATTTGAACCCCAGCTGCCCTGCTCACCAGCTGGCATGCCTTAGCCAAGTTCTTAACACCTCTGTTCTTAGAGTCCTACTTTAAAATGTGCATGATACTAGTGCCTACCTCACGGAGTTGCTCTGCAGACTGTGTGAGTTAACACACGCTGTGTGCACTAGAGAGCCACAAAAGCTTTGCTTTTCCTCTCGTCAAATAGTGGAGTCTGTTTCCCTTTTCCTTGAGACTGGGCTGTCCCTGTTGCTGGTTTTGACCACATCAAAGGAAGAATACTGACTCCCCAAAGATGTCCATGTCCTAGTCCCAGAACCTGTGACTATAATACATCACACGGCAAAGAGGAATGAAGGTTGCAGGTGGAATTAAGGTTGTTAATCTGTTGACCTTGAGGTGGAGGAGAGGATCTTGAATTATCCAGGTGGGCCCAATGGAACCACAAGGGTCTTCAAATGTGGAAGAGGGAGGCAGGACAGAGTCTGAGTCCAGCGACACGGGATGAGAAAGACTTGACCAGCCATTGCTAGCCTTGAAGATGAAAGGGGACCCAGCCATGCAATGCAGGCAGCTTCAAGAAAACAGAAAAGGCAAGAAAAAGGATTCTTCTGTAGACACCCCCCCGAAAAATGCAGCCATGCCAACACCTTGATTTCTGCCCACTGAGGCCCATTTTAGACTTCTGATCTCCCAACCTGTAGAATAATACATTTGTGGGTTTTGTTTGCTTGTTTTGAGATGGAGTCTTGCTCTGTTGCCCAGGCTGGAGTACAATGGCACAATCTCAGCTCACTGCAACCTCCACCTCCTGGGTTCAAGCGATTCTCAGGCTCCCAGGTAGCTGGGACTACAGGCATGCACCTCCACTCCTGGCAAATTTTTGTATTTTTAGTAGAGACAAAGTTTCACCATGTTTCTGGTAATTTGCTGCAGTTAGTTGCTGTAGGAAACTAACACAGACCAATAGAATGGGGTAGAGTTAGGATGTGTAATATCTAAGGCCGGGCCTTAAGAGATCAGAGGCTTCCAATTCCATCCTCTTGGAATTCAGCTGTCACGTGAGAAGTCCAACTATGGTGAGTCACCATGCCTTGAGGAAGCCCAAGCTAGCCACATGGAGGAGCACTGAACTGCCAGACATATGAGTGATGCCTTGGTCTTTCCAGCCCAGCCACCAGCTAAATGCAGCTGAGTAAATGTCAGCTGATGCGTGGGCACAGAACTACTGAACTGAGCCTGCCTGGATTCCTAACCAGTAGAACTGTGAGCAAATAAAATGGTGGTTAGTTTTGGTTTTGTTTCTCTGACAAAAATGCCATTCGGGGGAAAAAAAATGGTTGTTTTAAGTCACTGTATTTCATGGTTGTTTTAAAAAATTATTTTAAATAACTTTTCATAGATAACAGGGTCTCGCTATGTTGCCCAGGCTGGTTGTGCAAACTCCTGGCCTTAAGTGATCCCCACTGCCTTGGCCTCCCAAAGCACTGGGATTGCAAGCATGAGCCATGGCATCTGGTCTTAGGATTGTTTTATGCTGTGATAGACACCCTATAAAGCACTTAGAATGGTACTTGCCATAAAATAAGCATTCAATAAATGTTGGTGTGATGGCTAATATTAGGTGTCCACTTGATTGTGATACAGGAGTTAAGAAGAAATTATTTAGGCAGATAATGAGGGTGTGGAAGTCCTCGGTAAGGTTTTCCTTTTAATGAAAGCAGCCCCAAATTACAAAGAGCAGCCTGTAAAATCAAGCTGCAGACATAGATGCCACCAATGGTGGCTCCATCTTCCCTTCTCTTTGTCAGCCATGTGTACAGTAAGGAGCAGACAAGATGGTGCTGGTCTACTGGAAAGCCCATTTGCATAGTAAGATTAGGGTGGGGTGGCCAGCCTTCCCTGGGCCCTATGTAAATGTCATACCTGATTGAACAAATCTGTGAGCTCTATGTAAATCAGATACCACCTCCTCAAGCCTGACTATAAAATCCAGCACATCCTCCACCTGCCGATCTTTTCCTCTCAGAAGTCCTCTCTCTCTCACTAGAGAGAGAGCTGTTTTCCTCTCCCTTTCATTCTCTTTCTTTTGCCTATTAAACTCCACTTCTAAACTCCTTGTGTGTGTCTGTGTCCTAAATTTTCCTGGCACGAGATGACGAACCCTGGGTATTTACCCCAGACAACATAGCCACTTAGATTGAACTGAAGGATGCTTAGATAGCTGATAAAGTATTGTTTCTGGGTGTGTGTCTGTGAGGGTGTTGCCAGAGGAGACTGACATTTGAGGAGGTGGACTGAGAGAGGAAGACCCACCCTCAACGTGTGAGTGCCATCCAGTTGGCTGCCAGCATGGCTAGAACAAAGCAGGTGGAAGAAGGTGGGATAAGCTGGCTTGCTAAGTCTTCTGGCTTTCATCTTTCTGCCTTGCTGGATGCTTCCTTCTGTTCATTCTGCCCTTTGGACATCAGCCTCCAGGTTCTTCAGCCTTTGGACTCTTAGACTTACACCAGTAGTTTGCCCAGGGCCCTCAGGCCTTTGGCCATAGACTGAAGGCTATGCTGTCAGCTTCCCTGGTTTTGAGGCTTTAGGAGTAAACTGAACCCTACTGGCTTCTTTCTTCCCCAGCTTGCAGACGGCCAATTGTGGGACTTTGCCTTGTGATCATGTGAGCCAATTCTCCCTAGTAAACTCTCTTTCATATATACATATATCCTATTAGTTCTGTCCCACTGGAGAACCCTAATACAGTTGGTTATACTAGTTTAGTTATATATATAGTCATGTGACAAAAAATGACATTTCTGTCAACAGTGAACTGCATATATGGTGGTCCCATAAAATCATGATGGAGCTGAAAAATTTCTATCTCCTAATGACATCATAGCCACTGTAGTGTCACAGCCATCAAAATTTGACAGCATATATTACCTTTTCTTTGTTTTGATATGCTAAAACTTTCTGGGCACAGTGCCACCACATGCCTGTAGTCCTAGCAACAGGGGCTGCTGTAGTGCATGATGATCACACCTGTAAGTAGTCCAGCCTGGGCAACATAGAGAAACTACATCTCTTAAAAAAAAATCCATGAAAATATTCATAATAAAGAATTATTTTAAAGAGTCAACCAAGAGTCCCTGTGTTCGTTTCCTAGGGCTGCCATGACAAATCATCACAAACCAGGGGCTTAAAACAACAGAAATTTATTCTCTCACAGTTCAAGAAGCTAGAAGTCCAAAAGTGAGGTGCTGGCAGGACATGTTCCCTTCCTTGCCTCTTCCTGGCCTCTGGGTTCCCAGAAATCCTTAGCATTCCTTGGTTTGTAGATGCATCTCTCCAATCTCCCCCTCCATTGCTGTGTTACTTTCTTTCCTGTGTGTGTTTGTGTGTGTGTCTCATTTTCTCTCTCATTTCTCTTATAAGGACACCAGTCATTGGATTTAGGGCCCACCCTAATCCAGTATGACCTGATCTTAATTAATTACAAAGGCTCTATTTGCAAATAAGGTCATATTCTGAGGTTCTGGGTGCCACTTGAATTTTTTGGGAGTTGTGGGACATTATTCAACCCAATACAGTCCCTCTGTTTCATACTAGAAAACTAGAGATATCATTAGGCAGACTATGCACAAATGATAGCTGCAGGCAAAAACTTGGAGGATGAAGAGTTTAAACCTTCAGGGGGCCAGGTGTGGTGGCTTGCACCTGTAATCCTAGCACTTTGGGAGGCTGAGGCAGGTGATCGCTTTGAGCTCAGGAGTTTGAGACTAGACTGGGCAACATGGTGAAACCCCCTCTCTACTAAAAATATAAAAATTTGCCAGGCATGGTGGTGTACATCCATAATCCCAGCTACTTTGGAGGCTGAGGCAGGAGAATTGCTTTATCCTGGGAGGCAGAGGTTGCAGTGAGCCGGGATCACGCCACTGCACTCCAGCCTGGGCGACAAAGCGAGACCCTGTCTCAAATAAATAAATAAACAAATAAACAAACCTTGAGGGGAAAACGTTGAGAAGACCTCAGGTAGAAGTTAAGATTTAAACTTACCCTCCATGTAGACATTTGATATGGTTTGACATGTGCCCCTCCAAAATTCATGCTGAAAGTTAGTCCCCACTGTGGTGGTATTAAGAGGTGGGGCATTTGGGGAAGTGAACAAGTCTTGAGGGCTCTGCCCTTATGAATGAATTAATGGCTTCATAAAAGAGGTTTCAGAAGCAGTTTGCCCCCCTCACTCTTCCACTCTTCTGCCAGATGAGGATGCAGCAAGAAGGCCCTCATCAGACACCAGATGCTGGTGCCTTGATCTTGGACTTCCCAGCCTCCAGAACTGTGGGAAAGAATTTCTTGTTCTTTTCAAATTACCCATTCTCAGGTATTTTATTATAGCAACACAAATGGACTAAGACAATGTTTCATAAACCTCTGACAGTTTTGGAACTATGAAAGAATGCTATTGAATGCTATTGCTCTAGTTGACAATGAAGGTAAGCATTGCTTACCTTGAATAAAACACTCAAGCCATTTTAGAAGCTCACATGATGAGACATCATTTTCTATCCACTGGTGTTCTTGTCAGTGCCTTTTGTGATGTGCTACTGTTCTGAGGAGCCCCTTACCTGGAGGTGGGGGAGCCCCTGGATACCATGAGACTGGGGCAATGAAGGGGTCTGCAGAGACTAGAAAAATGCTCAGGCTAGAATAGCCAAGTCAGGAGAGCAGGGCAAGTCAGAGGACAAGAAATAGAGCAGTGACAGCTAATCTAGTCACTGGTAATAAGAATTGGGGCCACTGTGTCCAGACCATCTCACACAATAATTAGAGTGCATTTATAGAGTGTTGCTTTGGGAGGTTGAGGCATGAGGATCGTTTGAGGCCAGGAGTTCGTGATCAGCTTGGGCAACACAAGGAATCCTCATCTGTATAAAAAACTAAAAAATTAGCCAGGAGTGGTGGTGAGCGCCTGCAGTCCCAGCTACTCAGGAGGCTAAGGAAAGAGGATCACTTGAGCCTAGGAGTTTGAGGCTGCAGTGAGCCATGATCATGCCACTGCACTCCACTCTTGGCGACAGAGTGAGACCTTGTCTCTAAAAATGTATATAAATAATAAAATGAACAAGAAATAAAACATAGAGTGCTTACTATGACTAAATATTTATTCCTTTAACTTTTATTACAACCCTGTGAGGGGATTGCTATTTTTACCATCTCTGAGGCCCAGAGAAGGTATAGTTGTCAGTTCCCAGAGGTGCTCCTGTGATTCTTACCTCCTGATATTTACACCCCTGTGTGCTTCCCTTCTCTGTTGAATCAGGGCTGCCCTTGGTCCCTGATACGTGTCTATGGAGGATATGCTTCTGCAGCTCAGGCTTGGCACCCTTTTGCACAAGCTGGTGACATGTACCCCTTCACTGTAGGTAACAGATACAGAGATGCTCCTACCTCCAGCTGAGGTCCTGAACCAGCCATGCCTGCCCCTTCTGGCCCATCCTCTGGGGGCTGAAGAAGGACAGGCATGATTCTGCTAGTGAAGGAGAAAGGTGAGGAGATTGCCCTAGCCCCCAAATATATCTGTTCCTGCTGTCAGGCAATCCAAAAGCCTTAAGGAGACAAAGCCTTTTGTTCTGTAATTATGGCAGATATGAAATTTAAAGGGCAAATACCACTGGAAGAAAGAAGTAGACACTGTCTTGAACTCACACTAAATTATTCTGAGAACTGAGTTCAGAGCAGGGCGAGACAAGAGAGCAGGGCTGGGGTTGGTGGTGAGGGGTGAGAAGAATCCACAGAAGGAGGAAAGGGCAAGCAGAAAGGGAAGGCTTGGTTCAACCAAAACAAACACTGTTTCTTCCAACTAGTCCTGTTTGGAAGAGCTTTTGGGGTCCATCTTCTGAAATCTCCAAATTGTGGCAAGGACAATGCTGAGTAAGTAGCTGCCTGAAGGACAGGGGTGGGTGAAAGTCGTTGGATTCATTTACCGGATACCAATTTGCCAGAAAAGGAAGTGGGGGTGTCAGGGACATTATTTCCACTTCCTGGTTACATGTTCAAACATGGAACAACTGAGTTCTAACAGGATGAGGGAATAAAATAGGCGACCACCCCAGGCGGCACCACACCCAACACATTTCAGAAAGGAGTGAGAACTAGTAGTGTTTGTAAGAGCCTCCAGAGAGCAGTGCCTAGTTGCCACTTTAAATAAAGGACACCAATGGTACCTCTAAGAATATGTATACTTAAAAGCCAGCTACAAAAGGTTGGACACAACCTCTTTGCTTTTGAATAAAATTAAATAAGTTGTGATCCATTCAGACAATGGAATACAGGTAACCACTAAAGAAATCTGGCTGCTTTCTATGTGTTGGTATGGAATGATCACCAATATAAACATGAAAAATAAAAACAGGCAGAACAGTCTGGGTAATATGCTACATAGTGTTTAAAACATTTTACCACAAGGTGCAGTGGCTCACACCTGTAATCCTAACATTTTGAGAGGCTGAGGCAGGCCAACTGCTTGAGCCCAGGAGTTTGAGACCAGCCTGGGCAACATAGCAAAACCCCATCTCTACAAAAAAGTACAAAAATTAGCCAGGAATTGTGGTGCACACCTGTGGTCCCAGCTACTCAGGAGGCTGAGGTGGGGGGATGGCTTGAGCCCAGGAGCTTGAGGCTACAGTGAGCTGTGATTGCACCACTGCACTGCAGCCTGGGAGACACAGCAAGACCCTGTCTCAAAAAACAAAAAACATTTTACTACATCTGTGCAATATAATAGCATATGCATATTCTAGCAGGTGCATAGAAAGTCCCTAGAAAAAAACACATGAATGTATTTTATATGTGTTCTATGTATGAGAGCTATAAAAAATAATGAGGACTGGGTTACAAGTCAGGATTCTCCCTGTGAGGAGTATGGAATGCCGGGGGCTTTTGGGGTGCAGCCAATATTCTGTTTCTTGACCTGGGCGCTGATCACACGATATGTTCAGTTTATGAAAGCTTATGCAACTGTATTATGACTTGTGTGTTTTTCTGTGTTATACTCCACTACAATTTTCCAAAAATAAAATAAAATAAAATTGAATTAAAAAAGCATAACTCCAGCATCAGGCAATCCAAGAGATTCTCAATCCCTTTCTCAGCAGGATTAGTCCTGACTATTACTCACACGCTCAATTCAGGACAGGGGATGAAAGGGGCTTACTTTTCAACGTTCTCCAATCTGGCCTCATTTATTCTTCCTTCACACTGACCTCAGCCTCTTGTTTATCAATTGCTTCAGGTCTTTTTTTTTTTTTTTTCCAAAACAGATTTAGCCACAGTTGTTCATCTGTTCAACAAAGTCTGCCCGTTGTCCAATCTGCGGCTCTCCAGGGCTGGGGTGTTGAAGAGAACCTGCTGGCTGTGAAACAAAAGGAAAGTTGTTTCATTTCATGCCGGTACTTTTCAGTGTGAGCAAGCACGTTTCTTGTCTTTTAAAAAAGGTAAAGACTTAATTCTTCCACCCTTTAAATTGAGGAGAAAGAAAAAAATACAATTTTCTTGATATTTTTCCTAAGGGGTAACAGATTGCCCCAGAAAGAAAAATCAAATACTCTCCGATCCCATTTTCAAAATTGATTCTAGGCATTCTCTTGGAGGATGTTGAATCTTTGCCCAGTGAGTTCAGAGCAGCAACCAAGATTCACACACATCTGGAATACAGAGCACCCTAGAGAAGGAGCAGGAAGGAACCTGGCATATACTGAAGGCCTACTGTGCGCCAGGCACTATGCTAGGCACTTCCATCATTATTGCATTCATATCATGATAACTTTATAGGTAGATACTGTTATTTTGCTCAGCTTGCGGAAGAAAACAAAACCTCAGAGTGGTTCCGTATCTCACCTGAGGTTCTACGCTATACCTATCCCAACACAGAGTGGCTGAAAACAACACTTTACTATGGTTGCTTGTGATCCTAGGGTTGACAGAGCTCCATTGGGTGATTCTCACGTGAGGTCTCTCATGCAGTTGCAGATAGATGTCAGCTGTGGCTGTAGTCTTCTGAAGACTCTACTGAGCTGGATGTCCAAGCACAGTAGAGCAAAACTTTATTGAACGAGTGCGGACCTGGGGCTGTCACCTGGGCTGTCATCTAGAGCACCTGCCTACACATAGCCTCCCCACGGGAAGGTTGTGTTCCCAGAGGGATGTCCCAAGAACAAGCATTCGAAGAGAGCCAGCCAGAAGCTACAAGTCTTCTTCTGCCCTAGTATCACTTCTACTGTGTCCTATTGGTCAAAGTGAACCACAGGCCTAACCCAGATTAAAGGAGGGGTAAATAGACTTCACTTTTTTTTTTTTTTGGAGACAGAGTTTCACTCTTGTTGCCCAGGCTGGAGTGCAATGGGGTGATCTCGGCTCACCGCAACCTCTGCCTCCCGGGTTCAAGCGATTTTTTTTTTTTTCCAGACTTCATCTTTTAATGGGAGAAGGCATAGGAAAGAGTTTGCTGCCTTCTTTAGCCTACTACATCTAGAAAGTGGTGAAGCCAAGATTTGAATCCAGGTTAGCCTGACTCCTTCCTTTAGAGACACCTCCAGGCTTCATTATGAACCTGCCTAACCACTGAAAAATGGCCATTATTGATTCTAGTGTTTGCAAAGGAAATAAGTGGCAATATCAACAACACTTAGATACCTCTTAATAAAGAGGCCAGTACAGGCGGCACCAAGCTCCATTGAGAAGGTCTGAATCTTCCCACTACCCACTGGAAGCTGTTGTCTTTTCAACAAAAGGTGAGGATCTGGAAATGCCTGCAAGACTTCTGAGGTGCCAGGCATCCCTCCTTCCACCATAAGATGATGGGCTAGGGCCCATCATCTAGGAGATACTTGAGCCTATCCCCTAGATATCTAGGTTAGGAGTTCTCTGGAAGCTCTGTGATAAGTGTCGTCTGGAATCCCGAGCAAAGTTCTGTGAGCTTCAAGAATAACTTTTTACCAGGTTTCTTTTAAAAATGAGAGCCCTAGCCGTGTTCCCCAACACCCATCCCCGGCTACTGCCCCTGTGGTAACCCACTCTCTCCAAAGGCTCATGTGCTTGTCTGTGTTGGGGTCAGCCCTGATACTGGGTCCCATGCTGCTCCAAATCTTTCTGCTGTGCTGTGTGGCTCTATGAGACTAAGGTAAGAATGTGCTTCACTGGATATAAGAAAGGCCCACTCACCCTGGGGCACTGAGATTCTGTCAAGGCAGGTCAGCGAAGGAGCATTCTATGGGAAGTTGAGTTATTCTCCCAAGAGAGACTAGAGAAGGTATAGAAGGTATTTCCTATTTTATTTTTTTTAGCATCCCCTGCAGCTGAAGGGGAGCAGAATATACTGCCTGAAAATATGCCACTTTGTTGTATGGGTTATTTTGAGTTGAATGCCATTGAGAATCAACAGATGCACAAAGACTTCTCAAAGCTTTCTTTATCTAAGAGCAGAAACTTCTGAGAAATGACAGTTTCCATCAGTCCTTTCAGGGGAGTTTTATGGCCATGAAGAAGATGGCAAGTCAGCACTGAGATGAGCCTGCACACACAAACTTTACTAAAAACCCTTATCGGCCATTGGCTTCCCCATATATTCACCTTCCCACAATTAACCACCCCTGGAAGCTCAAAACGCTTTTCCTTTGTCTTGCCACTTCTCCACAAATACATTGCCCTTTGTTTGGATGGTAGATAAGGCTTGTGGTCTGACCACCTTTCTAGAGTTTTCATTTCATTTCTGAGAGGTCTTCTCTAGGCATATCAAATGAACATTTTTCTCCTGTTCACCTGTCAGCTTATTTTGCAGGGTCCCAGTCACTGAACCTAAGAGGGTAGAGGAAAAAGGTTTTCCTTCTTCCCCAACACAACTTTGATCCATACCTCAAACATTTAATTGGCACCTGGTCTGAGGCAGGCACTGCCTTAAACTTCTCATTCTAAGTACCTCTTTCATGGCCTCACTACCTTCTCTCCTTTGAGAGGCTTCCAGGCCCCACCTTAGGGCATAAAGCCTCCTGCTTCCCCAGTGCCCACACAGGCCCCAGCATCCAGTCAGTGCCCAGCAAGTATTCAGTCAATAAACTTCAGGCCAGGCATGATGGATCACGCCTGTAATCCCAGCACTTTGGGAGGCCAAGGTGGGCGGATCACTTGAGGTCAGGAGTTTGAAACCAGGCTGGCCAACCTGGCAAAACCCCGTCTCTACTAAAAATACAAAAATTAGCCGAGCATGGTGGCACGTGCTTGTAGTCTCGGCTACTCTGGAGGCTGAGGCACAAGGATTGCTTGAACTCAGGAGGTGGAGGTTACAGAGAGCTGAGATTGCACCACTGCATTCCAGCCTGGGCGACAGAGAGAAACTCTGTCTCAAAAAAACAGAAAAAGAAAAAAACTTAAATTTTAGGGAAAGATTCAAAAGTTGAGGGGAGGAAACGCTGCAAACTAGAGAGTTAAAAACTAATTATTCTTTAGACAGGGGCCTCAAAATCGCCTCAATCAATATTACCGAATAATTAAGCAAACTTTACATTCACACTCTTGGCAAACAAAAGGATTTTTCTAATAAGCTAATCATTAGAAGAGATTGCAAGAGGGAGTTTAACTTAATTAAGAGGATAGTTCACAAACCTGTTGTTTTATCCATTTCCAAATAATAGGCTTACTTACAAATTTCAAGTGTGCCTTAGGAATTTGTTAAAGAAGTCTAAGACTTGTCATTAGGCAAGATTTTAGATCAGTGAGTTTATGTTCACCCTTAAAAGAAAAAAAACAGTGAATACCTTTTAAGTACCCCAATCCTAACTTTTTGCCAATTCAAAATAACCTTAACTTTTTCCACACGTAGTACATGGAGAAGTGTCCTTGCAAAGTATCTTAAGAATGTAGCTTAGTGTCTTCTTTTGTCAGAGATAGTAGCTAGGTGTGGTGGCACGCACCTGTAGTCCCACCTACTGTGGAGGCTGAGGCGGGAGGATCACTTGAGCCTAGGTGTTCTGGGCTGCAGTGAGCTGTGACCATCAGGTGTTTGCACTAAATTTAGCATCAATACAGTGATCTCCCAGGAGCAGGGAACCACCAGGTTGCCTAAGGAGAGGTGAACCAACCCAGGTCAGAAATGGAGCAGGTCAAAGTTCCAGGGCTGATCAATAGTGGGATGGTGCCTGTGGATAACCACTGCACTTCAGCCTGGGCAACATAGTGAGACCCTCTTTTGTGTGTGTGTGTGTGACAGAGTCTCGCTCTGTCTGCCAGGCTGGAGTGCAGTAGCACAATCTCGGCTCACAGCAACCTCCGCCTCCTGGCTCAAGCAATTCTCCTGCCTCAGCTTCCTGAGTAGCTGGGATTACAGGCGTGTGCCACCACACCCAGCTAATTTTTGTATTTTTAGTAGAGACGGGGTTTCACCATGTTGGCCAGGCTGGTCTCGAACTCCTGACCTCAGGTAATCCTCCCGCCTCAGCCTCCCAAAGTGCTGGGATTACAGGCACGAGCCACCGCACCTGGCCAATGTGACCCTCTTAAAAAACAGAAATATTAATGGCACCTCTATTGCAGGATGGTCACTGAGAATTCAGTGAGATTGTGACAGGGAAAATATTTTGGGAAATTTTTAAGTTTTTTTTTTTTTTAAACACTGTATTTATGTCCTATATCTCTTGGCCTTCTCCCATTTCGTCTGTAGTCTTTTACTGCCTTGCAGCATTCATTGCCTCAGGGGGCAAATGACATGACAGAAAAGCAGCACAACAGTTTAGGAGCTGTCAGAAGAAAGCCTTTTGAACTGCAAAGTTTAAGTCTGGGCCTGGCGCAGTGGCTCAGGCCTGTAATCCCAGCACTTTGGGAGGCCGAGGCTGGCAGATCACCTGAGGTCAGGAGTCTGAAATCAACCTGGCCAACATGGCAAAACCCCATCTCTACTAAAAATACAAAATTTAACTGGGCTTGGTGGCAGGATCTGTAGTCCCAGCTACTTGGAGGCTGAGGCAAGAGGATGGCTTGAACCTGGGAGGTGGAGTTTGCAGTGAGTCGAGATTGCACCACTGCATTCCAGCCCAGGTGACAGAGCAAGACTGTCTCAGAAAAAAAAAAAAAAAAGTATAAGTCTGAAATAATTGAAGGTGTCAAGTTTGTGCCCTAAATATTGGAACTGGAAAAACAATCAGATTGCCCTGTCTCCAGGAATATGGGATTATCAGGACTATGGAAGGGAGGAAAGAAGCAAAGCGAGGCAGAAAGTTGGCAGGGTCCCTGAGAGAGGGGCCTGCAGCTTGCTCCTTGCCCAGGGACTTGATCTAGAGTCCCTGATCTGCAATGATGAGTGACAGGAAAGCAGAGAGGACTGGTGCCTCCTGTCCCCAGGGCAGAGGAATTGTTTTCAAAATGTGCTCAGACAGAAAGGCTGTAGGTCAGAACCAGGTGCTGGAAACAGTGGCTTGCTCCCTGTGAACTACGAAGTGGTTTTGAGGTAGCAAAGAGAGTGATGGGTTTTAGATATGGAGTAAAGGAGGACCATCAAGCAGAAGCCTGCAAGAATGTCAGCCCTCACACTGCAACATAACGACAGGTGCCACTGTGGGTAGATAAGCACACGTAATAGCAAGTCCTAGCTACCGCCCATCACCTGGGAACTTAGACAAAACTTGGGATAGGGCAGGGACCCAAATCAATGAAATAAGGATGCTGCCACCTAGCAGAATGGACATTCAAAATAGAAATTAAAGTCATTTATAGAAAAAGTAAATACAATTGCATCATTGCTCAATTTTACACTTCTCATCCAGACCTTGAGATTTGCCCTCACTCTAAGATAATGCATGTAGCTGCTTGATGTATAATATATGCTCAGTAAATGCTAGCTACTATTAATATTATTGTTACCTTTGATCCCAGGACAAGACCCTGAAGAAAGTTCTTGCACTCTTTAAAGAAAGTTCCATTACTTTCTTTTAGAGAATCAAGGAAGGAAAGGGGGGTCATTTTATTCCTCCCAAGGGACACTCAGGTTTGTCACATGAACAGTCATGGTGGGAAAATGGGTCATCAACAACCAGAGAGGACATCTGTGGAGCGTCTTTATGACTGATAGAGTAAGTTCCCTATGTCCCAGTTTGTTGTGGGAAGTTAGGTGGAACCATGTGACTAATTCTAGCCCATGCAATGGAACAGAAGTCAAATATGCTATTTTCCTGCACACTAAAACTTCTCTCCAACCAAAAACAAAGTACTCTGAGGGCCCAGCAGACAGGCAGAACCATGAGAGAGGAGGAGCCTGGGTTTCTGAGACGCTCCCTGGAGAAGAGCCCCTTGGAGAGAGCCAACTAGGACACTTAGGTTGGGCTGTTCCTAAGTTAGAAATAAGCTTTTCTTGGGTTAAGCCATTAAAACTTTGGGGCTGTTTGACACAGCAGTCTATCCTGATACACACTGTACAAATACTAGAGTATGTTCAGTGAGTTCCTGTCAACACGATTGTGGGTTCCCCACCCCCGTACCCCTCTCCCACCCCTGCCACCACACTTCATCCTTCACAGCAGTCTCCTCGGAAGCCAGAGAGTGAGTGGGTATGACTGTACCTTATTTGCCTCGTAAATGTTCTTCCGGATTTAGACATTAACAAGAGTGAGCATAAGTTGGTTTCATTTTTAGGAACTTGAAAATCCTAGATTTGAGAGCATTTTTAGAAATGAAAGGCACATTTGTAGTCATTTGGCCCAACCATTAAAACAAGCAGGGAGAAAACCGAACCCTTGACAGGGACTGCTGTAAGGCCACAGAGCTGGATAGTACTGACGCCAAAATCAGGACCCACTTCTTCAGAGCTGCCTTCAATGTTCCTCTAGGTACTTTCAAATGTCCAGCATAGCATCACATTGACAACTCAAACTTCAAGATTGGACCAAAGTGGACTAAAATTCTGGCTCCACCTCTTACCAGGTGGACCATTTTAGGACTAGCATTTAACTTCTTTGAGGGTCGGTTTCCTTATCCGTAAAATGGAAATAATAATAGTAAGAGTACTTTCCTCCTAGTGTTGTCATGGCAACTAAATAGCTCCATGAATTTAAAGTACATGGCACAAGGGCCAGGCGTGGTGGTTCACGCCTATAATCCCAGTGCATTGGGAGGCCAAGTTGAGAGAATCTCTTGAGGTTAGGAGTTCAAGACCAGCCTGGGCAACATAGTAAGAGCCTGTATCTACAAAAAAAAAAATTTTTTTTAATTTGGGACATGATGGCACATGCTCTGTAGCCTTAGCTACTCAGGAGGCTGAAGCAACAGGATGGCTTGACCCAGAAGGTTAAGGCTACAGTGAGCTATGATCAGACCACTACACTCTAGTCTGAGTGACAGAGTGAGACCCTGTCTCTAACAAAATCAAATTAGATTAAAAAGTTCTTAGCACACATCTGACTCTAATAAAGTCTTAGTATGTTAGTTTCTGCTATTACTTAAAATAATACCAAAGTTGTATGAAAATAATGGGGCAACCTTAACAGAACCACATCACACAGCTTCAGGATTATTTCCTCTGGGAACAGAACTATGCATTCCCTGCTCATGCTTTATTTGGGGCACTGGTTCCTTATCTTATAGGTAGGCCTGACTCCCTCCTCTATCAGATGGCAAACTTCCTGTGGCCTTTCTGTATCCTTCAGGGCATAGGAGTGTGACTTGCACTAAAGCTTGTTGGGGGCCGGAGCCTAGCATGGGGAAGATAATTGCAAGCAGGCATGGGAGTCCCTAACACCCTATTCTTGGCCAGGGTCCCCATTCCTACCTCCTTCTTCAGAGCTCCAGCTCCTGCTCTGATGAAGAGAAGGCAGCCACTCCTGGCTGTCTAGCTGAATGGTCATTATTAAATATGTTGGGGCTCAGAAATTGATATTCTAAAATATGGTGCTTTGACATGCTGGACTGAAGAAGCAGCCTCAAGTTCTCTTTTTTGTTTGTTTGGTTTTGTTTTGTTTTTTGAGACGGAGTTTCACTCTTGTTACCCAGGCTGGAGTGCAATGACGCGATCTCGGCTCACCGCAATATCCGCTTCCCAGGTTCAAGCAATTCTCCTGCCTCAGCCTCCCGAGTAGCTGGGATTAGAGGCATGTGCCACCACGCCCGGCTACTTTTGTATTTTCAGTAGAGACGGGGTTTCTGCATGTTGGTCAGGCTCTCAAACTCCTGACCTCAGGTGATCTGCCTGCCTTGGCCTCCCAAAGCGCTGGGATTACAGGCGTGAGCCACCATGCCCAGCAAGGTCTCTCTGACCTCCCCGCCACTCCCTGCCTAGTCCTGTTTCTCAATTCTCTGTCTCTTCCAAAGCACGGGATAAATTGTTCTCCAAAGATCACTTATCTGCCTAAAGTTCAGACTCACCAAAGAAGACAACAATGACCTCTGGTCCCTTTCCCAAGTTTTCATTAACTGAACTGATATTGCAGGAAGAAAGACTGATGTCTGTCAACACACCTAGACAGACTTTTGTCACAAACCTGCTCTGCAGGCTCAACAGACTTTGTCCCAGGCCATTGTATGCTCTCCAAGTCCATTTATTTTCCCCTAAAAATTATTTACTATCCTTCGAATTGCCACATTTCTCCCATCTCCCTTGTCCTGTGAAGAAGGGTGTATAAGCATCTGTACCTTGTTGGGTTATTGAGTAATTATTCTCCTTCAATTCCCCCGAGCTGTACACCTAAAAATAAAAATTTGTATACCTTTTCTCCTATTAATCTGTCTTTGGTCAGTTGATTTTCAGCAAGCCTTTAGAGGGTGAAGGGGAAGTTTTCTCTTCACCCCTTGCTATGGTTTGGATGTTTTGTCCCCTCCAAATCTCATGTTGAATGTGATCCCCAGTGTTTGGAGGTGGGCCTAGTGGGTCCACTCACTAGTCATGGAGGTGGATCCCTCACGAATGGCTCGGTGCTGTCCTCAGGATAATGAGTGAGTTCTCACTCTGAGTTCACATGAGATCTGGTTGCTTAAAAGAGGGTGGCACCTCCCTGCTCCCCACCCCTGGCCTTGCTCCTGCTCTTACCGTGTGACATGCTGGCTCCCCCTTCACCTTCCACCATGATTGGAAGCTTCCTGATTCCCTCACCAGAAGCTGAGCAGATGTTGGTGTCATGCTTCTTGTATAGCCTGCAGAACTGTGAGCCAATTAAACCTCTTTTCTTTACAAATAACCCAGTCTCAGACATTCCTTTATAGCAACATGAGAACGGATTAACACACCCCTACACTAGAGAAGACTTTGACCTTAAGGAGGTCTAGAGAAGGTAGTAGCCACAGAAATGCTTGGCCACTAACAGGCAAACCTAATTTCTAGGCTCTCGCTATCAATCCATTCAGTCCTCAAGGCAAGAACTTCTATGAAAACCAGAAGATTGGAAAGCCTTGCTAATTCTAGCTACTTGTTCTAGGGGTTACCATTCCCATTTGGGTACACCTATCTCTAGAAGCCAGGCTTGCTCTCAGAACCTTGACCACTTTACTTCATATCACACCCCCAGGGGACGGGGAGCTTTGGAGCATGAAATTCAGATTAAACTGGCTATAGCTCTGGAAAAGGGACAGATTGGAAACTACTCCTCTAAGAATCAGTTTCCCTATTCATTGATTAGCATTTGAGGATTATCCAGGAATCAGAATATTCCAAGGCTGCTTCTGCCAGGAGGTCCCATTAGCAGTAAAACTTCAAATTTCCTTGGCCTAGGCTCCTGCTTGCATAACCCTGAACTTTGACCTCCCACTTTCATTTTAGGAGGCCTCAGTGGTGCACCATGAGCTCACAGACGACTTGGCCATGGAAGCCAAGGCAAGCATTGGCATGTCCACTTCTACCAGTCTGTGAGGAAGCCGAGGTCCCAGTCCAGGGCATCAACTCAGGGATCCTGGGCTGCCAGCCTTAGAGATGACAACTGTGCAGCCATCATCCCTGGGACCCTCACTATTCAGCAAGCCATGTTGGGTACCCCTTTAGGGGGTGAAATGAACCTCTCCCCAGCCCACATGGCACAGTGACCCTTTTGTACCCAAGCAGCCTCTGCCAATGCCACTCTATGCACAGTTCAGGTTCAGATACCAGGCCAGAGCCTGTCACAGTGTAGACCCATGAATGTAGCGGGGTGCAAAACTGATATTTTTTAGCTAAAGAAACATCAAGTTAAAGGCTGCCAGCAGCTCCCAGGACTTGGTTGAAGCAGAAAGTCATCTTGGAGCATACTTTTTTTTTTTTTAGAAATGAGGTCTTGCTCTATCGCCCAGCTTGAACTCAAACTTTTGGGCTCAAGGGTTCCTCCCACCTCAGCCTCCCCAGTAGCTGGGACTACAGTCATGCTACCACCTCACCTGGCAAGATTTTTTACTACCTCACCTGGCAAGATTTTCTTTATTCTATGACAATACCTTCAGTGGCCCCTTCTAGTCATGTAAATGTGAAGGCTAAAAGGTGCTCCCTGCCGTGGGAAAAGGGTGCGGCAACATCTTTTGTAGAAGACAAAGGCCTGTCTACCATCCTTGATATGCAGAGTTGGTTTCAAGCAAAGAGGGGGCCAATTTACAAAGAGGCACAGGATCTTCTAGGGCTCGGGGATGCTGATGTGGCTGATAAGAAAGGATGACAGGAGTTCACCTCCAGGGAGGCAGTGCCTGACCATGGCCTGGGATCAGTCAGAAACGCTGAGAGATTGCCTGGTTCTGCCACTTTGAGTCTTCCGCAGCTACCCTGCAAAGAAGCCTGGCTTTGAGAATAGTGACAGGGCATGAACCCACAGAACAGAGGACCTTGTGAAAACAACCAGTTCAAAATCTGAGCTGTTGAAACTTTATTTTAAGCCTAAAGGAATATGATTATGGGGCCTGAGACATGTGATAGGTGGCTGAAACCTAGGCAGCTGTAACCTATGTTTCTCTAATCACAGATTAGCCTTCTTCCTTACCTACATTATTCTGTAAAATGTTATGAATGACTAAAGGGCACCGGGGAAGATCCTTTCCCTCTTACTGTTTGTCTTCATTATAGATAAACTTTCTTCTTACCTCTCTCACACAGAGACTTCATGGTGATCACATTATCTAAAATGGATTGTTAAATATACTAGTTTAAATTGGAAAAGAAATGAAAACAAGCCCTAAGGGAAGGAAAAAAAACTGACAAATTAAATTGTCGTAATTCATAAACCATTCTTGTATAGAAAATGTTGTAATCCTGTTAAATTTCTTTGTTTCCTTCCTATATAAGCAAGATTTGAACTTTTAACTTAGGGGCACTGACCCCATTTCTCTGGAGTCTGTGTTATCTGAATGACTATCTCAGCCTTTTACGTGAATCAATTCTTTAAACCGGCTTCTGATCCTTCAGTTATTTCAGGTTGTCAGTCTCTGTTGCATGTTAGAATAAGCAGGGGAGCACTGGAAAAATATGAATGCTGCAGCACCTGAGCAGCTCTTTGCACACCAGTGTTCACAGCAGCATTATTCACAATGCCAAAGGGTGGAAATAACCTAAATGTCCACCAAGAGATGAACAGATGAACAAAATGCGATACATACATGTAATGGAACATTATTCAGCCTTAGTGAGGAAGGAGATTGTGACGCATGCTACAACATGGAGGAATCCTGAAGACATTATGCTAAGTGAAATAAGCCTGACACAAGGACAAATACTATATGATTCCACTTATATGAGATGCCTAGAATAGTCAAATTCATACAGACTCAGGTAGAATGGTGGTTGCCAGGGGCTGGGGGATAGGGGGAATGGAAAGTTATTGTTTAATAGGTACATAGTTTAAGTTTGGGATGATGAAAATGATCTGTGGATGGATGGTGGTGATGGTTGTACAACAGTGTGAATATACTTAATGTACAACACTGTGAATATACTTAACGTGAATATACAAATAATGAATTGTAAACTTAAGAAGATGATTACAATGGTAAATTTTGTGTTACGTATATTTTAACCACACGTGCACACACACACACACACACACACACACACACACACACACACAATATCAGGGAGGTAATATAGGGCTTTTCTTGTGTTGGGTACAGCTGAGGCCTCTAATTTAAAAGGGAAGTGAGAAGAACATCCCCTTTTTAAAAGAAAGGTTCTGGACCTTCTGAGCAGGACTTGTTAAATTTACAATTTTTTTTAAAAAAAGAGTTCTACCTTTCTGAACCCATCACTCACTCACCTTCCAGCGATTCATTCTAAATGCTAACAGTGTAAATACTAGGGTGAGAGTTGTCCTGGAGTCCTGGGCATTTCCCTCCCAGTCAAGCCTAGTCAGGGGACCCAAGAGATGGACCCAGACTGCTTGATATAGGTTTCCTGCAGTTAGGAAGACTGGGAAAGTCTAAAGAAGAGGTGTCGGCTGTCCTGCTTTTGATCTAGTGGGCCCTGATATTACTTTTGAAGGGGATCAGAATGTGCCACCCCAAAATATGCCACTTTGGCATAAGGATTATTTTAAGCTGAAGGCAAATGAGAAGAAGCAGGTACAAGAAAAGCCCTCTGCCTTCCCCCTATTTGCCTAAAAGCTGGATATAATTTGTGAAGGTGTTTCCTCCTCTGCTGTCTACCAGAAAAGACAGAAGTTAATCAACAGAGACCATTTTAGATGCTCGTCAGCCCAGAGAGGGCACTGGAGGAATCTGCACAGCAAACCTTGCTCACTAGCCCTTATCTTCCATTGGATCCTCCATATATTTGCCTTCCCACAATTTGCAGCCCTAGAAATTAAAAGTTATTTTTCTTTGTCTTGTCACTTCTCTAAAAATTTATTGTTCTTTTGTTAAGATGCTATATAAACCCGGGTTCTCCCACCCCTTTGAGTTACTCATCTCTGAGCACTCCATTGTGTAAGCAGGATGCACATGCTAATAAACTTCTGTTTATTTTTCTCTTTTGAGAAAATGTCTTTTGTTAGTCAACTTTACAGGGTCTTAGAGAACCTAAGCCAGGTAAAAGAAAAACACATTTTTCCTTCTCGACACCACCACCCCAAAATGACTACCCTCATATATGAACATAGTTATATACATGTAACATATATATTTTTATATATAGCTATATTAATATGTGCATACATATATGTATTGCATGCACACATATGTGTATATGTATATATACACATATACACACACATACTGCAGAAAGCCAGAAAGGTGCCCTTAGAGAGACTGGAAGTGATCCACATCTTGATCTAGGTGGTAATTACCCAGATAGATACATATGCAAAAACTTATCAGGCTGTATACTTAAGATTTGTATATTCTGCTGCATCTAAGTTATATCTCAATTTAAAAGTACCAATGGTCAGGCTTACTTTCAGAGACTCTGGATTTAAATGGTCTGGGACGGACCTCAGGCATCATGATTTCTAAAGATCCCCAGTTAGTTTTATTAATAGCACATAGCCAGGGTTGAGAAACAGTGGGAGCCTCACAATATATCTTGTAGTGGCTGGCTAGTGACCGGTCTATGCCTGGCCTCTGAAAACAAGACTGGCTTGCTTCTGTGGACTGAATAAACTCTGGGGATTATAGGGCAATTTGTGGAGTGGGGGAAAGAACCCTATGTCCTTCCAAGACCTCTCTCCCTACTCCCCCTACACAATTCAACTGAGAAAATCTACCCTGCAGACCACACCAAAAGTTGGAGGATTCAGCCTCCAATACCTCTCCTGGCCAGGGAATCACTGTGTGGTAAGCTGGGGAGCCAAAGGTTTACCACTGCAGGAATTTGACTGCAGGAAATCAGGCCCACAGCTTCAACCTGGCATCTGGACACGTGGCCTATTCACCCAGGGGTGCAAGGAAGGTGGTACACAGCAAGGCAGGTAGGTGGTGGGAGGACACGAACATTTCCAATGACCCTGGAGAAGTATCGCTGAGATGATCTTGGCCGGGAAGCTCCGGGTAAATGCAGTGTAAAAGCTTTGTGACTATGGTCTGGGGAGCTGTTGGATTGAGTATTTATGGTGGTATTTTTCATGGAGCTGGCTAGAAAGCTTCAGAAATGAAAGATTTTTTGGCACCATAAGCCTTGTGCCAACCAGCATATCTCTAAATTAAGTAGAGAAGCAGACAAGCTCTGAGTTACTGGACACTAATTCATGCCTCGGCACGAAAATTTGAGCTGCTCAGAACGAGTTCTTGCAATTAGATATTTTAAAATAACTAATGCATACCAACAAAGAAAGAAGAAAAAACGGAGTGATATCTACTCAAGTCGCTGTTTAATGGCAGAGAGGCTGTAGAAATTGTCACAGAGCCACCCATGGTAGAGCCCCCTTTCCCTTTCCGAGAGGTCAGAGCCATGCTAAACCACTTCGAGTTTTCTGAACAACTCCCCAGAGTCTCCTAAACAGCCATTATACAGTTGACACAACACCAATACCACCCTCAAATCACCCACTCTCCGCTTCAGACCCCAAATGCAAAAGCGAGACCCTCTTTCGTCCCTCTCAGACGTCCTCTTTTTCACTTTACGGTCAACTCTGCCTTTCTAGTATCCCCCACCTCAGCACGATTCTAGCAGTTTCTCTTCTCTCATTATTATTGCTGCCTTTCTCCTTTCTTCTTTGCCTTATTTTCTTTTTCTTCTTGATTTCAGTCCTTAATTCTAGTCATTGCTGTGCCACCGCCACGGTTTTTGCATATCCTAATATTTACTTAATTTTTTTACATCCAGTGATTTTTTTCCCTCTTGGCTCTCCTTTAAAAAGCTAAGCAAAATTATTTTAAAAAGAAACTTTTTATCAATAGAAAACCAATATCTCTTGCTATAAATAGGAGGAAATTATAAAACAGTAAACTAAACACAATGAAAACAGAGCAGTGGCATTAAATTCTAACTGGATACTGTTGCTGACCACAGGCTCTGAGCCTGAGGCCTCCTCATCCTTGGTTAAGAGGGGAGAAAGGAAAAGTTAAGAGAGGTGTTGAAGACAGAGCAGCACCAAACTGAGGCTTTCTCTGTCACATAATCAGAAGTGCCAAGGGCATGGCCTCATCAATCTCTGCTTAATGCTGTGTCCTTAGATCATTTTCTATAGCTCAGGAAATAATGGTGCGAAGACTACTCCAGTGTATTCTTGTTATAGTTTGGATGTTTTCCCCCCAGACCTCATGTTGAAATGTGATCCTCTATGTTGGAGGGGAGGCCTAATGGGAGGTGTTTGGGTCATAGGGGTGGATTCCTTATGAATGGCTTGGTGTCATCCTCACAGTAATGAGTGAGTTCTTGCTCTATTAGTTCCCATGAGAGCTGGTTGTTAAAGAGGGCCTAGCATCTCCCCCTCTCTCTTATTTTCTTTCTTGCCATGAGATCTGCACATGCCAGCTCCTCTTTGCCTTTGGCCATGAGTGGTAGCAGCCTGAGGCCATCAGCAGAAGCCAAGCAAATGCCAGCACCATGCTTCTTGTACAACCTGCAGAACCGTGAGCCAAATAAACCTCTTTTCTTTATAAATGATCCAGCCTCAGGTATTCCTTTACAGCAATACAAATGGACTAAGACAATTCTCTTTACCTTACCCTTTGTTTTCTCTCCCTCATTGCTTCCCTGTTTCCCTGTTTGCCCCTCATTTCTTCCTACTTCCTTCTCCCTTTTCCCCCTTTCTTTTTAGTGCAGTAGGCAAATACTTTTGTTATCTTCAATGGACTAATTACCGTAAGGAAAAAAAGACAGAGAAGAAAATTCAAACCTGGGAAAGATGACCCAAAGAGACATATAGCTAGGCTATACTATGCCCAGGTAAGCCTGGCTTCTAAGGGCTGGCCATTTATCTGCTTCTAAGCCAGCTTCCTGCTCTCAGAGGGGATAGGACTTATTCTCTGACATTGTTTTTGGATACTGTGTCAAGGGGAACACCAGTCCATGGCATGGGGCTGGGGGACCCAGGTCACCCTGTACCAACCCTATCTGCCATCTTTACACACACTGTCTCCTCAGAAAAACTCAGCCAAGAGCAGCTCATGTGGATATGGAAACAAATCCATCTAGCAACTATTCACCGCACCACACAGAGGGATGGCTGGGCTTAGTAGACAGGTGTGACATTGTTAAAAGGTAAAATTATGACTTCCATAAATATATTTTTAAAAGAACACGTTAAGGAATTTATGTTGCTCAAATAATATGAAGAAACCAGATAGGTGTTATAATTGGTTCAAAGGAAAAAAACAACACAAATTTATATGGAGTAAAGAAATGTTGAGATGAATTGCAAATGAAGACAAAGTGGGTTTTTTTCCTGCCAAGTGAGTGGGAGTGAGAAAAAGTCAAATCTCTACCAGACAGAACAGAATTTATGTATCTACAGATTACCTACAATTTATGGATGCGCAAAATAGCCTAAAGACAATGAACAAGGGGCCCGGCACGTGGCTCACACGTATAATCCCAGCGCTTTGGGAGGCCAAGCTGGGAAGATCACTTGAGGCCAGGAGTTCAAGACCAGCCTGGGCAACATAGCAAGACCCTGTCTTTTAAGTAAAAACAAAACAAAAAAATAATAAAAGACAATGGGCTGGGTGTGGTGGCTCATGCCTGTAATCCCAGCACTTTGGGAGGCTCCTGCAGGAGGATCACTTGAGCGCAGGAGTTCAAAAACCAGCCAGGGCAACACAGGGAGACCCTATCTCTACAAAAATTTTTTTTTTGTAGAGACCCTATCTCTACAAAAAATACAAAAATTAGCTGGGCATGGTGGTGTGCACCTGTAGTCCTAGCTACTCAGGAGGCTGAGGTGGGAGCATCACTGAGCCTGAGAGGTAGAGACTGCAGTGAATGGGGCTAGAATATCATAACCCTGAGTGGTGTGCTATAAGTGATATGTAGTTTCCCACTGAAACAATAAATTTTTTCTACATAAGGTTCTTAACCCAAGGGATACACTATTCATTTGATTAATGTTTCCCCAGTACCAGCTCCTTTGGTCATAAGCCACACTGCCTCTCCACCAGACCTCTAACTGGCCTAAGGTTAGGAGAGGATGCCCATTTGACAATCGGTGTAAGGTGTTGGGGATTTGGGTTCCAGGTGTGACTCATGATTAACCAACAATAGGAACAGTGTGCCTAGGTCAAATCACCCAGCCCTCTAGGTCTCTTCATTTGAGTGAGGGACTTGGGTGCTCTCTGACGTTTCTCTAGCTTTAAAGCTCTAGAATTCAAGGGAATAAGAAACATGTTTGTAAATCTTAAACTAGCCCAAGGATTTGTACCAAGTAGGTATAAACCCACAGGTCTGACTGGGTCAGGCCCCACCAGGTCAGCCACTGTCCTGAGGTAAACAGCAAATGAGAGAATATCTTTAGGATTTTCCTCTGTTTGTTTGGTATTCTTTTTTTTTTTTTTTTTTTTTTTTTTTTTTTTTTTTTTGATGGAGTCTCACTCTGTCACCCAGGCTGGAATGCAGTGGCATGATCTCGGCTCACTGCAACCCCCGCCTCCCAGGTTCAAGCAATTCTCCCTGCCTCAGCCTCCCGAGTAACTGGGACTACAGGTGACCGCCACCATGCCCGGCTAACTTTTGTATTTTTAGTACAGGTGGGGTTTCACCATGTTGGCCAGGCTGGTCTGGAACTCCTGACCTCAGGTCATCTGCCCACCTCGGCCTCCCAAAGTGCTGAGATTTCCCGCGCCCGGCCTTGTTTTGCATTCTTACCGCCCCCTAGCCCCGTAACAGTTTAAGGTTCCAGAGCAACCCCGCTGCTGTGATGAACTGACTGAGACAACCCCTTTCCCCTTGTGCTGTTTTCCAGGAAGCACGTGGCTGCAGAAGCAATGAGCTCTTTGTGCCCTCTCTTCCTGCTCCAGGGTTCCATGTGTCTGTGACTCTAAGCCTGGTGTGTGGACCGGGAAACATTCAAACAAGGCTAAGAGAAGCCTGTCAGTCCAGCTCGGGCTACACACTGGGTGAGCCATGCACCACCCAGGAATTTCCAGGGCACGTGCCACGTAAGGGGCACACCCGACAGAGTCCAATGGGGTTCCCCACTGGGCCTCCCACTGAGTTGCTCAGCCTGGGCCGGAAAAGGGTGAGTCACCCTGGGGGTGGGGCTCTCCAGGGTAGAGGCCAAAGGAGTGACTACCATGACAATTCTCCGGAGGGCCTGAGGCGGCGGTGGACAGCCCCGGCAACAGTGGGCCCTCCCCGCAGAACTGTGGTTCCAATCCCTCTCCACCCAGCCCAGGAGTCTCCTGGCCCCAGAAGGAGGAGCAGGAGGCGCCAAAAAGAGGAAAAAGAATTCCTTTTCCAGTCATTTCAGTCCTAAATTTTCCCTGAGACTGCCAGAAAAGATGCTAATGAAAGACCAATTGTGTGGCCAGAGTGTTTTCTTCGGACATCTGCCCAGGGAACTGGAGGATACCCAGTTCAGAAGCGAGGTCACTAGCCCCATCCTATGGCAACACCTTTTGCTCGCTACTGACCCCTACTGGGGAAGTGGAGACAAGCGGCTGAGGGCTGGGAAGCAGCTGAAAGAAACTAGACCCAGACATGTCTACTGGGTTCTTAAATCCAACATCTGCTGTTGGAGGATGAGTCCTGCCTAAACCTTAGGCCACAGATGCAGAGGATCTAACCTTGGGAATTCCGTTTCCTTCAAGGGGCCCCAAAACCTTTCACACTGGACTTCTCTTTTGCTTAACTCCCCTTAATGTTTTGTCCTATGGGAAATGAGGAGCCTTTAAAGCCAGCTTGTCCAACCTACCACCCACGGGCCGCCTGTGGCCCAGGATGCTTTGAATACTGCCCAACATAAAACATTATGAGTTTTTTTTTTTCGCATTTTTTTTCTCATCAACTATCGTTCGTGTTAGTGTATTTTATGTGTGGCCCAAGATAACTTTTCTTCCAATGTGGCCCAGGGAAGCCAAAAATTGGACACCCCTGCTTGAAGGCCTTTAGGAGAATGAAATGAACATGTAGTTACATGTTAGCAGCAGAACAAAGGGAGGATTAGGAGCAAGGCTAGGGTCAGCAGGGGTACTTGATTATTTCTTGATGTCCTACTAGGTGCTGTCTCCAGCAGAAAGACCAGTTAGGAGGCTGTGGCAATAACCCAACAGAAACATCTGGAGGGACTAACAGAGGGCAAGCGGATGGAGGGAAGAGGATGTCTGCAGGGAGGGGAATATTTGGGAAGGACCTCAACTGGCCTTGGTGATGGGTTGAATGGGGTAGGGCTATAGAGAAAGCAGAGTCTAGCACCACCTTCCTGTCTACACCCTTCTCTACCCTGCAGGGTTGGTTTTTGCTAACATCCTTCCAGCAAAATGAGATTTTAAGCAGACAAACAGGTATGGAACATGAATTTTGGTTTGAATACGGTTTGAGATGGGGTCATCGTTGTGGCTGAGAAGGACTTTGGCATCAGTCTGTCCAAAGCCAGGCTTGGCCACCACCAGGATGTGAGACCTTACACAGATGCTTTGTCAGCTTCAGTTTCTTCACCTGTAAAGAGAGAATATGATACCTCCTTCATGGCTTTTAAAAATTTTTTGTTTTTTAGACTTAAATGATATAAGTTGTTTAGTATAAGCCTGTTTAGGAAATACAAGCTTTAAAAAAAAAGATGAGTAATAGGCAACTGAATGCTATAAACATACCTGCATTGTTACTATGAGCCAGGCACTGCCTACGCACAGTACATAATCTCATGTAATCTTCTCAGCAGCTCCATAAGGCAAGCACATGATGATCTCCAGTTTATAAGTGAGGAAACTGAAGCACAGAAAACTTAAGACACCTGACCAAATGCACAAAGCTAATAAGTGGCAGAGCCAGGACTCAAACCTAGATATGTCTGACTCCAAAACTGTGAATCTTAACAATCACACTGATGTCTTTACAGCAAATACAGGTCAAAGCATAGAAGAACAGTCTTGGCTAGAGCTACAAATTCAGGAGTTGTCAAGATTTGATAATACAGTACAACAAAAGTAACTTGGAGGGGGGGAAGATTTGCTTATAGTTGAAACCATAGTTATCAATTAAAAACTTCCAAGATATGTGTGCAGTTGAGAAAGAGAGAGGGAGGAAATGCCAATATTTACAGTGCAGAGGAGAGAAGCCCTAAGAGAAAACTGAGCAGGAGCAGGCAGAGATGGGAAGGGAATTAGGGAAGCGATATCAAGGGAAGAGAGCAGGCTCCAAGGAGATGGGTTGATCAGCAGGACCACAGTGAGAAGACAGCCCATGGCCTCAGTCCATTAATGGGTCCTTGGAGAACCCAGCAAGAGCAGAAATAGGGGCAGAGTTGAAGGGAGAGTTAGGAACAGACTGCAAATGAGACTTACATTGCAGGTAGCTTGTTGGTGAAGGGATAGGAAAAGGGTGATAGCTAGAGATGGATGCAGAGGAAGGGATAGGGGTCTGGATTTCTGGTGATTGCTTTGGAATGGAGAAAGCCTTCCTTCTAAGAAACAGGAGAGAAGATGTGTTCTGAGAATGCAGGAAGGTGAAGGAGTTGATGGCCAATAGATTCTATTTTCTCCATGAAATTGTTAGTCAGCTGTGACAGGAGTTGGGTGGGAGCTGGGTAGGCAGTTTGAGAGCCCTGGTGAAGACATTTTTAAAGGCTAGTCAAGTGAAGCAGTGAGAGTGGAGCAGGAACAAAGGAATCGGTAACTGCTTGTGATCAATTAGTTGTAAACATCACTACATTCCAGCCAGCCCCTGGTGAAGATTTAAAACCACCACTGAGGTGAAGGGGGCTAATGTTGCCAGGGTGACCAGGACTGGGCAACAGGACTGCCAAATAGGGGTGCGCTGCAGTGGAGATTGGAGCCACACATTGATAATGGCCACTGATCACCTTGTTGGGTGCTTTTCCCAGCAGCCTCACCAGCAAAAGATAGGGTCCCCCATAATCCCAGTTTACCCAGCACAATCCCCATTTTAGCAGTGAAAGGCTGGAATCCCAGGAAGTCCCTCAGTCCCAGACAAACCTGGACAACAGTTTATTATCCTAGCTCAGGGTGGGAGCAGCAAAGGCAGAGTTGGATTGGTCCATGGCTGGGGATTTCATGGGAGAATGTGCTGGGGGGATGGGAGGACTGAGGCTTTGGAGGGAGCTGGCAAGAGAAGTGTGAAGGTGAACTACTATGCTATAGGATTCTATAATGACATGAAAGACAGTAAGGAGAGCAAATAGTCAATAGAACTGGAGAAACAGGAAAGGCCATGGAACTAGAGCTTCCAATGAGTTCACTAGAGAATGGACTTAATGGGGAAAAAGGATTTCAAGAGACAGGAGAAAAGCAATGAGGATGATTTGGGCTGCGAGTAACAGAAAACCCTGACTCCAACTAGCTTAAATGATACAGAAATGTATTATATCACATAATAGAATGGGTAGGTTTCAGGGTGGTTGATTCAGTGGCTCAACAATATAATCAGATAATCATGTTCTTTTCATCTCTCTGCTTGGCTACCTTAATTGGTGACTGTATCTTCAGTCTAGTGGCAAAACGGCCACCTCCAGATATGACAATGTCCAGAGTAAAAATAAAAATCATCTTGCCTGGTTCATGTCAAAGGGGGCGGGGAAAGAAAAGACCATCTCTTTCTTGAGTTCCTCTTAGGAACAAGGACATTTTTTTCAGGAGTCCCCTAGTGGACTTCCCATCAGCTCTCATGGGCTAGAAGTGAGTCATACTCATTCTAGCACCAGCCATTGGCAAGATAGACCAATCAGACCCACTCTGGAGCATGGGGTGGGACCGGCTTTTCTTTCTTTTTTTTTTTTTTTTTGAGACAGAGCCTCACTCTGTCATCCAGGCTGGAGTGCAGTGGCGTGATCTTGGCTCACTGCAGCCTCTGCCTCCTAGGTTCCAGCGATTCTCCTGCCTCAACCTCCCTGGTAGCTGGGATTACAGGCATGTGCGACTACACCTGGCTAATTTTTGTATTTTTAATAGAGACGGGGTTTCACCACATTGGCCAAGCTGGGCTCGAACTCCTGACCTCAGGCGATCGGCCTCCTCGGCCTCCCAAAGCGCTGAGATTACAGGCATGAGCCACCGCAGGGTGGGGCCGGCTTTTCTTAGGGCACATGGCAGAATAGTGGGGGAGTAGATCTTGAACAACATTGGAGTTCTGTTAGAAAGGAGTCAGGAATTGTTGCTGAGTGTAAAGTAAACAGTGTTCATCACAGAGGCAACACTGAGCAACTGGGATGTGAACACTATCATAAAAACTATTCAATTTTAGTTTTTTACCTGCTCAAATTGTTCATTTGTTCTCTGCTGCCTATGGGATACATTACATAATTATTAGTTCTAACCAATATTGAGGTAAACCTCTGTCATTTCTTCATAAAACTCCTCTGCTCTGGCCAAGCAGGTCAAGTCTAGAACACACCTTGTATTTTCAAACCTCCTTGACTTTCCCTGTTCTTGGAATGTCTACCCATCTCCCCGCTGCCCCACCTTCTAATAGATAGCCAGATCCTACCCATCCATCAGGCGCTGACCCAAACCCAATTGCTTAGTCTATAACCACATTATATTAATGCCCCAGAGAAGCTTCAAGACCTTCCAGCCCAGGATCATCTCTCTTCAGGCATCTCCCTGCGTAGTTGCAGCTCCTTGAGAGCGGATCCTGTTTTACACTTCTCAGGGGTCCTCTCCACTCCCAACACAATGACTGATGCACACAACGGATGCTCACTAAGTACTTGCTGACTGGCAGGTTAATCAATAAATGCTCACAGACTGAGGAGTGAGTATAACCACCCGCTTTTGAAGCTGCAGACTGGCTCTCAGGAGAAAAAGTCCAGAGGAAGGATGGGAGGGAGTCTGGCTCTGAAACACAGAGGCGCTGCTGGGCAACCCTGGGATGTCCAAGTGGGAGACAAGAGAGATGACAAAAAGCTGAAAGGCACATAAATGACCACCCTCAAACGGACAGGTTAAATGACGTACGATAACCCATTGACTGTCTTCTAAGATGCACGTTTAGTATCATCTCTGCTGGGCGAGTGCTGTTGCTCCATCCCCATCATAGGCAATTGTTATCCCAACCTTTAAGGTAGGGATCCCTGGTGGGGAGGGAAATGAGCAAAGATCCTTGGAAGGTGCCCTCCCTGCAAAAGTCGCCCTTCTCTGTCCTGGGAGGAGTGGGAGGGGAGGGAGAGGAGAGGTTTTTATTCTTAAAGGCAGCTCAGCCTCCAGAGGTCTGCCGTTCCCTGGATAATACTAGATTTACAAAGAGCCTGAAAGATCCCCAGGATTCGGGATCAACTCTGAGTTTCACAAGTGTTTATTTTGAGGGATTAGCCGTCCTGGGCAGGCCTGTTTGTCTAATGGTTAATCAACCAGTCAGCAAACATTTATTGAGGGCCTGCTTACTGGGCACCAAAACAAGCATAGGAGAGAGTCCCCTATTTTGAGGCATTCAGAAGGGTAATTGAGGCCCTGAAGTTAACTAACACCTGCAACAACTAGCAAATGATATGACATCATAACGTGTGCCTCAGACTGCCCTGGTCTTCCCGGCACCACCCCCTCCAAATTCTACTCAGACTTCACCACCCTGGCCCCTGGGGTACAAGCGTGGTTCAGGCTAAGCCAGAGTCCCTCGCTGAGATGTTACCTCTAAAGCCATCAGCCAGGAGAGGAAAAGTGGCTTCCATTGGTTACAAGGTTGTAAGGGGAGAACTAGGAGTGCCCCAAGGCCATATTCTGGCCTTAGTGGGCAGCCAGCTTGAGAGAAAGAAAGAGAAAACCATGCTGAAGAAAGCCAGGCAGGGACAGATGGACAGATAGAGTTTAAGTCGCTGGCCTGCCAGGGCTCCCCAGGGCCAGCTCTAGTGTGGCACTTTCCTCAGAGCAGTTACATGAGACAATATAGTCCCTCCCTTTTCCTTTTAGCTAGGGTGGGTCCTGTCCCCACCTGTGTAGGCAGAGGAGCCCTGAGCAATGAGCACACTGCACTTATTCAGCGGCAGCTGAAGTGATTCAGGAGGATGGCCTTGAAGGTTGTGGAGGAGAGAGAGCATCCAGGGCGAAGACGACGACGTGAAAGAAGGCTCTAGGGGCTGGGCATTGTGACTCACGCCTGTAATCCCAGCAGTTTGGGAGGCTGAGGTGGGTGGATCACTTGAAGTCAGGAGTTCGTGAACAGCCTGGCCAACATGGTGAAACCCTGTCTCTACTAAAAAAAGAAAAATTAGCCGGGTGTGGTGGGCGCCTGTAACCCCAGCACTTTGGGAGGCTGAGGTGGGTGGATCACTTGAAGTCAGGAGTTCGTGAACAGCCTGATCAACATGGTGAAACCCTGTCTCTACTAAAAACACAAAAATTAGCCGGGTGTGGTGGTGGGTGCCTGTAATCCCAGCTACTCAGGAGACTGAGGCAGGAGGATCACTTGAACCGGGGAGGCAGAGGTTGCAGAGAGTTGAGATCGCGCCACTGCACTCCAGCCTGGGCAAAGAGAGCGAGATTCCATCTCAAAAAAAAAAAAAAAAAAAGAAAAAAAAGAAAAGAAAAGAAGGGAAAGGGAGGAAAGGGAAAGGAAAAGGAAGCAGGCTCTAGGGACATGACAGCCCTGGAGGGTGGGTCTGACGGTCGGGAGTGCATGTGGAGGCTGGGAGCAAGCTGGGCAGAGTGCCCTGGGTGAATCTGCTCTCCAGGGGTTCCTGGGAGCTTTGGCTTCTGCCTGACTTCTGGGTTTAGCAGGAGCCCACACTGACGGTCCCCGGACGCACACACAGGCCTCCAGCACACTTCCTCTCCATTTATTATATAAAGCAGAACTGGCACTGCACACTCAGACTATGCTGTAGGTACCCAGGGATGCCATCCTGGAGCAGGCTTTAGTTAATGTTTACATTTTGTCCACATTCCCCTCCAACCCATTCTACTCTCCTCTTCTTCCCGCTAACCCTCGGCTTTTCTTATTCTTCCCCATTTTTTTTTTTTTTTTTTTTAGAATCAACACCTCCCTCTGTCACCCAGGCTGGAAGTGCAATGGTGTGATCATAGCTCACTGCAACCTCAAACTCCTGGCCTCAAGCCATCCGCCTACCTCAGCTCCCAAGTAGCTTGGGATTACAGGTGTGAGCCACATCACTGTGCTCCCCATTGTTAATATGTTGAGACTCTTACTCTGGGAGGAGGAGTGGCAACTAAAGGACCCCAAATCTCTACTTCTTGGGACCTGTATTTGACACTCCATCCAGCAGCTTCTGAATTTCACACCTGATAAAAGCAGGGGTTCTGGATGTTCTCACGGCAACCCCAATTTACACCCAAGAAGGGGCCTTCTGGGTGGCCACCTGGATCCTGGGTGCTTTTCCCTGGGCAGTGTTTATGCCAAAGGCCTGCTTGCAGCCTGGATCTGCTGTGCCCTGAGCCCGCCCTCCTCCCCTCCGCGCCCCACCCCACCCCAGAAGAGCCTCTGCTCTTCCTGCCCTTCTCCTTCCTGCTGCGCCAAGGTGGAGCCCAGCTGCCTCCGCACCCAGCCCTCTGTGACTCAGTGGAAGCCAGTGGCCACTTCCCCCTCCCACCCACCCACACTCACATTCCAACGGCCAGCTCACTTGCTTCTTGGCACTCAAACTGCACCCACCAGGCCTCTGACTAAATAGTCATCTCTTTACGGGACAATTTATGACCAGGGCCAGCCCAGTATGGGAAGAGGTCACGTGTATCTTACCCTCTGAGCACACTCCTTTTGCTCCACAGCTAATGACTGACCTCTGTGGATCTTTCCTTCTGGCCCCTGGCTGACCTGGGGCATTTTATTTAGGAGAACTAGAGTCTTAGCCTTTAGTGTTGTACCTAACACAGTGCTGACTCAATGCATCTTTGAATAAAAGAGGTTTAAAAAAAAATTACTGGCCAGGTGCTGTGGCTCACGCCTGTAATCCCAGCACTTTGGGAGGCTGAGGCGGGTGGATCACCTGAGCTCAGGAGTTCGAGATCAGCCTGGCCAACATGGAGAAACCCCATCTCTACTAAAAGTACAAAAAGATTAGCTGGGCGTGGTGGTGGGAGCCTGTAATCCCAGCTACTTGGGAGGCTGAGGCAGAAGAATTGCTTGAACCTGAGGAGCAGAGGTTGCAGTGAGCTGAGATCATGCCACTGCACTCTAGCCTGGGTGACAGAGCAGGTCTCCATCTCCAAAAAAAAAAAAAAAATTACAAATAAATAGAGAGTAATTCCCCAGGACCTGACAGATCCTACTATTTTGGTAAGGACTCAAGGACTCATTTAGGCCACACCTGGGAAGTTGGGTGGTTTAAAGTGGAGTTAGTGACACCTGGGTTGAAGCCCCAGCTCTGCCGCTCTAAGATCTCAAGCACATTTTATGACCCACCTAAGCCTCCATTCCTCACCTGTGTACTGGGGATGATATCGTGTATTTCATCAATTCTAGGATGTGCAGCTTTTTGCATCTTAATCTCTCTGAAATTGGGCTATGTCTTACAGTTGATATGGGGGTAGGAGATGGTGTATTCCCACTCCTAGATCGACTGTAGTGCCTCTAGGAGTGCCCTGCCAGAGAAGCCCACACTCCACCTCCTGAGCCAGGGTGGCCATATGACTTGTCCTGGCCAATGGAGTGTGAAGCAAGCAACATCTATCACATCCGGGCTGCACTTTCAAAGGCAACTGTCGTTCAGCTCATGCTCCTTTTCATCCACGTCAGCAGCCAGCAAAGTTCCAGATGGAGGCTGTTTCGTGGGCCCTGTCCCACAGTAAAGAGGATGTAGAGCTGAGCTGCAGCTGGTGGGCATTGAACAGAAGCATAAACCTTTCTTCTTTAGCCATTGAGATTGGGGTTCTGTGTTTTGACAGCACAGTCTAGCATATCCTGACTGGTATTTCATGCTCCAGTTAATTGACAGATTCCTTTTTCTTTCTTAATACATAGTGGTGTAACTCACAATTGTTGGTATTGTTGATTCAATGAAACACGGTAGTGCCTCTTACAGACTAATGTAGGTAAATCACTTAGCACAATGCCTGGCCCACAGTAAGTGTTCCATTCATGTTAGCCATTGTTCTATTTCTAGCCCTCTGCATGTAGCCAATGTTTAATACATGCTTGGAGGATGATACTGATGACACATGAGATCAGAACCCCCCTTAGATCCCTTGTGGCATGAGAAAGAGTATCGTAAAAGACAAAATTACAACAAATTTAGTTTAAAGATCTCAACAAGCTTTGTTGCAATTCTAAAATTGGGCAACACTTCGTTCCATAAAACAGAATAAGTGTCCAATGAACTGAGGAGAAGAGGCTGGCTTTACAGACAGAAAAGGCTGAAGAAAGCAAAAACAAAGAACAAAAAGCAGATTGATCATTTCAAAGTTACTTGCCTTGTAAGGCGGGACAGGGAGATGGAAGAGTAGAAAAATCACTGATCAGTGAACCTTGTGTTACTTCGGGCTAACTTTTGCATGTAAGGATTAAGGCAGAGGAAACTTCATTATCGTGCCAACTGAAGATTGAAACTGGCCTGTTTGGAAAATTGGCTGTTACCTTATTTCTCAGAAGGTCAGATAACTTAGTTTTAGTCTGGTGAAATGGAATTTTGGCATGCGTGACTCTAATTTTTTTTTTTTTTGAGACGGAGTTTCGTTCTTGTTGCCCAGGTTGGAGTGCAACGGCACACTCTCAGCTCACTGCAGCCTCCGCTTCCTGGGTTCAAGTGATTCTCCTGCCTCAGTCTCCCAAGTAGCTGGGATTACAAGCATGCACCACCACGCCCAGCTTGTAGAGATGAGATTTCTCCATGTTGGTCAGGCTGGTCTGGAACTCTTGACCTCAGGTGATCTGCCCGCCTCAGCCTCCCAAAGTGCTGGGATTACAGGTGTGAGCCACCGCGCCCAGCCAGCGTGACTCTATTTTTAGTCTTGTCTGTTGGGGCCTAGTGCAGGAGCTTAGTCCAAAACAATGGCCTCCTGCAATTTTTATTTAACAGTATAGATAAGTTCAAGTAAATAAAGTGGCATTGGCACTTGATTTTGGAGGCTCTTTGAGGGTATAGGTGTTTCTGATGCCCTTTCTGAAAGCTTTTTCAGGGGCTACTCGTTTAGGTAGGTAACTAAGAAAGCTGAGTTTTTATTCATATTAGTTAACAGTTTATTGCCTAGGATATGAGAAAGAGGAAGAAACAACTCAAGTGTGATGTGGCAAGTTTTTGGTGCAACAGAATAAAGAAACCACAGTCTCTTAGAGCAAAATATAAGCATCTTGAATTTTTGCAGAATCAAGTATGGGCCACAGATCCTGCTCTGAAGATACCATACTTCCAGCTAATTCTTGACCTTCTGTGTTAAACCCCGTGCTCTGGAACAAATCTCTCCAGGAATTTTATAGCCAGCCCCTGCAGACCCAAAAGTAGGGAGAGTGTTCTACATGCTGGGCTGGGCTCAGGTGCTGTGAGGGCAGACTTGCCAGAGCCACTTCCCATCCCTTTGGCATCCTCTCCCCTGAACCTCATATTACCTGTCTGTCTCCTCCTTTACTTCCTCCACTTGGGAAGATGACAAAAGTAATTTATCCTAAAGTATTATTGGTGTATGCATTACTTAAAGGGGAACCTAGAAAATGAAAAAGGAAATCACAGGACTGTATGTTAGGTTATGTTAGGGATCTGTTACGTTTCTCATCTCTGCTACCTGCGTCCACCTCAATCTTTTCTCTCAGCAGACAGCTCTCTTCACTCAGCTGTCAGCTTGCACATGGTCTCATAAAATGGCTGCCCTAAAATGGTGGCCCCCGCACCTCGTGACTATGTGACTTTCAAGTCTAGCACCAACTAGCTAGACTTTCTGTGGCCTCCAGTTCCTGAGAGGGAGGATCTGGCTTCATGTAGCCTACAGATGATTCCACTGGGGTCAGTTGACCATATCTGGCTCAGTCAGTCATGGTGCTGCTACTATTGGGCCAGTTAGTTTCTCTTAAAGACCAGGATGTTTGGTGTATTACGCAGGATTTGTTGAGCTGCATGTGGCAGAATATTCAAAACAATAGCAGCTTAAAAATACAAATTTCTGGCCGGGTGTGGTGGCTCATGCCTGTAATCCCAGCACTTTGGGAGGCTGAGGTGGGTGGATCACCTGAGGTCAGGAGTTTGAGACAAGCCTGGCCAACATGGTGAAACTCCATTTCTACTAAAAATACAAAAATACAAAAATCAGCCGGGTGTGGTGGCAGGCCCCTGTAATCACAGCTACTCGGGAGGCTGAGGCCAGAGAATTGCTTGAACCCAGGAGACGGAGGTTGCAGTGAGCAGAGACTCCGCCACTGCACTCCAGCCTGGGTGACAAGAGTGAAACTCCATCTCTCTCTCTCTCTCTCTCTCTAACATATAAACATATATTATATGTAACATATAAACATATATTATATGTAACATATAAACATATATTATATGTAACATATAAACATATATTATATGTAACATATAAACATATTATATGTAACATATAATATATAATATATAAACATATATTTTATATATTATATGTTACATATAATATATAATATATAAACATATATTATATATTATATGTAACATATAATATATAATATATAAACATATATTTTATATATAATATATAAACATATTTTATATATAATATATAAACATATTTTATATATAATATATAAACATATATTTTATATATAATATATAAACATATTTTATATATAATATATAAACATATATTTTATATAATATATAAACATATAATATATATAATATATAAAAGTATATAATATAAATATATATAATATAAACATATATAATATAAATATATATAAAATATAAACATATGTAATATATAAACATATATTATATATAATATATAAACATATATTATACGTACAATATATAAACATATATTGTACGTACAATATATAAACATATATTATACGTACAATATATAAACATATATTATACGTACAATATATAAACATATATTATACGTACAATATATAAACATATATTATACGTACAATATATAAACATATATTATACGTACAATATATAAACATATATTATACGTACAATATATAAACATATATTATACGTACAATATATAAACATATATTATACGTACAATATATAAACATATATTATACGTACAATAAACATATATTATACGTACAATATATAAACATATATTATACGTACAATATATAAACATATATTATACGTACAATATATAAACATATATTGTACGTACAATATATAAACATATATTATATGTATAATATATAAACATATAATATATAATATATATTATATATATGTTTATTATATATGTTTATATATTATATATAACATATATTATTATATTATATATGTTTATATATTATATATTATATAATATATATGTTTATATATTATATATTATATAATATATATGTTTATATATTATATATTATATAATATATATGTTTATATATTATATATTATATAATATATATGTTTATATATTATATATTATATAATATATATGTTTATATATTATATATTATATAATATATATGTTTATATATTATATATTATATAATATATATGTTTATATATTATATATTATATAATATATATGTTTATATATTATATAAATAATAAACTTACATATTTTATTAAGTATAATATATAAATATAATATAACTTACATATTATATTTTATATATATATAAACATAAATTTTTTTCTTTCTCATATAAGAGGCGAGCAGTCCAGGACTGGTACAGTGGCCCCTTGATCACTATCTGGGTATGCAGCTTCTATCCTCAAGGTCACCTCATGATCCAAGATGGCTGCTGAAGTTCCAGTCGTTACATCACATGGAGTTGCAGGCTGGAAGGAGGAAAGAAAGACAAAAGCTCCTCCACTCCCTGCTGTCATCTCCCATGAAGCCCCCAGAACACTTGCACTTGTCTCATTGCTAGGACCTAGTCACATAGGTTGTGCACACTTAGCTCTAAGAAAGTCTGAGAAATGAAGGGTTTTTTTTTAGCAAGACACATTGTCACCCAGAATATAATCAGGGTCCTTCCACCAAAACAAAGAATGGAGAATGGGTATTGAGGGATGCTCAGAGTCTAAGCCAGAGTTGGGAGGAAATAACAGACACTTCCAATTATGTTTTAATGCATTCTTTTTCTATAAGAAGGCCATGTCACTTTGGAAATTTAAAACATAAGTAAAAAAACCATTTTGGAAAAAATAAGAGAAATTCTGGAAAAGAGAGATCAGCACTTACCCTATAGGAATAATTTCTGAAAGTGGAATTTCAGGCATCAGAGAGATGGTGTTTTAGAAGAGGGAGTAGAAACCCTGCCAGAGCCCTCAAGTCAATGCACACGAACACATGGGGCTAGGGCACACTACCTATGGGGTAACCCTACTCCACAAAGAGCAGTTAAAAAAAAAAAAAAAAGCCTATTCAGGTTGAGAGAGTTCTGTAGGTGTGGATGTTCATCCTTTCCTATGCTTGAAGCCAAATATATGTTTTAATACATGCTAGTTTTGGCCAGGTGCAGTGGCAGATTACATGCCCGTAATCTCAGCACTTTAGGAGGCCGAGGCAGGAGGATTGCTTGAGCTCAGGAATTCAAGACCAGCCTGGGCAAAATAGGGAGACCTCATCTCTACAAAAAAATTAAAAAATTAGCCGGGTATGGTGGCACACACCTGTAGTCCCAGTTACTTGGGAGGCTGAGGTGGGAGGATCATTTGGGCCCAGGAGGTCGAGGCTGCAGTGAGCCATGATTGCACCACTGCACTCCAGCTTGGGTAACAGAGTGAGACCCTGTCTTAAAAAAAAACCCAAACAAAAACATACAAACAAACAAACAAAAAAACGCATGCTAATCTCCATATCTGTCTACACTTTTCTTCTCCTCTTCACAATGTCACTCACAGAGGGGAAACATGAAGTTTGCCATCCACTCAAATGCAGTTCTTTCTCCTCACCACAATCACTCCCTATGCAACTACCTGAGAACTCTTTCAAAAATGCAAGGCAAGCGTATTCCTCCACTGTTTAAACCCTTCTCAGATTCCCTGACCAAGGCAGGCAAACTCCCTCCTCATGGGGCCCCTTCCCTAATTTCCAGTCCTGCTTTCTGTCAGCTCCTCTGTGTCTTCCTCCTCCCCAGAGCCTCCAAGAAGCTTCTGCTCTCTGGGATGCCCTTCCCTCCATTGTCTATGTAGCAAACTCCTACTTTCCCTTCAATGGCCCACTCAAAGGCACCTCCTCTGTGAACCCTTCCTTGATTGCCTACAGGCATGGGCCTTTTTTTTTCTTTCTTTTGTGTTCCTGTGACACTTCATGACCATCTCTGCCAGCAGGTCTGTCTTTTCCATTAGAGCATGAACTCTTCCAGAGTAGAAACTAGGCTTTATTTTTGTCTGTGCCTCAATGCCAAGCACAGAGCCTGGGATGAACTAGGTACCCAGTGTAAGGCAGTTATAAGGCAATAGAGCATAGTGGTTAAGAGCATAAACTCTGGTGCTACCCCACCTGACTTCGAGGCCAGGCTCTGCCACCTACTTAACAGCTATATGCCTCAGTTTCCCCACTTGTAAAATGGGGATAAAGATACTTCCTACCCCATAAGTTTCTGTTGAAGACTCAATGAAGGAATATATGCAAAGGGTTCGTCACTCATTACATGAAAGCCATCATCTTTATTACTTCTGAATACAATGCTAGTGCAGCAGAAGGGGCACCTGGAACCCCGCCCCTCACCAGCTCAAGGGCTTTGGTCAGACAAGACTACCTCTCTGACATATGTAGGTTGATATTATTCTAAAATATGTTGTGCATTTCATCTTCCTGGAGAAACTCAGGGAAGTTACAAAATACCATCTCTTTGCTTGAAGGATCTTGCATAATTCCTTGGCCCTAGTCCATTTGTAGGGAGCACATTTAGTAACCCTAACAGAGTGTTGGAAAAGGCTTGCCTGGAAAGGGTTAACCACAGAGCTTTAGAAGGAGTTGGGCTCTGGGGAAAGAGAGATTTCTAGGGATGGTGGAAGATGAGGCCTCCCTGCCCTCTGGGACCCTGGGAGGCGTCACCATGGTGATGCAGAGTGTAGGTCCGCTTTGCATGTATTTGGGGCTTTTTGTTTCTTCAGTTCTGGTGAGGGTCAGTTGAACTAGATTATGGAGAAATGAGGTACAGAGAAAGGGAAATGCTTTCTCCAGCCAGGGTAGCATGGGAAGTTATTGGAAAAGCAAGGACTAGAACTTATTAGTTAACTTATTAATTAACCAATATTTATAGACCCCACTCTATGCCAGGCCCAATTCTAGGTATGGAGGACTTGGCAGAGAGCATGGCAGACAGTGTCTCTGGTCTAATGAGCACAGCAGGCAGGAATCAAGGAAGCAAATAAATATGTGCCATATTTCACTGATCCTAAGATGTCCCTCCCTTTTTTCACATTTTAAAATCTCTGAAATCAAGGTGGATGCATCTTACAATCAGTGATATGTCTTGAGAGCATTTTCTTCTCTCATAGTGATATGTAAAATAATGCTATACCTTACAACTGATGGCATCTGAGATTTAATAAGATATAGTCATACAATTCAAGTGATGGCATTCTCACCTCCTTAACACTGATTTATTTTCCATCCAAGCAACTTACAGTAGAAACCCCTGCCTGAAATGGACAACTTCTCTGACTGATCTATTTCTAGGACTTCTTTAGAAATTCATGGTTCTCTCAGTTATATTTCTGTGAATCCACTTTTTTTTGGAACCAACAAGGACCCTGCCTATATCAGTAAGGAATTTATTTGGCTACAAATAGGAGAAAACCAGAACCACAATGATTGACACTGATTTGCATGACCCTGGGGCTGGCACAGCTGCTCATCAGGCATCCAGGCTGCTTCTTTCATTTTACTGTACCATCCTCAGCGCAGGCCTTTAGTCCTCATGGTCACAAGATGGCTGCTGTACTTCCTGGTCTCACATCCATGTTCCAGGCAGGAGGAGGGAGGAAGGACAAAAGGCATGGCACTCCCCCAACTCCTTTTTTAAAAATCAGGAAAACAAGCTTTGCCAGAAGCGTCACTAGGCTGAACTTGACTATTTCTCACAGTCCATGTGGTGTCACACGCGCACCTCTAGCTAAAAGATGCCTGTGGAAAAGAGGGTTGTGTGAGTGAAGATGAGAAGCCAACAGCGTCTGCTCTGCTGAAGAAATAGAACAATGGAGTTCTCATGAGTGCATTGCGTGTGTGATGGCATTTGTAGTGCAATCAGAGGGAGGAGGGGATGTCATTCCTATTCTTGACAGGAAATCACTACACAGATTTGCCTCACCTGAAAATGTGACAGAAGCCAGTCAGCAACGTCGTGACAGAGCCTGGACTTCTTCGTGCTTGTCTCCACATATCCAGCCACCTTGAGGAAGAGGATGATCCCACAGGCGCTGGCCATGTTACTAGCCACTTTCTAACTTCCAAATAAGACGGGAAAGAACATTCCAGACCAGGGGAGCCCACCCCCAACTCTTGGAGGAGAGCTTCAATTTTTCCCAGAGACTCTGAAATGACTCCATCAAGGAGTTGAGTAGCTCACAAGGGACCAAAGCTGCTACGCCAGAAGATGGAGACAGTCTCAACCAGATGCTCATGCCCTGAGGGCAGGACGCAAGCCCTGGGCTGAGGCCCAGTGAGGATCTCACATTAAGGGGAGGGAGGAGGAGGGCTGGGTCAGGGAGGGACCCTTCGAGGGGTTGGCTGTTGGGGGAGCAAGCGCATTAACAAAGGTATTGGTCTTTGACAATCTTCTTTACCTGTCTGATGGTCTTCTTTTCCCATCTATCTTTTCATTGTAGGCTTGTCAACTAACACATCAATATAATTCCTTTTGGAAATGGCTGAAAAACTGTAAACACAGAACTTATTGGTAGCTACAGTGGTAGATTGTAAAAGTGGCCACAATCCTTCACTGCGTCTATATGTTTACCCCTAAGCTAAATGACTCTGTGCCTCTCTTCCATCAAGAGGAACAGACTACCTCTCTGCTCCTTCGACTGGGGCTGCCCTAGGGACTCACTGTGGCCAGTAGAATGCAGCGGACCTTGTTTGTACGGTTCTGAAGCTCTTGCCTACTTCTCTCTCTGGAAACTTGTGTGAACAAGCCCAAGCTAGCCTGCTGGAGAATGAGAAACACAGAGAAGCTGCCCCAGCTGAGGCTGTCCTAGTCCAGCCAGGCCCTAGCCCACCAGGCAGCTGGCCTCTGAGCATGGGCAAGCTGGCAGAAATATGCCAGACTGCAGAATCGTAAGCTAAAGGGTGGTTGTTTTGAGCCACTAAGTTTAGGGAAGATTTGTTAAACAGGAAGAGCTAACTGATAGACTTACTATGTGCTGGACACTGGCTAGGAACTTATGTAATCGTCATTTCTTTTAGCTATATTTGTACCTGTCAGTGTGCAGAGTGTGTGTTCAGGGGAGAAATAGCTTGGTCTGCTTCTGCTTGTGCTCCCATTCTGGCTGAATTTCTGTGTACTCAATTGCTCTAAAGAGCTTTCAGGCTCCAACAAAAGGACCAGAATATTCTGTGATAATCCCTGAACATTCCTCAGTCTCTAGTCCCTTAAAAGTGTGTGGGATTAGGGAAATGGTGCTCTAGTTGGAATCCATCCAACTTTTCAGCCTGCAGAGATTCAATCTGGGGAGTTATCTTGCTGTTTTTAAGCATATGTGGGTTCCTAGATATCAGGAACCAAGGGATGATCCTTTAGTGCCACTCACCAGGCAGTCCTAGCACACTAAGGGAGGGAAGGTAAGACACAAGATGCTTTCTCTGTAGTATGAAATGGGGGAGTCTGTGGAAGGTGGTCACTTAAAGCCCTGGGCAGAATGACAGTCACCAAAGCAGTGACCATGATAAGTGCCAACGTAGGGCAACCTCACGCCAAGGAAGAAGGTGTGACCTTAGGCTGGTGGCACTACCTACCTGGATAGCTGCACTCCAGTGTGGAGAGCCTTAAACTGGATTTTACTGTGGGCTGCAGACACAGTTTGCCATAACCTTTGGTGTAACAGACACTTAAAGTCAAGGTGCCTGCCAAAAGATAATAACTTTAAATGTAAAATTACAAATCATTAAGGGTAACATGATACAAATAGCAATAGAAGCATTGGCAGTATTTTACCTTGATTTTATTTTTGCTTGTCTTTCGCTGTCAGCCTTGTCTAAAGTTGCTGCTGAGGGCACCTCATTCACACACCATTTACCCTTCAGCTATGGCACTGACATTGTCGCCTCAAGGAGCATGAGAGTGAAGGCCAAGGACACCTCCCACACAAACTATGGTTATTTCTCAGAAATGCAGATTTAACTTTTTCAACATGGGTTTCTTCATTTACCCTTTGGGAAGTACATGGAAATGTTCAATTTCCTTTGGGAACTGAAGTCAATATTAGCCGTTAATCCAAAAAGCATCCTTCATGAAATGCTTAAGGAAGGCTTGTAAGAAACCAGTTGACTGAATTTGTTTACTACCTATGGGCTTTGGCTAGAGGAGGGAAGACTAGTCAACACTTGGGCCTTAAAAAATCTGAACCCAAGTGTCATGTCCTTTCTTCCCAAGGGATGTAGGAAAATTGGAAAGTGGTCTTTTCTCAACTACTTCCCTTTATAGCTGTTGAGAGGTAGATGGTGCTGAATATCCATTTTGCTGCAGCAAAATCAAAAAAGAAAGGCGCAAACAACAAAAAATATAGTTGTTTTTTTTTTTTTTTTTTTTTTTTTTCTGAGACAGAGTTTCGCTCTGGTCACCCAGGCTGGAGTGCAGTGGTGCGATCTCTGCTCACTGCAACCTCCACTTCCTGGGTTCAAGTGATTCTCCTGCCCCAGCCTCCCGAGTAGCTGGGACTACAGGCACCTGTCACCATGCCTGGCTATTTTGGTATTTTTAGTAGGCACAGGATTTCACCATATTGGCCAGGCTGGTCTCGAACTCCTGACCTCAAGTGATCTGCCCACCTTGGCCTCCCTATATGCTGGGATTACAGGCTTGAGCCACTGCGGCTGGCTGAAAAAATACAGAAGTGTTAAAATACTCTTGACATGTTTTATATCAAACTTCTTACAGGGAAGGAGCTCAGATCGGTTAACCATTCCATCGCTGAGAGAAGCCCCTACCCAAAGACAGTTAATGTCTCCAAGGGTGATGATGGATTCCAGAGTCTTCAGGTGGAAGACTTGGGGCTATGTGGGTCTCACTTCATCTTCCCTTTTTTTAGCTCCCCTGTGGCTACCTATTTGCAAGGAGCTCTGTGCTCCTAATGACAAGGAAAACCCAGAGGCTTAAAATAGAGTTCATTTCCCAGAATCTCAGGTACTCAGAGGAGAGAGGGGTGGGGACTTCTTGGACACAAGCTCACATTAGCTGATGAAACACAGCTGCATGTGCCCCACACCACAAGGAAGGAAACTTGTTTTGCTGGGAAATACTGCAGAGGTTTTTGCCTCATTTTCATGGGAGAGGCTGAAGCTTCCACTCTCTGGCAACATAGGCCAGACCCAAATGAATCTGTGGCTGAGACCAGCTTTTCCTAATGTAAGTGCTCAGTTGGCCAGGCATGGTGGCTCATACCTGTAATCCCAGCACTTCGGGAGGCTGAGGTGGGTGGATCACCTGAGGTCAGGAATTTGAGACCAGCCTGGCCAACATCGTGAAACCCTTTCTCTACTAAAAATACAAAAATTAGCATGGTGGCAGGTGCCTGTAATTCCAGCTACTCAGGAGGCAGAGACAGGAGAATTGCTTGAACCTGGGAGGTGGAGATTGCAGTGAGCCGAGATAGTGCCACTGCACTGCAGCCTGGGCAACAGAGCAAGACTCCATCTCAAAAAAAAAAAAAAGAAAGAAAAAGAAAAGAAAGTGCTCAGTCAATTCGCAGCTATGAGAACTGTGTTAGATCTATAGCCCCGTGACTCTCATTTTGATGTGTGTTACCTGAGCACTTGAGGTCATCTGTGAGCAAAGTTTGCCAGCCCAGGCATCTCCTCCAGAGACTGCTGGCTTCTGAAGCACACTTCACTTGGTGTGAAACTTCTCATTTTGAAGGAAGCTTTATAATGTGGCCCGATGATCCTTAGTCCGTCATGTTATATGCAACCCAGGAGCAAGGTGGTCCTAGCTATTAACACTAGGTGTGTGTTCACAGCCAGGCGTAGTGGTGCACACCTGTAATCCCAGCTACTTGGGAAGCTGAAGTGGGAGGATCACTGGAGCCCATGAGTTTGAGTCCTGGGTAACATAGTGAGACTCTCTCTCTAAAAAATCCCAGTACCCACGCCCCTCCCCTCCCTCCCACCCCCCACTGCCAACACACACAATCCCCACTGTTTGCAGCATAGCACAGGACATCTCCTTCCTTAGCTTCTTTGCTTGGGGATGCTGACCCAAGAAAGTAATAACAGCAAGCATTATGGATTAGTTCTTTATTGCTGTGCAATAAATCACCCCAAAATGAAGCTACTTAATAATAAAACACTTACTACCTCATGCAGTTTCTGTGGGTCAGAAATTCAGGAGTAACTTAGTTTGACAGTTCTGGTTCAGGGTCTCTTATGGGGTTGCAGACATCTGAAAGTTTGACTGGGGCTGCAAAATTTGCTTCCAAGAAGCTCCTCACATGACTGGCAAGTTGGTGCTGGCTATTGGCAGGAGGCCTCAGCTTCTAGACTATGTGAAGGTATTACTTTAAAAATTTAAAATTTATATTACACTCATAGGTATGCACTAGAGGGATCTAAAATTCCCCCTACCTTTGTAATGTTGTCTGTTCTCCTGAATGTCCCCACCTGCTTCCTCTGGGTACCTATCTCCACTGAGACACATGTCCATGCTCCCCAGGGTCAGGTGCCTCGGTTTCTAGTGCCTGCAACCCTATGTCCTTGCCCATCTCTTCTTCCCCCATTGCTCAGGACCTGGCCCAGCATGACACACACAAAAGGCACTCAACATGAAGAGAATTGAATAGAACCAGTCTCCACCATAGTGCGTTCCACAGAGAGGATGTAACCCTGACCTTGAAGAGAACTGTGCTCAGTTAGAGTGAGCAAAAACATGGATTTCAGTTGTCCTGGTTTGATCTCCCCAAAATGAACTAATAACATCAGGGGTGTAGAGAGTGATAGGCATTGGGGATGAAGAAATAGGAGCAGAAACCCCAACCATTTCTTTTCTAAGCTGGGTCAGGGCCTTCACTGCACCTGGAAGGCCCTGACCCAGCTTAGAAAAGGGGGAGCCTCCCCCAGGCAGAGCAGACATAGCTGAAGATGGCTGACCGCCCTCAAATACAGCCTTGAGTTCTGACCTGCAGCTCACCAGAATGGAGAAATCCCTGGCAGGGCTGTGAGAGGCACAGATTGAAACAAAACCTTTCACTTAAAAACGACAATGTGCTCTTTTCCACCCAGCTACTCCCCAGAGGTTCAACTCTGCATAGGCAAGAAGGGAGGAGGAAGAAAAAGAGGAAGGAGAGGGGCATTTCCTCCCACAGACTGGGTTGCCAAATAACTGCTCTAAGATGCCTCTTCTCCCTGGGTCTTCTGGACAATACGGCCCTGCTACTTGTTCAGAAAACACCACCTTCTCATATGCCACTCACTCCCAGTAGAGAAAGTGCTTCCTCCCTGCTCTGCTTCCCGTATCTTGAGGCTTCACATTCTCTCTGGGCAGAGCACTTTCTTCACTGCTCCCCACTTTGGCCATGCTGCTTCCTCTTTGTTTTGTTTTGTTTTGTTTTGTTTCTCTTGCTCTGTCACCTGGGCTGGAATGCAATGACACGATCATGGCTTACTGCAGCCTCGACCTCCCAGGCTCAAGCAATCCTCCTGCCTCAGCCACCTGAGTAGTCGGGACTACAAGTGCACACCACCATGCCTGGCTATTTTTTATTTTTGGTAGAGACAGGGTCTCACTATGTTGCCCTGGCTGGTCTTGAATTCCTAGGCTTGGGCAATGCTCCTGCCTCGGCCTCCCAAAGTGTTAGGATTATAGATGAGAGCCACCATGCCTGGCTGGTTCCTCTTTGGAGGCCTGAGTAAGTCAGGACTCCTTTGTTTGCCCAGAACAGAACCACGCTGCGCTCTAGCTTACACTAGAAAAGGAAGGTATGGACACAGAGTTACCAAATGACCCAGGAATTCCACATCCAGGTCTATACCCAAAAAAATTGAAAACAGGTATTCAAATTCTTGTACATGAATGTTGATAGTGGCATTATTCGTAATAGCCAAAAGTAGAAACAACCCAAATGCTCATCAGCTAATGAATAGGTAAACAAAAGGTGGTGTATCTATGCAGTGGAATAGTATTCAGCCCCAAGAAATAATGGTGTACTTAAACATTCTACAACGTTAACGAAGCCTGAAAACATTATGCTAAGTGAAAGAATCCAGACACAAAATGTCACATATTGTATGATTCCATTTATATGAAACTTTCAGACTTGGTAAAGCCATCTTCCAGAAGTATAGCCATAGAGACAGAAAGCCAACTAGTGGTTGCCAGGAGTTGATGGGAGAGGGAAAGAGAAAGTGATTGCTTAATGAGTATGGTGTTTCCTTTTGTGATGATGAAAAGATCTTCAACTGGATAGAGGTGCTGGTTGCACAGACTTGTGAATGTAAGTGCCACTGAACTGCACACTTTAAAATGGTTAATGATTAATTTTGTGTTATGTGAATAAAAAGAAAAAAATCCAACTGGGTGTGGTGGCTCACGCCTGTAATCCTAGCATTTTGGGAGGCCCAGGAGGGCAGATCACTTGAGGTCAGGAGTTCAAGACTAGCTTGACCAACATGGTGAAACCCCGTCTCTACTAAAATAAAAAAATTAGCTGGGTGTGGTGGCAGGTGCCTGTAATCCCAGATATTCGGGAGGCTGAGGCAGGAGAATTACTTGAACCCAGGAGGTCGAGGTTGCAGTGAGCCGAGATCGCACCACTGCACTCCAGCCTTGGTGACAGAGTGATACTCCATCTCAAAAAAAAAAAAGAAAAGAAAAGAAAAAAGAGGGAAAAAAAAGAAAAAATCCAATGCTTTTTTTTTTTTCTTTTTTTTTTTGAGACAAGGTCTCACTATATTGCCCAGGCTGGGCTCAAGTAATTCTCCCACCTCAGCCACTCTCTCCCCAAAACTCCACTTCCCACCCCCAGTCACAGAAACTGCTGACATACACCCCAATGCCTGGCTCTTTTTTCTTTTTCAATACATAAGAAATAAAATCGAATGAAAATTTGGCAGGGAGGAAGAAGTATACGGGCTCTCATGTAACTGCAAAGTCCAGTATGAATCCTGCTGACTTCAGACATGGCTGTATCCTGAGGTTCAGCAATGTTGTCAGGGTTTTGTCTCCATCCCAGCAGCCCTTGTGTGTGGGAGGAGAGGGACACTGCCAGTTCTGGTGTCACATGAGGCTGAGTAAAGAAGAGAGGAAGCTGCTTCCTGGAATGGGTCATGTGAACATGCAGATATAGACACATCCTTGGTCCAATCACCAAGGACTCCAGGGTATGGAGTCTTCTGACTGATCTGGCTCAAGCTATGTGGTCACCCCCATGGTTAGCCCACGCTGGAGGTAAGAGGCAAAGTGTGAGGTCAACACCACCCAAACCTTATGGACTGAATGGTCTCTTTGGAATAAGGAAAGGTGATTGCCAGGCAGAGGAAAGAATGCTGGGTAGCAAAATGAATCCTCCATAGGGCCTTCACTAGCCTTTCTTGCCCTCCATCCAGGAAGAGCCTCCATTCTTTCCCTACCATGTGCAAAGACTCCACCCTATCCCTAAGCATCTCTGCCTACTTGGACCTCCCTGGGCAGCACAACTACACTCAGGAGCAGAAACCCAACCCTGGAGGTCATTGTGTTAATTTTGCTTTCCAGAGAGCAACTTGGCACTGCACTGAATTCTGATGTTCTTATTATCCTTTAACTCTGCATGGATGCTTTTAGGAATATGTTCTAAAGAAAAATTCAGCAAGATGCAAAGATGTACGAACATAAGGATGACCTTAGGTAACCATTTATTAACTTCGAAACAACATAAGTGGGCATCAACAGGGGAGGGGTTGGCCAGGTGCAGTGGCTCACACCTATAATCCCAAAACTTTGGAAGGCTGAAATGGGAGGATTGTTTGAGCTAGGAGTTTGCGGCCAGACTGGACAACATAGTGAAACACCATCTCCACAAAATTTTTTAAAAAGCCAGATGTGGCCGGCCATGGTGGCTCATGCCTGTAATCCCAGCACTTTGCGAGGCCGAGGCAGATGGATCACCTGAGGTCAGGAGTTCGAGACCAGCCTGGCCAACATGGTGAAACACTCTCTACTAAAAATACAAAAATTAGCTGGACATGGTGGCATGCACCTGTAATCCCAGCTATTCTGGAGGCTGAGGCGGGAGAATTTCTTGAACCTGAAAGATGGAGGTTGCAGTAAGCTGAGATCACGCCATTGCACTCCAGCCTGGGTGACACAGCGAGACTCCATCTCCAAAAAAAAAAAAAAAAAAAAAAAAAAAAAGCAAGATATGGTGGTGTGCATCTGTAGTCACAGCTATTTAGGAGGCTGAGGTGGGAGGACTGTTTGAGTCCAGGGGTTTGAGGCTACACCACTCCACTCTAGCCTAGGAAACAGAGTGAGACTCTATTTAAAACAAACAAACAACAACAATGACAAAAATCGGTAAGTGGGGGTTAAATAAATTATGATGAAGACAAATGAAGGCCAACCATGCAGCTGTTTCAAAGGATAATTCATTTCTGCATTTATTGACCATAAGATTTAATTGTTTTTTTTTTTAAAAAAAAAGATCATGTAAGTACCAAATATATCCTCATTAGTATAGTGGTGAATTAAAAATTTTTTTGAAAGGCCGGGGGGTGGCTCACGCCTGTAATCCCAGCACTTTGGGAGGCCAAAGTGGGTGGATCACATGAGGTCAGGAGTTCGAGACCAGCTTGACCAACATGGTGAAACCCTGTCTCTACTAAAAATAGAAAAATTAGCTGGGCATGGTGGCATGGGCCTGTAGTCCCAGCTACTTGGGAGGCTGAGGCAGGAGAATCACTTGAACCCAGGAGGCGGAGGTTGCAGTGAGCTCAGATCGAGCCACTGTACTCCAGCCTGGGCAACAGAGCGAGACTCTGTGTCAAAAATAAATTAATTAATTTAAAATTAAAATTTTAAAATGTTTTATAAGTAAAAGTAAATATAGTATGACCCCATCTTTTAAAAACATAATTCTTGTAAATCAGAGGGGAGACCATAGGGTCCAATCCCTCTATAGACTTAATGCACAGTTTAGTGCTCAAAATTAATACAGAATAAATTCCATTATTTGATCACGTATTTGGAAGAACATTAAAAGACTCTGGGTCATAGTCGTGTTAGCTCATCTCAGAAGCCCCTTCCTCCACATCTGATTATTTAGAGAGCCTCAAATGTGCTAATCTCTGAAAACTCTGTTGAATTCCCTTCCATAAGGCTTTTCCCTGTCTGGACGTCTTCCTTAGCCCATTCCATTCCTTCATCATGCAGATCAGCTTAGCTCCTCTCAGCAAGTAATAATTGTTCCTCTCCCTAGAAGAGAGAAGTGAAGGAAACCAAATAGACAAATTCAAGATTTTCTTCAGTAGACAGGGGCAGGAAGAATGCTAAGAGCATGACCATGTTAACAATTTTAGCTCACATAAAAACATATGTCTGTATGCACAGAAAATAGTATGGGAAAAATATACAAAAATGTTATCAGGGCTATCACTGGTGGCGTGGTGACAGGTGATTTTTGTTCCCTTCTTTATTTTTTTTGTCTGAATTTCTTTTTATAGAGCATGTTCTACTTTTATATTCAGAGTTTTTTTTTAAGTCATCATACTTCAGCATATTTCTTTTTCTTCTTTCTTTTCTCAAGATCTAGCAAAGGATAAAGAGAATTCAGTTGCAAAATCCAATCCTCAACACAGGATGATTTATCTTTTTTTCTTTAATTTTAGAACTTTAAAAAAGTAACCCCCTTCCACACATACCAGCATGAATAAAAGACTATTCCTTTGTAGGTTTATGAATTCACTCATAACACGCAACTGTGCAAATTCATTTAAAATTAAGTAGCCTGAGCACGTGGTTAAGGACTGAGTTTGCTCCAGGGGCCAAGGTCAGTCCCTCCACAGTAGGAACAGCTTTTCTGCAAACAGTTTCCCTGCAAACTCCCCTTCCTCACAGAGAAGCTGGCCCAGGCACCATGCAGCCTGGCCACTGAGGTGTTGGTGACCCCACGCTGCCACACTGGCGTTTCCATAACCCCCTTGTGTGAGCCTCCAATGGCCGGAGGGGCCTTGGCTGTGGGTGTGAAGACAGTGGGGGCCCCTGCTCTGCAGACTTGCGGTGCGAAAACTCTGGGGTCTGAGCAGGGTAAAAATCACTCTGCTGCCTGCTTTCCTCTTCCTGCTGGGTTCCTCCCAAGCTGCTCTCCCATCTCCCCTGGGACCTCTCTGGCCAGCTCAGCTTTTGTGTTTGGGCCAGGCGGGAAGAAGCACTTGGCCCGACTCCTTGCTTGTCAGAAGTCCAGCATTACCAGGGGTCTTGCCTGGTTTCAAGTATTTCCCGGTGCCTTTCCTCGCTCTGTAGTCAAGTTTCTAGCCAGGATTTCTTGGCTCTGGGAAAGATTGAATGCCTGTCTGAGCCTTCTGGGCCTGTGTTTCATTTGCAGCTGCCTGGCCCTACACTGGGTGACAGTCTCAGCCCTCCCCAGGGCAGCCCGTCCCCTCCTGCTTGGCCAGCAGAGGAGGCCCTTTGTGTCGCTGTCTTGGTGCTGGAGTGGAAGTGAGGCTTCTAATTATCGTCCCCAGCCCCGTGTCCTGGGTTTACTTCGGCTCCAGCCCAGCGTCAGGGGCAGCACTCCCTTCTGAGAGCAAGCAATTCCTGCCTGTCTGTGAGACCAAGCAGACAAGAATGCCAACCGCCAGCAGCCCCAGCCCCTAACTGTTTCTAAGTCAGACTAGGACCTGTTCAGAACCTGGCACTTTCCTGCTAGAAATTTCCAGCTGCTCTGATCTTTCCTGTAGGGCTTGGCAAGGCCAAAAAGGTCTGGAACCAAAAGAATTCATAAGAACATCAGGCCTGGGCCGGTGGGCACCTCTCCCTCTGTCTGCTCAGGGACTCCCCAGTCACTTCCTACTGTTGGATTCATCCAGGGTGAGGGCCTGGTGGGGCTGCCAGGCCCTGAAGTCCAAGCTCAGGGAAGCGAGAGCAGTTTACCTCTGTGACATTGCTGGTGTGAGCCAAGGCTGCGGGTTCCAGGAGCTAACTTGGGATTCCGTTCAGGACATGACACAGAAGTGAAGAACTCAGGGAACTTCATATGTCCCCATCACCATAGGTGACCTGTGCCCTGCCATCATGGGGGGTGACGGGAGGCTATGAATGTTAACATAATGCAGACTGACAAAGACATCCTCTTTTGTCTTCCTTCCTCTTTGAGACTAGAATGTATTTTCTGAGCTCTCCTTTGCTTTGCTTTTCTTTTGGGTACCATGACCCAAGGTACAGTATAAATACGTCAGTATTTGTAGCCTGTAGAAGGTCACTCAAGAATGTGCATTTGTAACCATCTGGGGAGAAAATAGGCTTTGTCAGTGAGTGTTTCCTCTGGTACACTTATTACACTCTAGCAAGTATCATGTACGGGAGATGAAACAGGCAGCTGAAAGGTGTCCCGCCTGTGCACCTTCCTGCTGGCCCAGCGTCTATTTCCAGCCTCCTCTCCCAGGGTTGCTGAAACCCGGAGCTGATTTCTACATTGGAAGTTAGGAGCTGCAGGAAACGCCTCGTGCCGTGCCGGGGACGTGGAGGAAAGCCAAGTGCCCTTGATAGGCTCCTCCTCTGGAGCTAGGGAGTTCCCTGGATGGTGGCAGGAGGAGCTGCGGTTCTGCAGCTGCTGCGGGCGGGGCAGCTGCTGGCGGCACTGTGTCTTGGGTTTGACCTTGACCCCTGGGCAACACAGGGAGACTTTCACACCCTTCACCCTTGCATCACTCCACTCAGAGGTGCGCAGGGCCCAGCCCCAGCTACAGATGAGGAGACTGAGGCTCGGAGGCTCTCGGACCGCCCAAGGTCTCTGGGCAGATCAAACGGTGGAGAGAGGCCAGAGCCAAGTGTCTTGGCTCCCGGGCTGGGAGAGGCCCCGGCGTGGCCCTCTGGAGGCCGCCGTCTGCGACTGCCCGGGCGCCCTGGGGCGGCAGCCTGGCCTCCTGGGCTCGAGGCAGGGGGCAGAGGTGTCCCGGCGGGGCCGGGGCCGGGACACGAAGAGGGAGGCGAGCAGGGGCTAGGAACTGGAGCCGGTTTGTGCTCGCGCGCCTGCAGGCCCTTTGCCTCGGGCACCCCCGCTCCAGCCCAGCGGGGGCGGCGCCGAGAGGGGCCCATGGCCCAGACGGAGGCTCGGGCTGCGTCCATTGGCGGCCGCAGCCCCGGGGCGGGAGGGGGAGCGGCCCGGCGTCGGGTTACCGGGGACCAGCACGGCAGCTGGCCCCGGGAGGCAGCCGCGGGGTGAGGGTGCATTCTTGGATTCCTGGCCGGGAAGGGAAACCAAACCGCACTTGTATCCAACGCAATCAACAAACATGATGTGTCAAGTGCTGTATTGCACTTGAGCGGGTGTAAAATGGTAGAGCTGGGGTTCCTGCCCAAACGTTCGTCTAATTGAGGAAATAAGAAATCCACAGAGAAGAAGAACGCTGGAGATACCGGGAAGGACATAATAAACCCCGAGAACCACGACCAACCGAATTTAGAGGGGTTCCTGGAAAGGGAAGTCTGTTTTTCCCCAAAGTCTTCTGGAAAGCTTCCACAACAGGGCGAGGTGAGGGTATCCGACCTGCCACCTCCCTCCAGGGCCTGCCACCTGCCCCAGCCGCCCCCACTCACCACAGCACACATGCCCGACCCCACACTGCTGAGCACCCAGCAGCCAACCCTGCCTCCACCCTGCCTGCGCTCCCCAGTCTTACCCCAGGCCTCTACTCTCAAGCTCCTCCAAAACTAGGACCCTCACTTTCTTCTTCCAGAAGCCCACCTGCCCCCAGGACACTGCTGCCCTATAGCCCTCTCCAGTAGAGGCTCTTTTCTCCCTCCAGCTATGCAGCTCAGGGCCTGAAGATGTACTCCGCATTGATCACTGAAGTTTCTAAACGGTTTCTCCTTCCTCTTTCAAAAGCCCGGCCTCTTAGCACAGCGAAACTACTAGATGTGATACTATAATGGTGGATAAATGTCATAATACATTTGTTCAAACCTACAGAATGTACAACAGCAAAAGTAATGTAAAGTAAGAATAAAGCATTCACATCAATGTAAACTGTGGACTCGGGGTGATAATGTGTCACTTAGGTTCATCAATTGTAACAAATGCTGGTGGGGAATGTTGATAGTGGGGGACACTGCTCCCAGGAGGGTGGATATATAGAACTCTGGATTTTCCACTCAATTTTGCTGTGAATCTGAAACTACTCTAAAAAGTATTAAAAATTAAAAATATTTAATTAAAAAAGCCACAAATCACCCCTCCTAATGTCATCTGTCACCCTCCTAGTCACTTCCCCCAACCCTTGATTATTTTAGTATCAGGCTCTATCTCCTTTCATATCATCATTTTTGGTGACTTCAGCATCTATGCTGATGACCCACCCAACACTCCGATCTCTAAGACTGTTAATATCCTTAGCCCTAGCAGAATATTCCTCCTGCCCTGCCTCAGCCTCCTGGTCATATGCTAGATCTTGGAACCATGAATGTCTACACCATCTCTAAACTCTCAGATCCAGAGATCCCTTCACCTATCAGTCCTCCAGGTCACTTACTTTAGTTCTTGGACTCAGCAATTTTCCCATCTCAGACCTCTATTCCATGACTCTCCTGTTTTCTCATGACATCTCTCCCCTCAGGCCTTCGTTCTCAGCCAGCTGAGAACTGAAACTCCATGCTCCAGCACACAAAATCTCCCTGGCAAACACTCCTACCTTCCTTGCTCTGGTCTCTCTCCATTGTATTCACTGGGCGAAAACCCAGCTGTGGTTAAATCAAACTGTTTACTTCACACCTGCACCTGAGCAATTGAACACCACTAAAGAAAATCGGCCAGCTACTCTGGATGGACTCAATTCAAATTTCTGGCCATAAATTTCAAACAGGCATTTGAACTGTTGGACAATCCTACTACAGTTACTTAGAAAATTCCTTTTCCCTCTCCGCAGTGCAATAATGTCACACTTTCTCCTCTCTCTGCATATTCTCAACTCCCCTTCCTCTTTCATTCTCACTGTAACCTCAGACTATCCTTCATAGAGAAAGTAGGTACGATCTGTTGCCGGATCTTCCTACCTCCCTCCAAAGCCACCAGAATGCCTATAGCTCTGCATTCTCTCCACCCACCACCCATGGCCGAGCCCTCCATCTGTGCCCTGGGCCCCATCCCCTTTTGCCAGCACAATTATCCCCTTTCTGTTGTGTTCATCAATTTCTTCCTTCCTACCAGAGCCTTTCCATGGAAGTTAAATGGGACTTAAAAAGCTCTAAAGCCTTAGCCTCATATCCCCTTCTTGCTATTATACCATGTTTCTGCCCCTCTTTAGAGTGACTGTTCCTGAAAGAGTTGTCTACACACTGACATCTCCACCTCCACACTTCTCATTCTCACTTCCACCCACTCCAACTGGGCTTTTAGCCCTAGTTGTCTGTTTTAATAGCTCTTATCAAGGATGCCAATGACTGACATCTTAAGGTCACATTGGTGGCCAGTTCACCATCCTCTATTCATCTGGCCTGTCAGTGGCACTGAATGCGTTTGACCACTCTCTCTGTGGAAGACTGAATTATGGGTCCTATTTCTTGTCCTGCCTCACTCTATCCCTATCCCCTTCAATCCGACTCTGCAGTCCCTCCCGCTAGATGTAGACTATACTGTACTTTCTTGCCCCTTGACTTTGGGCGTGGCTGCATGACCCCTTTTGGCCAATGGAATGTAGGAGGAGGTGACATGGTGCCAGTTCCAAATCTAGGTCTTTAGAGGCATTTTATGTTTCCACCTGCTTTTTTGTGCCTATTATCACCATGGGAGAAAAATGTGCCCTAGCTGGCCTGCAGGTACAAAAAGAGTGAGGGACATGTATGCAGAGCAGGCTCAGCCCAACGGTGGCTTAGAGCTGCCCAGCCAACATCAGCCTCATCTAGCCAACCTCCAGCTGACTCACAGCTTTGTGAATCAAATAAATATTTACTGTTATGCCATTGAGATTTTTGTGGTTGTTTGTTACCTAGCAATAGCAGACTGATACATCCTCTTTCTCAAAATACTTCCTTTGCTGAGTTCCTTGTAATCACCATCTTCTGGTTTTCCTCCAGTGTCATGGGCTGTCTTCCTCAGTCTGCTCTGCTGGGTTTTCCCCTACCAGATCTCTAAAGGTTGGAGTGGCATCAGTCTCAGCCATCTGCTACCTTCTTTCTTGACTCTCTCCCTAAGTGGAATTATTCTGGCCTACTGCTTTGAAGACTACCTACATGCTGGTTCTCAAATTTAAATCTGAACTCCAGACTCAAAGCTGTCTACACATATTTACCTGATGTCTGATAGGTCTTGGCATGGCCCAAACACAATTATGGATCCACCTCCTACCCCCAACATAGGACTACCCAGTTAGTCCTGGGTCAGATCATCAGTAAGCCTTATCTATTCCCACCTCCAAAACTGACCCAGAAACCAGTATCACATCTCACCATCTCCATAGCCACAACTGTGGTTTTTAAAATCTCCTCCTGCCAGGACTTTTGCAATAGTATCTTAACTGTTTTCTTCACTCCCCACCTTCTAACCCTCCAAAGGCTTCCCACTGCAACAAAATAAAACCCACACTTCTTACCTTGATCCATGAGGACTCAGCTACCTATGTTCCCAAGGCCCCTCTATTCTTCTTGCTCACATTGCTCCAACCACGTTGGCCTTCACGGTGTTTCTTAAGCATAAGGAGCACATTTCTGCCTCAGGGCTTTTGTTTTTACTTGCCTTTCTGCTTGCAGCACTCTTCCCCAGATCACCACATGGCTGCCTCCTTCCCACCCAGAAGGTCTCGAATGCCACCTCCTCAAAGAGACCTTCCCTGGCTAAATAAAACAGCACCCATCAACCTACCACACACACGGATGCACCCACATGCACACACACACACCCCTCTACCACAATACTCTAGTTTAGCTTCCTTTTTTTGTTATTTTTAATTTTCTTTTGCAGAGGCAAAAGAAGACACTTGCTGCCCAGGCTGGTTTTGAGCTCCTGGCCTCAAGTGATCCTCTTGCCTTGGCCTCCCAAAGTCCTGGGATTATAGGCGTGAGCCATGAGTCTACTCTGTTTCTCCCATTAAAATATAAAATCCTTAAGAACAGGTATTTGTCTCAGTCTCTGATGTATTACCAGGGCCTAGAACATGTCTTGTACATAGTGGACTTTCAATAAATGCTTGTTGATTGACTGACTGATGCTAGAACTGAATAGAGAAGGGATACAATTGGCTAGATTGTGAACATGGGAATGAATGTCCCAGGAAGGCAACTGCAGAAAGGCTGGAGAATTCAAGATACAGTATATCCAAGGGGTTATGAGGGGCCAGGCTGGCTACAGGAGAGAATTCATGGGGAATGAGGGAAGAAACTTCTGCATGGTGGAAAGACTTAAATGCCATCACTCCCAGTCATTGGAGATCGTGGGTGCCCCTGAGGGTTACAGATCAAGGACGTGATATGTTGAAAGCACAGGTTTTAGGATGATTAGTAGGGTTGAAAGGTATGCATTTCTGAGTGTCCTTAACTATGTGTCTTCCCTTGGGATCCCAGAATTTTAGAAGACAAAGACATCTAGAAGAATCTGAGAGCCCAGGGGAGCCAGAGAGATTGGTCCCCTTGGATTCCAGATGCAAGAAGAAGCCATTACCCAACCTTTCAGGGACCGATACTGAGTTCCCGGTTCAGGAAGTTCTCCCTGTGTAATTAAGGATTTGCCAAGCGCACAGCCGGCATTCATACACACGTGTTAACGAGCTGGTGCCCCAGTGTCCCTGGGCTCCCTTATACCCTCCCCCGACACACACACACACACACACACACACACACACACACACACACACACACACACAGTTGCTTTCATGTACCCAGTGGCTGAACACAAGCTTCCCCATACCCCCACCCCACGGATGCATCTCTAACCCAGCTACTTGCCTTCCCAGCCCCCTCCACCCAATTCTATTGTCAGGGCTGAACAAAAGGCCCAAGGCATCCTGGGTTAAAGGATTTTTAACTCTGCCAATCCCAGGAGGCTCCAACATGAAGCAGCTTCCTGCTGGAGAAAAGTGACTGAGACATCTCCCCAGGCGACAGGGGAATTTTTTTTTTTTTTAATCTGGTCTGAAAAACAGAACCTAGCCGCCAATCAGACACTCCTCCCCCCAGGACCCCACCCCGGAGACCTCCCAGCAGTCAAATGGGCCTTGAGGTCTCTTTCCTGATGACTTCTATTTGCAGGCGTCAGGCTTGTTGCTTCCCACGTCCCCCCCGACCCCCATCAGACCGGACTCTGGCTCTCCTCTCCTCCCGCACCTCCCCCACCCCGCCCTGTGCCCGGTGGCTGCCCCCGGCGCACGGACAGTGCCCCCTCCGCCTCTCTGCTCCCCGGGAGTGCCGGCAGTGCCCGGGCAAGGCCAGAAGCCCAGGCTAGGCCCCCTCCGTGGGCGCGCCAGGTTCTGTGCCGCGTCGTCCTTCCCCTCCTTGGGCACCGGCTCTGAACCTGCCCGGCCAGAAACCGAACCCGTTTTCAGGAGGAGCGCCTGCGGGCGTGCTGGCTCCACGCGCGGCTCTCGGGGCGGCCGGGTTCGGGCGTGTGCGTTTCCAGGCGCCTCTGTCCCCAGCGGGAGGAGCGGCTGTGGAGGGGGCCTGCTGGCGGCTCACCCCAGGCCCGGAGGGTTCGGGAACTAAACCTGCATCTGGTGTCAAAACCCCTTTTTGCCCACCCTGGCACTGACGTTAAGCATGCATCTTTTTTCCCTGAAGTTTTTTTTCCGTAGAAGACATACTGGGTAAATTAGAAACATGTTTGAGAAAGGAGTGAGCGGCGAACGCTGGCATCTAAACAACACAAAAGTGCCCACGCCAGGCCACACGCCCAGGCGGCCGCGGCCTCGGCGGCGGCGCAGCGCCCCCTGGCGGCCGCGCGGGGCCCCTACCGAGCCGCCCCCGGCCGTGTCCCCTCACCTCCCCTCACCTCCCACGCTCCTGAGCCGGGAGCAGCCGGGAGGGCCAGGGAGACCCCTGCTCCCCCAAGTCAGAGCAACAGTGGGACACTTTGGGAGGAAGGGAATGAAAGGAGTCCAACGCCAAGGTCCTGGGGGATGCTTTCTGTGGTTTCGTGGCTGGCGCCGAAGTCAAGAACCTAGGGAAGGAGCCAACATAAAAGAAAACCCTTGATCCATTTTCAATGAATGCCTGAAATTCTACCAATCCAGCATCATCCCTTCACCTGCAGGCTTTGATTCCTTTTAAAATGCAAATGCCTCAAGGAAGGGGAACCCTTAAAACAAGGGCAGATGGCAGGCTACATCAAGAAATCACCAACGTCACCAAAGAGACATGATTACGCCATGATGTGTACATACTATATGGTAATGGCGTTTAATAAGCAGCGTTTAATCTTTTTTTTATTCCTGTTGTTGGTTGTCCAGGCATCCTTTTGTACTCTGACAAGCAGTGTTTCTTCAGGATGCCCCGCCCGCAGTGGCCAGACCCTCTAGTTCAGTTGCTCCAAGTTTTCTTACCCTTTGCATCCTAAACCTTTCTCCAATCATTCTACTTCCCATTCTCACAATCCTGCTTGATTGGAGGTTCACAGCATCTTATCGCTAGTCCCAATCATTGCAGTAGCCCAGTGGGAGTATCTGGATCCCTTCCATAGCACACAGGGTCCTGGGGAAGTTCAAGAGAGTCTCTCAAGTCCTTTCTGTACAATACGCAACACCACTGAATCTGTCAAGAGGCGGCTGCCTTGTGCTGGTGGTGGGGTGGGGGGACTGTCTTCCCAAAGTCAGCAGAGAACCCCTGCTTTCGGCTTCCCATCATCTATCTGGAATTTCTCTCCTCTTGCCACTCCTCCATCTGGCAGAAGCCAGAAGTAGGGGTGCTGGGTTTCTGAAGGACCCAGGCAGGGTCTTTCCCGCTTCTCCCCTTTGTCCTCTGAATCCGTCTTTTTCCTGCTCATAGGGTTTCTACTTAGCCATACTGTCCGGTGGGAATGCCTCCAACTCCAGAGCTTCCTCTTCTTTCAAGTGTCTCCTGCTGTATCAGTTATCTGTTGCTACAAAACGAGCCACCCAGTGGCTTACACTCAGTAGCTTAAAACAATAAACATTTATTTGCTCATGACTCTGTGGGTCGGCTGGGCGGTTCTTCTGGCTTGGCTCTGCTGGGCTCACTGTGTTTGTGGTGAGCTGGCAGGTCATCGGATGGTTTAAGATGGCCTCCCTCACACATCTGGTGGTTGGCAGGCTGTCAGCTGGGGTGAAAGGGTGACCCGGCCACGTGTCTCTCATCTAGCAGGCTAGCCTACCCCAGGCTTCTTCCAATGGCAGTAGGCTTCCACGGATGGGAAGAGCAAAAGCTACAAGACTTCTTGAGCCCCAGGCTTGGAACGGACGCACCTTCCCTTCCACCGCATTCTCTTCATCAAAGTAAGTGACAAGGTGGGCCAAACACAAGGGGTGGGCAAATGGACTTCACTCGAAATGGAAAGAGCTGCAAAGTACTGCAGCCATGTGTGCAGTCTACCACACTGGCTGTCTTCTTTCTTGGGGCACGTTATCAATGAAGCAAAATGCACTTAAAAATATGACATCCTTCAGACACACCAAACACAGGCAGTCTAGCACAGTGCTTAAGTGCACAAGCTCAGTAGTCAACGTGCCTGGGTTCAAATCCTGGCTCCGCATTTACCAGCATCTGACCCCGTAAAAATTATCTTACCTCTCTGTGCCTCAGTTGCCTACTCTGTAAAACTGGGGGTAGCTGTAAATATTAGATAAATTATATCATGCTTAGGCAGTGCCTGGCACATAGTAAGTGGCCAATAAATGTCAGCTATTGTGCCCAGGAGATGATGGCTGGCTGCCCACCAGGAGTGCTGCAGCCGCAGCACCATCTTCCACAGTAGCCCCAAAGCCCCACTCACCACTGCTGACACCAGCAGCCTCACACTGCCAGCTCTCCGGGCAGGGGCAGGGCCCCTTTGAGGTGCCAGCGAAATGGTCCTGTCAGTTTTTACCAGTTCCTTCATCAAGGCTTGCCTATCACTTGAGCCCAGGAGTTTGACACCAGGCTGGGCAACACGGTGGAACCAGGTCTCTACAAAAAATGCAAAAAAATTAGCTGGGCATTGTGGCATGCCCCTATAGTCCCAGCTAGTGGGGAGGCTGAGGTGGGAGGATCACTTGTGCCTGGGAGGTTGAGGCTGCAGTGAGTGGTGATTGCACTACTGCACTCCAGCCTGGGCGACAGAGCAAGACCCTGTCTCAAAAAAAGAAAGCATGCCTGTCTAGAGCTGGGACGGGTCAGCTGTCACAAAAAGAGCTCTGAAGTCACACAGACCCCAGGACTGCTTCTGGCTCTTCTTCCTGAGGGATTTAGACGATCGAATTAATTCTCAGAGTTTCAGTTTCCTTGTCTGTAAAATGGGTGTGACAGCAGTACCTGGCACAGAGCCGATGAAGTGTAACGTGAAGAATTAAAGAGCCTGGGCCTGAAAGCTGAGGGCTCTCAAAGGACTCTTGTGGTATCTGAAGCTGCCCCTCCTACAGGGGAAACTGCTGTGGATGAATCCTTACTCCCCACAATGGCCTGCATCACTCATACAGCCCTCCGCCCCTGGTCCAGCAAGATGGGCCAACATCCTAGGGAACAAGCTAAGCTCTCTCTGCAGTTGCTAGTTTGATAACTGTTACCCCCACTACACTTCTGGGGCCTGTACCTTTGTTTTATTTTCAACCTAGTACCTCTAATAGTTAGCCCAGGGCTTGACATGGTAGATACCCAATAAATGTTGATTAAAGAGAGGCTGAATAAATGAATGAGGACTTCATTCTGATAGTTTCCCTTTTCCTTGGGTTAGACCCGCTTCTTCTGGATGGTCTCCAAACCAAGAAAACCCACGGAAATGAGGGAAGGAGGAAGGGAAGCTGCACCTGAGGACTGAGAGTGGGGCCGTGCTCTTCAGCCTTGCTGACACTGCAGCCCTGGGGAGCCAGGGCCACCCCCAGAGATTCGGCTGTAATTAGCATGGGAGCTGGGAGATAGCCCTGATGGGTGTGCTTCATCATTTTCACCAGGTCTCTCCCTGAATCAAGTCTTCCAAAACTGACATCAGAGAACCCCAGATTCTGCTGATGGTCCCCATGCAGTTCAGACCACAGATAATGGAGCTGAGCAGGGATTTAAAGAAACAGACAAACCCAACTTCATCCCGAGTGAGTGTGTGAGAGAGTGTGTGTGTGTGCATAGACACAAGTGTAAAAAGAAAACACACACACATCATGATTTGATGCTTAACGCAATTCATGAAATGAGTTACCACTCACCCCCTTCGTACGTGGGTCCTGCAGGGCACACGTGATGGTGAAAGCTGAGGCAGCAGCAGAGGGTGAGGGCTGCGGGCTGCATGCGGATCTCAGGGGCTGTTTCCCAGGGAGCCAGGGCTCTAGGAGTCCTGGTAGGAAACTCTGTGAGCCGCCCAGGCTGGTGGCCATCCAAACCAATGGCTGGAGGTGGGCGGTGGAGGTGGAGAGCAAAGAGCGGCTCCTTGTGGGAAGATGAGACTAAAATATCCTCTATGAAATCAGGGGGAGAAGGTGGGGCGGGGCTCTGTGTAAGGAAATCTGAGTGAGCTCCTAAGTCCACTTTTTTTTTTTTTCCTGGTGCACATTTAGCTGAGCTCTTTTGAAAGATGGATGTGTATCTGTCCACAAGCACATACCCCCAAGACCAAATCAGAAGGATGGTAGAAAAGTGGGGAGAAGGCAAGTGGGTGAATGCGGGCCACAGTGGCATGACCAGCGCTCAGGCTGGGGCCCAGGCGGGATTTGAGAATAAAGGGATCTTCTTGGAGTACACAGTCCTGGGACTGGGGAAGAAGGCTGTCACCTTCATCAGAGGGGACTTGGAACTCCTGGATTTAAATTTTGACTCCCAGGAGGGCATCTGGTTGCTCAGGGGATAAAGGAGAGAAGGCTAAGATTATGCTGATTCTGAGTGGGGCCCTAAAGTCACTTTGTAACACATGGACTGCAACACAGAGTAACACACTGGACTGTGACACACACATGGCAACACACGCAGTGTGACACAGGGACCATGACACACCACAGACTATGACACATGCACCGCAACACAGGAACTGTGGCACACCATGGACTGTGACACACACACCACAACACAGGGATTGTGACATACCACGGACTGTGACACATACACCATGACATAGGGACTGTGACACACCATGACACAGGGACTGTGACACACCATGGACTGTGACACACACACACGGCGACACGTGGAGTGTAACTCTTTGGTAAATTTTTTTGATACAAGGTCTCCCTCTGTCACCCAGGCTGGAGTGCAGTGGTGCAATCATGGCTCACTGCAGCCTCCGCCTCCCAGTGTCAAGCGATTCTCCTACCTCAGTCTCCCAAGTAGCTGGGACTATAGACATGCACCACCACGCTGGGTGAATTTTTAAATTTTTTATAGAGATGGGCATCTTGCCGTGTTGCTCAGGCTGCTCTCGAACTCATGAGCTCAAGCAATCCTCCCACCTCAGCCTCCCAAAGTGCTGGGATTACAGGTGTGAGCCTCCGCGCCCAGCCAAGTGTCACTCATGGGCAACACAAGGACTGTGGCACCCAGACTGTGACACATGGAGTGTGACACACAGACTGCAGTAACCCTGGAGGCAAACTGTGGTCCTAGTCCCCTTACAGTAGAATTAACTGGGCTATTGGTTAAAAACTTGTTCCTGAGGCTATCCCAGATCTACCCAATCTAGATATTGGGCCTCTAAGGATTGGGCCTGAGAAATTCACATTTTACTTTATTTTTTAGAAATGGGGGTCTTGCTATGTTGACAAGGCTATACTTGAACACTTGTGCTCAAGCATTCCTCCTATTTCAGCCTCTCAAGTAACTGGGACTACAGGTATGCACACCATACAGGCTGGAATTCAAAATTTTAAATATATGCTCCAGGTGATTTCAAGGCCCTAAGGATGGAGGGCCTTTGTTGAGTTTGTAGACAGGGTTAGAGAAGGCCAGTGGCTCCCAAGCCTGGTGGTACCAGAATTGCTGGAAACATTAAAAACCAGGCTACCCTCCTGGTTGATCTGAGGTGGGACCAGGAATCAGTATACTTAGGAAGTTCCTCAGGTGATTACAATCATCCCTTCGGTTTGGTACCCTGGGAGGAAAATAACTGGGAAGAAATTTGCATGATCTGTTACTCAATGCTCCCACATTGCCTTCAGATGGGACATTCTGCACAGCCCTCCCAACCCCACCAGGGCAGGCCTAGGGGTACAGAGATGTTGGGGCCATTGTTCTGAAAAAAATAATTTTTTTTTTTTTGAGATGGGCTCTTGCTCTGTCACCCAGGCTGGAGTGCAGTGGCGTGATCACGGCTTACTGCAGCCTTGAACTCTTGGGCTCAAGTGGTCCTCCCACCTCAGCCTCCCAAGTAGCAGGGACTATACATGCATGCCACCATACTAGTTTAATTGTTTTTCATTTTTTCGGTAAGAGATGGGGTTTCACTATGTTGCCCAGGCTGGTCTCGAACTTCTGGGCTCAAGTGATCCTCCCTTGAACTCCTGGGCTCAAGCGATCCTCCCTCGTCGACCTCCCAAAGTGCTGGGATTACAGGCGTGAGCCACCGTGCCCAGCCTGTCTTGAAATACTTTTGGATTGATAAGAACCCTATGGTTTCAAAGTCAGCAGAGTACCTGAATCAGAAAAACAAGATTCTCCTCCCAGCAAGTCAACCTTTTCCTACGCCTCTGGCCATTCCTCTATCAGCTGCAGTTTAGGACAGCAAGCAGTGACAAGTTAACTGCAATAGAGCCCTACTGCTCACAGACGGGGAATAGACATGAAGCACGTGTGTGTCTACACCAGCGGAGGCCCTGCTTTCTAGCATCCCTGGCTGTGGACATCACATCTTTGCCTATGGGTGAACTTCAGGTAAACTGGTGCTCAGCCCTCAGCCCTCACCAAAGGCAACCTTCCTTTTACAAAAAGCAATTCGATCCTCATCCCAAAATAACACTATATGGCATTTAGACTCTACTTAATATCAAAATGGGCAGGGGGTCTGCAGGGTCAAAACTACTTTCATATGAGATGTTATTTGCCCATTTCACCCTGTTCTCTCTTGAGTGTACAAAGCTGCGTGCTTTGGGGAAACTCAGTCTGATATCACAGCAGACTGAATGCAAAAGCAGATATGAGACTCCATCTGTCTTTTATTAAGCTAGACACTTTTTAAAATTGCAGAAATATAAAAGAGGGCCAAACTTCTTTTTGTTTTGGAAAATATAGGTATTTTTCTAAATGAGAAATGTTATGTTAACATGTAGCAGGTTGATTATTGTAATAAATAAATAAATTTTTTAAATTCTCCATTTTGTTTTTTTGGTTGTTTTTCTTGAGACGGAGTCTCGCTCTGTCGCCCAGGCTGGAGTGCAATGGCCCAGTCTTGACTCACTGCAACCTCCGCCTCCCAGGTTCAAGCGATTCTCTTGCCTCAGCCTCCCCAATAGCTGGGACTACAGGCATGTGCCACCACACCCGACTAAATGTTGTATTTTTAGTAGAGATGGGGTTTTGCCATGTTGGCCAGGCTGGTCTCTAACTCCTGACCTCAGGTGATCCACCCACCTTGGCCTCCCAAAGTGCTGGGATGATAGGCATGAACCAACACACCCGGCCGTCGGTTTCTATTTTATTTTACACTTTTTAAACGTTTCTTTTTTTTTTTTTTTTTTTGAGACAGGGGTCTGTGCTGTGTTACCCAGGCTGACCTCGAACTCCCGGGCTCAAGCATCCTCCTGTCTCAGCCTCCCAAGTAGCTGAGATTGTAGGCATGGGCCACCGTGACTGCTTCAGTTTATTTTATTTTATTTTATTTATTTATTTTTGAGACGGAGTCTTGCTCTGTTGCCCAGGCTGGAGTGCAGTGGCCCGATCCCGGCTCACTGCAACCTCCGCCTCCCAAGTTCAAGTGATTCTTCTGCCTCAGCCACGCAAGTAGCTGGGACTACAGGCATGCGACACTACACCTGGCTAATTTTTATATTTTTAGTAGAGACGGGTTTTCACCATATTGGCCAGGTTGGTCTCAAACTCCTGATCTGCCCGCCTCGGCCTCCCAAAGTGCTGGGATTACAGGCTTGAGCCACCGCGCCTGGCCAGTTTTGTTTTGAGAGACAGAGAGTCTCGCTCTGTCACCCAGGCTGGAGTGCAGTGGCGCGATTTTGGCTCTGTGCAACCTCTGCCTCCCAGATTCAAGCCATTTTCCTGCCTCGGCCTCCCGAGTAGTAGCTGGGACCACAGGGCGGCTAATTTTTAAAATTTTTAGTAGAGATGGGGTTTCCCCATGTTGGCCAGGCCGGTTCAGTTTTAATCTACAAACTGGTAACTATTGAGAGGTACAACCCACATAAACAAACTAAAAGCTCTTCGAGGTCCTCAGTAACGTTTAAGAGTATAAAGGTGCCCCGAGACCAAGAAGTCTGAGCAGCGCTGCCTCATTTCCCCTCCTCCCAGAGTGAAAACGTATCCATTTGACTCTTGAAAGAGCAAACCTCAGAACGAGGCTCATGGGCAGTTGGGAAAGCAATGCGACTAAAACACAATAACTGCCCTTAAGGAACTGCTGGTTATGTAGGAGCTAGCGACAGGTCAGCAGCCGCCCATAACATACCTGTCATTGCCAGGCCACCCCTGCCTCTCTCCCGCCGCAGCCCTAGGTTCCCGAAATTCCGGCCCCTGCGCACCCCCTGGTGGCCGCCCCTCGCCGGTGCAGTCTTCTTCCTCCGGAGCGTCAGAATGCTCACTAAGGACCTCAGGCCTGGACCCCATCACCGTGAGGAGCAGTCTAGGTCCCGGGTGGCCTTCTGCCTGTCCCCTCTGCTCATGTTTATCCCTTGATGACTAATCCCAGCCTGCTTCTGCCTGTGTACCTGCCCTTTGAGAGTACTAGACATCCTTCCCCTGGCCAACCATATTTGTAGGTGATAGAGACAGTATATCAGTCTGGGCACATTGGCTCAGGCCTGTAATCCCAGCATTTTGGGAGGCCGAGGCGGGAGAACTGCTAGAGCCCAGAAGTTTGAGACCGGCCTGGGCAACATAGCAAGACCCCATCTCTTTAAAAACAATTTTTTTTTTAAAGAGAGTACATCACAGTAGAAATAATATATGTTGTAGATTGAACCTGAGTCCAGGCAGTGCCATGCCAAAGTTACACTTCTTACTGATCTGCCCTATAGCAAATGATCTGTTGTATAAAGTAACCCTGGACATTGGCAATTGATGGATATTCTACACTGGGATCAAGTTCCTTCAGGAGGGGTAAAGCGAGTCCCAACTCTCCAAATCTTGTTGGCTTAGCTAGATTCCCTGCTCTTCTGGACTGCATGTCACTGGCTATACTTTCAGCATCCTCACATAAGGATCAATACCCCAAGACCTGCATGAGTCCTCCTAGGACTTTCTTCTGGGGATTTAGGGGCCCTACTGTTGTAAACAGGACTCAAGTAGTCAACTATAAAATCCCAGAAATCCCAGAACTCCTCAAAGTGAGTATGCAGATTAACACTTTGTTTGTTTTGCTTGTTCGTTTTGCTTGTTTGTTGTCTCTATTTTAATCAAACCCTAGAAATTCAGAATGAGAATATCCTCAAATTGATAATACTATTGGAAGCAGGTGAGGGAATTTCAGAGACAGTGAGGTTTATCCTACAGTTCTGACCCAGAGTCCATTAGCAGTAACCTGACTGCCCCATAAATGACCTCAACCATCTTAGCCTAGTGGTCTCCATGGTAACCATCAAAGAGTGGTCCCCCTTTCTTACCTACAGATGTTCCTCCCACCTTCACCTGCACCCAGCACTTCAGGCATGACCTAGAACTGGATTCTGTACAAATGCCATTTGCAGAGGTATTGTTCCCTTCCTTCCTCCCTTCCTCCCTCCCTCCCTCTCTCCCTCCCTCCTTTCTTTCTTTTTCTTTCTTTCTTTCTTTCTTTTCTTCTTTTAAATAGAGATGGAGTCCTACTATGCTCAAGCAATCTTCCTGTTTCAACCTCCCAAGTAACTGGGATTACACGTGTGCTCAGCCTTTCTTCCCTTTGAATCCATGTTTTAAGCAAGTAGAACCATTTCTTTAATTTACACAGAAAAGCCCTTTAAATATAAATTAGGAGTATCAGGTACATGAGGGGTTATTTCATTAGTCTTTCTACTTTTGCATATGCTTAAAATATGCTTAAAAATTTTTATTTGAAAATTATCTTGATTGTGACAAAAAATAAATAAAAATAAAAAATTCAGAGAACAAACAGAAAAGGGAAACATTAAAAATACATCCTTTCTTCAACATGTCTGAAGGAAATCTGGCCTTTGCAAAAAAAAAAAAAAGAGAGAAAGAGAAGAGGTTATGCAGTAAATGTCATTTTCTACAAGTGGAAATCGTAGATTGTGAGCCTCAATCATTATCTGGGGTACGGGAAGGTGGCATAGCTGAAGACTTTAATTTTGGAGTACTTGAAGAATCTAAATCAATCTTTAAAGTATAATAAAAATGTGTAGATTTGGAGGGAAATTTTAAAAATCAATCATATTGTCCTTCTTCCACAATCCCTTTCCCATCTTCTCCCCTAGCAGCCTCCTCTTCCTCACAACCTTTCAAATGTCCACAGTGAGAAATACAGTGTTGACACCTGTTGCTTTTGTCTTGCAGCAGGGGTTGGGTAAACTATGGTTCTTGGGAACGGTTTAATCAGACTTCTTCCACAGATTTAAAAGATGGCCCTTGAATAACGTTAAAGATATGATTTTGCTATTGTGCATTTACTTTGTAAGATAAACACATTAATCAAAAATGGAGGAATTAAAATTCAGATTTTGTATTGCTGTTTGCTAAATAATTAACATGAAGGCATATTGTCACTCTCTTTAAATTCTAAAAAAACAAACCAATCAAAAACCCAAACCCCAAAACCCAAAACTACGGTCCTGACCTGTTTTGTTTGACCAGCAAGCTAAAAATGGTTCTATCATTATACATATTTTTTCAAATGTTTAATGTAATTTTATTTTTTTCCACGGGGGAGTTGGCCACTGTCCTGCTGTCCATATCAACCAACACCTTTTCTGGGATCTGATGAGTGTCATTAGGATTGTTCTTACCCAAAGGTTTTTACATTTTTGAAGGGTTGTAAAACAAGCAGACACACAAAAAAGAATAGGTTGACAGACACCCTGTGGCTGGGTCTAACCTCGGCTGTAGGCTGGCTGGAGCCCTGGTGAAAGGTGGCTTTTCTTCCATCCAGGCAGTCACTAACAAGAGGTACAGCCTTGAAGTTGCCATGCCGACAGGGAATTCAGTTCTTAAAATAGTAGACTGTGCTCAGGCATTTTCAGGGTGGGTGGGTTTGGAGGGAGGGGGTTGGGAATAGGGGTGGGGAGAGATGATAAACTAATGAGTCACACCCAACTGGTGACAGCTGCTCCAACAACCCTCTGGCAACATGAAGTGGGGAGGAAAGGACATTTTCCATGAATGGGAACAGTTTGGTTTCCTCACAGTATTTTCCTGCCTGGCCAGAGGAAATTCCCATCTCCACCTCCTCTCTCTCCCTCCTGCCACTCCCCAGCCTCCTCCTTGCAGAGAACAGAAGGAGGAAACGCCCATCTCACAAAGAGCCTGCCATGATTCAGAGGGACTGGTTGTTACTGAGGATTAGTCTGTGCAGGGACTGAGAGGAGCTCACTCTCACACACGCTGCCTTGGGACTCCGTGCGTTGGGAGGCCTGGGAACGAGCATTATCATCATCGCAAGATCTAATGAAAGTATTTCACTAAAAATGTCTTTAATCCAGATCGGTGAATCAATCAATAATAGTTATTCTTTGAGACTCGCCTGTTGCCCCTCTACTGTTCATAAGGTTTTTTTTTTAGAATTGGGGTCTCGATCTGTTCCCAGGCTGCACGACCATAGCTCACCATAACCTCAAACTCCTGGGGTCAACCGATCCTCCTGCCTCAGCCTCGCAAGTAGCTGGGGCTACACCACATCTGGCTGATCTATTTTTTTCTGTGTGATAAATATACATAACATAAAATCTACCATTTAACCATTTCCCAGCGATGCAATTCAGTGGCAGTAAGTTCATTCCCATTGTGCAACCATCAATATCTTCCAGCACTAGAATTTTTTTTTTTTTTTGAGGCAGAGTCTCACTCTATTGCCCAGGCTGGAGTGCAGTGGCATGATCTCGGCTCACTGCAGCTTCCTGCCTCCCAGGTTCAAGCAATTCTCCTGCCTCACCCTCTCGAGTAGCTGGGACTACAGGCACATGCCACCACATCTGGCTAATTTTTGTATATTTAGTAGAGACAGAGTTTCACCATGTTAGCCAGGCTGGTCTCAATCTCCTGACCTCAAGCAATCTACCCACCTCGGCCTTCCAAAGTACTGGGATTACAGGCGTGAGCCACCACGCCATGGCTAGGACTTTTTAACCATCCCACACTCTGAAACTGGGTGCATAACTCCTCGCTCTGCCTCCCATTGCCATCCCAACCCTGGCAACCACCGTTCTACTTTCTGTCTCTATGAATTTGGCTGCTTTAGGTAGCTCATGTAAGTGGAATCATCCAATATTTGTCCTTTTGTGTCTGGCCTATTTCACTTATTATAATATGTTCAAGGTTTGTCCATGTTGTAACATATGTCAAAACACAAAATTACAACGAATCCAGTTTAAGGATCTTAACTGACTTTATTTGTGATTCTAAAATTGGGCAATACTTCATTCCATAAAACAGAATACATGTTTTGGGCCGGGCGCAGTGGCTCACACCTGTAATCCCAGCACTTTGGGAGGCTGAGGCGGGTGGATCACTTCAGGTCAGGAGTTTGAGACCAGCCTGGCCAACATGATGAAAACCTGTCTCTACAAAAAATACAAAAATTAGCTGGGCCTGGTGGCATGGGCCTGTAATCCCAGCTACTTGGGAGGTGAGACATGAGAATCGCTTGAACCTGGGAGGTGGAGGTTGCAGTGAGTTGAGATAGAGCCATTGCACTCCAGCCTGGGTGACAGAGCGAGACTCTGTCTCAAAAAAAAAAAAAAAAAAAAAAAAAAATACATGTTCCGATGAGCTGAGCAGAGAGGTTGGCCTTACAGACAGAAAAGAACTAGCGGGAGTGGAAGCAAAGAGCCAAGTGTATTAGTCACTTAAAGCTACTTTCCTTGTAAGGCACAGACAAGGAGATCGAAAAAATAGAAAAATCACTGATCAGTGAACCTCAGGTTATGCCAGGCTACCTTTTGTGTGCAAGGATTAAGGCAGAGGGAACTTCATTATCCTGTCTATTGAAGATTGAAGCTGGCCTGTTTGGGAAATTGGCTGTTATCTCTCTCTCCTGATTTCTCAGAACTATAGATAATAATTTAGGTTTAGTGATGTGAAACTTTAGCATGGGTGACTCCATTTTGACTTTAACTCTGGTCTTACTGGGACCTAGTGCAGAAGCTTAGCCCAAAAAAATGGCCTATCAATTTTATTTAACACGTGTTAGAATTTCATTCCTTTCTTCCTTTTCAAGGCTGAATAATATTTCATCATATGTGTACAACACAGTTTGTTTATCCAGTCCTCCGTAGATGGACATTTGGGTTGTTTTCACCAAAAGGTGAATCAAAAGGCTTCACCAAAAGGCTGCTGTGAATAGTGCTGCTGTGACTATCAATGTACAAATAGCGGTTCGAGTCCCTGCTTTCAAGTCTTGTGGTGGCTAGTCCATTTTCAGAAAGAAAACAATTAGCAGGCTGAGAACCCAGCCCGGGTGCAGAAGACGCTACGGCAGCACGTTCTTGTTTTTTCCATCACATCCGTTGAGTCTCCTCTGAGGCCAGCAAGCCCCTCACCTTTTGTCCTCCCTTGGTGCTCCAGCCCTTGGCTCTTGCTGCTCATCTCCATGGGGTCAAGGCCCTGGGAACCTGTGATCCTAGATCCGTCATTGAGAACAGTGGGGAGCTATAAGGTTCATGGTTATCTCTTCCATATTCTTCAGAGTTGTGCATCATTCAAGCAAAGCTTTTTTAATACTAGTTGTATCTTTCAGCATGATTTCAATGTGTTTTTGTCCCGAAGAACCCATTTCCCACCAGAGGCAGAGCATGGAAGGACTCAGTGTACGCATGTCACTAGGAATTTTTTGGTTGGGAATGGGCACATGGCCTCAGCTGGCTCACTCAGGCTGACAGGAAGGAGTTTTATTTCATGGCTGGGCAGGATGTTCCCTTTTTTCTCTGGAAGTGTTTCACTTGATATTGATCAAAAGAATGCTAGCTGAACCGTGAACAAAGCTGGCACCTGGAGACGAAGGCGGGGCTGAGAGAATAGCAGGACGTGTTCCTAGAGCCTTAATCATACAATGCCTGAAGCCCACCCTATCCAGTCTACCTGTGAGGAAGCTAATAAACTGCCTGTAATTTAAATCTGGTTTGCTAGGGTTTCTGATCCTCAGGGTCAAAAATATTCTAACAGACTCAGTCTGCATGGTGTTAGGGTTTTGATTTTCACCCCAAGAGGAGTGGAAAGTCATTAAGAGATTTCAGCAGGGCGAGTCCAGGGAGGGGTGACAAGATCAGGTCTGCATTTCAAAGCAGGACTCTGGCCGCAGGGTGGAAATGGGTAGTGGCTGGGATGGTTGTACTTGGGGGCTACTGGGCTAGCTCTGGGGAGAAGTTGTAGAGTAGGACAGAGGGGAACAGATCTGGAAGTTTTTAAGGAAGTTAATAAGGTTGATGAGACTTGATGACGGTTTGTGGGGATGGGGAGTGGGGTGACCTCTAGGCTTGTGGCTGGCTCAACTGGATGAACAGGGGTGCTACCCACCATGACAGGAATATGGTTGAGAAGAAGAGATGGAACACCAAAAGTGTCAGGTTCCTGGAGGGACTGGCCTTAGGTGGGAGTGGCGACAGCTAACATTAGTTTAGTGCTAGCCATGAACCAACTGTGGCCCAAAGTGCTGTACGTGTGTAAATTTATTAAGACAATGACCTTACGCCCATTTTACTGATGAGAAAACTGAGGCACCGAGAGGTTAAGTAATTTGCCCAAGGCCACACAACTGATTAGGAAATGGGAGTTGAATCCAAGCAGTTTGGTCCCGTGAGGTTCCCAAGGAATATATGTGCTGAGAAGGCTCCCATGAGCAAATGGCATGTAATGTCTGTAACACTATTATCTGGGGCTTGGGCCCCCAACTCCAGTGCAGAGAAAACTCTGGGAAGCTAGATTTTGATTCCCAGAACAGCCTCCCTTTTCTAAGTCAGTTAGGCCTAAATGGCTTCTGACGAAGCAGCCTGGGAGGCGTGCTCGATTTCACAGCCGCCACCCCAACTTGAGTCTCCAATCTCGCCACCGTGATCTGGGCAGCCTGGCCTAATGGATCCCCAGCAGGGCCAGGGTGAGAGGCTGTGTGTTTCCTGTGTGCCGATGCTGCTGCTTCAGCCTGCTGCCAGGAGGGAGGAAGAAAGGATGTCCATACAGAAAGGGAGACAGGGATGGGCTGGCTCAGAGGGAAGCGTCTGCCTATGCCAGGGTCACTTGGAAAGAAGAGAGAGAAGAGGGAGCCACCTGCATGGGCTTCACCTCCTTGGAAAACACCACCGCTGGAAAGTGTGGCCTGGTCTCTTGCTGAAACCATCACAGGGTTAACAAAAATTACATGCCAGGTTCTGACAGAAATATAATTAAGCATTAATCAGGCTGCACTTGGCACACTTCCTTGTAGCTGCTTGCTAAATAAAAGCCACACATGACCATTTGCATTCCCATTGTTCTTATGGATAGGATCTCTGAGGTTAGCATCATAAGGCTTTCGTTTAAGGATTGCTTAAGATGTTTTTCAGATCCTGAATTCCAGCGGAATGGCTGACGCCAACCAATCTGAAGGCCCCCACAGAGGAACCAAATTGGCATGAGAATGTAGTTTCATTCCCCCCATCCCATGGCTTCACCCTGCACTCTTTGGCCAAGGAATGATCCCCACATCTCAGCCCCACACTCATGCAGACCCCTTAAAATCTCTAGCCCCAACTCCTCAGGGAGGCAGAGTTGAAGTTCACTCTCATCTCCTCATTTGGTTGCTTTATGAGTAACCCTCTTTCTGTGCTGCACCTTGGTGTCTTGGTGTCATCACTTTCCACACATCGGGCAGCAAACCTGGTATGGTGACGTTGCCTGGAGCCAGATGAGCTCTCTTCTGTACATACAGAGATGTAAGTCTTCAGCATGGCTCGTCTTGTCAACACAGAGTGCTAACCAGCGTCCTCAACAACATCCTTCCACTGGACACAAAGAAGAGCTTCCTAGCACACTATTCTAGAACATCCTTCCGAGTAGGTGACTCCAAGGGTCAATGCAGCACTAAGGCTACAGAAGTGAGGGGAGGGGCTGTGTCTACCACCTATCTTCCTCATCACTCTCATCAAAAGGCATTTCACACTTATACTGTAAAAACGTCATGTGAATGTGGTTACTTCCTCTCCCTTTCTCTCTCTCTCTCAAAATATCTTATTGTATGTAATGCTTTTGAACCTCAGTTGACCATGGGTAACTGCAACCACGGAAAGTGAAACTGTGGATAAAGGGGTATGGACTCTTGCCTCATCTCCCACTACTGGATTATCAATTCCTTGAAGGCAGGGACCATGCCATTTAGTTCTGTTATGGCCACTGCTCCCAGCACAGTGCTTGGCACTTGTGGGCACCTTGTGAAACTGATCAAAGTCCCTATTTGTTCAGAAGCCGCCTGGTCACAAGCCAGATAAATCCAAAGTGTCTTCAGGCAGAAGGAGAGGTTTAAGAGACACAGATACATTGACAGCTCTATTGCATAGGAAAGAGTTGAAATGGTTTCAAAGATTTGTTGAGCATTTCTTATATGCAGCATGCAGGCTGTGGCGCTGGGGCACACAAAGATGAACTCATATCTCTCGCCCTCCAGGGCTTCACCCTTGAAGGGGAGATACACATACTGCTGGCTACCATGCAGTGGACCAGGCGGGTATTGATGAGTATGGACAAAGGGATCCTAGAAGAAATGGGATCTGTTTTGGGGTGGGAAGATGGGTTGGGTGACAGAAGAGGCTAAGGAATGGCTTTTATAGAGGATATGACACTTGAGTGGGCTTTAAATGCTATAAATATAATTATCATAACATAAAATTAGCACTTTAAAGTGTATAACTGGGCCAGGCACAGTAGTTCATGCCCATAATCCCAGCACTTTGGGAGGCTGAGGTAGGAGGATGGCTTGAGCCCAGGAGCTCCAGACAAGCTTGGGCAACATGGCGAGACCCCCATCTCTTCAAAATTAAGAATAAAAAAAATTAGTCAGGCATGGCAGTGCATGCCTGTGGCTTTGGGAGGCTGAGGCAGGAGGATCACTTGAGCTTGGGAGGTTGAGGCTGCAGTGAGCCGTGATGATGCTACTGCACTCCAGTCTCGGCAACAGAGTAAGACACTGTCTTAAATTAATTAATTAATTAAAGTGTATAACTCAGTGGTTTTTAGTATATTCACAATGTTGTACAACCATTATCGCTATCTAATTCCAGAATATTTTTATTTGAGACAAAAGTGGAGAGGTGTGGAAATGCCTGGCCCCTCTGAGGGTGGGAGTGAGTGATCCACACAAGAAAGCATGCCTGGAACAGGGATGGGAGAGGCCAGGCCAGGTTGTGCAGGGCTTCTCCTGTCTTGGGAAAACAGGAATTAGGCTGTTTGCCTGTAGGTAATGGTAGGGCACCTGGGAGAATTTTAGCCTGGAGTGTGACATGAACTTTTGTGTCCCTTTCTCCCTCCCTCCAAGCCTGGGCAGAGCAGTGGGCAGGCCGGGAGACGTCTTGAAGATGTTTGCTTCCCTTCTTCAGCTCTCCAGGCTGCTGACATCCTGGCTCCCTGAAGTCTAACAGGGGAGAAAAGAGTGGATTGAAAATAAGAAAATGCTCGCGTGAAGGAGTAAAAAGGCAGCTGGAAGTACAACATTCATTTGGAGATGGAATAAATAAATGAGATAAAATCCTAAATAAATATCTTACACGGTTCTAATTGCATTTTAAAAGCTGCCACCAGAGAACAGATAAAATGATGCTGTATTTCATTAGTGGCTCCTGTAATTCTATGGTATTCGCCAGCAAGCCCTGTTAAAGTACTCTGTAATTAAAGACCAGTTCTAGGTCCTGTAATTTAGAGCATTATCAAAATACGGCAAGTGACAGGAGGTAAAGAAATGGAAACAAAGCCTGCTTTCATGAGGTCCTGGTAGACCACATAGAATGTGAATTTTTACAGCTCAGCCTTTGTATTGCCCTCACCACCAGGGCCAGTCCACATCAATGCTTTCCATTTGACAGGTGACCGGTTATGTTTTTGTTTTGTTTTGTTTTTAGATGAAGTCTCACTCTGTCACCAGGCTGGAGTGCAGTGGCGCGATCTCGGCTCACTGCAACCTCCGCCTCCTGGGTTCAAGTAATTCTCCTGCCTCAGCCTCCTGAGTAGCTGGGACTACAGGCACGTGCCACCACGCCCAGCTAATTTTTGTATTTTTAGTAGAGATGGGGTTTCACCATGTTAGCCAGGATGGTCTCCATCTCTTGACTTCGTGATTCGCCTGCCTTGGCCTCCCAAAGTGTTGGGATTATAGGCGTGAGCCACTGCGCCAGGCCTCCAGTTATGTTTTTATTATCCCAAAGGAGTGTGGATGGAGAAGTAAATCAGTTCTTTGATTTAAAAAAATTGAGATATAATTATCACAACATAAAATCAGCACTTTAAAGTGTATAACTGGGCCAGGCACAGTAGTTCATGCCTGTAATCCCAGCACTTTGGGAGGCTGAGGCAGAAGGATTGCTTGAGCCCAGGAGTTCCAGGCAAGCTTGGGCAACATGGCAAGACCCCCATCTCCTCAAAAATAAGAATAAAAAAAATTAGGAATGGTGGGGCATGCCTGTGGTCTTGGGAGGCTGAGGCAGGAGGATCACTTGAGCTTGGGGGGTTGAAGCTGTAGTGAGCTGTGATGATGCCACTACACTCCAGCCTCGGCAACAGAGTGAGACACTGTCTTTAATTAATTAATTAATTAATTACAGTGTATACCTCAGTGGTTTTTAGTATATTCACAATGTTGTACAACCATTATCACTATCTAATTCCAGAATATTTTTATCACCCCCAGAAGAAACTTTGTACCTATTGGCAGTGTCTTAGTCCATTCCTGCTGCTATAACAAAATACCCAACATTGGGTAATTTAGAAATAACAGATACTTATTTTTATTTTTTAATTTTTTTTTTTTATGCGGAGTTTCGCTCTTGTTGCCCAGGCTGGAGTGCAATGGCGTGATTTCGGCTCACTGCAACCTCTGCCTCCCAGGTTCAAGCAATTCTCCTGCCTCAGCCTCCCGAGTAGCTAGGATATAGGCATAAGCCACCATGCCCAGCTAATTTTATATTTTTAGTAGAGACGGGGTTTCTTCATGTTGGTCAGGCTGGTCTCGAACTTCCAACCTCAGGTCATCCACCTGTCTCAGCCTCCCAAAGCGCTGGGATTATAGGTGCGAGTCACTGCCACTGGCCCAGATATTTATTTTTCATAGCTCTGGAGGCTGAGAGCTCTAAGATCAAAGCCAGCAGATTTGGTGTCTGGTGAGGGCTCCATCTTTGCTTCCAAGATAGGTGCTCTTGTGTGTCCTCACATGGCATAAAAGTGAAAGGGGAAAAGGGACTAAGGCATTCCCTTTGATCTCTTTTTTATTGTTGTTGAGACAGGGTCTCACTCTGTTGCCCAGGTTGGAGTACAGCAACACAATCACAATTCACTACAGCCTCAACCTCCTGGGTTCAGCTGATCCTCCCACCTCAGCCTCCTGAGTAGCTGGGACTATAGGCATGTGCCGCCACTCTCAGCTAACTTTTGTTTGTTTGTTTGTTTTGTTTTGTTTTGAGACAGAGCCTCCCTTTGTTGCTCAGGCTGGAGTGCAATGGCATGATCTCCGCTCACTACAACCTCTGTCTCCTGGGTTCAAGCGATCCTCCTGTGTCAGCCTCCCGAGTAGCTAGGATTACAGGCATGTGCCACCACCCCTGGCTAATTTTTGTATTATTAGTGGAGACAGGGTTTCACCCTGTTGGCCAGGCTGGTCTCGAACTCCTGACGTCCAGTGATCCACCTGCCTTAGCCTCCCAAAGTGCTGGGATTACAGGCATGAGCCACCGTGCCCGGCTGTCACCTAACTTTTTGTAATTTTTGTAGAGACAGGGTTTCACCATGTTGCCCAGACTGGCCTCAAACTCCTGGGCTCAAGCAATCTGCCTGCTTCGGCCTCCCAAAATGCTGGGATTACAGGTGTGAGCCACCAGGCCTGGCCTTGACCTCTTTTATAAGAACAATAGTCTCCCTTATTGGGATGGAGTGCTTATAACTTCATCACTTCCTCAAAGGTACCACTTCTTAATACACTGGGTATTCACTTTCAACATATTCAGTTTCAACATATGAATTTTGGAGGGACACACACATTCAGATCATAGCAAGTATTCAGTCCTCATTCCCACCTACCCAGCCTTTGGCAACCACTAATCTTCTTCCTATCTCTACAGAATTGCCAATTCTGGACATCTCATATACATAGAACCATACAATACCTGGTCTTTTGTGTCTGGCTTCACTTACAATGTTTTCAAGATTCATCCCTGGTATAGCATGCATCAGTACTTCATTCATTTTTATGGCTATTCTGCAGTGATTAGGTCTATGCAAACCTGCCTCCAAAGGCCAAGGGAGTTGAGAGGCCAGAGAAAGAGGCTGGCAATCCAGCTTCTCAGAAGTAAACATTTAATAGGGATATAGGAATGGAAGCCATGTTCCTGGTGGTACGAGACAGTGAATCCCCACACCATTACCCCCCAGGCCCAGGGCTTATATACCATAGGGAAAAGATATCCATGCCTCAAAAGGAATTTGCCTAAGAGCAGGATTTACAGTAAGTAGTAAAGTAGAAATCTTAGAGGCATTCCCCAAATGGGTTTATCAGAAGTCAAAATGGCAGATTAGCATCCAAGATGGAGTTAGTTGCTTTAGCCTCTGCAATAGAGAAAAGATAGATTGTTGCCTGGAAACACATTTGGTTTATTCATTCATCTGTTGATTCCACATTTTAGCTACCTATTATATGACTATAAACATTCATTGCAAGAGTTTGTGTGAACGTAGGTTTTTTATTCTCTCAGGTACCTAGGGGTAGAATTGCTGGGCTCATAACTCGATGTTTAACCATTTGAGGAGCTGCCAAGCTGTTTTCCACACAGCTGCACCATTTCCCATTCCCAAAAGCAATGTATGAGGGCTCCAATCTCTCTATATCCCTACCCGCAGTTGACAATGTCCTTTTTCTTTTTTTTTTTTTTTTTAATTATAGCCATCCTAAGGGTATGAATCGCATTGTGGTGAAGTAGTAAGTAGTATTGCATTGTGGTGAAATCTGTCTTGTAACTAGGAAAATAGGCATTCTTTTGCCTTTGCTGTTTGTGATAAACCATGGAGGTTCTCTATGTTAGGCCAGCATAAGACAGTTTGTGGTTCTGCTTCTTCTGTTCTCACCACTGGGCCCTGGCCTGGAGACCTCCTCCTCACCGAGGACACTGTCAGAGGGACTCAGGTGGATTGGGTTCAATCCTGGTTCTGCCAATTGTTAGCGAGGATGAACTTATTAAAGGGCAAGTTATTAAAGTTTCCTAAGCCTCATCTCTAAAATGGGAATAATTTAAGTGACTGCTAATTTATTTCAAGGACTCTAAGATATACCCTTTTCACATCTTAACATCTCTGAAATAGAGATGTGTTTTAAGGTGTTTGTGGGGCTGGCAGGAGTTGTGAATGTAGTCATTCTCACCTGGACATACACATTAGAACTCGCAGATGGGATGTCAGCTGCCAGATAGAGAACCCCAGAGACAAGAGTGGAGCCTCTTTGAGGCAATGCCACCGTACCAACACTCTTGCCACAAAGGACAGCACTGTGGGTAAAACTCGGATCTCAAGGACTGGGCCATGGTGATCCCAAGAGTGGGCCCTAGATCAGAGGAAGTTTGGGGAGTATCTTCACCTGTTCATTTCACTTGTATTTTCCCTATTATCTATGCACAAGAGTGGTATGCAGTAACCATCTCTGTTGAAGGAAATCTAAAAGAGCTCTTTCAGAACTGTAAAATAAAAATTCTAAGGGCTAAGAAATACTTTGTGTCAATTAATTGACTTTATTTTCCTTTTTTAACAGTATATAAAATAATGATGTGTGTGACAATCAGTGATGAAATAAAGGTACCTACTTCCCACATTGGAAGGCTATTGAGAGGCCTTGGCAGGGGGCGGATAGTGTGCGTGGAACACTGAACACAGGGCCTGGCAGAGAGTAGTCCTGTTATAAATGTTGCTGGTTAAGAAGATTATTCACAATAACGTGCCTATTTGTAATATTATTGTAGCAGGACGAACCACTGACAAAACCCCTCAGACACTGGGTGAAGGAAGGATTTGGCTTTATTTGGCCGGGAGCCTCGGCAGACTCACGTCTCAACAGCCGGGAGCTTCGGCAGACTCATGTCTCAAGAACCGAGCTCGCCAAAGCCAGAGTTCCTGGCCCTTTTAAGGGCTTACAACTCTAAGGGGTTCCACATGAAACGGTTGTGATAGATTAAGAGCAGATGTGGTTAGAGTGGGGGGTTAACCTTTTAACCTCAGGCCTGGTCATCAGTGGCACTGGCTGGCCTTGCCACTGACTTCATTCCTGTTGTTTTTCAACTTTTTACTTCCTCCTTCTCTTCAGAGACAGGAGACAGTAAGAGAAATGGCCTCGCTCCTCATTTCCCCCTTTGAGAACCTCATTCACTAGTGAGAGTTCTCACTGTCATGTTCACAACCCAGGTCTTCCTGCCAGTCCAGTTCCATCGATTCCTAGAGTTACATACTCTCCTGTTTTCCAACGGAGATCAAGTAGTTCTAACGGGTTATAGCACACATCAGGTTGGTCACTTCCTGGGATGCATTCCTTGTACTGGGTGGCATTATACACACAAGTCCCTTTTAGAGTCCAGTACATTCATAATAACTATAAAACAGAAAGACTGTTTTAACTTTTTGCCCTACTCAGTAACTTGAACAGTCCTCAGTCTGAGGAAGGTCAGTTGAAGTCCTTACTGCACAAGTCCGAAATTTAAGGAAAATGAGTCCCACGATGAGTTTCCTCATGCTTTGGCCATGCGTGGACCCGTCAGCTTCCGGGTGTGATTGGGGCAGGGCTTGTCATCTTCTTCAAAGTCACCTTGCATGGGTTGTCTGGGCTTGGTTTCCCCTCCCAGGTCTCAGGTGCTGCGGGCTTTATGTGACTGTGGTGGATCCAGGCTGGGATTTCCTCTACTTTTATGGCTGTGGGGGTGGTCAAGACAACGGTCTGGGGTCCTTTCCACTGTGGCCGCAACGGGGCTATGTTCCAATCCTTGATCCACACCCAATCACCTTTGCTGTCTTCTGTACCGAGTCAGCCACAAATGCCAGCCCGTTGTCCAAGCTGATTCGTAAGGGCAGCCCAAACTTAGGGATGAGATCTCAGAGAAGCACACGGGTTACTTCACGAGCTTTCTCAGTCCGTGTTGGATAGGCCTCTACCCACCCAGAGTATGTACACACTAGAACTAGCAATTTCTTGTTACCTCCACATTTGGGCATCTCAGTAAAGTCTACTTGGAAATCTTCAAAGGGAGCTGCTCCAGAAGCTCGTATGCCGGGTGGGATGGTTGGACCTTGCTCAGCACTGCGCTGCCGGCAGGCAACACACTGCTGCACCACTATTTCTGGCAAGGGCTGACAGATGCGAGATGTAGAAGTACTGGCCCAACAACTTTTCAAGTGATCTTGACCTAGGTGGGTGGTCTCCTGCACAGCCAGTACGACTGCGGCTCCTCGCAGTTATGGCATGGCTATTCTTCCATCCAACAACTGGATCCATCCCTCTTCTATCACCTGCCCTCCCTCTGCCTGGAGAAGGTCCTTCTCTTCTTTAGATTAAGTAAGTACAAGGTCAGGTACCTGAGGGAGCAGGGGGACTGTGACTGATGCCCGGTAGGGGGTGGATGCTGATTTTCGAGCCTCTGAGTCAGCTCAGGAGTTGCCCAATGCAATCAAGGTGGAAGTTCACTGGTGTTCTTTGCAGTGCATGACTGCCACCTTTTGGAGCTTCCATACTGCCTCAATAACTGCAGGATCTCTTGCTGATATATGTCTTTTCCCCCAGAGTTCAACAGGACTTTTCCTTTATATAAAGCCCCATGCACTTGGAGGGTTAAGAAGGCATACCGAGAGCCAGTATAAATATTTACAGTCTTACCTTCACTTAGCTCTAAGGCCCAAATTAAAGCAATGAGTTCGGCCTTCTGGGCTGAAGTACCCTGGGGCAATGATTTGGCTTCAATGACAGCGTCCAGGGTTACCACTGCATATCACGCACACCTCTCTCCTTGTGGGTTGACAAAGCTGCTCCTGTCCACATACAGCTCCCAGTCTACTGATGCCCAAGTATGGTCTTGGAGGTCCAGCCTGCTAGAATAAACTGTGTCCAATACCTCTACACAGTTCTGTTCAACTGGGCTCTCTGGTACCGGGAGTAAGGTGGCGGGGTTCAAGGTGTTGCAAACTTCAATAGTTATGCAGGGCTTTTCACAGAGTAAGTTTTGGTACCTAGTTAGTCTAGCATTCATGAGCCAATGATGCCCTTTGGTATTCATTAAAGTCACCACAGCATGGGAGGCCTTTATGTTCAGGTTTTGCCCAAGAGTTAGTTTATCCACTTCTTGTGCTAGCAGGGCAGTTGCTGCCAAGGCCCTCAAACACGGGGGCCAATCTTTAAAAACTCCATCTAGTTGTTTGGAGAGGTAGGCTACCAGTCTTGGCCAGGGCCCCACCGTCTGGGTTAAAATTCCAACTGCCATTTTTTCTCTCTCTGACACATATAGTGTAAATGGCTTTGTCAGGTCAGGCAGCCCCAGGGCTGGGGCTGAAATGAGTTTCTCTTTTAACTCATGAAAAGCTCGTTGCTGTTGGGACTCCCATTCAAAAGACTCTTTGTTATCCCCCTTTGTGACTTCATACAGAGGCTTGGCCAGTACTGCAAAGTTTGGGATCCATAACCTGCAGAACCCCACAGCTCCTAAGAATTCTCTCAACTGCTTTCTGGTCTCAGGCTCCGGTAGGTTGCAAATGACCTGCTTTCTTTTTGATCCCAGGCTGCACTCTCCCTGTCGGATAGTAAATCCCAAGTAACATACCTGCTGTTGGCAGATCTGAGCTTTCTTCTTGGACACCTTATACCCACAGTCCTCCAGGTGCTGGAGCACGGTATCCATTCCCTTGGTGCGCCCGACTGCTGTGGGGTGTCCCAGCAGGAGGTCATCAATGTACTGGAGCAACACGCAACCTAGGTCTCTAGCGGGGAACTTTTGGAAGTCTCGAGCCAATGCCTCCCTGAAGATGGTGGGGGAGTTCTTGAACCCTTGGGGAAGCTGGGTTCAAGTGTACTGAGTGGTGACACCTGACCACAGATCCTCCCACTGAAAGGCAAACAGTTTCTGGCGCTCAGGGTCTAGTCTCATGCTAAAGAAAGTGTCCTTCAGGTCCAGGCAGGTGAACCAGCTGTCCTCAGCTGGCAGTAACCCCAACAATGTGTATGGGTTAGGTACCATTGGGTGCAAAGTCACTGTAGCTTGACTGACCAAGCACAAGTCCTGCACTGGCCTGTAGTCCTTGGTCCCTGACTTGGGAACAGGCAGGAGGGGAGTGTTCCATGGAGACTGACAAGGAACTATAATTCCAAAGGCCCTCAGGCACTTGAGATGGACCTGGATACCTTCAAGAACTTCTCTGGGGACCGGGTACTGATTTTGCCTGACTGGCTGGGCCCCAGGCTTAAATTCTATGAGTATGGGGGCCTGGTTGATTGCCAACCCTGGAGGGTTGTCTTCTGCCCACATCCTTGGCCACCGCTTAGCCAGAGCTATTCCTATCCCTTGGCCTGGCTCAGTTAATAATAAGAGTTTCCATGAGGTTCCAAGATGGCCCAATAGGAACAGCTCCAGTCTATAGCTCCCAGCATGAGGGACAGAGAAGACAGGTGATTTCTGCATTTCTAACTGAGGTACCAGGTTCATCTCACTGGAGTTTGTCAGACAGTGGGTGCAGGACAGTGGGCACAGCCCACGGAGCGTGAGCCAAAGCAGGGCGAGGCATCGCCTCACCCAGGAAGCACAAGAGGTCAGGGAATTCCCTTTCCTAGCCAAGGGAAGCTGTGACAGACGGCACCTGGAAAATCGGTCACTCCTACCCTAATACTGTGCTTTTCCAATGGTCTTAGCAAACGGCACACCAGGAGATTATATCCTGCACCTGGCTCAGAGGGTCCCACGCCCATGGACCCTCACTCATTGCTAGCACAGCAGTCTGAGATCGAACTGCAAGGCAGCAGCGAGGCTGGGAGAGGGGCGCCCACCATTGCTGAGGCTTGAGTAGGTAAACAAAGCAGCCAGGAAGCTTGAACTGGGTGGATCCCACTGCAGCTCAAGGAGGCCTGTCTGCCTCTGTAGACCCCACCTCTGGGGGCAGGGCATAGCTGAACAAAAGGCAGCAGAAATTTCTGCAGCCTTAAACGTCCTTGTCTGACAGCTTTGAAGAGAGTAGTCTTCAAAGACTCCCAGCACGGACTCTGAGATGTGAGAACGGACAGACTGCCGCCTTGAGTGGGTCCCTGACTCCTGAGTAGCCTAACTGGGAGACACCTCCCAGTAGGGGCCAACTGACACCTCATATGGCCGGGTGTCCCTCTGAGATGAAGCTTCCAGAGGAACAGTCAGACAGCAACATTTGCTGTTCTGCAATATTTGCTGTTCTACAGCCTCCGCTGGTGATACCCAGGCAAACAGGGTCTGGAGTGGACCTCCAGCAAACTTCAACAGACCTGCAGCTGAGGGTCCTGACTGTTAGAAGGAAAACTAACAAACAGAAAGGACATCCACACCAAAACCCCATCTGTACATCACCATCAAAGACCAAAGGTAGATAAAACCACAAAGATGGGGAGAAACCAGAGCAGAATAGCTGAAAATTCTAAAAACCAGAGCACCTCTCCTCCTCCAAAGGAACACATCTCCTCACCAGCAACAGAACAAAGCTGGATGGAGAAGGACTTTGACGAGTTGACAGAAGGCTTCAGAGTATTGGTAATAAACTTCTCTGAGCTAGAGGAGGATGTCGGAACCCATCACAAAGAAGCTAAAAACCTTGAAAAAAGATTAGATGAATGGCTAACTAGAATAAACAGTGTAGAGAAGACCTTAAATGACCTGATGGAGCTGAAAACCATGACACAAGAACTACGTGACGCATACACAAGCTTCAGTAGCTGATTCGATCAACTGGAAGAAAGGGTATCAGTGACTGAAGATCAAATGAATGAAATGAAGTTAGAAGGGAAGTTTAGAGAAAAAAGAGTAAAAACAAACAAACAAAGCCTCCAAGAAATATGGGACTATGTGAAAAGACCAAATCAACGTCTGATTGGTGTACCTGAAAGTGACGGGGAGAATGGAACCAAGTTGGAAAACACTCTGCAGGATATTATCCAGGAGAACTTCCCCAACCTAGCAAGGCATGCCAACATTCAAATTCAGGAAATACAGAGAATGCCATAAAGATACTCCTCAAGAAGAGCAACTCCAAGACACATAATTATCAGATTCACCAAAGTTGAAATGAAGGAAAAAATGTTAGGGCAGCCAGAGTGAAAGGTTGGGTTACCCCCAAAGGGAAGCCCATTGGACTAACAGCGGATCTCTCAGCAGAAACTCTACAAGCCAGAAGAGAGTGGGGGCCAATATTCAACATTCTTAGAGAAAAGAAGGTTCAACCCAGAATTTCATATCCAGCCAAACTAAGCTTCATAAGTGAAGGAAAAATAAAATCTTTACAGACAAACAAATGCTGAGAGATTTTGTCACCATCAGGCCTGCCTTACAAGAGCTCCTGAAGGAAGCACTAAATATGGAAAGGAACAACCGGTGCCAGCCACTGCAAAAACATGCCAAATTGTAAAGACCATCGATGCTAGGAAGAAACTGCATCAACTAATGAGCAAAATAACCAGCTAACATCATAATGACAGGATCAAATTCACACATAAAAATATTAACCTTAAATGTAAATGAGCTAAATGCTCCAATTAAAAGATGCAGACTGGTAAATTGGATAAAGAGTCAAGACCCATCAGTGTGCTGTGTTCAGGCGACCCATCTCACGTGCAGAGACACACATAGGCTCAAAATAAAGGGATGCAGGAAGATCTACCAAGCAAATGGAAAACAAAAAAAAGCAGGGGTTGCAATCCTAGTCTCTGATAAAACAGACTTTAAACCAACAAAGATCAGAAGAGACAAAGAAGGCTGTTACATAATGGTAAAGGGATCAATTCAACAAGAAGAGCTAACTATCCTAAATATAAATGCACCCAATGCAGGAGCACCCAGATTCATAAAGCAAGTTCTTAGAGACCTACAAAGAGACTTAGACTCCCACATAATAATGGGAGACTTTAACACCCCACTGTCGACATTAGACAGATCAACGAGACAGAAAGTTAACAAGGATATCCAGGAATTGAACTCAGCTTTGCACCAAGCAGACCTAATAGACATCTATAGAACTCTCCACCCCAAATCAACAGAATATACATTTCTCTCAGCACATCACACTTATTCCAAAATTGACCACATAGTTGGAAGTAAAGCACTCCTCAGCAAATGTAAAAGAACAGAAAATATAGAACACTGTCTCTCAGACCATAGTGCTATCAAACTACAACTCAGGATTAAGAAACTCACTCAAAACCGCTCAACTACATGGAAACTGAACAACCTGCTCCTGAATGACTACTGGGTACCTAATGAAATGAAGGCAGAATAAAGATGTTCTTTGAAACCAATGAGAACAAAGACACAACATACCAGAATCTCTGGGACACATTTAAAGCAGTGTGTAGAGGGAAATTTATAGCACTAAATGCCCACAAGAGAAAGCAGGAAAGATCTAAAATTGACACCCTAACATCACAATGAAAAGAACTAGAGAAGCAAGAGCAAACACATTCAAAAGCTAGCAGAAGGCAAGAAATAACTAAGATCAGAGCAGAACCAAAGGAGATACAGACACAAAAAACCCTTCAAAAAAAAAAAAAATCAATGAATCCAGAAGCTGGTTTTTTAAAAAGATCAACAAAATTGATAGACCACTAGCAAGACTAATTAGGAAGAAGAGAGAAGAATCAAATAGATGCAATAAAAAATGATAAAGGGGATATCGCCACCAATCCCACAGAAATACAAACTATCATCAGAGAATACGATAAACACCTCTACGCAAATAAACTAGAAAATCTAGAAGAAATGGATAAATTCCTGGCACATACACCCTCCCAAGCCTAAACCAGGAGGAAGTTGAATCCCTGCATAGACCAATAACAGGCTCTGAAATTGAGGCAATAATTAATAGCCTACCAACCAAAAAAAGTGCAGGACCAGATGGATTCACAGCTGAATTCTACCAGAGGTACAAACAGGAGCTGGTACCATTCCTTCTGAAACTATTCCAATCAATAGAAAAAGAAGGAATCCTCCCTAACTCATTTTATGAGGCCAGCATCATCCTGATACCAAAGCCTGGCAGAGACACAACAACAAAAGAGAATTTTAGACCAATATCCCTGATGAACATCGATGCAAAAATCCTCAATAAAATACTGGCAAACCGAATCCAGCAGCACATCAAAAAGCTTATCCACCATGATCAAGTGGGCTTCATCCCTGGGATGCAAGGCTGGTTCAACATATGCAAATCAATAAACATAATCCAGCATATAAACAGAACCAAAGACAAAAATCACATGATTATCTCAATAGATGCAGAAAAGACCTTCAACAAAATTCAACAGCCCTTCATGCTAAAAACTCTCAATAAATTAGATATTGATGGGACGTATCTCAAAATAAGAGCTATTTATGACAAACTCACAGCCAATATCATACTGAATGGAAGCATTCCCTTTGAAAACTGGCACAAGATAGGGATGCCCTCTCTCACGGCTTCTATTCAACATAGTGTTGGAAGTTCTGGCCAGGGCAATCGGTCAGGAGAAAGAAATACAGGGTATTCAATTAGGAAAAGAGGAAATCAAATTGTCCCTGTTTGCAGATGACATGATTGTATATCTAGAAAACCCCATCATCTCAGCCCAAAATCTCCTTAAGCTGATAAGCAACTTCAGCAAAGTCTCAGGATACAAAATCAATGTGTGAAAATCACAAGCATTCCTAAACACCAATAACAGACAAACAGAGAGCCAAATCATGAGTGAATTCCCATTCACAATTGCTACAAAGAGAATAAAATACCTAGGAATCCAACTTACAAGGGATGTGAAGGACCTCTTCAAGGAGAACGACAAACCACTGCTCAATGAAATAAAAGAGGACACCAACAAATGGAAGAACATTCCATGGTCATGGATAGGAAGAATCAGTACCGTGAAAATGGCCATACTGCCCAAGGTAATTTATAGATTCAATGCCATCCCCATCAAGCTACCAATGACTTTCTTCACAGATTGGAAAAAAACACTTTAAAGTTCATATGGAACCGAAAAAGAGCCCACATTGCCAAGACAATCCTAAGCAAAAAGAACAAGGCTACAGTAACCAAAACAGCATGGTACTGGTACCAAAACAGAGATATAGACCAATGGAAAGAACAGAGCCCTCAGAAGTAATACCACACATCTACAACCATCTGATCTTTGACAAACCTGACAAAAACAATCAATGGGGAAAGGATTCCCTATTTAATAAATGGTGCTGGGAAAACTAGCTAGCCATATGTAGAAAGCTGAAACTGGATCCCTTCCTTACACCTTATACAAAAATTAATTCAAGATGGATTAATTTAAAGACTTAAATGTTAGACCTAAAACCATAAAAACCCTAGAAGAAAACCTAGGCAATACCATTCAGGACATAGGCAAGGGCAAGGACTTCATGTCTAAAACACCAAAAGCAATGGCAACAAAAACCAAAATTGACAAATGGGATCTAATTAAACTAAAGAGCTTCTGCACAGCAAAAGAAACTACTATCAGAGTGAACAGGCAACCTACAGAATGGGAGAAAATTTTTGCAATCTACCCATCTGACAAAGGGCTAATATCCGGAATCTACAAAGAACTCAATCAAATTTACAAGAAAAAAAAAATCAAACAACCCCATCAAAAAGTGGGCAAAGGATATGAACAGACACTTCTCAAAAGAAGACATGTTCATCATCACTGGCCATCAGAGAAATGCAAATCAAAACCACAATGAGATACCATCTCACACCAGTTACAATGGTGATCATTAAAAAGTCAGGAAACAACAGGTGCTGGAGAGGATGTGCAGAAATAGGAACACTTTTACACTGTTGGTGGGACTGTGATCTAGTTCAACCATTGTGGAAGACAGTGTGGCGATTCCTCAAGGATCTAGAACTAAAATACCATTTGACCCAGCCATCCCATTACTGGGTATATAACCAAAGGATTATAAATCATGCTGTTATAAAGACACACGCACATGTATGTTTACTGCAGCACCATTCACAATAGCAAAGACTTGGAACCAACCCAAATGTCCAACAATAATAGACTGGATTAAGAAAATGTGGCACATATACACCATGGAATACTATGCAGCCATAAAAAAGGATGAGTTCATGTCCTTGGTAGGGACATGGATGAAGCTGGAAGCCATCATTCTGAGCAAACTATCGCAAGGACAGAAAACCAAACACTGCATGTTCTCACTCATAGGTGGCAATTGAACAATGATAACACTTGGACACAGGATGGGGAACATCACACACCGGGGCCTGTCCTGGGGTGGGGGGAGGGGGGAGGGATAGCATTAGGAGATATACCTAATGTAAATGACGAGTTAATGGGTGCAGCACACCAACATGGCAGATGTATACATACGTAACAAACCTGCACGTTGTACACATGTTCCCTAGAACTTAAAGTATAATAGTAATAATAATAATAATAAAAAGAAGAGTCTCCATTCCTCCTCCTGAGGAACCGTAAGGGCCATGATGACTCCCGTTCCAGGTAACTTTAGCTGTAAAGAGCTGTGCTTTGTAAAAGAGATGGTGGCTCTCAGTTTGCTAAGTAGGTCCCTTCCTAGCAAAGGCAAGGGGCAGTCAGGCATGTACAGGAACCGGTGAATCACTTCATGCCCCCACTATGGTACAGGTCCGGGGCTAACAGAAAGCTTGCTTTGCCGAAACCCCTGTGGCTCCAATTATATCAATAGTCTTTTTGGATAAGGGGGTGACGGGGTGGCCATTACTGAATGTTAAGCACCAGTATCGACTAGGAACTCAATGTCCTTGCCCCCAGACTGTCATCCTGACCATGGGCTCTTTGGGGGCACATGAACCTGGTCCCCCTCCATCCAGTAACCCTTCTGCCAGATTGAACAAGGCTCCTTCATCCTTGCCTTAGGCCTCATGCTCAGAGTCACCTTGTTTCCCTTTCAACTGGGGGCACTTGTCCTTCCAATGTCCTTTACAGTAAGCACACTGATTACGCTGCAAGCGTAGATGGCCAGACTGGGTATTTTTCTTGGGGCCCCCTTCTCTCGCCCTTTGGAGGGACCCCTCTAATAGCTGCAGCTAGCAGGTCGGTGTTTCGCCGGGCTTGCTGTTTGCTCTCTGCAGTTCTCTCTGCGGCTTACTGCAGCTCTATTTACAAACACCTGGTTGGCTATCTCCAATAACTGTGACGTATTCATGCCTGCAAACCCAGCCTGTTTCTGCAATTTTCTTCTAATGTCTTCTGTACTTTGACTAAAGCCATGTTAATCATATGCTGATTTTCAGGGCTATTGGGATCAAAGGGAGTATACATACGATAGGCCTTACGTAGAATAGTCTCTTGTAGAATTGTGCCAGGCTCTCATCTTTCCCTTAAGTGACCTCAGAGACTTTGTTAACATTTGTGGCCTTCTGAGCTCCCTTCTTTAACCCTTCCAGAAGGGCTTCCCTGTACCGGTTTAGCCTTTGCATACCCTTTCATTTGGGTCCCACTGGGGGTCTGTTCCTGGTAATTGGATCCTCACATACTCTTGGGGGTTTTGGCAATCAGCTGGAACATGTTCTTCCAGCCACTTAGTTGCTGCTTGGAGCACTCTCCTCCTTTCATCTGTGTTAAAGAGGTACATAAGCAACCGGTGGCAATCAGCCCAGGTGGGGTTGTGGGTCTGGATAATAGTTTGGAGCAAATCAATTATAGCTTGAGGCTTTTCGGTATAGGATGGGGTATTGTTTTTCCAATTGAGGAGATTGGTAGAGGTGAAGGGCTGGTACACAAAGGCATGCCTTTCCACCATATGCCCGTCCTCATCTACCCTAGTATACCATTGCTCTCTCAGAGGCATTTGTATCCCAGTTCTAGGCCTCAAACGGGCTGCCAAGGGAGGGGTTTCTCCCGAGGTCTCGCATCCTTTCTTTTCTACTCTGGGTGGCCTAGGGGTATATAGGCCTTGTGGAGGCCTTCCTTCTTGATGAAAGGGTGGGGGGGCACTAGCATTGTTTCTCTTATGTTGGGTCGGACAGAACTTTAGGAGCCTACTCCCTTCAGTGGGTGGAGCGGAATTCTTCCTTGGCTGTCTGTCCCTTTGCCACTAGTACTTCTACGTCTGTCCTCTTAACCACGGTGCAGGGGTCTAAAACCAGCTGTAACCAAGTGTCTATGTACAGAAACTGGTCTAGGTATCCTTTACCAGTTACCTTGTGCCACACCTTTGAAACAAGGGAGCTGTCTAGACTTCCTTCTGATGGCCAACCCACTTCTAATGCCGGCCACTCTATCTCACACAAAGTTTTCCTGGTGTCATAGTAACTCCATAGTCTCCACTAAATCCTTCCTTGAAATTTTCCAACATAGTTCCTAGCGGAGTGGGCGCTTACTTTGCGTTGCACCCATCTTCCTCCCGAGACAAAACAACACTCCCACCACAAGAAGGAAAGGGTAAAGGGGTCACTCACTTGTCTCGCCCATCTTAAACTCAAGCACTCACTCACTTTCACTTTCCTTTTTGCAAACGAGTCAAGCCAAATCAAAATCAATACTGAGACCAAAGTGCTGATAAGGGCACACCGTGGTTGATCAGGCCTCGCTTCCATTCAAATGGAGTGGGCAAATTCCCAGAACCAGCCTGTTAAGCAATTCAAACCAAGTCAAGAATCAAAACCAAAACCAAAGTGCCGACAAAGGTGGGCTGTGGGTGATCAGGCCACGCTTCCACTCAAATCGAGTGGGCAAGTTCCCAGGACCGGGCCTACCGTATTCCAGATGTCCAGACTCCAAGCGCCAGTTCCTTCCCGGTGTTCGGCTGCTGCATTGATCCTCCGCGGGGGCCTGCAGTGCACTGCTCTGACGAGGCGTTCCACCGAGGCAAATGCCTACCCTGGAGCGCTCTCAGGATCCGCATCGCTCAAGCTGGCCGGAGTCCCCCGTAGGAATACTTCCCAGGGCAAGCCTAAGCTGCCTAAGGGGCTGCCTCGACCGTCCATCAACCACCTCTCTTCCTGGTCAGGGAACCAAGAAATGAAGCAGGACAGCCGCGGACAAAACCCCTCAGACACCCGGCTACGAAGGATTTGGCTTTATTGGGCTGTGAGCCTCGGCAGACTCGCGTCTCAACGGCGGGGAGTTTTGGCAGACTCGCGTCTCAAGAACCGAGCTCCAGGAAGCCAGAGTTTTAAGGCCTTACAACTCTAAGGGGTTCCATGTGAAAGGGTCGTGATAGATTGAGAGCACATGCGGTTAGAGTCGGGGGTTAATCTTTTAACCTCAGGCCTGGTCATCAGTGGCACTGGCTGGTCTTGCCACTGACTTCATTCCTGTTGTTTTTCAACTTTTACTTCCTCCTTCTCTTCAGAGACAGGAGACAGTAAGAGAAATGGCCTCTCTCCTCATTATGACGTGTAAATATTGCCCAACTTTCTACAAGGGACCCTTCTTCTGGCCCTTCACTGACTCATTAATCCTAAAGGAGGAAAACCCATAATAATTGCTTATTTCTTTCATAGCACTCAGAAAAATCAAGGCCAGGCGCAGAGGCTCGTGCCTGTAATCCCAGCACTTTGGGAGGCCAAGGCAGGTAGATCGCTTGAGCCCAAGAGTTCAAGACCATCCTGGGCAACACAGTGAGACCCTGTCTTTACAAAAAATACAAAAATTAGCTGGGTGTGATGGTGCGTGCCTGTGTTCCCAGCTACTAAGGATGGTGAGGTGGGAGGATCGCTGGAGCCCAGGAGGCGGGGATTGCAGTGAGCCAAGCTCATACCACTGTACTCCAGCCTAGGTGACAGAGTGAGACTCTATCTCAAGAAAAAAAAAACTTAATGAAAAATCAATAAATTAGTTGGCTCAATGAATACAAAATTTGTTTTGTTTTGTTTTTTTCAGATGGAGTCTCACTCTGTCACCCAGGCTGGAGTGCAGTGGCACAATCTCGGCTCACTGCAACCTCTGCCTCCTGGGTTCAAGTGATTCTCCTGCCTCAGCCTCCCAAGTAGCTGGGACTATGGGCGTGTGCCACCACGCCCGGCTAATTTTTGTATTTTTAGTGGAGACAAGGTTTAGCCATGTTTGCCAGGCTAGTCTTGAACCCCTGACCTCAAGTGATCTGCCCGCCTTGGCCTCCCAAAGTGCTGGGATTACAGGCATAAGTCACCACGTCCAGCCCCCAGTGAATACAAAATTCAACAAATGTTAGTCAAAGGCTCTTACGGAAAAGGCTTGTTGCAAGACTGGCGGATGACATGCTAATGCTAGTGTCCTCCTAGAAGATGCACACTTGGCACCATATAGGTCAGTTCCAACCAGAAGTTGATTTCTGGACCCCAGGGGCACTTGTGTTTAGTAGCTTTCTCTATGAAGCCCAGTAACTATGTCCACTGTTATGTAAATCTCTTCCAAACTTTGGGTTCAGTGACTTCACATTGGTAGCCTGAAACTGGCCATGCGATGAGTTATTTACACCACAGGAATTGGCAAACACCATAAATCAGCTCATCACTGCATTGAATTCCTCGAGTTGAGGTGGTGTCTGTAAGTTCAGTCTCACACCACAAGCTGAGGGGCACTCACTGGGTCAGCAGAGATATTTGAGCCTTTAAGGAGTTATAGCACCAGGGGCATTTGCCCCTGCTCTGCTGGACACACGTCCTTGCAACAGTGTCCATTTCCATGTGGCTGTCTTTGGGTATGTCTGACCTGCTAGGAGGTTCTTCTTGCTCCTGTTTCAGCAGTCAGTCCATCTTCCAGACACTGGACAAACCTCTCCGTGGTTTCTCCGTGGCTGGAGTTAGGCTTAGAGTTGAAGCTCACAGGGGCTGAGTCAAGGTGAGAATGAAACAGACACAAAAGCCCAACAAAAGAGGAAAACAATGCATATTTGATAACCGAAAAGGGGGCGGAGATGGGCTTTTTCTTAATTTTTGACTGAAATTATTGGCATGGTTGAATTCATAGTCTTCCTCCCCACCTCCAGCTCTCCTGGCAGAATTCTATAGCCACTAGCACAGTCTCACTTCTTTTCTCTTCAACTGTCCTTATGAGGCTTAGCACACCTTGTAATAAAGACCAGGCAAGAGAAGACCGGGGAAGGGAGAACAGAAAACCAGCTTGCCTAGGAAGCAAAGAACACCATTTGAGGAGGGAGGTGGAGGTGCTAGAGCAGCTATGGGGTACGAGAGAAGTAGATGGAGGAAGACGGGGGATTAAACGCATTGTTTTATTATTCTCTGAATAGGTAATATATGCACATGGTACACAATTACAGAGGTCTCCCACCTCCCCTCATCTGTGCACCCAGCAGCCCCATTTCCTCCCTAGAAATAGCCTATGCCATCAGTTCTTCACATATCTCAGGGATTCCTGAGAATATTCCACCTCAAGGGCTCGCAGGCTTCCCTGGATGAGAATCACCTGGAGGGCCTGTGCAAGGACTGCTACCACCAGCCCCTGGGGGTTCTTTTCTGATTCAAAGGCTCTGGTGAATTTGCCTTTTCTTTTCCTTTCTTTTTTCTTTTCTTTTCTTTCTTTCTTTTTCTTTCTTTCTCTCTTTCTCCTTTCTTTCTTTCTCCCTCTCTCTCTCTCTTCTTTCTTCGGTGGAGTTTCGCTCTTGTTACCCAGGCTGGAGTGCAGTGGTGCAATCTCGGCTCACCGCAACCTCTGCCTCCCGGGTTCAAGCGATTCTCCTGCCTCAGCCTCCCAAGCAGCTGGGATTACAGGCATGCGCCACCACACCTGGCTTTTTGTATTTTTAGTAGAGACAGGGTTTCTCCATGTTGGTCAGGCTGGTCTCAAACTCCCAACCTCAGGTGATCCACCCACCTCGGACTCCCAAAGTGCTAGGGTTACAGGCGTGAGCCACTGCACCCAGCCTGGGAATCTGCATTTCTAACAAGTTCCCAGGTGATGCCGATGCTGCTGGCCCAGGGATTACACTTTGAGAACCACAGTTGTGGAGGTATTCACAGAAACCCTTTCAATACTCTCTCTCTCTCTCTCTGAAGTAATTTGAGTATCTGTGTCTGGCAATGGAAATGCCTCTAAGACAGCATTAATACAGCACAATTCCTTCCTGTGGGCCTTCCCTATGCTGGACTCTTCATCTGGAATACTCTCATCCCTCACCTCCACATGTCCAAGGCCCAGTTCAATGGCCATTTCCTCCAGGAAGTCTTCCTTGGTTCTCTCCCTATACTGCAAGAAGTCTTATGCTCCTTTAAATTTCCATAGGAGTGTTTGTCTGCATTCTTCTAAGGGTACCTGTTATTTATTAGAACAGTATATAAAAAATGGGGCTCTCTTTGCCTCAATTTTTATAATTTTTGTTAAAGAGATATCAGATCCCAAAATAAGTCTGAAGGAGACCATCAAATGTAGTATTTACGTTTCAAGATTCTTGGTCCTCCCTCCCCTGGTCAGCTTGGGGTCTATAGAATGGTTGAGGTAATTTTTGGATGATTTCTTGGGAGAGTGCTATGCTGTAAGCCTACAAGAGGAAAGGAGAAATTAAATGGAGCTGTCACTTCCATACTCCAGAGCCTAGAGAGCCTGGGTTTCAGTGGCCACTTGAGAGCTTGATGAGGGTTCTCTGTAACTGGGGGAATCCGGGGACCAGTTTCTGAGACAGTGGAAGCAGCCTGGGGCCAGGCAGAGAGAGAGGAGGAATTGCCCTCCACCAAAGGCAGAGCAAGGGGAGCGTTGTTGCTTCTTGAGGACCAGTGGAAAGTCTCCAAGGCAGCCATTGTGGGGGCATCTGAAATCCCACCCAATATAGCCGGGCTGGTAGGGGCTGTGTGGTGACCTCAGCTGAAAGGAAGTGTGAGGTGAACTTCACATTCCCATGGCTCCACATGGCAGAGTCCTGGGAATGGTGGACAAGACCCCAGTTTGGGGGATCTCTGAGGAACACCCAAAACACCCATAATCACAAGAGTCACCTTTACTCACCTGCCATCCAGAGGACCTTGAGATTTGGAGACAAGGGCACCACCTTGTGATTTTACCCTTTCTCCTATGGGCAGGAAGCTCATTCACCTGCCGGTGGGAAAAGGAGGGGTTGGGGGAGAGAGAGTGAGAGAGAAAAGCTACCCCATCTCCCTTCTCAGGTGGCTGGGGAGATGGAAGAACATGTAATGCCACATCAAGTTCAAAGCCTTGATTATGATATAACACTGGGCATTCTCCTGAAAGGAGACAGTGGTTGTAACTCAGAGGGGCAAAGGACTATAAGACTGCTGTTTCCTAAAGGTGGCAAGACAGGGCATAGCCCTGCTGAAGTTTCATCAGGGGCAGGCAAAGTCATTCCTGTTATTGTTATGCACCATGTTTGCTTAAAGTTTCACACACACACTGCATAAGCTTTTTCTTTCCCTCACTATGTCATGAACTCCCTGATATCCTGGCATGTAACACCTCTGTGGCCCTTTTGGTGCCTAGCATGCCTAGCACCATACCTGGCACATACAAGTCTACAGCTGATAGTTGCCCATTTATTCATTGATCCTTGCTTTCAACATGTATTGAGAGCCCATGTTGGGTGGTAGCAAGAGAGCAGGAAATGAAATGCATGTGACTTGTGTTCCAGGAGCTTGCTGTCTGCAGGGGAGGTGTATGAGAAGTGTCTGCAGAGCCTCACCCCACTCCAAGGGGAGCAAATTCAAGCCCACGGGCACCAGGCAGGAGCGTGAATAAGGGAGGCAGTCTCTAACTGCGACACCTTGGGCAAGTCTAAGACGATAAACGTGTTGGCAATTCTGGCAGAACAGGGCATCCACCGTGCCCCTCGGAAGGTGGCAGCTGTTCTTTATTGCCTTCTGAGAATCCAAAACGACTGTTGCCAGATTGCCTGCTTCTCCAAAAGAGTTTGAAATCTGGAGTTGCATGTAAAATGTCACCAAAAAAAACCACATCTGTAGGTTCCTTCAGTCCAAGGGTCACGGTCCGGGGCCACTGTGCTGTTGTTGGCTCTCTCCCCCGGTGTTCCTGTTTATAAAGAGGGGGTGCCAGTCATTGTGAGCCACGTGCTGCTTCTTTAGGAATTAATTAGTCAGGGATTTGGAGCAGCTTTATACAAAGAACTTAGCTGTGTGAAAACACTCCTTGGCCCAAAGAAGAAATATTTTTAAAATCCCAACCCTAAGTGCTTAATCTGCTAAAATGTACAACAAATAAAAATAACGCTTGGAAAAGAGCTTGCTTCCTCTTTCAGAAGAGCCCCTGTGGCCTCTACAGTCTGACTACAGGGAAGGGGCCTTTTCTGCCAGTGGTATGACAACAAGCCACAGACTTACCAAACCAAGTCAGAATTTGAAAGGAACTAGTTGACAGGTGGCATTCACTGCAGCTTTATTACCTGGAAAATAGTTGCGTCCGTTGGAGATGTAGTGACAGCTTCTAGGGCTGATCCCCCATGGTGGGGCTGTCCTTTGAGCTCCTGCTCGGACACTGCTGGGATCCAAAGGCCCAGGAGCCAGACTGTAAATGGAGCTGGAGAAGTCCTAGGAGACAACACAGCAGGCAGCCCAGGACAGTTGGCTACCTGACACATGTCTCCATGTTCTGGGTCCTGTTCTGGGGACAGTCCCAGAGGTAGCAATCTATACAAATATAATGTATGACTGCCTTGAGGTGCAAATAAGGCCATGTTTCTCATTTTTATCATTAACTCCCATCTACCTTTATAAGCAGGAAATCTGATCATCTAAACATCCCTTTAAACCTCCTAAGAATCCTAAGCACTTGGTTCCAGGAAGTCAGTACTGTGTCTGCAGGTCTGATGGAGAGAATGGGGAAGCTCCCCTGACGATTGTTTCAGTGGCTGCCACAAGGTGTTGTTGTTGGAGACTGTTTTTGTGCAGACCTGCACACAGCTGCCCTACACTTTGGGCGGAGGCCCTTGCTGGTGCAGGCAGGTCTTTGCCAGCCCACAGTAGTGCTACATGCCTGGCAGTGTGAAGAAAGTGCAGGGCTGTAGGCCAGCGCTTGTTGCAGCACAAATTGGAATGGGGAGGGGCCGAGGGTGTGTCTAACCTGATTTCTCAGCTGGCCACCCTGAGATATCAGGCAGGCCACCAGAAATTCTGTTTCCATAAAGATCCCATAACTTTCTAGAAGGGCAGCAAAACTTAGACTGGCCTGCACTAAGAGAAGGCAGTGGGCGTGGTTAAGAGCACAGATTTTGAAATCAGATCTACTTTGGCTCAAATTTTGACCCTTTAATAGCTGTGTGATTTGGGGCAAGTTGTTTAATGTTTCTGGGCATCAGCTTCCTTGTCTATAAAATAAGGATAAAAACACCTATTTTATAGTTTGGAGAGCTAAGCCATGTAAAAAGCTCAGCATCGCGTCTAACCATGCCAGATTCACAATGAAAATGGCCACTGTTCGGGTGAAGGAAAAAACTCCACTGTTGCCCTCTGAAGATTTGCTGAAAATTCGACTCACAAAAGACAGATTCAGTGGAGGAAGAACATACACATTTATTTTATTAGAGTTAACGTGATAAGGGAGGCTTTAGGGTGAAGACCCAACCCCCCAGTGGGGTGTAGAGGCTTATATGGTCTAATTCTTTTTTTTTCTCTAACTTGCTTCAGAGGAAGATACCCTTCTTCTCAGGGGAAAGGGCGATGGGGAAGTGTGGATGATTTTAGAGGAGTAGTAAATGATGTTTAGGGGAATTCAATGGGCTTGAAGAACATACAATGGCCTGGGGCAAAGCTTGTTGGGCCCAGAGAATGGACAATGGTTTGTGACAAAAGTCCATCAGGTGTGTGGGCAGACACTAGTCTTTTTTCCTATAATATGGATTCAGTTAATGAAAACTCAGAGAAGGGGCTAAAGGCAATTCTTTTCATCTTTGGTAGGTGCAGACTTTAGGCAGAAAAGGGAGCTTCAGAGAACAGCGTCCTCCTATGCTTTGGGAGAGATGGGTGGGGAAGGGGAGGTCAGAGAGACCTTGAGGCTCCTTTTTCAGTTCAACATGTACAAATGGCCATATTTTGGGGTATTGGTTTTTGAGCCCCGATACCACTCATAGGTGTTTTATTTAGGCATTAATTGTGCCATTGTTTTTAAAAAAACAAAAGGACCTGTTATAATTTGAAAACTGCAGACAATGAATACATTTTAGCTAGAAATTTTGATAAATTGGATATATTGAATAAGGCTTTCAACCTGTTTTATATATTTTTTTAGTTTTTATTTATTTCTTATTATTATTTTTTTTAGAGACAGCGTCTTGCAATGTTGCCCAGGCTGTAGTACAGTAGCTATTCACAGGTGCAATCCCATTACTGATCAACACAGGAGTTTTGACCTGCTCAGTTTCTGACCTGGGCTGGTTCACTCCTCCTTAGGCAACCTGGTGGCACCCCCGCTCCACTTAGTGCAAACACCTAATGGTCACAGTGTGCTACAGCCCAAGGCTTCTGGGCTCCAGCACTGTTCCCGCCTCAGCCTCTCCAGTAGCTATGACTGCAGGTGTGTGCCCACCACACCCAGCTATATTCTTATTTTTAAAGATCAAAATCATAGAACAAATGTTTACTCTCAAGTCCTATTCAGTGATGACCTTGTGTAGTACTTGACATAGAGTTAAGTTGTCACAGTGTCTGGTTTTTAGCTCTTGTGCTCTTAGACAACATAAATGCAGACAGTCATGGAAGGGCTGCCCAGCCCACGCTACCACCTCTGAGCCCTTACATAAGCTCTGTCAGGTTTACCTTCCTGCTCTGGATTGATTTCTCCATAGAGGACCTTGCCTCCTGCTTTGCTGAAAAATCAGAAGCATGAGGCAGGAACTGCCTCAACTTCCTGCTGCCAAATCTCAAGTCTCCTGAATCCAGCTTCCCATTTTGCCCTCCCCTTGTCCAGGTGGCGCAGTCCCTCAAGGCCAGCGCCCCCACACCCTTTCACCTCTTTCCTCCTGCCTTCTCAGGACACTTGCATTAACCATCACTCCAGATCACTCTGTATTTTCAACCTCACTTTTTCCCGGATTCTTCCAATTGGCATCAGACTACGTTCAAAATTCATTAAAGATAAGAAAGTGAAGATCCTTTTATCCACCACTATTAATTAGGAAGCAGGTTTGACTGCTATAAAGTCCCCAAATAATCAAATCCACTTAAAAAGCTTAAACAAGATGAAAGTTTACTTATTTCTCACATAAGCTGGCAGGGCAATACCTTAGTGGCAGGGAGCTCAGCTTCTTAAGGGTCCTCACTCCACCATTCCTAGGGGTGGCCTTGTCTCCACAGTTCATGATAACTCTCACTGCTGTAAGCAGCATCGGGAAAGAGGGATGGGGAGATGGAGAGCCCTTCCACATGAGGGTGTGACTTCCAATCACCTCCCAACAGGCCAGAATTTAGCAACATGGCCATGCTTAGCTGCAAGGAAGGCTGGGGATCAGCCATTATTCTGGTACCCAGTTGATACCGTTTGGATATTTGTCCCTGCCCAAATCTCATGTTGAAATGTAATCCCCAATGCTGGAGGTGGGGCCTGGTGGGAGGTGTTTTGATCATGGGGGTGGATCCCTCGTGAGTGGCTTGGATCATCTCTTTGGTAATAAGCGAGCTCACACTTTAGTTCACATGAGATCTTTTCTTTATAAATTAATGAACCAATTAAACCTCTTTTCTTTATAAATTACCCAGTCTCAAGTATTTCTTTATAGCAATACAAGAATGCCCTAATATACCAGTTAAACACAGAGACTCTATTAATGTACCAGGAGGGAGAATGGGTATAGGGTACAGCAAGCAAGTCTACTCCTGCACACCTTATCCCCCCTAAGAACAGCCCAATCTCAATTTTCTCCTTCTCACCCCAAGTTTTCAAATGAGTTGTCCACATTCATCATCTCTACTTCCTCTCTGTGTTTGTTTTCCACATAGAAGAGAATTTGCAAAAGTGTTTTGAAGCAAGGGAGAATTTTTTTTCTCATGTCAGATGCATAATGTGCTGACATATAACAATGTTTGAGGGAGGCACATCTCATTCATAAGCGTGAAAACCCAGTCATTATGCATAACTGCAAAAGGATCAGAGAGAATATTATACAAGTTCATTCCTTGAAGGTGGGACTAGGGGTGGGTTGAGCTGCTTAAGAAGACCTGGAAGGCGAGGTCCAGGGAGCTAAGTAAAGCCATGGAAGGAGCTGTTGTTGTCCAGGGATGGGCTGAGTCAAGGAGGCACAACCAGGAGGCAACCCATGCTGGGGGCTGAGAGAATTGGATCGTGTGTGAAACTGAAGGAAGGAGAGGACACACGTGGTAGGAAGAGGGGATCAGACAAGTGTGGGGGAGGCAGATGGGAGGCAGTGAAGGTGCCTTTTAAATTCCTGATCTCATGCTTTGTAAATGTGGTGATGGGGGCACCTTTTCACATGGTACCAACCGTGCTTTCCCAGAATGGGGTAGCTCCTTAAAGAAGACATATACACAGAAGGACGAAATTCTTTTTTTTTTTTTTTTTTTTTGAGTCAGAGTCTTGCTCTGTCACCCAGGCTGGAGTGCAATGGCATGATCTCGGCTCACTGCAACCTCCGCCACCCGGGTTCAAGCGATTCTCCTGTCTCAGCCTCCTAAGTAACTGGGATTACAGGTGCCTGCCACTATACCCAGCTAATTTTTTTGTATTTTGAGTAGAGATGAGGTATCACCATGTTGCCCAGGCTGGTCTTGAACTCCTGACCTCAAGTGATCTGCCCGCCTGGGCCTTCCAAAGTGCTGGGATTACAGGTGTGAGCCACTGCACCTGGCCAACAAAATTCTTGTGTGCATTGATTTTTCTCTACTTAGATCTGTTCATACTTATGCTGTTTATTAGGTAACCCACGCTTGGAGCATTGCGGATGAAACTTATGAAATCTTTGAAAACATAGCCTTTTAGATCAATGCAAAGCACACGTTAAGATAAATCTGGGGTCCAGTTGTGGCAGCTCATGCCTATAATCCCAGCACTTTGGGAGGCCGAGGCGGGCGGATCACCTGAGGTCAGGAGATCGAAACCAGCCTGGCTAACATGGTGAAACCCCGTTTCTACTAAAAATACAAAAAATTAGCTAGGCGGGGTGGTGAGTGCCTGTAATACCAACTACTCAGGAGGCTGAGGCAGGAGAATCGCATGAATCCAGGAGGCGGAGGTTGCAGTGGGCCGAGGTTGCACCATTACACTCCAGCCTGGGCAACAAGAGCAAAATTCCATCTCAAAAAAAAGAAAAAAAAAGAGAGAGAGAGATAAATCTGGATAATTTCTGAGTCACACTGCGAGGGATCAAATCCTGGCTTCTATACGATATACGAATTTGCTCTGCAGCTTTGGGCAAGTGACTTCGCCCCTCTGTTCTTAATTTATAAAGTGGAGATAATAAGAATACATTTAGTTCCAGTAAGGTTGTTGAAACTAACATAAAACCCAATCCAAATGGGCTTTAACAGGAAAAGGGAAATTACAGGCTTATGTAATTCAAAAGATCTAATGGTAGCATTCAGGTGTGGTTTGATCAAGACTCCGGTTCAGTTTCTCTGAGATTTCCTTTGACTTTGATCATAGCAGCAAATTGGGTAGGAACGCAGATTCCCCTTTGCACAGCCTGCCATCTAGGAAAGGATGTTCACACCCAGCATTCCTGTCCGTGGTTCTAAGACTCACTCTAGCTGGACTGGAATGGTGACCACCCACAGAACCTCATTGTGGGCAGGGTTAATGGGCTGAGCCTAGGGCCACACCCCACCCATGGAACCAGGTATGGAATTGGCTTCCCTGGAACCTACTGGACTCCTCTCAGAAGTCAGAGGCTGCTGGGAAGAAGGAAGGGAAAATACAAGCATGGGAAGCAAGCTAGAGGAATTGTTACCGACCACAGGTTCTTAGGCACCCATGCAATAGCAATTGACAGGAGGCCAAACAAGTTTCCCAGACAAGACTTTATGGGCGCTTGTGCTCCAACACAAGGAAACTAGCCCACAAGCAAGAGTTCTTGGCTGGCCCCACTGAGGGGAGTGCATTTCGGTGTCTTAAGGAGGGTGACATGCATAATTCATGAGGTAGGTGAGCCTCACTACATGTGCGGGGTGGAGTACAGGGTGTGCAGGCATGGTAAGGAATCATGCCAACACATACTGTTGTGTGAGCAGAAAATAGCAGATAAGCCCTCCTCTGGGCAGGGATTTTAGTATTATAATGAGGCAAGGGGCAAATATCATTCTTCGGATCTTATGTGCATGCAGGCTGTAGGATTAACTCCCTTGAGTAAGATTTAGGGTGGATGCTGCTTATCTTAGATTCTTCAAGATCGCAAGGTCAGCGGGGATGCGTTAGAGTGATGGTGGTGCAAAGTCTGCTAATTGACAGGTGTGGGAGTGGGGGCCTCATTCCAGTGAGGGCTGAGTCCTGTCCCTATGCTGTCTCACAATCTGCTATATCCATGCACACTGTTTTGACCCATGACTCCTCCCCCAGCAGTTATGGCCTTCTGGTGTCCTAAGTTAACCTTAAAGAAGCAACATAGAGCTAGTTTGTCATGGGAAATTTTGACAGACTCATAAAGGAAAAGACATGATAGGTCACAGCAATGCCATGTCTATACTCATTTCCAAGAACCACATTGTAACCCACATGTGTATTGGTTGTGAAACTCTTAAACTCTTTCTCCAGGGCCAGAGTATGACTTTTGTGGGTCTCCATTTTTGCCTTCATCATCCCTTTCTTCTATAAATAGTACTAAGAACTATATTACTAAGTTGATACTGACAGAGTTCAAGACATAGTATCCACAAATATAGCACGTTGGCATTTGAGAAAACAGCAGAAGCAGGGAGGCCACTCTCACCTTCTCCTCACTCTGCTCCCCTGAAGAGGGCCTTAAGAGAATTATCTGACCTTCCTCCGAAGAAAATCTTCATTCCAGAGATGTCCTTCCTACACCCAAGGAAAGGAATTTCCTTTTCTCTGAAGACACAGGAACACAAAAAAGAATCTAAACAGGACTTGCTAAGTACTTTCCAGTTTAATATCATTAGATCATAGTTTTTTATCCTCCAATCATACTTCTGCATGGCTGTCTATAAAATACACAGTTTTTTCTGTTTCTTTGGGCCTTCATTTCTGAGTGTTCCCATGTTATATAATTTTCTTTTTCTATCTTCTTTTTTTTTTTCTTTTTGAGAGAGAGAGAGTCTCACTCTGTCACCCAGGCTGGAGTGCAGTGACACAATCATAACTCACTGCAGCCTCAACCTCCTTGGCTCAAGTGATCCTCCAACCTCAGCCTCCAAAGTAGCTGGGACTACAGGTGTGCACCACTGCACCTGGCCAATTTTTAAAATTTTTAGTAGAGACAAGGTCTGGCTATGTTACCTGGCTTGCCTTGAACTCCTGGGCTCAAGTGATCCTTCTGCCTTGGCCTCCCAAAGTGCTGGGACTGCAGGCGTGAGCCACCTTGCCCAGCCCACATAAAATTTGTATTAAATAAATTTGTGTGCTTTTCTCTTGTTAATCTGTCTTTTATTATAGGTGCCTCAGCCTCGAACCTTGTGATGAGTGAGAAATCTTTCTCCCCTACGGTATGTCTGTATTAACATTATATATTAAAACATTGTCTTCTAGTTAAAAAAAAATTGAAGCATTTTCATGAGCCACTAAAATTATCATGAACTCTGGGCTCTGCCCCAGCTGTGCCTGATGGATGGGTCCACCCTGCCTTTATTCCCAATGCACTACAGGAGAAAAGTTTCAATGTGCACCTTGCCGAGAATTTCATCTTCTTTATGTTGCCCATGGCATTTTCTGAGCAGCTTTCCTGGAGCTCTGTCTGCCATCTTGCTTATGAAAACCCCAAGTTGTGTAATGGTTACCTGACAGAATGGGAATCCAGATCTCCTTCAGGATACAGCAGGATGGAGGCCTGCAGAGATGGCCTGAAAATAAGTAGCTGGATCCTAAAAGAGTGGAAAGGCAAGTGTTCTGTGCAGTGTTCAGGCATTGAAGCCGTCCTCTTAGTGAATGAGGAAAGAGGAAGAACCCTAAAATGATCCCAATGGCCTGCACACCTTCCTTCCTTCTGTTAAGTTTCTATGATCATGAGTAGGTTCATCCTTTTATTAAAAAGTTTAATAAGCCAGGCATGGTAGCTCACGCCTGTAATCCCAGAACTTTGGGAGGAGAAGGCAGGTGGATCCTTTGAGCGTAGGAGTTTGAGACCACCCTGGGCAACAAAGTGAGACCCTGTCTCTTTGAAAAAAAGAAGTTTAACCAATCTTGGCAGGTTAAGTTATGCTGTGGTAACAAACGACGCCAAAATCTCAGTGCTTAGAACCACAAAGATTTATTTTGTATCCATCCTACATGCCCTTCTTGGGGTGGCTAGGGACTGTCCTCCATGTCCTCCTTACTCAGGGAGCCTAGCGGATGGAGTGGCGCCGTCTGGAACCGGGACAGCAGTAGTGGCAGGAAGAAGGAAAATGTGGCAAATTGCAAATTGGTTGGTGAGCCTGCCACTGGGAAGTGACCTGTGTCACTTCCACTCGCTTTTCTTTGGCCTCCAACACTGATTCAGAAGGCGGGGAAGTACGATTTCACCATGCTTCCAGGGGGGCAGAATAAGAATATGCAGTGGCCAGCCTCAATGATTGCTGCAATAATTTTCATCTTTTTTTTTCTTTATCCTTTCATTCTTACAAAACTTGCACATGGTAACCAATAGCTCCATTCTAGGGTGAAGGAAAGAGCCTGAGTCTCTGCTGTGGCTGGGGACAGGAAATGCACCCACCTGCCAAGCTGCTGGTGACACCTGGTGGCAGCCAGGAAGCCCCAGACTCCTGAGGGAGGAGCAGTGTCCCTATTCTCCGGCCCCCAGGTGAGAGTTCCCAGCACTGGCTGGCCTGCTGGGCTGAGCAGGTATCTGGGGATGAGGACTTAGGAGTATGAAGGCCAAGGGCTCCCTGGGAGGGAAGAGAAGGTTTCTCCAGAGATGTTCACAGGGCGTGGGATCTCTAGGTAGTAAAAGGAATGCAACCTGGCTTCTTGCTCCCAGAAGGTGAAGCCAGACGTATTGTGATGTGTGGCAATCTAAATGACAAAATACTTTGTGGACACGGTTGGGAAGTACAGATAATGACATTACATCATGTCCATTACATAAACGAAGTGAAAAAAAGGTAGATACAAAAATAAGACTACAAATGACAGTTTGAAAAGAATGTTGTGTGTGTGTGTGTGTGTGTGTGTGTGTGTGTGTGTGTAGCAGGTATGAATAAGTCCACAAACTATATGGGCAAGACATATTTGATTCCTTTATTTCCTTTTAATCAACTTAGTCCTGCCTCTGAGCTCTCATTCATCCTGATAAAAATTTGTCCCCAGTTATTTTTAGGGTTTCCCACTGCCATGGTTGTGCTGGGGTCTCTCGTCCATAGCTGCAAAACACTGGCATTCTCCTGTGATTTTTGAGTCCATGGATACAGCCTTCTTCCACTCCACACAGTCCGTGGAAGCCCCCCATCTGGCTGGGGTACACGAATCAATCTTGGTGGGCCCGGAGACTCGATTCCTCAGAGGCACCCTCTGCAGCGTCACCCCGGAAGTCTTGCCACACCACCCACCCCCCATTCTCACCTCTCCTTTCTGCCTTCTTCCTTCTCTCCCACCTGCCCCTCAGAACACATACTCTTGAATGAGTTTAAGTTTTTCAAGAGGAAGAAGTACATCAGCCTTGCTGAAATAATCGAATAAGGGGATACCAGCAACATGGAAACCAGAAACCAGCCTGGACAACCTGGTGAAACCCCGTCTCTACTAAAAAAAAAAAAAAAATTTCAAAAATTAGCCGGGTGTGGTGATGCGTGCTCATAGTCCCAGCTACTCAGGAGGCTGAAGCACGAAAATTGCTTAAACCCGGGAGGCGGAGGTTGCAGTGAGCCGAGATCACACCACTGCACTCCAGCCTGGGCGACAGAGCAAGTCTTTGTCTCAAAGTAATAATAATAATAATAAACATTGAATGTACCTCTTCCTCAGGGAAAGGAGGTTAAATAAAGCTGGATTTCCATCTGAAAAGGGAGATAGAGGGGAAATATGGACAATAACATATGAAGTAAGAGTCAGAAAAAAATCTGTACATGTAAATAGATGTATATGGAATCACCTCATAATGTCACGGTGATTGTTTATGGAGAGTGAGGTTGCAGGTGAGTTTTATTTTCGACCCCACCTCTGGTACTCATGACCTTTGTGTGGCCCTCTCCCACTCTGTAACAGGGCGAGTTTGGGTGACCTATAGAATACAGCAGAAGTGAAGGTTCGTCACTCCCCACTGAGGCTATATAAAGGGCTGTAGTTTCCATCTTGGACACTGTCTCTCTTGCTCTTTCTCTCACATCATTTATTCTTAAGGGAAATTTTGTCCTGAGAAGCACTATAGAGGGGCCCAGCCATGGCCTCCTGCCAACAGCCACATGAGTGAGCTTAGAACCAGACCCTAGCAGGCCACTGATGCAATCCATCTGTAGTCCCAGCTAGTTGGGAGGCTGAGGCTAGAGAATTACTTGAGCCCAGGAGTTCAAGGCAGCAGTGAGCTATGATCACAACGCTGAAAAAGCAGCAGATCCTGCAACCTGCCAAGGCTTCACATGAGAATAGCCCTGACAACATCTGGACTGCAACCTCTTGAGACTCCCTGAGTCAGAACTACCCAGCATATTTCAGACGAGACCATAAAAGAGGAAGAAAAGAACCACCTGGCTGAGCTGCTCTCAGTGATAGTGAGATAACAGATGTTTGATATTTTAAGCTGCTGGGTTTTGGAGATAACCTGTTACACAACAACAAATAACTAACACAGTATTTTCCCCGCAATTTTCAAGTTCTATATAATGTACATATATTGCCTTACAACCAGAAAAAAAATGTTTTCAAAGATCAAGTAAATCCTTCATTCCAGTGTGATACAGAACAACCTGTTCAGTTGTCTGTCTGAGTACCATCACTGCTTTGCACACCTGTACCCACTGAAGTCCATGTGGTAAGACACCAGCTACACACCAGGGAGGCCTGAACAGGGGTTGGTCTTAATTTGGTTTTGCCAGAGAACTTCGTGTTGCAAAACATCCCATAAAAAGGGATGATTCTTTTCGTGTGATGCAGGTCTTGCAAATGTAGCCAAAAATCAGTTAATTCCCTCAGGAAATTGGATAACATTTAAACCTGGTTAACTGCCTCAAACGTTGTATAAAGTAATAAATAGCATTTGACTATTACCAACAGCTACATTTTGTTTATAGAGGATTTTCTTTCTTTTATTTTTTTTTATTATTATTTTTTTTTAGAGACAAGGTCTCCTTCTGTCGCCCAAGCTGGAGTGCAGTGGTGCAATCACGGCTCATTGCAGCCTCAACCTCCCAGGCTCAAATGATCCTCCCAGCTCAGCTTTTTGGGCACCTGGAACTACAGGCACATGTCACCACACCCAGCTTGGATTTCCCAAAATTGGAAATGTACATTTTTCTTTTGAAGGTCAGTGGGCCTAGAACAAAATGTGGCATGGTAGGGAGAATGCTGTCCTTGAACCTGAAGCCTTCCCTCTGCCAGGAACAGCTCTGTGGCTCTGCAACAAGTCACTTTGCCTCTCTGGCCAGTTTCCTTATATGTAAAACAGCAGTGTTGAATATACTATCTCTAATGACTCCAAAAATTTGTTACCCTATATAGTCTTGCTTTAACCTACCATGGTATTTTGGCTCTTGAATGACAAGCCTGAGCCCCCACTCATGATGGATGTTGCACTATCCAGTATGGAGGCCACTATGTGCATGTGGCTAAATTCAAATTAATTTAAATGAACTAAAATTAAAATGTATTTCTCTGTTGCAGTAGCCATGTTTCAGGTGCTCCATAGCACCTGCAGCCAGTGGCGATGTATGACACAGCGCAGAGTTAGAGCACTTCCACCATCACAGAAAGTTCTACTGGACAGCTGCTCTAGGGCCTCACCTCTCCAAGTGTGGTCCACGAACCAGCAGCACCACATTACCTAGGAGCCCTTAGAAATGTAGACTGGGCTCAGACTGGGCACAGTGGCTCACGCCTGTAATCCCAGCACTTTGGGAGGCCAAGGCAGGCTGATCACCTGAGGTCAGGACTTCAAGACCAGCTTGGTCAACATGGTGAAACCCCGTCTTTACTAAAAATACAAAAATTAGCCAGGCGTGGTGGCAGGTGCCTGTAGTCTCAGCTACTCGGAAGGCTGAGGCAAGAGAATCGCTTGAATTCAGGAGGCGGAGGTTGCAGTGAGCTGAGACTGTGCCATTGCACTCCAGCCAGGGCAATAAGAGTGAAACTCCGTCTCAAAAAAAAAAAAGAAAAGAAAGAAAGAAAAGAAAAGAAACGTAGACTCTTGGGCCCTACCCCAGATCAGCCGAATCAGAATCTGGATTTTAACAAGATTCCCCAGTGCCTCCTGCAGGTGTGAGTTTGAGAAGCCCTGCTATAGGGAATGTTCTCTGCTGAGCAGGTGACTGGAAGGACAGAGTGGTGGTTAGATGTGTGTCCTCGGCCGGATGCAGTGGCTCATGCCTGCAATCCCAGCACTTTGGGAGGCCGAGGCTGGAGGATCACTCGAGCCCAGGAGTTAGAGACCAGCCTGGGCAACATAGGGAGACCTTGTCTTTACAAAAACATAAACAAAATTAGCCGGGCATGGTAGTGCATGCCTGTGGTCCCAGCTACTTGGGAGGCTGAGGCAGGAGGATCACTTGAGCCTGGAAGGTCAAGGATGCAGTGAGCCAAGATCGTGCCACTGCACTCCAGCCTGGGCAACAGAGTGAGACCTTGTCTCAAAAAAAAAAAAAAAAAAAAATTGTGGCCTCTGTGACCACACTCAGCGGATGTGTAGCCTGGCTACTTCTTGGCTGTGTGAACTTAGGCAAATTTCTTAACCCTTCTGGGCTCCAGTTTCCTTATTCAGAAAATAGTATCCATCTCATGGGAAACTCTGAGGCCATAACAATATAAGACAATTATCACAGTGCCTCCCTAACACACAGTAAGTGCTCTTTAAATGACAGTTTTGTTATTTTGGGGTTCTGCAAGGTTTCAGGTTTCTGACAACCCCAGGCCTTGAGATCCAATGCAGACAACAGGCCAAGAGCGGCTCTTCTCCTTTCTGCCACAGGGTGGCGCTGTGTCACAACGTCCTTTCCTCTCCCGCAGACTTGGAGCTGGCTCCCCGGCAGGAAACCAGAATTTGAGATTTCCGCTGTCTCTGTTTCCGATTACTAAGCACGACCGGGCAGCCTGGACACCGATCCAAGCATTCATCTGGCAGATAATAGGAAAACAGTCCTCAGCTTTGTATCCAGTTGGAATGCAAAAGTAAGGGTCGAACCAAGAGTTCAATAAGGGCTGTGTGAAAGTGGTCGTGGAAGCCGGAGACTCCTGATGGAGGGCTGGGGGCAGGGAAGTTTCGGATTTTCTGTATCAGCTGTGCAACGACTTGTGTTCCTTGAACCACATGTTCAAACTACAGCCCTTTGCTGGCCAAGTATATGGGTGTGTGTGTGGGCGGGGAGTCGGGGTGGGGAGCCTGTGGGAGGTGTGGGTGTGAGAAGGAGAGACAGAGAGAGGATTTTTAATGTTTTGAAACAGGGTCTTGCTCTGTTCTCAGGCTGGAGTGCAGTGGTGCAATCACAGCTCACTGCAGCCTCGACCTCCCTGGCTCAAGCAATCCTCCCGTCTCAGCCTCCTGAGTAACAGGGGCCACAGGCATGTGCCACCATGCTCGGCTAATTTTTTATTTTTGGTAGAGATGGGAGTCTCCCTATGTTGCCCAGGCTGGTCTCAAACTCCTGGGCTCAAGGGATCCTCCCATGTCAGTCTCCCAAAGTGCTGGGATTACAGGTATGACCCGCCGTTTCTGGCTGGGATTTTTTAAGGAGTCGATTTCTAAAGTTTCTCAAACTTGAGCCTACCTCACAGTCACCTGGGGAGGCTTGATTGCTTGGCCATAGTCTCAGAATTTTCAATTCAGTGGGAGGTCTGGCCTGAATAATTTGCATTCCAAACAAGCTCCCAGGTGATGCTGACGCTTCTGATCCAGGGACCGCCCTTCACTACCCTAAACTGAAAAGCTCACCTGGACCAAATTAGATACTCCTAGTTCAAGAGAAGGACATCACTCCAGAGGAAGTTCCTTTAACACCCCACCCATGGTGACACCCTCAGCACTCTTAGGAACCTCTTAAGTCCCCCTTGGGCCATGTCAGGGGACTTGTCAGCCTGAAACCCCATGTGGACAGGAAAAGTGGCTACAGGGCCAGGAGCTAGGGTTATTCCCAAGTTAAGGTCCCCACTTCCCTCCAGACTCTTAATTCATAACTCTTGCTGTGTCCTGAGAAGGGTGATTAAGACCCTCAAAACCCTGCTTAGTCCCACTTGTGGCACCAAACCTGCGGAGAGCACTCTTTTTGCCTGATGCCACCAGTCCAAAGCAGAGTCACTTCCCCCTAGAAATAGGAAACAGCAGAGGTCTGGATGATTCTGATGGGGGTGTTGGACATTTCAGAGGGAGGGTGGACAACTCAGATGGGACCCCCACTGGTTGATACAGGCTGATTGGAACAGTCATGACCAGAGAGAGTGTCCTAAGAACAAGCCTGTGTCCTCCTCTGAGTTCCTCAGGCACTAGGGCCTCTGCATGTATGGCACTGATCATATACTGCCTGGCCATGAGTCGTGAGCTTTGCTATTCTTTTAAAAAGAGTATGTGGCCCAATCAGGATGTGCCAGGCTCAGCACCAAGCTTGAATGGGAGCCCACATCCTCACAATGGGGAAAACACGCAGATGTCAAAGCACATCTCACATATGTGTAGTGGGCCTATGTATGCAGCTGCCAGGCTCTGAGCCTTCTTTGAGTTCCCCTAAAACCTAGTTTCCCAAGCAGTGCAGTGAGGCCCACTGGTGGGCCATGAGATGAGTAAGGGAGGCCAGAAGCTAATGTTTTAAGTCTAAATAGTTTTAAGGAATAGCTATCTTTATAAGGTTGAGATAAAGATAAAATAAATTTGGTAAAAGTAAGGTGAGTTGATTTAGAGAACAATAATAGGCTATAGGATAAGTGCTTATCTGAAGTTTGGGAAACACTGGCCAACAGAATTCACACATGCAAAAGTGTGGGTGAGTAACGGAGACTTCACTGGAGACTTCATGGTAGCAATTGAGGAGGGGTCTTTATGTAGCACAGCCCACATCCCACACAGCCATAGGACCCCACAGGACTCATTTTCATTCTTCCCAAGTCCATTCATGGCCACACAGTCACGGGATCTTTTTGTGTTTTTGTTTTGAGACAGGTTCTCGCTCTGTCGCCCAGGCTGGAGTGTAGTGATGCTATCTTGGCTCACTGCAACCTCGACCTCCCTGGTCTCGGGTGATCCTCCCACCTCAGCCTCCCAAGTAGCTGAGAACACAGGCATGCACCACCATGCCTGGCTAATTTTTTGTACAAACGGGGTTTTGCCATGTTGCCCAGGCTGGTCTCAAACTCTTGAGCTCAAGCCATCCGCCCCCCCTCAGCCTCCCAAAGTGCTGGGATTACAGATGTGAACCACTGTGCCCAGTCCACTGGGTCTTTCTTTTTTTTTTTTTTTTTTTTTGAGACAGAGTCTTGCTCTGTTGCCCAGGCTGGAGTGCAGTGGCGTGATCTCGGCTCACTGCAACCTCCGCCTCCCGGGTTCAAGCGATTCTCCTGCCTCAGCCTCCCAAGCAGCTGAGACTACAGGCACGTGCCACTACGACCAATAATTTTTTGTATTTTTAGTAGAGACGGGGTTTCACCGTGTTAGCCAGGATGGTCTTGATCTCCAGACCTTCTGATCCGCCTGCCTCGGCCTCCCAAAGTGCTGGGATTACAGGCGTGAGCCACCGCGCCCGGCCTGGGTCTTTTTATTGTCTGTGTTTCTGCCACTTGGGTGCAGATTCCTGGCTCCATACAGGGGCCACACCCTACATCACCACCTTCAGTTCTTTCCCTTTATTATGAAGAAGATTCAGCTGTCTCCCAAATTCCACCCCAAACTCTGAAACTGGGGAAAGTTTATATAGTTTATATTGTAAAGGTCAATGAATACCAGTAAAGCCATTTTAAAAAAAATGCTTTATTAATGAAGATAGTAATGCAGAATGGTGCAACTACTTTGAAAACAGTTATGCAGTTTCTTAAATGATAAACATACACGCACTGATAACCCAGCCATTCCACTCCTAGGTATTTACTGTATTCACCCAAGGTAATATATGGCCATAGAAAGACTTGTACAATAATGTTCATAACAGCTTAATTAGTAATGGCTAAAAACTGAAAACAACCCAAATGTCCACCAACAAGTGAATGGATAAACAAATTGAGATGTTTCCATTCAATGAAATACTCTCAGAAATTAAAAAGGAATGAACTATTGATACATTCAACGATATGGATGAATTGCAGAAAAACTACACTGAGTGAAAGAAGCAAGATAAAAGGAATACGTACTATATTATTCCATTCAGATAACATTCTAGAAAATGGGCCAGGTGTGGTGGCATGCATCTGTGGTCCCAGCTACTTGAGAGGCTGAAGTTGGAGAATCACTTGAGCCCAGGAGGTCAAGGCTGCAGTGAGCTATGATCATGCCACTGCACTCCAGCCTGGGTGACACAGTGAGACTCTGTCTCTGAAAAACTACGAAATAAAAATAAAGGAAAAAGTGTAAGGGCCCTTTCCACAGACACAGCACAGCCTTGATCCTGCTCCCCAGAGCCAACTACTGTTAGCAATTTACTGAGCAACCTCTCAGGTTATTTCTTATGAATACACATGAATTTATAGAGATTTTATTTTTACAGAAACAGGATTATACCGTACATATGGTTCTGCAACTGCTTTTTTATGAAATAATGTGAGGGCCTTGGAGAAATAAAGTTTAACTCCAATGTACACTTTAACATGATTATGCTGTCCCCTTGCCACAGGGCTTGGGAGAAATTAGACTAAGCCAAATCAGGTAGCCACTCTTGAGAAAAGTACATAACTAGGCTGGGCGTGGCAGCTCACACCTGTAATCCCAGCACCTTGGGAGGCCGAGGCAGGAGGATTACTTGAGCCCAGGAGTTCAAGACCATCCTGGGCAACAGATCAAGACTGCATCTCTTGCTAAAGAATTAAAATTACTAAAAATTAAAAAATTAGTTTTCATTTTTAAAATTAAAATTACTACTACTAAAAATTAATTTAAAAAATTTTTTTACTAAAATTAAAAATTAAAAAATTACTACTAAAAATAAAAAAATTAGCCAGGTGTGGTGGTGAGCACCTGTGGTCCCAGCTACTCAGGAGACCAAGGTGGGAGGATCGCTGAGTCCAGGAGGTCAAGCCATGTTCATGCCACTGCACTCCAACCTGGGTGACAGAGAAAGACCTTGTCTCAAAAAAATAAATATAAAAAAAGAAAGAAAAATGCATAGCTAAATACTGAGTCCAGGATCACTGAGTCCAGGAGTTCAAGGCTGCACTGAGCCATATTCATGCCACTGCACTCCAACCTGGGTGACAGAGAAAGATCATGTCTCAAAAAATAAATATAAAAAAAGAAAGAAAAATGCATAGCTAAATACCCATCTCCTGTTCCATTAGATTCTCCCTAGGGATGCTAGTGGATCTGCTGTAGAGAGGGAGACACAAACCTCTCCCTGGACTTGGGGGTGTGGGAATGTCTTTGGGAAAGCCATCAGCAGGGGCTGACTGTGGTCGGGGTGAGCAGAGCCGTTGCCAATTTTGCAAGGTGAGAAAGTAAGTTTTTATTAACACAGCAGAATGTTTCAAGTCTGTTCTCTGGAAACCTAAGATGTACTTACTGTGCCTTCACATAGAGTCTAGGTCATGTTCTCGTTATCCTTGGGAGGTGGTGGTGTGGTGTGCACAGGGACCGGGCTCCGAAGTGCAGCAAAATGGGTTGGAATCCCAGCTCTCACCCTTGCCAGCTGGGTGACCTTGGGCAAGTCACATGTCCTTCCCCATTGGCTTCCACTGGCTTGTTGTGGAGGTTCATGCTGTAGCCGTATGGGCGGTGCCTGGTAATTCGTAGCCAATCAGCAGCCCCTAGGAAGCTAATTTTACTGGTCTCCTATTATTATTACTTCCTATTGAGGTCATTGACCTCAGGTTTTGCCAACAGCCTTCCCCTCCCGCAAAGGCAACTGGCGCCCCCTCTCAACTCTTTCCAGGTCAGCAGCAGCAAATAGCTAAAATTTGCTGTGAAATCTTGGCTTGCAGGGCCCGTATTGATTTTGTTCTCGAAGCCTTTCAAGTAGCCGCTGCCCTGTGATCTCCCTGCAAAGCCCCTTACAAAACCCAGCAGCTTCCCCAGACAGCTACTGGAGACACATATGCTTCTAGAAAGAAACCCGGACCCCTGGGCCACTAGAACCAGTCCTGTCTTTATCTCAAAGCCCCAAGGTCTCAGAGCTCAGTGTGTTTATCAGGTCATTTAGCAGCTACCCAGGTAATGGTTGAGGAGCATGGGCAGGAGGCTCCTGCCTCATCACCTTCCTCTCAACAGATATTGATCTCGTTCCACTATGTGCAAGGGAACCACACACAATGCTCCCAGGACCTTTGACGTCCCAGTGCTGCTTGTTGGCTAGGGTAGTGGTAAACAAAGGAAAGGCAACCTTAGCTGAGTCCCTGCCTCCATTCTTGCCAAAATTTAAACCAGGTCAATTTTTCCGGCCTAGTGCACCCTTTAACTTTGTTGCTGAACTGTTTGCTAGTCCTGGTGGCTCAGCAAGGACTAGGGAAGGCAGGTGGCCTGGCTGAGACCCTGCAGCTCAGTTCCTGCCACGGACTCAGCACTAGCCAGGTGTGTGGCCTTCAGACAACTCACTCACCTCTCAGTGCTGTTTTCACACATCATTTTCTAAGTTTTGTGGAAGTAAGACCACAGGCCAAAATGCCACACTAGACTAACAGAGAAACCTCTTCCAGAAGTTTCTGCAGCAGCCCACACACTAGTGATGATGGTGAGTGGATGCTCCCTTGTAAACCAGATGCTTGTGAGGCAAGAGCTGCCTATGTCTAGAAGGGTGTTTTGTTTTTTGTATTTTTGTTTTTTTGAGACAGGGTCTCCCTCTGTTGCCCAGGCTGGAGTGCAGTGGTGCAATCTCAGCTCACTGCAACCTCTGCCTCCCAGGTTCAAACAATTCTCCTGCCTCAGCCTCCCGAGTAGCTGGGATGACAGGCACGTGCCACCACGCCCGGCCAATTTTTGTATTTTTAGTAGAGATGGAGTTTCACCATATTGGTCAGGCTGGTCTCGAACTCCCGACCTCAGGTGATCTCCCTGCCTTGGCCTCCCAAAGTGCTGGGATTACAGGTGTGAGCCACTGTGCCTGGCCTCTAGAAGGGTTGTAACACAGATAGTTGGAACAAAAAGGTATTTCCATCCTCCAAGGACCTGTCTAGACATGAAGGCTGACTGTGAGAGGAGAGATTTAGAGGAGATGGGTCACCATGGGGGTCAGACCCACAGATGGGGATGGGGAAGAAGAGGTGATAATCCTTAGCAACCTACGTACAACCACAGAAGCTGGTGCTGGCTAAGTCAGGCAGAAAAGAAACTTAGTGAGAGGATACTGGGTGGCCACACAATGGTGGGAAGACAGAACTGTGTCTGCAAAATGGGGAAGAAGGAGGGATGTCATGGGACTGGAGCCCACGTCACACCCCTGGAGGTAGCTTGTTCTGGTATCACTGGGTCTGGTTGTGGTGACTGCCCCTGTGGCCACTGTTAAAGTAGATCCCCACCAACCTGAAGTCTGAGGTGAGTGCCTCCAACCAGCCAAGCCCTAACCACAAGGGAAGCTTCGAGAGAGTGTGCCTTACCTTAGCAGGGGTCTTTGCCTAACACAAAGCTGACTTTGCCTCTCACCATGTTGAATGGGGTGGTCCCAAACTCAGGAAGTGGGGTCAAGGCTGGGTGGCCAAAAATTCAACAAATGTCCCAGAGTGGAAGGCCAGCTGATCAGTCTCTGAAACTGTGCTTACTGATGAGAGGTGGAAGCTATTCATGGGGCAACTGGGGGCTCCAACCGACAGTAACAGGTCTCCAGGAGGCAGCAACAGGGGCTCTCAGAGGAAGCCTCATCTCGTGACTCTCCATTGGGGACAGTGTTGGCAATGTCTGGGCAAGGTCTAGCTCCGTCACCTATGATGGGGTGCAGTGGCACAATCTTGGCTCACAGCCTCTGCCTCCAGGGCTCAAGCCATCCTCCTACCTCAGCCTCCCAAGTAGCTTGGACCACAGGTATACACCACCATGCCCAGCTAATTTTTTTTTTTCTTAATAGAGACAGGGTTTTGCCATGCTGCCCAGGCTGGTCTCAAACTTATGAGCTCAAGTGATCCACCACCTTGGACTCCCAAAGTGCTGGGATCACAGGTGTGAGCCACTGTGCCCAGCTGATTAAATCTTAAAGCTCCAAAATAATCTTCTTTGACTCCATGTCTCACATCCAGGCTGGGTTCTCACATCTTGGGTGAGGGGTGCTACTGGCATCCAGTGGGTAGAGGCCAAGGGTGCTGGTAAACATTCTGTGATGCCCAGGACAGCCACATGCCCCCAGTGAAGAATTATCCCACTAAAATGTCAACAGTGCTGAGGCTGAGAATCCCTGATTTATTCAGAGGTCCTCACAGGTCAGCTCATCAGGCATGTCTGCAGAGAGGACAACAGCCTGGACATGTGGCCTGAATTTTGGGGGAGACCCATTCTTGTAGCAAGGACAGGGGAAATGAACTGTGTTTGGAAAAGGCAAGGCAGGAACCCCATCCTAAGTGCCCCGAGCTTCTGGGCAAGTTATGATGACTGAGCCTCAGGAACAAGGACTGCATAGGTATTTGCTTACAACCTGAACGAGCATTCAAGATGCTGGAACAGGCAGATACTAGGGATGCAGCATGAAAGCCTGAGAGTCTGCAGTTGGCTGGGACCAGAGATGGAATGCTGAGGTGGTATGGTTTGGCTCTGTGTCCCCACCCAAATCTCATCTCAAATTGCAATCCCCACATGTTGCGGGTGGGGCCTGGTGGGAGTCCACCCCCATGATTCAATCACCAGTCTCAGGTAGTTCTTCATAGCAGTGTGAGAATGAACTAATACAGGAAATTGGTACTGGGAGTCAGGCACTGCTATAGAAATACCTAAAAATGACAAAGTGACTTTGGAATTGGGTAACATGCAAAGGTTGGAAGAGTTTGGAGGGTTCAGAAGAAGACAGGAAGATGTGGAAAGTTAGAAACTTCCTAGAGACTTGTTGAGTGGTTTTGACCAAAATGCTGATAGTGATATGGACAACGAAGTCCAGGCTGAGGTGCTCTCAGATGGAGATGAGAAATTTACTGGGAACTGGAGTAAAGGTCACTCTTACTATGCTTTAGCAAAGAGACTGGTGGCATTTTGCCCCTGCCCTAGAGATCTGTGGGACTTTCCATTTGGAAGTGATGACATATGATATCTGGTAGAAGAAATTTCTAAGCAGCAAAGCATTCAAGATGTGACCTGGCTGTTTCTAAAAGTGTATGCTGATATGCATAGAGAAAGAGATGGTTTGAAATTGGAACTTACATTTAAAAGTGAAGCAGAGCATAAAAGTTTGGAAAATTTGCAGCCTGACCATGCAGTAGAAAAGAAAAACCCATTTTCTGGGGAGAAATTCAAGCCAGCTACAGAAATTTGCATAAGTAAAGAGGAGCCAAATGTTAATTGCCAAGACAATGGGGAAAATATCTCCAGGGCATGTCAGAGACCTTCACAGCAGCCCCTTGTATCACAAGCCCAGAGGCCTAGGAGGGCAAAATGGTTTTATGGGCCAGGCCCAGGGCCCAGCTGCTCTGTGCAGCCTTGGGACATGGCACATGGGAGCCCACCTCTTACATCAGCATGGCCTGGATGTGAGACATGGAGTCAAAGAAGATTATTTTGGAGCTTTAAGATTTAATCAGCTGGGCACGGTGGCTCACACCTGTGATCCCAGCACTTTGGGAGCCCAAGGTGGTGGATCACTTGAGCTCACAAGTTTGAGACCAGCCTGGGCAGCATGGCAAAACCCTGTCTCTTTAAAAAAAAAAAAATTAGCTGGGCATGGTGGTGTGTACCTGTGGTCCAAGCTACTTGGGAGGCTGAGGTAGGAGGATGGCTTGAGCCCTGGAGGCAGAGGCTGTGAGCCAAGATTGTGCCACTGCACCCCATCATAGGTGACGGAGCCAGACTTTGCCTCGGAAAAAAAAAAAAAAGATTTAATGACTGTACTGATGGGTTTCAAAATTGCATGGGGCCTGTAGCCCCTTTGTTTTGGCCAACTTCTCCCATTTGGAATGGGTGCATTTACCCAATGCCTGTACCCCCATTTTATCTTGGAAGTAACTAACTTGTTTTTGATTTTACGGTCTCATAGACGGATAGGACTGGCCTTGTCTCTGATGAGACTTTGGACTTGGACTTTTGAGTTGATGCTGGAATGAGTGAAGACTTTGGAAGACTCTTAGGAAGGCCTGATTGGTTTTGAAATGTGAGAAGGATATGAGATTTGGGAGGGGCCAGGGGCAGAATGATGTGGTTTAACTCTGTGTCCCCACCCAAATTTCATGTTGAATTGTAATCCCCGGTGTTGGGGGAAAGACCTGGTGGGAGGTGATTGTATCATAGGGGCAGTTTCCCCCTTGCTGTTCTTGTGATAATATGTGAGTTCTCACAAGATCTGATGGTTTAAAAGTGCGTGGCACTACCCGCTTCGTGCTCTCTCTCTCTCCTGCTCTGCCATGGTAAGATGTACCTGCTTCCCTTTCACCTTCTGCCATGATTGTAAGTAGTTTCTTGAGGCCTCCCAGCCATGCTTCCTGTCAAATCTGTGGAACTTGAGTTGATTAAACCTCTTTTCTTCATAAATTACCCAGCCTCAGGTAGTTATTTATGGCAGTGTGAGAAAGGACTAATACATGTGGCTTCAGCTCTGGGGAGGAGAGGCAAAAGGGGTGAGGAGCCAGGAACTGCTGGCTTCCAGTCAGACCTTAAGGCCAACCACAGTTTAGTCCTTGGGTCCAGCCTCCTCAGTTGGGTTGTCATTGTCATCTCCTTAGACACATGATGGTGGGTGGGGTAAAGGGGACAGATAAATCAAGATCTCAAGGGAGGCAGAAATTTGTACAACTGGGAAGCAAGACAAATGTCTACTTGTTTTCATAATGCAATGGGCCGAAATTAAAGCTTTGCATAATATTCTTGGTTGGTGGTTTTTTTGTGTTTTTTTATTTTTTTAATTTTCATAGAGATGAGGTCTCACTATGTTGCCCAGGCTGGTCTCGAATTCTGGGCTCAAGCAATCCTCCTGCTTTGACCTCCCAAAATTGTGGAATTATAGGCATGAGCTACCCCAACCAGCCCAGGATATTGTTTAGAAAGTATCAAGAAACCTGGTATAAACAATATATCAAAGTTCTGTCTGATTTTCCATAGACACACAGATGGTGCTAATTTTCCATGTTGGTAAAATGCTTTGGCTTTTGCAAAACCCTTTCAGGGCTCTTAGCATCTCAGCAACCCTGTGAGGTAGCCATTAACAATCCCATTTGACAGGCAAGGAAACTGAGGCTTGAAAAGGCCGGGCAGCTCACCCACAGCCACAGGGCTAGCTAGAGCCTCAACTCTTCCTTGCCTTTCTTCTTCTGTAGGAAACATTTATGTCAGTTCCAAGGGGCATTTGAAAACTCCACGAACTCAGAGGTTGATCCACCAACCTCAGCCTCCCAAAGTGCTGAGATTACAGGCGTGAGCCACCACATCTGGCCTCTGTATACATTCCTTCCCCCCATTACCCCCCAGAAACAGGGTCTTGCTCTGTTGCCCAGGCTCTGGATACAGTGGCACAATTATAGCTCACGGCAGCCTCACACTCCTGAGCCACCACACCTGGCTATTTCTTATATTTAGTTATTTGTTATAGTTATTCCACTTGCCTGATCACCCTACTCCTTTTGGGTTTTAGGTTTTTAATTCTTTAGGGAAATCTGGTACTATTTCCTAGTAAAATGCTCCATATATCTTAGGGGATTCTGGCCCAAGATTAGGAAAGAAAATTGGTAGATAGGGGATGGCTGCTGGAGAAAAGTCTTACTGACAGCAGCAAGAAATGACAGTTATTAGTCTGACAGTGAGAGAGTCACTGTGACCTGGGCACTTTTCCTTTTTTGCTGCTTTACATTGTGGTGAGCCTGCTCTCTTCTTCTTGGCTGCCTTCTCCCACTTGGGTTTGGCACAATTTCCCCTTTGGGAAAAACAACGTCCTAGCAGCCATCTACTTATAATTTCTCTCACATGGCCAGGCACTCATTGGAGGCTGCTGTTCTTTGGGAAATGCCCTCTTCAGCAGCCTTGATGAATGTGGGGAGAAAGCCTCAGGAATTGGCTTCCCTTTAAGGAATATGGACTGTCCTTCTCTTTTACTAAATTGGTGCTAATTGCCATTGTGAACATTTGCTTGTTTCATTTTATTATCTTTTTGAGATATATTTCTTTTTAGTCCTAGGCTTATATTTAAACTAATGTGTAATTATTGTTTGGAATTCTTAATAATCCACTCAACCCTGCTCAAGAGGCAAATATTTTAGCACTGGAAAATATTTATATGTGTCTTCATGGTTTCTTATTCTGGATGCAACTATAAAATAATAAACTACAACAAATATCTTCCAAACAGTAATTATACATTTATTCATATCAGATCCCTTTAAGCTATTTCACTAGTTTGGTGGTGTCTAAGCAATATGGTGACATGCATTTCCTATCCAAGTCAACTGGGTTCCCTTTTTGCAGCTGACATCTCTAAGAGCTGAGACTCTTAATCTGCAAAAGTCATTTTGTAATAGCTTTCTTGAAGTACAACTGGCATACAACAAACTACATATATTTGAAGTATGCAATTCAACATGTTTTGACATATTTATACACCAGTGAAACCATCACCACAATCAAGATAACGTATCTATCACCCCAGAAAATTTTCTCAAGCCCATTTGTAATTTCTCACTCCTGCCCTTTTTCACCTTCCCCTCCTCATTTCCCAGGCAATAACTGAACTGCCTACTGTCACCATAAATGAGTTTCCATTTTCTAGAATTTTATATAAATGAAATTAAGCCATATGTCCTATTTTTACTGGCTTCATTCACTCAATGTAATTTTGTGATTCATCCATGTTGTGTTGTATCAATACTTCATTCCTTTTTGTTATTGAGGACTATGTCCACTGTATGAATACAATGCAATTTGTTTACCCATCCATGTCCCTGTTAAGGGACAGTTGGCTTGTTTCCAGTTTTGGGGCCATTATAGATAATGCTGCTGTGAGCATTTGTGTACAAATCTTTGTGTGGACCTACGCTTTCTCGTCTTTTGGGTAAATACCTAGGAGTGGAATAGTTGGATCTTACGGTAGATGTTTATCTAGCATATTAAGAAAGTGCCAAAAAATGAAAAAGAAACAGTAAACTGTTCTTTCAAATGTTTTCCATTCCCACTAGCAGGGTATGAGAGTTCTAGTTTCTTCACATTCTTGCCAAAATTTGGGATGATCAGTCTTTTAAACTTTAGACATTGTAACATATGCATAGTGGTATATTGTGGTTTTAATTTGCATTTCCCTTATGACTAATGATCATAAGGGATCATTAGTCAATGATGCCTTCATCATTGACTGATGACCAAAGCATCATCTTTGGTGAAATGTGGAATTAAATCTTTGCAAAAGTAAAATTTTGCACAGTTTAGTGTCCTGTGTCATTTATTTGCCAAACATCACAATGCTATGACCTGCTACTTCCTGACACACTGACTTAACCCCTCTAAGTGTGCATTCAAAATCCTAGCATCAGTAAAAGCCAGCATTTATGAGGTGCTTATTACATGCCATTGCCTGTGCTTAGCATTTTATGCGTACTAACTCAGTTATTCCTTACAACATCTCACTTTTTGGGTGAGAAAACAGTGACCCAGAGAGATGAAGCAACTTGCCCCAAATCACACAGCTAGTTCAGTGGTAGAGCAGGGGCTCAAAGTTGTGTGGGAAGTGGGAGAGAAGAATATAAAGAAGCATTGGTCTGCAGTTGAGAATTCATCTGCGGTTTTTCCACATCCTTTGTGCAGAAGGTGAATAGATCGTGGAATTGATCTGGAGTCCAGAATTTTGCCAAGTGCAGAGGACCACAGGGTATGATATCGACCAAGTTATTTGAAGTGACTGATTAGGTGATCTTGACTAGCTAGAGAAGGAAGACAGAAGAAAGAAAGAGCAACAATGGAGGAGTCAGAGGGCTCCAGGAGGTTGGAGGGCCATGACAGGCAAGAGAGTGCTGCAAACATGGATGATTTTGGCTAAAGTGAGATGTAGGAACTTGGGAATTCATAGGCGACAGGGCTCCTAGTACTGATGGGGTTCAGGCACAAGGAGGTTGGATACTGGCAATCAGGAAATGAAGGGCAATGTCACTAAATGGCTTGAGTCCCAAAGAGATAGTCATTTATTTTAATTTTTTTCTAGAGAAAAACAGTTTAGATGCATTCAGACTATTTTCTGTTTTTTCATTCACATGTTATTTTTTATGGAATGAAATCTATCAATATCTTCCTTTATGGTTTGGGTGATGTTTCAGGGTGTTCAATCATCCCCATTTGCATGGAACTGTTCAGTTTTAGCACTGAAAGTCCCACATCCTGGGAAATTCCTCAGTCCCGGGCAAATCAGAACAGTTGGTCACCTTAGAAGCCATGGACTCTCATACTTCAAAAATTACCAATAGTCTCGCAACCAGTTCTCTCCTTTCATTCTCATCCCTCCTCTCTTGCTGAATTATTATCCAAAATACAAAAGAACAAACTCACAGACTGGTAGGAACCTACATCTTTAATCCTAACCCCCGTTACCTGCTTTGGATATCCAACACTCTAACCAAATAGGCTTAATTAAATATGATTCCCCAAACACCCCCACCCCAGGTGTCTCAGTCACTCTGTGCTGTTATAAATGACTATATACTGGGTGGCTTAGACAACAGAGATTTATTTCTCACTGTTCTAGAGGCCGGGAAGTCAGATCAGGGCGCCAGCATGGTCGGCTCTGGTAAGGGACCTCTTCCTCGTTTGCAGATGACCATTCTCTCGTTGTGTCCTCACATGGCAGAGAGGATAGAAAGCAAGCTCTCTCCTGTCTTTTCATGAAGACACTAATCCCATTCATGAGGGATTCACCCTCATGGCCTAATTACTTTCCAGAGGCCACACCACCTAATGCCATCACAATGGGGACTGGGCTTCAACAAGTCGATTAGGGGGAAGGGGGGAGCCACAAGCATCCAGTCCATAGTACCAGGCTCTCATATCTCAGGCCTCTGTTCCTGGTCTTCTCCTTCCCTGAATTTTCTCTCCCTTTGCAGCCTGCCTGCCTCCCATTCTTCCTTTCAGACCTTCCTTTGAAGCAACCTTGTCTAGGAAGGCTTTGCAACCTGAACTCTTCCTCCTTAGATATTTATAGCTCTTTGAGCTCCTCTATTAATTATAACAAGGTAGTAAGTGACAGAACATCTGACACCAGATGGCTCAAACAAACGAAAAGCACCCTACCTTTGGAAGGTAGATCCACATTCAGGCATAGTCGGATTACAGGATCAGAGCATAGCCATCCAGATTCTGTATCTCTTCCTCCATCTCTCAACTCTAGGTTACCTCTCTCCTCGGGCAGCCCCTCCCCTCACAGCTGTAAGAGCATCGGCAGCTTCTTGGGCTGCATTTTTTCAGGGTATGGGAAAAGAGGAGGAGTTACTATATCAACATCCCCAGAGGCTGAAAATGCCCCTGACTGGACCACTTTATTCCATCGCTGTGGTCAGGAGGTTGTGCAGGGCCATGAGGCTGCACAGGTGGTTGTTATGCATTGCATGACACCAAGAGGTGCCATTCACATAGTCTGCAACACAGCTACCGGACCGAGCACACCCTTTCACCTCTCTGGGTCTCAGTTTCATGAGTCAGATAAGAGTGACAAATCTGAGGTCTCCTTTAGTCCTACAGATCTACCATTCCACCATTCTGTGACCTCCTCTGTTGAAATAGTATTTTAGTGGTTTGGCTATCTTTCCATGAAGAGTTCTTAAACTCTCTTTTTATCTATGTTCATCCCCCTCCAGAATAACAAGTGGGTGGTAAGCTTTTTTAAAAAGAGGAAGCAGAGAAGCCCAAAGAAATTAAGATGTAAAAATAGTACATTGTGAAAATTCTCAGTTCCGTGTTACCACTGGTCATATCTATTTGGCTGGACAAGTTATAATGTAGTCGCCATTTGCTGAGTGTTTGTTACATGCTTGCTTCTAAATGTTCCTTGTGTGTTACATCTTCTAGTTTCTTCTGGTGACCCCCATGGACTAGATGGTACTGTACCTGTTGTTCCCATTTTATAGACAAAGAAAGTAAGCCCTGGAAAGTTGCTCGGGGTGCATGTTCACCGAATGGTGGCATCTGGATTTGAACATATGTTTGCTGGGCTTCACATTTCTCTCTGACCCAACACACTGTGTCACTCCTTCGTCAGAGTCTCTGCTGGAGTTCATCGAGTCTCAACTGGGGGCTCTAGCCCAAGGGAGTGATGTACTTGCTGGTTCACAGGAACATGAGTGTTTTTAAAAGGAAGATTCAATTTTAATATAATTAATAATTATAAATAATAACAATTTTATATTTGGAAATTTTTATTTTCTGACAAAAGTATAGAAAGTAAAATTCAATAAAATACTCTTGGCTGGTTGCAGTGGCTCATGCCTATAATCCCAGCCCTTTGGGAGGCCAAGATGGGTGGATCACGAGGTCAAGAGAGTGAGATCATCCTGGCCAACATGGTGAAACCCTGACTCTACTAAAAATACAAAAATTAGCTGGGTGTGGTGGCACACGCCTATAGTCCCAGCTACTCGAGAGGCTGAGGCAGGGGAATCGCTTGAACCTGAGAGGCAGAGATTGCAGTGAGCCGAGATCGCACCACTGCACTCCAGCCTGGTGACAGAGCAAGACTCCATCTCAAAAAAAAAAAAAATACTCATGGCAAGTGGGGACACACAGACAAGAGAGATGCTTCTTCATGTATCAGAACCTTGGGTCAGGGATGACCTTTGAGACTTGTATGTCGATCTGAAGAAGAAATTGTTTTTAAAAAGCTGAAAAGCACAGATCGATACAATAATGGGCAGGTCTTATTTTAGTTAGTATCTGTTTCAATTCAGTCTCTACTTTGCTGCCCAGGGCTGTGTGTATGCCACTAACCTTTCCCAGGGAGTGCTGGTCAACCAGGAGAGCAGGCTGGATGTTGTAGGGGAGCCCTGCCTCTCCAGGCAGCAGCAGGTAGGTCAAGACTCAGACAGCCTCTCTTCCAAGCCTGGCTTCCTGGATCTTTGTCCAACCCTAACGTGTGATGGGAGGTACACAATGCAAAAATAACCAAAGAGACCTAACTGGGTTGCTGCTGAAAACAAGGGCTTTTTCATATGAAGATGTCACATTAAGGAAAGAATACCATGCAAGCTGATAGACGACTGTTCCGCAGGAAGGTGGAACCAAGGTGGTCCCTGCTTGTCCATGCATGGGGCACCATCTCTTGGTGTTTCTAGAGTAATGAATAAATGTTCTTGTATTCCAGTGAGTTTCCTAGTGGATAGTTCACTGACCTGTTTATTTGCAGGCCTAGATTCTTCTGTGTAAAAATGGAGACTTCATTTTGCCCTTGGCTTGAACTGGTGCTCAATACCCACAAGTCCTACATGATTCTGTCTACAAACTCGGTGGCGGTTGTTGGTGTAGTCCACCAAGTGTTTTTAGTACTCCACCTGGAACATGGAAAGATTATACTTCCTCCCCCCTTGAAGTTGGGTGTGGCCACATCATTTGCATTGGTGAGCGAAGGTGAATGGAACTGAGGTGTGTCACTGCCAGACAGGAGCTAGTGCAAGATTCATTCATCTTGCTCATTCTGGCAAAGCAACCAGCAACAATGGAGGCAGGGAAGCTCCATCAGCTTGAGTGACTCTGAGTGATATCTTGACATCACTCTGAGTGACTCTGACAAGCACAGCCTCCTTGTGGACTCCTAACGGACATGCAGCATGAGAAATAAATCTTTGTTCCTTTAAGCCACTATAATATTGGGATTATCTGTTACTGATACATAATCTAGTCAATGCTAACTGACACAAACTCCTGCTCCCTCCAAGAATGGTACCACCCCATACCTCAGTAATTAATAATCCACTGTTTTCCTCTAATTCATCACTATTTCATGCATTTTAGGTTTGTGCCTACAACTGAACTGTTTGAAACCAAGCCTCACATGTTATGCTTCCATATCCTTCACAATAGTAGAGTGTAATGGCTAAGTGCACTGGGTTTAGAGTCTAGCAGAACTGGGTCCAAACCCAGACCTATTCAGTGTGACCTTGGCCAAGTGATTTAACCTAGAGGAGCCTCGGTTTCCTTATTCCTAAAATGGGGATAACAAGGCAGCCATCCTAGGATTGCCAGGAGCTTGGGATTTATTAGATCCCTGGGACTTAGCAAGAAGCCTGACGCAAAGTACGAGCCTAATGGTTTAACTTCAACAGTGCTGAACACACATGAGGTGCTGACTTGCTGTGTGATTGGTGCCTCCTTTTGATGAGCAGAGTCTTCCAACTTTGGGCCCACAACCATAGCAACTTATAAGTCCCCCCTTAGAACTAATAAGCCCTCAGATATTTGGAGACAGCTCTCATGAGTACCATTCAGACATATTCTTGTAAAATAACATCATCAATCAAAACCACAATGAGATACCACTTCATATCTACTAGGATGGCCACAATGAAAAAGACAGACAATAACAGGTGTTGGCGAGGATATGGAGAAAGTTGAACCCTCATACGCTGCTGGGAGAATGTAAAATCATGAAGAAGTTTTGACAAACAGTCTGGCAGTTCCTTCAGCAGTTAAGCTTAGAGTTATCATATGATATAGTTTGGATGTTTGTTCCTTGCAAATCTCATGTTGAAATTTGATCCTGGTGTTGGAGGTGGGGCCTGGTGGGAGGCGTTTGGGTCATGGGGGCGGATCCCTCATGAATTGCTTGGTACCCTCCCCATGGTAATGGGCAAGTTCTCACTCTATTAGTTAAGGCAAGATCTGTTTGCTAAAAAACAGCCTGGCACCTCCTCGTCTCTCCTGCTCACTGTCTCACCATGTGACATACCTGCTCCCCCTCCACCTTCTGCCATGAGTAAAAGCTTCCTGAGGCCTCACCAGAAGCTGAGCAGATGCCAGTGCTATGCTTGTATAGACTGCAGAACTGTGGGCCAAATAAACCTCTTTTCTTTATAAATTACCCAGCCTCAGGTATTTCTTTATAGCAATGCAAAACAGATTAACATACCATATAGTATAGCCCAGCACTTCCACTCCTAAGTATGTACCCAAGAGAAATGAAAACGTTTCCACACAAAAACTCACATATGAAAGTTCATGGAAGAATTATCCGTAATAGCCAAACAGAAAAAAAAACAACTCAAATGTCCATCAACTGATGAATGGTTAAACAAAATGTGATACATCCATGCAATGGAATATTATTTGGCCATAAAAAGAATAACACAAGCTAGAATACGGATGAATCTTGAAAACATTATGCTAAGTGAAAGAAGCCGGAAACAAATGTTCCCATGTTGCATGACTCCATTTATATGAAACGTCCAGAATAGGCAGGTCCACAGAGACAGAAGGTTGTTTGCTGGGGGCTAGTGCTGTGGGATCAGGAATTAGGGAGTAATGGCTAAAGGGTGTGGGGTTTCTTTATGGGGTAATGAAAATGTTCTGGAATTCATGGTGATAGTTACAGAACTCCATGGATATACTTTTAAAAACCCCTCTGATTCGTACATTTTTAAAAGATGGTTTTATGGTATGTGAATTATATCTCAATTAAAAAATATATATCCTCTTCCACAAAAGCACAGGTGGGTACCTGTCCGCATGGAAAACTTTTCTTAGGGCAGGACATTAAGACATTCATGCAGCATGTGTCTTTAGAAACTTACAACAAAAGGTGGCAATGAGTTCTGCCCTCACCTGTGAAAGGTAAACATCCTTTCTCCAGAAGAGCCTGCTAGCCAGGAAGGGCAGCTTGGAGCCTCTCACAAAAAGTCTGCAAGGAGCAGCCCAGTCCTGACTTCTCTGGGCACCTGGGAGTTGGATTCAGCATTCTGTGCAAACACACACACTTGGCCAGAAAGTCCTGAAGCCAGTTTCTTGTATGGACAACAGAGGAAGGTGCGAGGAGTGCTGGAAGTGAGGGGCCTGAAGGAGGACACAGCCAAATAAGATGAGACTTAGCTACACTGAGGTTGTCCCTGTAAGTCAATGGTGACCACTCTAAGGATAAGCCAGTAAGTCAGTGGCCAGCTTTCCCACTCTGCATATTTCTCTTACATTCCAGGTGACATCACCTGGGGTAGCAGACAACACCAGTTGCCAGTAGTTCTCAAAGAATGGTCCCTGGTCACTGGCATCACTGGGAAACCGGTGAGGGAGGAAACTGAGAGGAGGAGCAAAATCTCAGTTTGAACAAGCCCTCCAGGCAACTCCAGTGCACGCAAAGTTTGAAAACCACTGGCCTGAGGTGGGCAGATCACTTGAGGTCAGGAGTTTGAGACCAGCCTGGCCAAAATGGTGAAACCCCATCTCTACTAAAAATACCAAATAGCTGAGCATGATGGCCGTAATCCCAGCTACTCATGGGCTGAGGCAGGAGAATCGCTTGAACACAGGAGGCGGAGGTTGCAGTGAGCTGAGATCATGCCACTGCACCCCAGCCCAGGTGACAGAGCTAGGCTCCATGGCAAATAAAGAAAAAAAGAAAAACCACTGGCTTACACTCTGGCCGTGGTCACCTCTCTTCCTCATTATCAGAACCCTGGCTTTGCTTGGGAAAGTGGGAATCAGGACCACATGCTCAGGACAGAAGAGAGACAGACAGGGACTCAGGGCCACTGAGAGCACAGAGCTGCTGCACCTGCCCTGACCCACACACCTCTAGTCTAGGCTTGTGCGGTTGGGAAACTTAAACCCCTAATTTGCTGAAGCTGCTATTTTCAGATTCCTGCTATTTACAACTGAATCCATTCTCTACCAGTGAACCTGGGGACAGGAAGTTCTGAAAACACCAGGTTTGTCCTGGTTGGAGAAGTGTGGGATTTTTCTCTTGCAGGAACCAAGCACATGGGCTGTCGTACACGCGAGGGGCCAGGGTTCAGAGCTAGATTTCTGGTTTCAGTTTCTCTGCAGGGCTGGGGCAGGCCAGCTGGGCCAGGCCATGGGTGAAGTGGGCGGGCTCTGACCAGAGTGCCAGGGGTGCCATCCCGGGTGCCCACGCCCTGCCCCCCTGCTTCAGCCTTAGCTGCTTTCTCCCAGGACCTGGCAGTTGACAACTCTCCCATGACAAAAAGTCTGCGCCTGGGTGGCTCCAGGGTCAGTTCAGTGACTCAATAACATGAAGCACGCTGGCTTTTTATTTTTATTTTTGTATTTTTTTGAGACGGAGTTTCGCTCTTGTTGCCCAGGCTGTAGTGCAATGGCGCAATCTTGGCTCATGCAAACTCCACCTCCTGGATTCAAGCAATTCTCCTGCCTCAGCCTCTCGAGTAGCTAGGATTACAGGCATGCACCACTATGCCCAGCTAATTTTGTATTTTTAGTAGAGACAAGGTTTCACCATGTTGGTCAGGCTGGTCTTGGACTCCTGACCTCAGGTGATGTGCTTGCCTTGGCCTCCGAAAGTGCTGGGATTACCGGCGTGAGCCACCACACCCAGCCCCTAGCTTTTTATTTTAATTCATTAATTAATTCAATAAAGATTTGTTGAATACCTATTAGATGCCAGGTGCTGCTCTAGGTGTTGGGGAATGGACCAGGGTGCTGCTCTCTGGAAGTTCACATTTGTGCATGTGTGAGAGTGATTGCGGGTCAGCATGTGAGTGAGAGAGTGTGTGTGCATGTATCAGGGAGCGTGAGTGCATATGAGTGTGAGAGTTTGTGTGTGAGTGCATGTGCGTATGAGGAAGTGTAAGAGTTTGTGTGTGAGAATAAACAAGTCCTTAAAGTGTAAAGTGCTAATATGCACTCTGAAAAACAATAAGGCAGGAAAAGGGAATAGAACGATTAAGAAAGGGGTGCATTAGAAAGAGAGTGGTCAGAGGATGCCTCTCCAAGGTGGTGACATTTACACAGGGAGCTGAAGCAAGTGGGTGAACAGGCCAGGTGTGGGCTGAGATCACTCCAGGCTGAGAGCATCCCAGGTGAAGCAGAACAGCTAGCGCAGAGGCCATGAGGCTGGAGCGTGCTGGAAACATTCAAGGATCAACAAGGAAGCCAGAGGTTGGCTTGGAGGGAGGGAGGGGGAGAGTAAAAGGATGAGATCAAAGAGGCAGTGGGGAGTCAGATCACATGGGGCTTTATGGATGTGGAATTTTATTCGTGGAGAGGGAGGGAGTCATCAGTGGGTTTTGAGGAGAGGAGCAATGAGTTCTGACTTCCAAACAGAGTCATCCTCACTACTGTGCACAGAACAGCCTGAGGGACGCCCACCATCCTCTGCTCCGCCATCCTCAGTGTTTTCACTTTACCTTTAGACTTCTGTCCTCCAGGTCACAGGATGGTTGCCATGGCTCCAAATGTGACACGTACACCTCACTCACGTCCAGGCTGCTGAGATCCGCAGATAAAACCAGATCACACCACAGATTTATGTTACTGTGAATTCACTGACCCCAGCCTCACTCCGCTCTCAACATTGCCTAGAAAACCTCCTCTATTTCCCCGGCAAGATTGTGCCCTTTCTCCACAGCAGCTATTTCCAATTATCATCATTTTCTTCAAACCTACAATACCACTACTCTCCCCTCAGTAGATGGTCAAGCTCTTATTTCGCAGAAAAAACAGAAACCATTAGGTGGAAATCCCCTCAGCTGCCACCAAACCTATCAGGAGGATCTTGTCGGCATCTGCCTCATCGCTCCTGCTTCCTCCGTGAGAGGCAGCCCTCGCAGGTGTAGAGGCAGTCCCATACCACCCCCTCCAGCACATTCTCAGGGATGCATCCTATTGCTCACCTCCTCTTTCCCTCCTGTGTTTTCAACATCTCCCTTCTCTACTGGCTTCTTCCCATCTTTTCCCCAGTCTTAAAAAGAAATAAACAAACAAATGCTAAGTTAGAGACACCAAGCACAAAAGGTCACACACTGTAGGATTCCATTTATTTTTTATTTTCAATATTTATTTTTTTGAATTTTAGTAGAGATGAGGTCTCGCTTGAACTGAGGTTAAGTGATCCTCCCGCCTCAACCTCCCTGCGTGCTGGGACTACAGGTGTGACCCACCACACCCAGCCAGGATTCCATTTATATGAAATATTCAGTACAGGTAAATCCATAAAGACAGCAGATTAGTGGTTGCCTGGGGCTGAGGGGAGGGGGATGGGGAGTGACTGCTTATTGTGTATGGAATCTTTTTTGCAGATGATGAAATGTTTTGGAACCAGAGAGAAGCGATGGCTGCACAACACTGTGAATGTACTCAATGCCACTGTACGCTTTAAAATGGCTAATTTTGACTGGGCGCGGTAGCTGGCACCTGCAATCCCAGCACTTTGGGAGGCCGAGGCGGGCTGATCACTTGAGGTCAGGAGTCTGAGACCAGCCTGGCCAACATGGCAAAACTCCATCTTTACTATACATACAAAAATTACCCGAGTGTGGTGGCAGGCGCCTGTAATCCCAGCTACTCAGGAGGCTGAGGCAGAAGAATCGCTTAAACCTGGGAGGCAGAGGTTGCAGTGAGCAGGGATCAAGTGGGGGCTGCACTCCAGCCTGGGTGACAGAGTAAGACTCTGTCAAATAACATAACAAACATAACATAACATAACATAACATAAAATATTTAATTTTATGTTATGCAAATTTCACCTCAATAATAATAAGAAACAGACTCACAATGTCATATTGTCTTCAGACACCTCAAACCTAATATGCTTAAAATTCAGCTCACCAACTGGCTCCTCACTCCCTATTTCAGTCAGTGGTGTCAGGTCCACAATGTGTGGCCATACAGGTTGTAGCCTGCACAGAGGCCTCTAGCCAGGAGGAGTGTGGGAGACAGAATCCAGCCTATGCCACTCATAGGATGTCACCTTGGCAATAGCTACTCCTGCTCAGCAGGCCCTGTTTCTAACTCTCACAAAGGTACCTTAAGGGCTGGAAGTGGACTGGAAATAGAATTGCATGGCCCACCATTGTCGTGCGAGGCAGACACCTGAGCCTCATTCTTGACTTTTCTTTGAGCACACAGAACCATCACCCACACCATCCAGTCAGTTACTAAGTCTTGTCAATTCTTCTTTCTGTCCTCCTCCCTCCAATGCCACCAACCTGACTGGGCCACCATTATCTCTCACCTGCAAAGGTGGAGAACGCAGATTTCCCATCCCTGTGCTTCTAGAGCTAACACGGCCAACTCACCTGGGGTGAGAGGTGTCCATGTTCCTCCATTAGGTGGAGCTCAGCAATGGAAAGACCATGATAAGTGCCGGGGACTCAGCCTCTTCTTCCCCTCCTCATCCTGGCCAGAGGAAGGCAGTGATTCTCCAGAGAAGACCCAGATGGATGCCTGGGTGGCTGCCCAAGGCCTAGACTGGAGGGAACCATTGGGCAGGGAGTGACTGGAAACCCATTTGGCCCTCACAACAAAGGCACATTTGCTAACTGCTTATTCAGGAATAAAGGTGAGGTTTGACTTCCACGAGGAGGCCATCTGTGTCTATTTCTCAAACTGCTTTCACAGTGAGAATGAAAACAAATAATAATAATAATAACAATAATAATAAAGGGAGCCTGGATTACTAGTCTAGACTTTTCAAAAGGTTTTCTTTTCCATGTTCTACATAATAGCCAAAGTGATCCTTCTGACATGCAAATCCAATCATTCTGTTTCCCCTGAACAAAACCATATCCTGGCATCTCATTGCCTTCATGATAAAATCCAACTCTTTAACAGGGCCTGAAGTACCCTTGGTGATCTGGTCCATGTTTAGCTCTCCAGACTCAATTCTCACCACTTCCTTCCTTGCCCTCTCTGCTTGTTGGGCAGCCATGGAATTGCACCATCGAGGTCTCCGGCTGCAGGGAGCAGTCAAGTGACAGCCACAGTTCCCGCCCTTCAGGATCCCTCACTGCATCCCTCCAAAGCCACACGTCCCCTGAGCTAATTCCAGCCAAAGGCTGAGCATAACACGGCACTAGCTTCTGCCTGATGGGGAATTCCTCTGAGGGCCAGCTTTGGCTCAGGGACTCCCCATCTGCCTGGCCAAAACCTTCTTAGAACCATGCTGCAGTCTGAGACTTTCCTCTCCAATCATCCTTCCTGCCCTGGCTCCTTCCATGGGGTCAGACCCACATCATGATTCAGAAGCTCCAGCAGAAAGCTCTTCCTTTCGCTGCCTGCTCCTCCTGCTCTGTTAATGAACATGCCTGTCATACAGAACTACCTCCCATCATGTTCTGCTCTCCTCCCCTGGTTTTGTACATGCTGCTCCCTCTGCCTGGAAGATTCTCTCTTCTCTCCCTGACCCTTTCCCTGGTCAATCTCTATGCATCCTACAGGATCTAGCTTAGTGGTCACTTTGTTCACCCAAGACAGGCATTGATGGCTCACCGTGGCCCAGGCATTGTTCTGGGAGTGCACTGGGGATGCAATAAGGAATACAAAATAGGTAAAGCCCCTGCGTTCACCAAGCTTACTTTGTGGTGGGTAAATGGTCAATAAACATATTTTTCAAAACAGATCCACAATCCGCTGGTAGAAAAGATCAGTACTGTAAAGAGAATAAAGCAGCATGAGGGCATGGAATGGAATGATAAAGGCGGCAGGGTGGGTAGGGATTGTTTTAGACAGAAAGATTGGAGAAGGCTCCTTGTGGAGGTGATGCCTGAGCAGAGTCCTGAATAACATGAATGAGTGGGTCATGGAGCCATCTGGGGGAAGCTCTTTCCAGGCCAGGGGAAGGCATCCAGACAGCAGAGGGCAGCTGCAGTGGCCTGCCGCCCATGGCTCTGGGGTGGGTGCCCCTCCTGTGGGCTCCTGCAGCCACTCTTGCTTCCCTAGCAGAGGGCATATGTACTAGTTAAGGGAAACTGGTTGACTGGTCTGCCTCTCCTTCAGACAGCCACCCGGTGAGGACAGGACACTTGCTCGTCAGCCTAACTGGTTAGTACCCTATCCCCTGAGCCTTGCACAGCTCTCGACATGCAGTAAGTTCTGATGGCTGAATGCGTAATTACAATAATAGCTGTCCGTTCATGGAGCACTTACGGTGTGCCTGGCTCTGTGCTGAAGGTTTCACTCATACTTTCTCACTTAGTATTCCTAACAGCAAAGTAGGTAGCATTATCATCCCCAGGTATACGGCCACAATAGGCTATTCACACTTTCTCTGCCAGGCCCAAGGAAACAGGCACAGAGAATTTAAATCACGTATCATGGCTCTACAGCTGAAAAGTGTATTTCAAGATGTATAAAGGCTGGGTGTGGTGGCTCACACCTATAATCCCAGCACTTTGGGAGTCTGAGGTGGGAGGCTTGCTAGAGGCCAGGAATTCAAGACCAGCCTGGGCAAGATAGTGAGACTCTGTCTTTACAAAAAAAAAAAAAAAAAGAAAAGAAAAATTAATTAGCTGGGCGTGGTGGTACACGCCTGTGGTCCCAGCCGCTCAGGAGGCTGAGAGAGGAGGATCACTTGGGCCCAGGAGTTTGAGGCTGCAGTGAGCTTTGATCACACTCAGAGGCGTGAGGTGCCCCCAGCATGGTATGATTTAGAGGGTGGAATTCTAACAGAAGGCTCCTAGCATTTTAGTGTCAGAAGGGACATTTAGAAGATCCCATCCCATCCGCTGCACACAGGGACGCTGAGTCAGAAGGCTGAGGTGACTCTCAGGCTGCCTTACTGTTTGCTCAAGCTTAAACTTGACAACAAGGATTACAAAAGCCATTTGATCAGAGGCCTGGCACTGCTTAACTGAAATGAGAAAACATGTTGCCGTAAGGATGATTATGTAAAGGGGGGATGCGGTTCCCAGACTGGCCTTGCTCGTGTCTGCTGGAGCCCTGCCACAGTTACTCCAGCATCCTGCCCACACTGGCAAGCCCCGGCAGCCTTGGCCTGCTCTTTGCCTTAGCGTTGCCATGCTGCTTGCTTCAATGCCAACTGGCCCCATGTGCCGGCCACTCCCTGCCACTTTGGCAGTTCCTCTGGTGCTCCTGGCAGTGCCAGGCATTATGCCATGGTTCAGGCTTTCCCCACCCCTGGAGCAAAAGAAATGTGCAAAAGGCCCATCGTTCTTACCATGGGAGAGGATGCATTCAGCCCCATCATTTTACAGCAGTGAAAACTGAGTCCCGGAGGGATGACGTGACTTGCCCAAGGTTCCAAAGCTGGTTGGGGACAGAGCCTAAGCAAGACTCTTGTTCATGGTTTCTTCCTCCTTTGGGGCCTCTGCCTCCTCTCTGGCTCTCCTCTCTAGTGATCCCCATGCTGCTTCCCTCTCCAGACCAGAAAGCTGTCTTCCTGTCCTCGCCCAAGGCCCCAGCATTAGTCCCAGCCGCCATCCCTCATGCCCCATCACCTCCTCTCTCAGCCTCTGCTCTGCTCTGCTCTGCTCTTGCCCCTCCAATCCATTCTCAAAAAAATAAGCCAGGTCACATTACTTCCCTACCAAAAGCCCCTGATCACTCCCCCTCACCCAGAGGAGGGATCCTTGGCATGGCATTCTGTTCCTCCCCAGCCTAGTCCTAACTGACCTCTGCAGGTTCATTCCTAAGGCGTCCCTACACACCCCTGACATTCCAGCCACACTACTCAACTACCCCATAGGCTGCTGCGAGAATTAAATAACATCTGATAAGCCGACAGCACCTGGAGTGTAGTAAGAGCTGTCACCTGTGTGGGCTGGGCACTTCTCCACCAGACTAAATTCTAGAGCCCACCTGAGCTGGCTAGTGGGCGAGCACTGCTCTGCTCTCTGAGCCAGGACACATGTCCTTAGCTGTGACCCTGGCCAGACCCTCACCTCCCCGGGTCCAGGTTACATGCCCCAAGAAAAAAGGTACAATGAAGAACCCCTCTGCTGTCCACGATTTCTCAGGAACTTTTTCGGTTTTTGAGAAAAAAATTTGAAGTGGTTCCTATGAAATGGCCACATGGTTTATTATTAGTTCCTGGCCCTCAAGAGCAGCGGGGAGCTACTGTCCCCCTTGGGTCCCTACCGTCATAGCTGCAGGTCTCAACTTGGGGCTGGGGAAAGACACCCGGAATATTCCCCATGGGGCACAGGGGTGGAACGGGCCGTAGGTGCTCTTTGTGTTCTAGCTACTCATTCGCACAGGAGGCACTTTCAGCCTTACAGGCTAAGGCATAAGAGCCCAACTTCATGAATGCATCGTATCACATCCAGAGGTGAGCTGTGGGCAGTGAGCGGTCCCAGTCGCAGCCTCCATGATGAAGGTAGATTCCTACCTGCTCTGAAAACCTGGCAGCTGTTGGCTCATGAGGTTACCCACCTGTCCATCTGTCTATCCATCCAATCATCCATCCATTTCTCCAGGGGACATTAACTTTGCCTCTTTCCCATGTTTATTTTCTGAACAAAACCCATTGGGAGAATAAAGAAGATCAGAAAAGCAAACCAGCTCTCCAAAACTCACTTTGATTTTTCCTTTCCCCCTCCCTCTTCCCTTTTTTCCTTTCTTATACCTGGGGTACATATCGGGTGTCGTGCAAGATAAGTTACAAATAAGGATGAATTCAATTATCTCTCCTTTGTTATAGTTAATTTAGTTTCTGAAATATTTCAAACGAATGGACAAGTATGGAGAATAACATAACAGTCATAAAAGACCCATCGTCCACTCCAACGAACATTAACTTTTCACCATATTTGCTTTGAGGTTTTTGTTTTCTTAGGAAACAAAATGCCATGGGTCCAGTTGAAGTTGCCTTCCTCAACATCACTCCACCTCCTTTCTCTATGAGCTCTTCCCATCCAGTGTGGCGTCTTCCAGCAGGCTTTAGGCTTTTTACTAGGCCCCTAGGTTTAGACCCCGTAAACAATACATAGGATACCCCATAAACAACACAACATATTGTTTATGGGAGTTTTGGATTTCGGATTTTATGGGCATGATATCATACTGTGTGTCTCCTTTTGCGACTTGCTTTCTAATTTTATTGGATTCTTTAAAGTTTCATGTGTAATACATGCTGGTTATAACAAGTTCAAGCAACACAGAGATAGTAAGGAAAAGTTAATCATCTCCATCTGCCTGACTGTAATCCCACTGCCCCAGGTAACCACTGCTAACAGTTTAACAAACGTCTTTCTGCACCTTTTCTGCTGCTCACACAAACATACACAGAGGCTTCATCATAAAAGCTCATGAAATGCTGAAGAAAGAGCCAGAGAAAGTTCAGGACAGGCCAGAGAGCATTTAGGACCGGCAACATGAACAGACACGGCTCTCTGGTGCTACAGTAGTGAGAGGCAGCAGAGGAAGACGTGCAACCTCCCCTGCCGTTAACCCACATCCTGCTGGGTTTCCCCACTCACACCCCCCACGTGACAGGCCCAGTGGTCTCAGAGGTGTCCAGGGCCAGTGGTGAGCAGTGTCCTTTCTAATAAATGTCCTTAGACCTGGCAAATGGGGAGGGTCCAGGCCGTCACTCGCCGGCTAGGTGGCTGTGGCAAGTCTCTGTAGTAAAGGGGCCACGAGACCTCTGAAGTCCTTCCTGATTGATGATTGTCAATCAGATTGCTCTGGCAGAGAGATGAGCTGCTGCTGGGTCCGAGATGCGGAAGAGCCTTTGGGAAGCTAGACTGTTGTAACTCACACTCTGGCTTTAGTTGTGCCTGAGAAGGGATTCACAGATGATATGTGTTTTCTGACTGCTCCATGAACCAGGAATGAGTACACTGGATGCCAAGCAAGTTTCCAAGTGTTGGATTTTGTTTGTTTGTTTTCTTCTCTTTTTACTTTTTAAAAGTGTAATAGGACCAGACATGTTAAGCTCAGAGATGGACTGGAATGTTTTTTTGCCCTTGCCAAAAGAAAAAAAAGAATCAATCATTAGAGCTTAAGTTTTGTTTTGTTTTGTTTTGTTTTTCTTAATTAGTTTCATGTGACTGCAAAGCAGTAAGAGAAACTGAATGCAAGACTTTGGTCAGCTTCATCTGGGTGGTCTGTTCACTTGTTGACCCTTGAGGCTGTAATAGCTTGGAGAGGAGCATAAACCTTGCTGGGACTTATAAATTGAGATTTGACATGATTTCTAAAGATCTCTCCAGTTGTTAAATTCTGCAATTCTTTGTGTTTTTTTTTTCACATGTATTCATTCAATAAACTTTTTTTAAGTGCCCAGTATGCGTCAATCATTGTCCTAATATTTGGGGATATCAGTGAAAAACCAGACAAACCCCCACCCTCATGGAATGAAGAACTCCTTACACACAATCTCAAACACAAGGACTTCCACTCTTCATCAATATTCCAATAATTCAGTCATGCACCTTTCAGAGTGTATGGATCCCCATAACACCCTCATGACAATGGGCAGGACAGGTATTCCTAGTGCCCTTTTCCAAATGGGCAGACCAAGAATGACTACATGTAGGAATGGAACCTCAGAATGAATGATATTGTAGTCTCGAAGGAGACACAGCAGAGGTGAAATGCCCCAGATCTCACTTCCTGGAGCCTCAGTCCAGCTCATCTCACAGAATGGGAAAATCTGCTGTGCACATCTTCTGATTTCATGCCAATGAGAAGCTTAAGTTTCCAGATCTGATTCAAAAAGCCAGTGGTGAATTCTGAAAAATGATACTGGGGTAAGAGAGGCTAGGATTCCCGACTCCTTGAGCAAATGAAGCTCCCTACCCTGCTTCATTTGTCCATAATGTTTAAAACCCCATTTGGCATCCTTAAAGTTGAAAATAGCTCTCTCATGCTTCATTTTTCCCTTTCTTTCCTTTTCCCTGGCCTGGTATTGGCCCCAACAGCAGCAGTCTACAGCCCCTATGCAGGCCGGGGCACTGACCCCTCCTCAGGCCCCAGTAGAGGGGCAGGTGGCCATTCAATCTCTTCCATTAATGCCTTCCAATACCAGCCCAGGGATTCCCTAAATTGCCCAATGGGGCCTTTCCAGGGCCCTTAATAACTTGCCCACAGCCCTGGATCCCCTAGCTCTGGGCTCCTGGCCAATATTCTCCAAACTCTTTTCATGAGCAATGAAAGGGTTCTTTAGTGTTGCAGTCAAATGCAGGGTCTTTTCTCCCTTTTTCTTGGAGGGCTGTGAACCCTTTTCAGGCTGCTGCTGTCTCCCCAGCATGGCCCATCTATCAGAGAGTTCAGATCCCGAGTGTGCGCCCGCTGGGTGAAAAGGTGGCTTCTGTGGTGACTGGAGAGTTTGGAGCTCCCAACAAACTCTCAGGCAGCCTCAAGTTGGCAGCACAGACATAATAAATTATCTGAACCGAATCTGCTCCTAAAAATATGCTGCATAGAACATTTTAGTGTGTTCATGAACTTCATGGCAAAAAAAAAAAAAAAGAAAGAAAAAGAAAACTTTAGGATAACAAGCGTCTATATTTCATTAAAATAGAGAAAAGGGGTGGGGTGTGGTGGCTCACACCTAGCCCATTAAACCCAGCACTTTGGGAGGCCAAGGTGGAAGAACTGCTTGAGGACAGGAGTCTGAGACCAGCCTGGACAACATATATTTGTATAAATTAAAATTTTAAAAAATAAAAAATGAAAAATAAATAAAATGGAGAAAATGATAATACATTGCCAACCTATCCAAACACTCCAATCAATATCCTCTTAATCACTAAAACACTCAAAACATTTATGTAAACATCCACCAAGGAGCTCTGAACAATAGAAATCAGTGTTTCCCAGAGTATGAATCTGGACCAGCAGCATCAGCATCACTTGGGAACTTGTAAAAAACTCAGATTATCGAGGGTGGGTATGGTGGCTCACACTTGTAATCCCAGCACTTTGGGAGGCCAAGGCGGGGGGATCATTTGAGCTCAGGAGTTCGAGATCAGCCTGGGCAACATGGTGAAATTTCATCTTTACAAAAAGTACAAAAAAATTAGCCAGGCATGGTGGCACATGCCTGTGGTCCCAGCTACTCGGGAGGCTGAGGTGGGAAGATGGGTGGAGCTGGAACCTGGGAGGCAGAGGTTGCAGTGAACCAAGATCTCACCACTGCACTCCAGCATGGGCAATGGAGCCAGACCTTTTCTCAAAAAAAAAAAAAAAAAAGGAAATTCTCAGACCCCATTCTAAACCTACTAAAGCAGGGGTTTACTCTGAGATGGGGTCCAGCAATCTGAGTTTTAGCAAAACCTCCAAGAGATTCTGATGCTTGCTGAGGTCTAAGAACCACTGATATGAAACACTGAACAATTACCTAATTATTTAACATTGGGTGAAGTCATCAGTGGGTACCTTTGTGTTCAAGACACTTTCATATTGGATTGAGTTATGAGATATGAACTACATTTTACTTCTTCATCACAAAAATATAAAAATAGTGACATCACTTATTAAGAATCCACAGTGAATGCATAGAGTGCATAGAAAGAATTGCACGTACACAGGACATGTGCATGCCTATGTTCATATCACATATGATTTTGCCTCTCACAATACACTTGATCACATTCAACTTTTTTCTTTTTCTTTCTTTTGTGTGTGTGTGTGTGTGTGTGTGTGTGTGTGTGTGTGTGATGGAGTTTTGCTCTTGTTGCCCAGGCTGGAATGCAATGGCGCCATCTCTGCTCTCTGCAAACTCCGCCTCCCGGGTTCAAGCGATTCTGCTGCCTCAGCCTCCTGCGTAGCTGGGATTACAGGCACCCGCCACCATACCCGGCTAATTTTTGTATTTTTAGTAGAGACGGGGTTTTACCATGTTGGTGAGGCTGGTCTCGAACTCCTGACCTCAGGTGATCCACCCACCTTGGGTTCCCAAAGTGCTGGGATTACAGGCATGAGCCACCACACCCGGCCTCAACTTTTCTTCTAATTTATGGGGGTTGTTTAGATCTCTTAGTCTCAATTGCTTTATTCATAGGCTTTTCAACTTTCTTACAAGACATCTTCCCAATATGGCAGAACAACATAGACACGAGAGGCGCTTCTACCAGGAGGAGAGCTGAGATGTGCCTGTCGCACATCCTCCACCCTTCCACTAGGACCTGAAAGGTTGCTGGAGAGCAGATTATAATAGTGTTTTGATTCATATAGCACATTTTTTTCTTTTCTTTTTTAAGCTACCAATTCTTGAGCCTGCATCACATAGCAAATTTTAAGTAAAAATGTTGCTAAGTCTCTATAACAAATGTTTGGAGAGTGAAAGTTCAGATGGTGGTTCTTACTCTTGGAGGAAGTGCTGATGAATCAATGGATGCTGGCCTCAGTTCCCAACCTGTCTAGGCACAGCAGGGTGATTCAGGAGTGAATTCCCAGTCCCTGAGGGCTAATAGACATTCCCAGACTATTTGTTTACACAACTGTCCTGGGAGTTGTTTAACTTCAGCCTCATTTCAGATGCAAAATATCACAAGTGCTTTCTCTTTGCAGGTCCAGAAGGAAATGTCAGGCGAAGATTTTATCTTCGTGTGAGGGCTCAAATGAAGAATCAGGAACCAACTAAGAGATTAATTCGCCAAATTACTACGGAGGTCTGTCATGCCTGGGTGTGAGGAGGACAGAGATGATTAAAACAGGGGATGCTGACCTCTATGGGCTTACAATGTAGAGGAGTTGGAACTTGAGGTTGTAATGGAAACCGAAAATTCAAGTCTTTTATCTCCTGGGGAAGGCCGTACCCAGGGTAATGCTTCTCATTTATTTATGTGTTAAATAACGTATTTTATAAACTTGACCGGCTGGGTGCGGTGGCTCACGCCTGTAATCCTAACACTTTGGGAGGCCAAGGCAGGTGGATCACATGAGGTCAAGAGTTTGAAACCAGCCTGGCCAAAATGGTGAAACCCCGTCTCTACTAAAAATATAAAAAAGTTAGCCGGGCGTGGTGGTATGTGCCTGTAATCCCAGCTACTTGGCAGGCTGAGGCAAGAGAATTGCTTGAACCTGGGAGGCAAAGTTTACAGTGAGCCGAGGTTGCACCACTGCACTCCAGCCTGGGTGACAGAGCAAGATTCTGTCTCAAAAAAAAAAAAAATGTGTTTAACAATAATGTATTGTACACTTAAAAATTTTTTGGGGTAGATCTTATGTTTTCTTACCACAATAAATTTTTAAATATAAAATAACTTAGTTAACATTGCATTCTTTTTGTCAAAAAATTCCTGTGATCACCATTTCCCATAGGAAGCTGCATAGCAAGGGGGTCTTCCACCTGACACTGCTGCTGTTGGCATAACCTCTGGGGATGAGGTGCTGTAGTGGGGTCTTCCTGTTCCAAGACGATGATGGGATCTGGGTGGATGCCTTCCTCTCCTTGCTGGGGTGGGAAACTGGGAGGTGTTGCAAATCAGTGGGTGTGGCAGCTTCTGATGAAGAAGTCAGTGGTGTCTGGTTTTCAAGGCCAACAAGGGGAATCATTAGTACCTACCTCTGTCCCCTCCCCCACTGTGCTATGTCATGTTAGTAGGAGCTTCACTTGCCTCATGGGACAATAAATGTTTTTTAAAGCCCAGTCTCAAACGTTGCAGAGGGATGAGGTAAGGCTAAAGATTAATGAGTGGGTATGACCTGTCCGAAGGGGAGACAGAGACTCTAGAGATAGGGGACCTACGGGAGGAAGAGTGCCACAGAGGCAGAGACCTGCACACACCCCCTGCAGTGCCCCAGGGACCTTAAGGCCCATGGGGAGGTTCCCTGTGAGCCAGGGCAGCTGGGGCTGGGGAGCAACTGCACGGTTGGCTGTTTGCCTGTGCCTAGGATCAGGTTCCTCAGACTCTGGTTCCATGGAGATGGAGGCCTGCTCCAGGGATGGGGCTACACTAGGCTTCCCATCAGTTGGCAGGCAGGTGCTCACAGTTGGATGGTACAAAATTTTTTAAAAAGGAGAAATATGACATTTCTCATACCTGAATGTTGTGAAGCAAATTTATACCTGTTAGACTTGACTCTGGATAAACGCATCTCTGCAGTCTCCTGGCAAGTGAGAGGCATTGAAGGATGCATCGAGAGTAGGGGCCTCTGGAGAGTTAGAAAACAAAGCCCTATGAGGGAGCCAAAGAGATTATCTCATTGGCCAAAAACTGACAAACAGGGAGTCGCATACAACAAAGGCTAAATGGAAAGGGCTCCCTTTACTACAAGAAAGTCTTCCAGTACCTTGTGGGGTCTGTGGGACCCAGAGAAAGTGGGGCAAGCAGTTGGGCTGTGGGCCAAGGCCTTATCGAGCACTTGTGGTCAAACACAGAGCATGCATTGTGCTCCCTTCAGAGCCGGAGCCCAAAGGAGGACTGGGCTGGAGACAAAACACTACAGAAAGGACCCACATCTCCTGTCGCTGTGAAAATGGAGAATTTGGCCATACAGGAGGAGAGGAAGGGATCCTGACTTGTCTACTAACAATGCAATTCATATCACTGTGTATCTTTTTATGCTCGTCAAACGGAATGGAACTCTGTGCCAAGAGCTTCAGAGAAGAACATGATCTGGTTGAGTGTGATGAATATTCCCAAATATTAAGGCACTGTTTGATGCTCGTGCCCCGTCACTCCTCTCTCGGAATCCGCCATGTTTGTACCCCCAGGGAGGCCAGCTGACCCGGGACATGCCAATCAGCCTCGCTTTCCTGGGAATATGCGGTTAGGAGTGAGAGAGCGTGCGTTCCTCTCAACATGGGAGTGTAACATGTTGAGTAAACTTGGAGCTAAGGAGAAGGCAGCAAGTATTTCCCACCCAGGGGGCCAGGAAGAGAGAAACTAGGCTGCAATGAGAATGAAGATGAAGTCGAATCACAGAGAAAAGCCAAGACCAGGAAGAGTCCAAGTGGCCTTCCAGTTCCTAATTCTAGTCCTTCCTGAGACCTCTTAGCCTTCCTGCCCTGGGGTTCGGTGAGATACAACCCAGGATACTTACAATTTACCTTTTTTTGTTCAAACTAGTTCTCATTGGTTCTGTAACTTGCAACCAATAAGTCTTAAGTAGCCCATCAAGAATAACACATCAGACAAACAAAGCAAGTGATTCACCATTTTGTGTTTATTTATATAGTACAATACACAGAACACTAACCATTTTTAAGTGTACGGTTCTGTGGCATTAAGTACATTCACATTAGCGTGAGTCATCACTAGCACATATCTCCAGAACTCCTTTTTTTTTTTTTTTTTTTTTTTTTTTTTTTTCATTAACAGGGTCTCACTCTATTGCCCAGGCTGGAGTGCAGTGGTGCAATCATGGCTGACTGCAATCTTGACTTCCTGGGCTCAAGTAATCCTCCTGCCTCAGTCTCCCAAGTAGCTGGAACTACAGATGCATGACCAACCATGCCTCGCTAATTTTTTTTTTTTAAGAGAATGGTCTCACTATGTTGCCCAGGCTTTCAGAACTTCTTTACCCATTTTTAAAATCGGGGTCCTTCATGATGCCAGGGTTGGCTCATTGCAGTTTATGAGCATGAGCTATGGCAGAGACATATGCCAGCACTGTGAGATGCCTTTGGGATTTGTTGGTTTTAGTTACTGATCTTATTGTTGGGTGATTTGTTTCTTTCTGATAGTATTAGGGTCTAGGAAAAATTCATGGTTACTTCAAGGTTCCAGGCAAACCAGTGTTCATTATAAAAAATATAGCTGCTGTTCGATAAACTTTGTTGACAACCACTTTGACTTAACATTCTGTTGCTATACACCACAAAGAGCTTTACCCCTGGATCCACCCATGTAAGGTTTCCATTATTACATTTGAGAAGAGGAGGAGCTACTTTTCCAAGGCAAGTAGGAGCCTCCCCAAGGGTCGCATGGCCTCTGCATGCTAGGCAGCATGTCAGTGAAGAATATAATCAGTCAAGGGCATGCCACAGTCATTAACATGCCCCCGCCAGCCTCACTGACTTACAATAAAGGTTCATTTTACGCTCATGCCGTCTGTTCATCAAAGGTCAGCTTAGTTCTTCCCCATCTCATCTTCACTCCAGGATTCAAGATGATGGAGTAGCTTTCATCTGAATGTTGCCAACCAGATGGCAGGAGAAGAAGCACATCGTGTGTCATGTACCAGCTTTTAAAGACACAAATCACTTCCATTCACAATTCATTGACCAAAGCAAGTACATGGCCGCTCTTGACTGCAACAAAATGTATTGCAGGGGAGGGTGCCATAAGGAGATACTGCAGTATGTGGCAGATAGTAATAAAACCTTTCCATAGCTAGCCTTCCACATTCAAATCAGATCATGCTACTAAAAAGGACATCATCTTCATTTCTTTAACAAGAAGTTATTGGGCATCTACTCTGTACCAGGCACTGTTCCAGCCACAGAAGATTCAGCAATGAACTAGACAAATAGCTCCCTTCCCCCATGGAGCTTATATTATAGTGAGGGACATGGGTACTAAATAAGTAAACAAGTAAATACAAAGGATAATTATAAGTTGTAATTGATAAAGATTAAACTCATACGTTACGAAAGGGAGTATGAAGTTGTGATTTAGAGTACAGGCTCTGAAGTCACACTGCCTGGGTTCTTAACTAGGGTTACCAGATGAAATACAAGACATCCAGTTAAATGCAAATTTCAGATAAACAACGAATAATGTTTTTGCATAAGTAGGTTCCAAATATTGCATGGAACATATTTATACTAAAAAACTGTTTATTGGGCTGGGCACAGTGGTTCATGCCTGTAATCCCAGCACTTTGGGAGGCCCAGACGGGCGGATCATGAGGTCAAGAGATCGAAACCATCCTGGCTAACACGGTGAAACCCCGTCTCAACCAAAAAAAAAAAAAAATACAAAAATTAGCTGGGCATGGTGGCACGCTCCTGTAGTCCCAGCTACTCAGGAGGCTGAGGCAGAATTGCTTGACCCCAGGAGGCGGAGGTTGCAGTGAGCCGAGATTGCCCCACTGCACTCCAGCCTGGCAACAGAGCAAGACTCCGTCTCAAAAAAAAAAAAAAAAAAAAAAACCTGTTTATCGAAAATATAAAATTAACTGGACATCTTGTAATTTTTATTTGCTAAGTCTTCCAACTCTATTCCTAACCCAGTTCTGCCACTTTCCAGCTGTGTGATCTGGAACAAGTTATAGTTACTTAATCTCTCTGTGCCTCAGTCTCCTTATCTATGATATAGGACAGTAATACTACTTACCTCCCAGGATTATGTTAAAGATTAAAGTTAATATACATAAGGTACATAAATTAGTGTCTGGTACTTAGTAAACATGCAATAAATGACAGTTGGTGTTTATTATCTAATAATAAACCTAATATTATCCAATAGAATGGTGAGCAATTATATGGAAAATAGAAAAAAAAAATTCAGTATTGCCATCTGATGAAAGAATCTCACAGGGAATGAGAGAAAAAAAATCAAGTTTTGCTTCTTTTTCTACCTTTTTAATTAATAAATATTTATTGAGTACTTCTATTGATAGAAGTTGTATCCTAAGTCTTGAGCAGGCATCAAGAATAAAAGATACATAGGATTATAGCAGACATGATTTACCATCTATTCAAAATCTATCTCACTTGTCTCTTCCTTAATAGAATCTTAAGTTTGTTCAAAGCAGTAATATGGCCAAATAAATACTTGCTTACCCAGCCTCCCTTGCAGCTAGGGGTGGCCATGTGACGTGGTTCTAGCCAATGAGATATAAGCATAATCTGGTGAAGTTTCTGGGAAAGCATTTGCTTTCCCAATAAAATGGAACTGCAGCACTTTCTTCTTCCTTCCTTGAACGTGGATACAGCCATCATTTTGAAACCATGGGGGAAAGGCAAAGAGAATCACAGTGGTGTCAGTCCCAACACCACTGAGCTTCTGAACCAATACAAGCAGCCACTTACCTCCAGCCTTCTCATAAGGTGAGAAAATTATGTCGTTATTTGTTCAGGCCACTGTTAGTCAGGTATACAGTTGTTTGCTGCCAATCCCATTCCTGTTATAAAGACATAACACCTTTCCTCAAGGAGTTTATAGGCAGTCCCTTAATTTTCTGCTCCTTAAAACTACACTGAAGTATAAAAAAATTGTGTATTTCCAAGGATTTCAAAATAGTATACAAAAGGGGTATATTCCCAGAGATTTTAAAAGTATAATATTGCTTGCCTTTGGAACATCATTTTGAAGCTCTATTTCCACCATATGTGGTGGTTAATTTGTGTGTCAACTTGGCTGGGCCATAATGCCCAGGTATGTATGTGATGGAAGATTTTCTGCATATTTCTGTGAGGGTGTTTTGGATGAGATTAACATTTAAGTAATTGGACTTTTTTTTTTTTTAAATGAACTCCCACTCTGTCACCCAGACTGGAGTGCAGTGGTGCAATCTCGGCTCACTGCAACCTCCGCCTCCTGGGTTCAAGTGATTTTCATGCCCCAGCCTCCTGAGTAGCTGGGATTACAGGCATGCACCACCACACCGGGCTAATTTTTATATTTTCACTAGAAACAGCGTTTCACCATGTTGGCCAGGCTGCTCTCAAACTCCTGACCTCAAATGATCCACCTGCCTTGGCTTCCCAAAATGCTGGGATTACAGGCTTGAGCCATCATGCCCGGCCAAGTCGGTGGACTTTGAGGAAAACAGATTGCCCCGAGTGATGTGGGTGAGCCTCATCCAATCAGTTGAGGCCTGAGTAAAACAAATCACTGACCTCCTCTGAGTTAGAAGGAATTCTGTCAATAGGTGGCCTTTAGATTTGAACTGCAACACTGGTTCTTTCCTGGGTCTCCAGCCTGGTGGCCTTCAGACTGGACTGCAGATTTTGGACTTGCTGGCTCTCACAATCACATGAGCTAATTCCTTAAAATAAGTCTCTGCTGCTCTCTCAGGATACATATCTTGTTGGCTCTGATCCTCTGGAGAACCCTGACTATACATTATGTTCTATATATTTTGTTCACTTTATTCTTCCTTGTCACGGTTAAACACAAAAGTCACCCCTTATAAATAAAACAAACACCCAAATCGAGGTTCCATCCCTAACATTCAGCTTGCCTAATGATCTCCATCTTTGCCTCAACTGCATCAAGTTTTATGAGGTCTTCATTTTTTTTGTCACCAGGATGAATATTTTCATTTTTCCACTTTACTTTTTTTTAATAAAATAATCACTGCAAATTTAATAAAGTATTTAAATAATTGTCCCCAAACTGCCATGCCAACGAAAGTGATGAAACCGTAGAACACAGCAGCTGGCTGGTAAGCAGCTCTGCTGTGGGATAGCTGGGAATGTTCGTTTTTGCCAGCTGACGCTTGACAGCCTGAATTTGACATGTAACACTCAGTTTAGAAGTGTCAGTGTAGAGTGTGAAAAGGGTGCTTAGATCGTTTTAAAGCACAATCATTAAAGTTGAGGACTACCTATGCGATGCAGTAGTGGCCTATGAGAAGTCCACAAATAACTTTAAAGCCAGATTTGACAAGTGACTGAAAAGGAGACAATGAAATGCAGAGAGAGGCTAGAGCAAAGACAAAGAATTTACATCCTTTTTTCCACCCTCCTGAGTTTTCAGCTATTCTGAGATAGACACAGGAGCTTGGCAGATGGAAATTACAATATCACTTTTATTATCTCTGAAGTTGTTAAAATAACAAGGCTAAGGTGTTCAGCCAACTGGGCTTATACAGGCTTAACTTACGAATTAGGCAGTCCCCAGTCCCAGGCCCAGCTGGGCGAATGCTTTGTACTGTACAGCAGAGACGTCAACCAGAGCATAGCCCATCTCAAAAGAAGGGAGGAAGGGGTTGGGCCAGCATGCCCAGGTCATTCTCTCAGACTCACCTACCAGATGTCACTTCTGAGAAGAAGATTCAGGGAGGTGGGGAGAAAGGCCAGTAGTAGGGTTCTAGGTAAAAGTTTCCACAGGAAACATAAGAAGTGGGGAACAAGCGTCCCCATAACAGCCTCCAGCTGTTTGTTCTCCCAGTGCATTGGAGTCCTCTATCAAGTGTGCCACCAGCCAAGGATGTGGCAGCCCCCCTCAGGAAAGAAGAAATGGCAAACGACCTAGGAGGTGTTGCTCCCACCTTCTGACACTGAATGGCCTTGGAGTATCCTCCTGGGACTGCAGGCAGGCAGCATCCACTTTACCCCAAGAAGGCTCTTGGGGTCAGATGACCATAAAAATGAATGTGTTAGATGAAAACATTACTTAAATGGTGCTGGGCCTGGTGGCTCATGCCTGTCACTCCAGCACTTTGGGAAGCTGAGGCAGGTGGATCTCTTGAGCCCAGGAGCTTGAGACCAGCTTGGGTAACATAGCAAGACCTCATCTCTACAAAAGAAGTTTTTAAATTAGCCAGGCATGGTGGCACGTGCCTGTAGTTCCAGCTTCTCAGGAGGCTGAGTTGGGAGAGTTGCTTGAGCCCAGGGGATCAAAGCTGCAGTGAAATGTGATTGCACCACTGCACTCTGGGTGACAGAGCAGGATCCTGTCTTAAAACAAAAATTAAATGGGCTGTGTTCCAGTTGTCTATTGCTGTATAATAAACTACACCAAATTTAGTGTCAGAAAAAGAATCTATGATTATTGTCTCTCACAGCTGTGGGGTTGACTGGGCTCGGCAGGCAGTTCTCACTTGGGGTCTCTCTGTCAGCGGCCAGGGCTGCAGTCAGTGTGATGCCTTCCTCACTCGCACGCCTGGCACGTGAACCAGGAAGACTCACACAGCGGGGCTCCTTGGGCAGCTCTCTCTATCGCTATGTAACCATCCCACATGGTCTTCCTGCAGGGTGGCTTCAGCTTGGCTCAGGGCTCCAAAGGTCCATGTTGAAATGAAGAGAGAACCAGGCAGGAGCCACGTCGTCTTTCATGACTGGGTCTCAGAATCCACACAGCATCACTGCTGCTGTCCTCTATTAGGAACAGAGACTCTTACTCCTAATGGGAGAGTGGCAAGGTTTTGGAAGAGCATGTGGGACTGGAAATATTGTTGTGGCTATTGTTTTCCTTTTTAAAATTGTGGTGAAATCTTCATGAAAGTTACCATTTTAACTATTTCTACATGCACACTGCAGTAGCAGTTAGTACATTTGCATTGCTGTGCACCATCACCACTCTCTCTCTCTCTCTCTCTCTCTCTCTCTCTCTCTCCAGAATTTCACCTGCCCAAGTTGAACTCTGTACCCATGCAGCAGTAACTCCCTATTCCCCCCGGCTCCAGCCCCTGGCAACCCCACTCTACTTTTTGTCTCTAGGAGTTTCGCTATTCTAGGTACCTCATAAAAGTGAAATCATACAGTGCTTGTCCTTTTGTGTCTGGCTTATTTCACCGAAGGCCAATTTCATAAAATACAATTTGCCACATGTTCTAAGGTCAAGTTGTACCAAAGCTTATTCTGTTTTTCATCTAAAATTACATCCAGCCGCACTATCTAATGCTGCCCATCATTGGTTCTGCAATGAATTAAATGACAACAAAAAGATGCTCCAATAATAAAATTCTAACAAATAGAGAGGGCCCAAATTTGAATATAAACATCCTTGCTGCTATCAAATGCCCAAGGAAAATTAAAGTCCTAAAAATTAACTTTTTAAATTCAGTCCAATGAACCCAAAGTCCAAAATTTTTAAGTTAATGTTTAATGGGAACTAGAGTCCAAAATAAAATTATCAGCCCGGCATGGTGGCTCACGCCTATAATCTCAGCACTTTGGGAGACCGAGGCGGGTGGATCACTTGAGCCCAGGAGTTCGAGACCAGCCTGGGTAACATGGCAAAACCCCATCCAAAAAAAAAATACAAAAAAAATTAGCCAGGCGTGGTGGTGTGTGACTGTAGTCCCAGCTACTCAGGAGGCTGAGGTGGAAGGATCACTTGAGCCCAGGAGGCTGAGGTTGCAGTGAGCCAAGATTGCATCACTGCACTCCAGCCTGGGTGAGAGTGAGACCTTGCCTGAAAATTATATACACACACAGACACACACACACACATATATATATATATATATCTTGCCCTATGAATTACACTTTATGTTTCTTTTCCTTTCCCCCTGCTTCCCCACTGAAAACTTTGTATTGGCCTTTTGGGTAGAAACGGGAACTTTTTTACCAGGAAGAATAATCCTATCACACTTCCACTGGAACCAGCACATGGCCTCCTCTTTGCTGACTCTGTTTGTCCCCAGTGCAGTCTGTCCCACACTTCTTGTCTGCGATGCTAAAACCTCACCTGTCCAGCACCACATTGAAGTCCAGGTCATAGATACCAGTGCTTGAGTCATATTTGATACCTATATCGGTGTGTTTCTGGATCCCAAAACCAAAGTTTCTAGTATCTGAGGGATTATTTTTTTCTTTTCTTAACTCATATTCCTGTACCTTTAGACCTTTCTCCAGGATTGTTTCTGCCTTGGCCCCTCAGAGTGTGCAGTGGACGGCAATCTCTTCATTTCTCCTGATGCTGAAGGATCTGATGCTGTACTTGGCTTTGGAAAACACAGGGGTCTGGCCTGTGAGCTGCTCAGGTCAGTCTGTCTCTACCCTCCCCACACAGATATTGAGGCGAGTTTGTGGATGTGAAGTTCCCAAGTGGGGATCTTCTTTTCACCTTGATCCTGCACCATCATGGAGAATAGGAAGAGCCAAATTTCTTAAATAAAATTAAAATTTAAAGAAATCACTCCTGAATGTTAAATTCTGCTCAGAGTCCTTCAGAGAGGTCCTCGATACCTGGATAAAATTGGGGGTTCTTCAGTAACTTCAAGATCAGACATCTCTCCTAAGAATAAGTGTGGTTCTTTCAGGACCTCAGAAATTAATAGGACACAGGAGATAATTACAACACCACCTATTAACACTTTGGGCTTTAAAAAATGTTCCCAGGCAAAACCATCTTCTCAGTACCCTGTATTTATAGAATTTAGACTCAACTATTTTGTCAAAGCCTACAGGAGAAACAAGATGTTCTGAGGGAAGGAGGATAAACAAAGTGAAGGCCGTCTTGGATCAGCCTTGCCAGAGGACACTCAGTCTGTGGTGGGTGTCTGGAGCCTGCTCTCTGTGAATTTAAACTCAACTGGGAGAATTCTCTCACTGAAAGGTCAATTGTGGCACTTTAAAAAAAAATCCAGTACTCAGAGTAGTTCCAGAGGAGCAGAATCTTAGGATGATTTCTTTGAATTCGTTCTGGCTTATCTAGAATTGATTTTCTGATCTGATTAGATTTACAGGCATTAATGAGCCTATTTCCAGAGGTAAAGAGGGCACTGATACTTTATGGCCTGCAATGACAAGACAGTAATGTAAAATTATTACATTTAGAGACCTGTAATCAAGTTTTATAGAAAGCTAGGCTCTAGGTTACTAAGCATTTGAGGCTGTAGTTCCTTTTAATGAAAATAAGGAGGACATGCTTCTCATTGGGCTGGAGAACATAAGGAAAGAAAATGATGAGCTCGGGACTTCAAATTTCCAGCTCAAGGCTCACATTAAGAATCTGGAAGCTCCAATGACTACTTAAAGAAACCCTAATCTCCTATAGCCACAGGGAAACTAAATCCAAAGTCTAATTTTGTGGGTGGCTGAATTACAAGGCAAATTGAATTTGCAGCCATGTAGTACCTCTTTTGTTAAAGTAAGGGTACTGATTGGGAAGGAGAGGGGCCCTGAGAACTGGAAGGGGATATACGGGGAGATTCCAGTAAAGCTGGGAACTTGAACCCCAAGTTCTGCTGAATCTTCTTTGCTAATAGAAGCAACCCTTCCATCATCTGAGAGGACTGGTTCCCCTTTGTCTAAAGATCCTGTAATAATCCTCTGCAGAACCCATCCCCACCACCTCTCTCTTTCCTAGATTTATAACTAGACTCAAGTCCCCGAAAGCCCCAGAAGGTAAGGTACAAATTATGGATCATGAGGAAGTGTATTAGTCAGGGTTCTCTAGAAGGACAGAACTAATGGGATATATCTAGATATAAAAAGGAGTTTGTTGGGCCAGGCGCAATGGCTCACACCTGTAATCCCAGCACTTCGGGAGGCTGAGGCGGGTAGATCACGAGGTCAGGAGTTTGAGACCAGCCTGGCCAACATGGTGAAACCCCATCTCTACTAAAAATAGAAAAATTAGCCGGGTGTGGTGGCAGGCACCTGTAATCCCAGCTACTCAGGAGGCTGAGGCAGGAGAATCGCTTGAAACCAGAAGGCAGAGGTTGCAGTGAGCCAAGATAGTGCCACTGCGCTCCAGCCTCGGCAACAAGAGTGAAACTCCATCTCAAAAAAAAAAAAAAAAGAAAGAAAGAAAGAAAAGGAGTTTGTTAAGGAGAATTGACTCACATGATCACAAAGTGAAGTCCCACAATAGGCCATCTGTAAGCTGAGGAGCAAGGAAGCCAGCAGTGGCTCAGTCTGAGTCCCAAAACCTCAAAAGTTGGGAAGGTGACGGTGCAGACTTCAGTCTGTGGCCTAAGACCTGAGAGCCCCTGGCAAACCACTGGTCTAAGTCCAAGAGTCCAAAAGCCAAAAATCGTGGAGTCTGATGTTCGAAGGCAGGAAGCACCCAGCATGAGAAAAGATGAAGGCCGGAAGACTAGGCAGGTTAGCTCCTTCCACCTTCTGCTGCCTGCTTCTTCTTTTCTTTCTTTTTTTTTTTTTTGATATATTTGTAATATATTTACAAATATAAAATTCTGACATCACCAGACATAGTACTGAATGTCATTTTCTTGAAAGCTTGCCAGTTTTTGTACATTTTTGCACAAATGTACACGATTGTACATTTAGGCATCATAAGTAGTATCAACACCATAAAAGCATATATGAAATTTAAGATTAATATGCTTTCTGCCTGCTTTTTCTAGCCGTGCTGAAAGCCTATTGGATGATACCACCCACACTGAGGGTGAGTCTTCTTCTCCCTGTCCACTGTCTCAAATGTTAATCTCCTCTGGCAACACTCAGAAACACTCAGGTACACCCAGAAACAATACTTTACATCCTTCAATCCAATCAAGTTGACACTTAATATTAACCATCATGAGTCCACCCTTTGTCAACTTGAACCCATAAACACCTCCTGAAATCATACTTATCCTCCAAATAAAGACAATAATACGGTCATAATTATGTCTAACGTAATACAGCTATTCTTTTACAACTGGAAACACACTAATCCTTAAATGCTATTACATAAAGTTAACAACACTTAAATGCAGGTGTGAAGTCAATAAATTTCATGTCACATGATAAAGGAAAAAGAAAGGAAATAAAATGAAGATATTTTCTTAGTACAAGTGTATACATGCACAAACACGTTCTTAACACAATAAGGAGGAAATACTCATGACAATTACAGTTCTCGTTTCTGCAACTGGTCACGTGGTCGTAGCTGGTATTGATAACTACCTTCTTCTACTACCCACTCTGTATTCCCTTTGCCTTCAGCAAGCACCTCAGTGGGTTGTGGATTTTTACCTTGTGGACTGACCCAAACTTTCATTCCTGAAGGGTCTGGGCCATTTGTAGTCCTGTTTGGATTGGATTGTTGTAGTTTCCCATTGACCTTAATTACAGACATTCCTGGGAGGAAGAGCTGCTGACTCAAGGGGTAAGGGCCTGGCAGTAGAAAGGGCATGTGTGCAGCTACCCCATCCGTTTTACTCTGCCCTAGTGACACCCAGGTTCCCGCCTCTCGGAAAGCCTGGTCTTGTGACCTAGGGGACTTTGCTGGAGGTAAGGTGACTTGCTAAGTCACCAGCTCCTGGACTGACATGCTACAGCTCAGTTCCCGGCAATTATTAACAGTTGAGTCCCCAAGATGCAGGTGGTGATCAGCAGGCCCTAGGCAGCAGCCACTGGCCAGGGAAGCAGACTCAGAGCAGAAGAGGGAACAGGGACAGAGGGAGACACAATTCTGTCTGGCTCTAGAAGCCTCCACTAGATGGTGGTAGGAATGGATTTGCCCCATCCACTTTAGTTTGCAGGTGTTCATAAGCTCCCAGATAAGTTCTGCACATTAGCAGGAGTGGTTAAGAGTTTGTATCTGGAGTCAGATGGGCTAGATTTAAATCCTGGCTCTGACATCTACTAGCTTTGTGATTTTCACAAGCTAATGATTCTCTCCAAGATTCAGTTTTCTTCTCACATATAGAGTGATCTTAAAGGTGTCTATCCCATAAAATTGCTGGGGAAATTAAGCCATATAAAACATGGTGCCTTGCACATGGTAGGCACCAGTGTAAGGCCCCAGTGTAAGGTAGTCATTATTATTATTAGCTTTGATATGTGGGACATATTTTAAAAGTGGCTAAGGGTTTGCTGTCAACATGCAATAAGGAATGTGATAAGATAATTAAGTAACAACAAATAGGTTAAGATGAACCTTTATCCAAATCATCTTATATTATTACTAATAATAAGTGGATAAGAGTTGAAACAATTTAAAAGATGGTTTCATAGAGATTCCTCAGAGGAGCTAAGAACCAAAACATCAATAATGGAATATAGAAACCTATTAGCTAGGCCAGGCATGGTGGCTCACACCTGTAATCCCAGCACTTTGGGAGGCTGAGGCAGGCAGATCACTCGAGGTCAGAAGTTCAAGACCAGCCTGGCCAACATGGTGAAACCCCATCTCTACCAAAAAATACAAAAATTAGCCAGGCATGGTGGCACGTGCCTGTAGTCCCAGCTACTCAGGGAGGCTGAGGTGGGAGGATTGCTTGAACCTGGGAGCGGAGGTTGCAGTGAACCAAGATCTCGCCACTGCACTCCAGTTTGTGACAGGGTGAGATCCTGTCACAAACAAACAAACATACCTATCAGCTAAAAATCCCATTGACATTTACAACTGCTAAGTAAAGAAATATAAGGCCTGGTCACCATAACACTCTGCTTGGAATTACATCCCATTACCAGAAAAGCCTGAATTACTAATGGTAACACATTAGATGACAGGAACAAAATATGAGGCTTTCTCTCTCTTCCTGCACTGAGTCCCCTACCACTGGACAGACTCCATTGACCTGGGCCAGGCAGCCACACAAGTGTCTGGAAGGCCCACAGAACACAGAACACAGGGACGGAAGCCAGAACTTGACTAAGCCTCAACCCCAAACTAGACTGAACCCACTGATGTGTGAGATCACGAGCCCAACCCTAGCAAGCATCCTTTGTCTCCTACTTGGAGGGGGGATGTGATGTGAGACGTAATTTGGAAAACTGAGGTTTACTCCTTTTAAAGCCCTAAAGCTTAAAAACAAACTTATATCATTTTGGGAATGTCTTGCCTATTCTCTTGCCATCTTAAGTATACCATAAGAAACCCAGAACTTTGGGGGGCTGAGGCGGGCAGATCACCTGAGATCAGGAGTTCGAGACCAGCCTGGCCAACATGGTGAAACACCGTCTCTACTAAAAATACCAAAAATTAGCCAGGTGCAGTGGCGAGCGCCTGTAATCCCAGCTACTCAGGAGACTGAGACAGAAGAATTGCTTGAACCCAGGAGGCAGAGGTTGCAGTGAGCCGAGATTGCGCCACTGCACTCTAGCCTGGGCAACGAGAGCGAAATTCCATCTCGAAAAAAGAAAAGAAACCTCTTCAGCTCCTTTTTGATGTGGATGCATCATCACTTTGAATGTCCATGCCATAAATACAGCAGGCAAGAATGTAAGCCTATTTTCCCTGAAACTAAATGGCTCCAAAATACCATTTGTTCAGACATTCTTTCCTTTGTTTTTGCATACCGTTTTACTGTTTCCTCCTTTGCTGATATGCACCAGTTAATATTTTCTGCTTCTTTTAAGCAAACTGGTCAATATCCCTGGCTTTTACCCCATCGTGTGGCCATATTTCAATAAAATCATGACATCCTATTTATGCCTTTTCATTGTAGATGTATTTTCAGGACCACAACAGACCCTGCATCCTGATGCAGAGGGAGGTTTGATTCCAATCCCACCCCCATAATCACAGCAGTGTGACAAGTGTTTCAGCTGTTCAGTATTTACCTTTTTGTTTGGCAAGGTTTGACACAAAAGGGTATTTGGGGTTCTTAAATGTCATTTCTGCCTGAGTTGAAATTACATTCTTTCCCTACATTCATTTTCTATTGCTGCTGTAAAAAACTAACACTAAACTTACAGGCTTAAAACAACACAAATTTATTATCTTACAGTTTTAGAGGTCAGAAGTCCAAAACAGGTCTCACTGAGCTAAAATCAAGGTGTGGGCAGGGCTGTGTTCCCTCTGGAGGCTCTAGAAAAGAATCCATCTGCTTATCTTTTGCAGCTCCTGGAGGTGCCCACACTTCTTGGCCTGTGGCCCCTTTCCAGCTTCAAAGCCAGCAGTGACCAGTGAAGTCTTCCTCCCGTCACATCGCTCCGACACTCACTCTTCCGCCTCCTTCTTCCTCATTTAAGGCCCTTGTGATTGCACTGACCTCACCTGGATGACCCGGGCTATGCTCCCCCTTTTAAGGTGAGCTGTCTAGCAACCTAGTTTCATCCACAGCCTTCATTCCCATTTGTCATATGAGCTAACATAGTCACAGGTTCTTGGGATTAGGACTCAAACATATTTGGGGGACTACCATGCAGCCTACCATAGTCCCCTTTTTATGATAAGCATCTTAAAGTGTATTAATAAAAAACAACTAGAAAATACTGTGAAGCAGGCCAGGCACGATGGGTCATGCCCGTAACCCCAGGACTCTGGGAGGCCAGGGCAGGAGTATCACTTGAACCCAGGGGTTCAAGACCATCCTGGGCAACATAGGGAGGCCTTGTCTCTACAAAGAACTTTCTTTAAGAAAAGGAAAATACAGTGAAGCAAAGTGGAAGGGAACAGTAATTCAACCTGCGTTAGAGCCTAGCTGCACTCATTCTTTTAGGGGTCTGTGAAATCGTTTTGATTTCCATGAGGTGTATTTGCTGGCCATCTTTCAGAATGAACTTTAAAACAATGAGATACCCGTAAACCATTATACAGTAATTTGCTACTTTTATCGGAATGGTGCAAGTTAGGAAACCAGATCATTTATTTTGGACTTGTATCAAAACTTCGCATAACAAATATTTACACGATGCTCATCAAGTGTCAGGAACTGTCCTAAGAGCTTTTGTGTATCATTCCAATCCTCTCAGAACCTTCAGAGTATAGGTTTGCTAAGCTCCTTTTATATATAAGGAAACCGAGGCTTGGACAGCTGCTGCTGCTAATTAGCATGGATTTCCTTTAAAGAATCAACAGTCAAGGCAAAAAAAAAACCAAAAAACCCTCCTAGTTATCCCATTTAAATGAAGACCATAAGCCATAATATAACTGAAACACGACTTGAGAGAGTTTGCAATTATATAACCCAGTAAAGTTTGGGGAGCGGTCCCATTGGCAAAAACTACTGGTTGCTTATCCAACAGCCCCAACCTCACTCTCACCTGGCACTTCCCTCCCAGCCACTTGGTTTTGTTCCCCTCCTCCCAGGCGCCATGTTCTGATGTTCCTTAAGTGAGGCAGAGGGTGGTTCTTGATTGGCTTGAGCCTATCACAGCTGTCTCATTCCTGGATTTCTGAGTGATGGTTTGGACAAACACTTGGATGTGAGTGGAGCAAATGAGATATGAGGGAAGTCTGCAAGAGGATTTGGGGGGAGAGTTTCCTCACTTTCAAAAGGGAACAGATGATAGGCACAGTTCCTTTTTCTATGTAGGGATGCCATTCTATGAGTATGTGATGCTGCAGCCGTGTTATAACCAAGAGCCAATCACTGAACATGGCAGAGCGGAAAGATCGGGAGAACCAAGGTCCCTGATAGTATCACTGAACTTCTGAGCTAAGCCCGGGACTACCTTTACCCCCAGACTTCTTGTAATGAGAGGCAGTAAAAATTCTTATCTTAAGCCAACCTGCAATGGGTTTTCTATTTCTTATGGTAAAAATGATCCTAACTGATACATTATTCAACTTGCCAAAACAAAGTTTTCTCTCAAGGGTAATTCTGAAAATTTTCTGACACAGAACAAAATGTTCTAAAACCAATCATTACCCAGAAAATTGGTGTGTTCTGATACCTGATGCTTCAAAATTAGGGAAGACCTAGATCCCAGCAAATTTATTTCAGGTTTAAAAGACTGAAAACATTTGTTTGGAGTGAGATGCAGGATTGGATACCCTGTATCCGGTGTGGCATCCGCAAATTCTTCCTTCAAACCCAAAGTCCCTGAGGATAGGACAAATGAAAGAGAAAGTGATGGCTGGAACTAAGGTGGAGGGAAGGCACAGAACAGCTCTGCCAAGGGAGGCTGAGGAGGACACTGCATGTTAAAACACGAGACAGAGCCTCTGAGGGCTTTGTTTATTTTATGTATTCTTCTGCCTACTCAGAGATCACTTTATTATAAAATATTGACTACAAAGAGAAAAAAGAGTTGAGATCTGAGTGCTTATAGTAACTCTTCTTTTAAAACCAACAGGGAACAATATTGCTAACAAAACGAATAGGTCAGTTTAATTTAAAAGTGTATCAATGAGGCTGGGCACAGTGGCTCACGTCTGTAATCCCAGCACTTTGGGAGGCCGAGGCAGGTGGATCACCTGAGGTCAAGAGTTGGAGACCAGCCTGACCAATATAATGAAACCCCGTTTCTACTAAAAATACAAAAATTAGCCGGACGTGGTGGTGGGCGCCTGTAGTCCCAGCTACTCAGGAGGCTGAGACAGGAGAATTGCTTGAACCCGGGAGGTGGAGGTTGCAGTGAGCCGAGACCACACCACTGCACTCCAGGCTGGGCAACAGAGTGAGACTCCATCTCAAAAAAAAAAAGTATGTTAGTGAAATTGAGAGGTGACAGCGTGCTGGCAGTCCTCACAGCCCTCGCTTGCTCTTGGTGCCTCCTCTGCCTGGGCTCCCACTTTGGCGGCACTTGAGGAGCCCTTCAGCCCACCGTTGCACTGTGGGAGCCCCTTTCTGGGCTGGCCAAGGCCGGAGCCCACTCCCTCAGCTTGAAGAGAGTTGTGGAGGGAGAGGCGCGAGCGGGAACCGCGGCTGCGGGCTGCGCTTGCGGGCCAGCTGGAGATACGGGTGGGCGTGGGCTTGGCCGGCCCTGCACTCGGAGCAGCCGGCCAGCCCTGCCGGCGCCGGGCAATGAGGGGCTTAGCACCCGGGCCAGCGGCTGCAGAGGGTGTACTGGGTCCCCCAGCAGTGCCAGCCCACGTGCGCTGCGCTCGATTTCTCGCTGGGCATTAGCTGCCTTCCCGCGGGGCAGGGCTCGGGACCTGCAGCCCGCCATGCCTGAGCCTTCCACCCACTCCATGGGCTCCTGTGCAGCCCCAGCCTCCCCAGTGAGCGCCGCCCCCCGCTCCACGGCGCCCAGTCCCATCGACCACCCAAGGGCTGAGGAGTGCGGGCGCATGGCACGGGAATGGCAGGCAGCTCCACCTGCAGCCCCAGAGTGGGATCCACTGGGTGAAGCCAGCTGGGCTCCTGAGTCTGGTGGGGCCTTTATGTCTAGCTCAGGGATTGTAAATACACCAATCGGCACTCTGTCTCTAGCTCAAGGTTTGTAAATACACCAATCAGCACCCTGTGTCTAGCTCAGGGTTTGTGAGTGCACCAATAGACACTCTGTATCTAGCTACTCTGGTGGGCCTTGGAGAACCTTTGTGTCTACACTCTGTATCTAGCTAATCTGGTGGGGACGTGGAGAACCTTTGTGTCTAGCTCAGGGATTGTAAACACACCAATCAGCACCCTGTCAAAACAGACCACTCGGCTCTACCAATCAGCAGGATGTCGGTGGGGCCAGATAAGAGAATAAAAGCAGGCTGCCGGAACCAGCAGTGGCAACCCGCTCGGGTCCCCTTCCACACTGTGGAAGCTTTGTTCTTTCGCTCTTTGCAATAAATCTTGCTACTGCTCACTCTTTGGGTCCACACTGCTTTTATGAGCTGTAACACTCACCGCGAAGGTCTGCAGCTTCACTCCTGAAGCCAGCGAGACCACGAGCCCATCGGGAGGAACAGCAACTCCAGAGGCGCCGCCTTAGGAGCTGTAACACTCACCGCGAAGGTCTGCAGCTTCGCTCCTGAGCCAGCGAGACTACGAACCCACCAGAAGGAAGAAACTCCGAACACATCCAAACATCAGAAGGAACAAACTCCAGAGGCGCCACCTTAAGAGCTATAACACTCACCACGAGGGTCCGCGGCTTCATTCTTGAAGTCAGTAGACCAAGAACCCACCAATTCCTGACACAAAATGATCCATCCAAAGGAATTCTAGAAAGCCCCAAAGTAACAATATGGGTCTTTATATATTAATATGGAAAGACATGCAAGATACATGTGAAATAAAAGTTGCAGAAGTATCTATAATGTAGGGGCAACAGGTAGTCCAGGTTTTCTAGGGACTAACGGGGTTCCTGGGATATGGGACTCTAGTTTTGAGACTTGAAAAGCCCCATGCAAACAGGGACAAACTGATCAACCTAGACAATGACATTTCACTTCTATAATGGTGACAAATATAGTCTATCAATTAAGGTTTTTTCAGGTGCAAAACACAGAAAACCCTGGCTTATTCGACTTACACAATGAGGATGTTTGCCATCATGCCCTTAAAGAAGTCCATATTCAACATGTCAGCTTGGTTCTCTGGCTCACTCCCTCATAGACACAGATGGCTGTCATGGTTCTAAGTGTCCAGTTCAAATAAGGTGACATCCAGCAGAGGAAGACAGGCCAGAATTGCATTGTGGGCCCTCTCTTAAGCCAGCCTTTGGCACAGGAATTAGCTTGGATTTCCTGAACAAGATGGGGTTGTTTAGAAAAGAACAAAGGTAGATGTTATACAGACAGCCAACGATGTCTTTTATGTATACATTTTTATATATCACATATATATATGCATTGAAAATTCTGCAAGAATATAAATAATGTTAATAATTATTATGAGAAGGAACTTGTGCTAGTTGAGACATAAATGTTTGTGATGTTTTTATTTTTTTATAATAAGCTTGTATTATCTTGGTAAGTAACAGGCATTATTTTTTACATTTAAAAATGAAGTCAGCTGGGCATGGTGGCTCATGCCTATAATCCCAACACTTTGGGAGGCTGAGGCAGGAGGATTGCATGAGGCCAGGAGTTCAAGACCAGCCTGGGCAACATAGCAAGACCCCTGTCTTAAAAAAATTTTTTTAATTAGCCAGGCATGGCGATGCTTGCCTATATCCCTAGCAACTTGGGAGGCTGAGGTTGGGGGAGAGATTGCTTGAGCCCAGGTTCAAAGCTGCAGTGAGTTATGATCTCATCACTGCTCTCCAGCCTGGCCTGTGCACAGTGAGATACTTTCTCTTAAAAAAAAATATCATTTAGGATTGAGTGCAGGAAAGAGGATTAATTTCACTCCAGATGTAGATGAGTATAGACAGATAGACTAAAAACTGATGGTGGCAGGAAGAGGCCTTCATCTGTAAACCTAAGTCAGTACTGAGGTAAAGAAATACATTCCAACATGCCATTTTTGTTCTCAGGTCAAATCACACACTGTTGAAACCATATGAGAATGCCAAAACAGTGAGGCAGATACTAAAAAGATTCAGGTGAATAAATTATCATTTTTGTTTTCAGAAGAGTTATCCAGAAAATGTACAATTTGTTACTACTTATCCATTTGGAATTTGGAAATGAAAATTAGTGGCCCTAAGTAGGATACAACAGGTTTGGTACTGAGATATATAAATAGGTTTTTCTTTTTCTTTTTTTTTTTTTGAGATGGAGACTCGCTCTGTCACCCAGGCTGGAGTGCAGTGATGCCATCTCGGCTCACTGCAACCTCTGCCTCCTGGGATCAAGTGATTCTCCTGCCTCAGCCTCCTCAGTAGCTGGGTCTACAGCCGCACACCATACCACCACGCCCAGCTAATTTTTGTATTTTTAGTAGAGAGGGGGTTTCACCATGTTGGCCAGGCATCTCAAACTCCTCACCTCAAGTGATCCACCTGCCTCGGCCTCCCAAAGTTCTGGGATTGCAGGCGTTGAGCCACTGCATACGGCCTATAAATAGATTTTAAAATTTAAAGTTAAATTAGATTTTTAAATTTAAGAGATTATTTAAAGAAATCTTTAAGTAAGTTTTGGCTGAAGTACAGTGGCGCGATCTCGGCTCACTGCAAGCTCCGCCTCCTGGGTTCACGCCATTCTCCTGCCTCAGCCTCCCAAATAGCTGGAACTACAGGCGCCTGCCACCACGCCCAGCTAATTTTTGTTTTTTTTTTTTTGTATTTTTAGTAGAGACGGGGTTTCACCGTGTTAGCCAGGATGGTCTCGACCTCCTGACCTCGTGATCCGCCCGCCTCAGCCTCCCAAAGTGCTGGGATTACAGGCGTGAGCCACTGCACCCGGCCAGTTTTGGGTTTTCTTAATATAAAATACAGCTGTCATTTGGAATAGGTTATTTCTATGACTTAGGTTGGAGTTTCCTAATCTGTACTCTGAAGAAATTTAATACATGTTCCATGAAAATAACAGATGCCAATGCTATTTTTTCCTACCAAAATTTATTCTAGAATAGCACATATGTGAAAAATATTATTTTAATTACGTAGTAGTCTGCCTATACCAGAAAGAGCTGGAACAATCCCCGCAGGACGTTTGCTCTGTACGCCAAGGACGGAGCAGTGTTTACCAAATGCCTTGTAAGCTGATGGCAGCAGGCCCTGAGAGGCACCTACACAGCATTCACTCTCTCTGCCTTCCTTTACAATAGAACCATGATTTTGTTCAAGGTACCCATGGGACCAGCTACAGGACTTGCTTTTTCTCAGCTCCTTTGCAGCTAGTAGTGGTCACGTAACAGCATTTAGGTCAGTGAGATGTAAGGGGATGTCTACTAAGTTGGCTTTCAGAGAAATGTTGTTTTTCTGGTGGATGAGAAAGGCACATTTTGCCTCTTATCCTTGTCCTCCTTCCTCCTGCTTGAGATGCAGACTTGACACCTGGATGTGCAGTAGACAGCTGGTGACCATGAGGACAAAAGCCACATGCTAAGAATAGTCACCCAGGGATCCAGATGAAGCTGGGGTCATTGATGACATCATAGAGTTACTGCATCCGCCCTGGATTGCTCATCTCCAAATTGTTTATCATAGGAAAACAAACACCCCTATTTAGTTAAGCCATTGGTGTCAGATCCCTGTTACATGCAGCCAAATGCAATTCTAATGTATATGTACCTTGTCACATAATTTTAGCATGTGTTTTAGTATCTGTGATACTGCAAAATGCATACTGAGCACTAAACAAATATATGGCACTAACTTGTTCTCCTTAGATCTACGGCTAAAATAAGAAAGCTTTAGATGAAAAGAAGTGTCTTCACTTGCTAGATGATATCTGAATCAAATGCAAATATAGAATACTTTAAAGTAGAGATGAGCAATTGAGCTTGAACTTTCTAAAAGGAAAAAAAAATCTAGTTGTAAATTGCCCAAAATGAAACCATGAACAGCATTTGAAGTAGCCTAATTTAAGAGGGCACAAATATCACACAGCATGCAGCTCTCATCCTCCGTCCCTTGGCTGCAGTGTATCTGGGCAAAGTGGACTTTTCCCAACACACTGCACTGAAAGCGTAGATCCAAAGCTGTGCTTCATACACCTCTTAGCCACAATGATGCTGTTTCCAACATGGAGATAAGTGATTTCTAAAAGATAGAAAATATTTAAGAAATATATAAAAGACACAAAATAGATTTAAAAACTCATTTTAAAAGTTTTATAAGAACGTGTGAGATAAAAGATGTTTTGACTGAACTTTTTTCCTTAAGGAAATTCATCTAGGTGGCCCTTTTCCTGGCCTTCTTTAATACAAGTTTGCATTAGAGCATATGCATATCTGCTGTTGTTCTGTCAAGATTGTATTATTTTTAATGTATTCTGTGGTCAAGTTTAAGTAAGTTTGGGAAACATCATTCTCAACTGACAGAACTCTAGTCTAGACCTAAAAAGAAATTTAAAAACCATAGTCCAAGAATAGGTAGCAGTGTGTCCAAGGAAATCTGCTAATTTTTTTTTTTTTTTTAATTTTTGGGGGCCCTGTGCTTCCCTCCCCACCCCTCCCCTCCCCTCCATTCCCTTTACTTTTCCTTTCCTTCCCTTTCCTTCTGACACGGTCTCACTCTGTCACCCAGGCTATAGTGCAGTGGCTTGATCGTGGCTCACTGCAGCCTCAGACTCCTGGGCTCAAGCCATCTTCCCACCTCCTCAGCCTACTGAGTAGCTGGGATTATAGACGTGTGCCACCATGCCTGGCTAATTTTTTATTTCTGTAGAGATGAGGTCTCCCTAAGTTGCCCAGGCTGGTCTCAAACTCCTGGGGTCAAGCAATCCTCGCACCTCCGCCTCCTAAAGTGCTGGGATTACAGGTGTGAGCTACCACACCCAATCCACGTTAACATTTATAAGGAGAATCTGCTCTTTCTCACTTGTATTTAGCTTTATGTTGTACCTTTTTTTTTTTCATAAAAAATCAGATTTTGAAAGTAGGTCATGTCCGTGGGAGAAAAATTCAAATATTATAGAAGTATCAAAAGCCCTTCCCTGCTGGACTCTAAACGCTGTGAGGGCAAGCGTGTGCCTTTCATTCTCCTCAATCTCTCCAGCCCCTAACCCTGCACACAGTAGGGGCTCGAAGTGGCAGCTCCCCACCCCCACCCCGTCTACTTCCTGGAGACACCCTGGGTTAACAGGCTAAGGTGTAATGCAGACCTGTCTTATGCAAAGTTTTAAAAATAAACATTTTAATTTTAGAATCGTCTTAGACCTACATAAAAATTATGGCAATAATACAAAGAGCTTTCATATTCCCACACCCACTTTTCCCTATTATTAACATCTTATGTTAGCATGGTACATTTGTCACAATTAATGAACCAATACATTATTATTATTAACTAAAGTTCACACTTTATTCAGACTCCCTTAGTTTTTGCCTAATGTCCTTTTCTGTTCTAGGATCCCCTCCAGGAAGCCGTGCTACATCCGTCATCATGTCTCCTTAGGCTCCTCTTGGCTGTGACAGTTTCTCAGACATCCCTTGCTTTTGATGGCCCTGAGAGTTTTAAGGAGTGCCAGTCGTGTATTTTGTAGGGTGTCCCTCTATTGGGATTTGTCTGCTGTTTTTCTCATGAATAACAGGGTGATGGCTTTTGAGGAGAAAAACCGCAGAAGTAAAGTGCCATTCTCATCACATCATTATCATGGTACATATTATCAACATGGCATCACTGTTGATGCTGATCTTGCCTCCTATGCAGATTTAACCATTCCTCATTCCTGCTAAAATGAAGTCCTTTGCCTTTCATGTCAAGGTGGGGATCTTGTTACAGTTCCGATAGTCAGTCTCCCTAGTTAGCTTGGACACAGGCAGCCTAAACACGGGGATGACTCAAAAGAAAGACATGTGACCTTCACACTGGCCCTGGGCATGGGAGGAGGGTGTGGGGTGAAGAAGAGTCAGGATGACATGCCCACTTCTGCCACTTGCCAAACTCACAATGGATGCTTGCCAAGGGCCAAGATTGGCTGCCAAGCAGGGACGAATGCCCATTCCTTTTCCTGTTAACTAGTGATGACCTTTCATAGTGCCACTTAGATTTTTTAACTCCATCTCATCTACACGTGCCTTCTTGCAGATGGTGACTTACTCCCCAGCACTCAGCAACAGCAGCAAGAATCCAGGAAAGCTGTGCCAGAGTACAAGAGAAAGAAAAAAGAAAACAAGAATTTGATCTGAAAAATTCACCAGAAAATGCCTAACCTTCTCCCATGACACAGCAAGGTTTTGCTTGGATTCTTCCTTGCATTATTCAAACATATAGTGAACAAGAATTCAAATTCTTTTTCCTTAGATGGAAGTAGAACTTGGAGTGTGTTTTTTCTTTATTCTGACACATTAACTAGTCAAAGTAACTGAACTAAACCACACACAACAATAACAAATTTTGTTACATAATTATTGTTTCAGTTAACGTTCATGAAGCATTTTATAATGTATCGGGAACCGTGCTAATTATTTTGTGCACATCATTCATTTGATGCTCAGCAACACTATGATGTTGTTACCCCCATTTTATAGAGTATAAAGTGAGGCACAGAAAGATTAAGTAACTTTCCCAAGATCACAAGGCTCCTAAGTGACAAAAAAGAAATATACACACGTCAGACTTCCCACTTCATACTGCAGAGCCGTTCGAAAAACTGCCATGCCATACTGCTATACCATTCAAATAAACCTGTACATCAGACTGATGCACCATTCAACAAACCACTACTCCATTCTGCTGCACCATTCAACAAACTATGCCATACCACTAAGCCACTCAGAAAACCCCTATATCATACTGCTGTACCATTCATTCAGCAAACCTCTACACCATACTGCTACATCATTCAAGAAAACACTAAACCATACTGCTATGCCAGTCACACTACTCCATACTGCTGTCTCATTCAGCAAACCACTACTCTATACTGCTACACCATTCAAAAAACAACTGCACCACTGCTACACTGTTCAACAAACTTCTGTATCATACAGCAGTATCTACAATGCTCCCAGCAACTTGCAAGGTGCTGAGGATAGCAGGGTAAATGAAACAGGATCCGGGCAAAAAGGATCTCACTGTTGGTTCAGTTATCCCCAGAAGGGCCAGGGATCCGGAAGTTCCCACACAACCATGAGCACACTCAGGGGTGTGGGAGAGTTGGCTGTCTAGAGGAGTCCTCAAGTCAGGATAAAGAACTTCAGCATGTGCTAACTTTGAGACCAAAGGAAATGGCACAGAACACGATGACAATCCAAAATAACCAGTGATATTTAAAGTGTCTAGTAATTAGTTTGGTTCCAGCCAATCAGAAAAGACATCCATCCACCAGGATGAAGAACCAGACAATCTTTCAGTGACAGCTGTGGACAACTGGGAGGGGCTGAACATTAGTCCTGAGGCAGCCCCCAGAGATGGAGCAGTAAGTGCCCGAGGGGCCTGTATCACCACAGGGTTACCTAGGTGCCTTCCCCATCCCATCATAAGGAGGATGGTTGGGTGGGTTTTCAGCATCCATGGAGTGCTATTGTGTATGGAGAATGCTAGATGTTACTGTTTTCATTAATATCAAATTAGCTTATAAACTTATAAACCTCATCCCTCCCTCCCTCCCTCCCTTCCTTCCTTTCTTTTTACCCCTCCCTTCCCCTCCTCTCCTCACCTCCCCTCCCCTCTCCTACACCCTCCCCTCCTCTCCCCTCCCCTTCCCTCTCCTTCTGACATGGTCTCACTCTGCCACCCAGACTGTAGTGCAGTGGCTTGATCGTTGTTCACTGCAGCCTCAAACTCCTGGGCTTAAGCCATCTTCCCACTGCACTCTAGCCTGGGTGACAGAGCGAAACTCTGTCTCAAAAATAAATCAATAAATATATATAATAAAATAAAATAAACAAAACAACCCAAAAACAAAGAGCTCTTGTTCCTTTTAGTAGAAAATAGAGATTGAAATCTAACTGCTATTGAGATCCATATCAGATTCTGCCCTATGAGTACAGGTAGAGGCAACATCACTACTGCACCACTTTGTTGACAAAGAAATGTGTATTTTTAAGAGGTTTCATTGGTCAGTGTCCAGTCAGGAAAACGGAAACCACACTAGGAATTTCCAACAGAAGAGATATGATATAGGTAATTGATTACAATGGTGTTAGGTATCTGGGGAAAAAAGCAAAAAGAGAATGCTGAGGCAAACCAGAGATTAATAACCGAAGGGAGAAGCTACCACCTCTAGGACTGGGGAGCGAAAGGGAAGAGGTGGTGTTACTAGAAACCAGGACTTCAGAGGGCTGAGGCTCGGACACCTCCCCACACATCTGGTGCTCAGTCTTCCAACGAAGGGTGAAGCTCGGTGTGACCTTGGGCTCCTGAGGAAGGAGTGTGTATAGATTGTTTTGTTTATCCATTCATCTGTCAGCAGACACCTGGGTTGCCTCTACTTTTTGGCTATTGTGGCTAATGCTGCTACGAACATGTGTGTACATTTCTCTTCTCTTTTATAATCTTTATGCAGCTTTTTGACCCCCATTCTACAGGAGTAGTTCTACGCCATGGGAGACCTAGCACCTTCTTTCATCCTAAAATGAAGTACTTAAGTAAAACAGCCTACCAACCACATAATTTCAAGAAAATCAATATAATAAAATTTGTTTCATTGTCAGTGCCCAGGAATGATCATGCAGGGCAATTTAACAAAAGAGCCAGGCCAGGAGCAGTGGCTGACGCTTGTAATCCCATCACTTTGGGAGGCTGAGGCAGGTGGATCACCTGAGGTCAGGAGTTCAAGACCAGCTTGACCAACATGGTGAAGCCCCATCTCTACTAAAAAAAAAATACAAAAAGTAGCTGGGCGTGGTGGTGAGTGCCTGTAATCCCAGCTACTTGGGAGGCTGAGGCAGGAGAATTGCTTGAACCAGGGAGGCAGACGTTGCAGTGAGCCAAGATTGTGCCAGTGCCCTCCAGCCTGGGCGACTGAGCGACTGATCGTGCTCCAGCCTGAGCGAGACTCTGTCTCAAAAAACAAACAAACAAATAAACAAAAAAGAGCCAGATGCTCCACATTGCATGTGGTGGCCACAGTCACAAATGCAGACTGTCCAGGCAGCACTGCATTGGTGACTCATACACCACAAGTAGTGATACTTACTGGCATGATTTCCTAAAATAGGTAACCAACACTTAATAAAGTTTCAAGCAAAGCACTCTTTTTTCAATATGCACAGCAATTGCAATCTTAGAAATTCAGTGCATATTCATATTAAGCAAGAAATATTTGATGTTTCTATATAAAACAGAATCAGATTATTGGCTCAGATAATTTTCAACAGATTATTTTCCTTGAGGATTTCATACAGGATATTGGAAACCCATGAAGGACAGATTTGCTGTGCAGGATGGTCCAGTGCATTGCAGGACATCTAACATCCCTGGCCTTCAAACATTATGACAGCTAAGAGACTCCTCCAGACACTTCCAAAATGTCCTTTAGGAGGCAGTACTGCTCATATTAAGAAATTTCTACAGTAAGTAGTCTCTGCCTGTATCAGTTGTCTTCCCATAATAATGCAGTGCAACTGTGGCAGCCATGAGAAAGACCTTGCAGACTAATTAGTCTAATTCACCAATTGGTGTGCTCTGAAACCCACTGCCATGTTTGTGTCAAAGCCATGCCTCCCACAGGCTGCTCCCAGCCAATGGCTGAATGCGGTGGGGATTCTGCTGTTCCTAGGAGGCTCAAGACTCCTCTGACAGCTGGCTTTCACTTGAGGTTCCCCAATAGCTTTGCTACACCTTCCTGAGATTGCAGGACAGTCTAGGACATTTCCATTCAACCTTCCTTCCCTCTTTCCTTCACCCGGGATCAGACTTGCATTGCCTTCTGACAGCATTCCTAGCTCACAGCTCCCTCTCTATTTTCTCTTACATAAGAAAGTCCCTAATAAAATCCCTTGTACATTTTATTCTATCTTCTTTTTTTTTCTTTCTTTCTTTTTTTTTTTTTTTTTTTGTAGAGATAAGGTCTCCCTGTGTTGTCCAGGCTGATCTCGAACTCCTGAGCTCAAGCGATCCTCCAGCCTCAGCCTATCAAAGTGCTGAAATTATAGGCAGGCATGAACCACTGCACCCAGCTGGCATCTGCTTCTTGGAGAACTTGGACCAATACAGCTAAAAAAAAAAAAATGAAACCTCTGGGGCATTCAGCAATAAGTGTTTCTTTCTCATGTTTCAGGAGGTGGGGTAAGGGGCAGGAACTAGACAGCTCTCCTGATCTTGGCTGGGTTTGCTGCCATATCTGCAGGCTGACTGGTTGGTCGTTGGTCTGGAATGACCTCTACTATGATAGCTGGAGGACTCAGTCATGCTCCAGGTGACTCTCATCCTCCATCAGGCTAGTCCAGGCATGGTCTTATGGCAATGGCACAGGCACAAGAGAAAAGCTCAACATGTAAGCCCATTTCAAGTCTCTGCTTGTCTCAGGTCAGCCATACCCACTGGCCAAAGGGAAGCACATGATTGAGCCCAGATTCAGAATTGAAGGGCCCTGAAAAGCAACATGACAAAGGGTCAGGACACAGGGAGAGGTTAAAAATGGGACTATTTTCATAATCTATCACAATATCCATGCATTTGTCTTACAAGTGAAGCACTCTTCTTTCTCAATTTTTAAAAAATTGTAACTGTCCTTACAACTTTCTATAATCACATCATTGTAGAGTCACTTGATAGAGAGGAAGTCTAAAACACTGTGTATTTACCAAACGACTCAGAATTATTCACATGAGGCTCTCTAAGCAGGAAAAGACTTCCTCTATATTCACTAGAGGGTTAAAGTCATTTTCTCTTCCATGCAATGACCCAGGGCCATGACTGCTCATGACAAAGATTAGATCAGTTACAGGTAGCAAAGGATCTAAATTTTCTTTGTACATTCAAATGATTTATTGTATTTCCAAACTCCTTCCACACAAATGTACAGAAGTTAAGACATTATTATTTTTTAAATGAATTTGAGTGAATTCAAAGTTATCCCTGTGATAACATCCTTTACTTGCAGGCCAACATTCTTCCTTAAGTGGAAAGAAAATCTGTTGTGTTACAGGCCGGTAGCCAGGAATTACCTCTAAACCTAGGTCCACCTATGGCTGTAGGCACTGTGTGTAAACATCATTTGTCATGTGTGCCCTTGGAGAAAACGAATGGCGAACCACAGTTCTGGGCCCCTGTGACGTCTCACTGCTCCGAGCTTCTGTGATACTTACCTTTCTACTAAAATTGCACAACTCTGCTGTGGAACAAAATCAAATGTGGAGTCTTTTGCTCTATCATTATTCTTTCCTGTAAAAACAATGTTTTGTAATTTTGAAAATTTTGGGCCGGGAGCGGTGGCTCATGCCCGTAATCCCAGCAGCACTTTGGGAGGCCGAGACGGGCGGATCACCTGAGTTCAGGAGTTCGAAACCAGCCTGACCAACATGGTAAAATCCTGTCTCTACTAAAAATACAAGAATTAGCCAGGTGTGGTGGTACGTGCCTGTAGTCCCAGCTACTCCGGAGGCTGAGGCAGGAGAATAGCTTGAACCCAGGAAGTGGAGGTTGTGGTGAGCTGAGATCGCACTACTGCACTCTAGCCTGGGTGACAGAGTGAGACTCCATCTCAAAGAATAATAATAAATAATAATAATAATAATTTTGAAAACATTTAAATCTACTTAAAAGTTTCAAGAACAGAACAACACCCATATATCCTCATCCAGTTTTACCAGGTATTAACATCTTACCTCCCCCACTGCATCATTCTCTTTATATTTGTATACAATTCCTGTTTGCCAAGCCACCCAAAAATTGTGTGCAGACGCCATGACACTTCATCCCTAAATATTCCTTCATGGTCTGTCAAGAACGAGGCTATTGTCTTAATATCCAGAACACCATTGTCACCCCTTAAAAGAACTCAACATGAAGTTCAACATATAGTCCACACAAGATTTTCCTTAATTCCCTCAATATTGTACTTTTCTTTTCATCTAGATTCCATTGCATTTTGTTGTTATATCTCATTAATTTATTAACTGGAAGAATAAAATATATGTAGATGTTTGGGTCCTATCCCAGAGCTACAGAAACAAAATTTCCAGGGTAGAGCCCTGGAATCTGGCCTTTTCAAATTCTTTCTAGGTGACTCTGATGAAAGTTAACCCTGAGCTCTGAGCTCTACTTGTAAGACGAGTTACCTTTTTCAGGAGTCCATATCTTTTTTCCCAAATAGACTTTAGTCCACTCCAGTGAATTCTTACACCAAGCACAATAAATTCTTGTGAGAACTATAACTCATACTAACTGATACCCATTTCTTCTCCACCCTATCCAATCCCCCTCTCCTCTAATTCCACCAGCTTCTCACCTTATAGCATTGCACTTAGTTGGAAGGACTTGATTGGCAGGCTTTAAAGGCCTAACTCTAGATCTTATTTTGTTCTTTAATGCCGAACTCTGTTAATTCAATGCCCTTATAAATTATTCTTAATTGAATAATATGGTGGGGGAGGGATTGGCTTGTTGAAATGCAGGTTCCAAGGCCCTGCTCCAGGCTCAGGAATATGCATTTTATCAGCTGCTCTAGTAATTCTTACTCCCCAGTTTTGTATTCATTCTATGAGCCGTGCAGAGTGATTTATTCTTAGTGGGAAACTACATAAACATCTCATTGTGTTGTTGAATTAAATCCCTAGCCTTAGAACTGCCACCCACAAAACCCAGACACCAACCTAACTGGTGTTCCCATCTTCTAACTTGTCTTCTTCGGTGCTCTTATTTCACCAGACCCTTCTACAAAGAAAATGTCAGTTATTATGTCTTTAGCTAGTCTCTAAAACCATGGAGACAGACACTTTACTTCAGTTTCATTCTGACTTTTACTCCCATTCTGACCAAATTCCTTTTTTACTATTGACTCAAATTGTTTATCTGAGTCTGCACCTGACCTTTTGGTTCTAGGGGCATTTCTATGGCCCCTTTTTTCTCTTTTTTTCTTTTTGGTTTGTAGGGATGATACTGAGGGGAGCCTAGAAAAAGGATTACTGATTACAAAGTCATCAGTACTTTGATGCCAGTATGCCACTGTACACTAAGTTATTCACCACAGGAGAAAAAGAATTCATTTATTACTTTAGATTTTGTCTTTGCTTGCTCTGTTTGCTAAGTAGTCAGATCTATTTGGAGAGCAAATAATCTTTTTTTAAAAAAAAAATCACATCGTACTTCCTACAAAGTTGTGTTTTGCTGATATGGAAAGAACTAAACTGGCATTTAACCTTTTTAATATAATTGTTACTTCAACTATCTGGTATCTCTTAGGAAAAGTAAAAAGTACTCCAAAATCCAAATTTGCCTGTGATGAAGGACAAAATTTTCTTTTTTCAGTCCATTCATGGCAGAAAAATAACTCCTGCTCCATGATTTTGGTGATGTTCCTGGTGAATCTAGTGAAATAATGTGAAAAATATGTAAAGGTCATCAGATGTGAAGATAGAGCTGAGACAACCTCTTTGCTAGCAGAAGCCGGCGTGTGAGTACAATACACTATTCATGGATACATAAGTATATTGGGAGTGGCAGTCACTTTGACAAGAAAGGAATAAAACTATTGTTATCACTCTGTAAGTAAAAAATCTATAGCCATTCTTTAATGAGGGAAACTGAGTCTCCTTCATGATGGATGATGCAGTCCTGGTTTTAAGAACATGACTAAATCATGACAAAATAACTTTCTTTTATTTTATAAAAAATTGTATGTATTTATGGTGTAAAACATGATGTTTTGATATATGTATACATTGTGGAATGCCTAAACTATTTAACATACACATTTCTGCAAATACTTATTTTTTGTGGTAAGAACTCTTTAAAACTACTCTCTTAGCAACTTGCAAGTATACAATATATTGTTATTATCTACAGTCACCATCATGTACAATAGATCTCTTGAACTTATTCCTCCTATCTAATTGAAATTTTGTTTCCTTTGACCAACATATCTCCAATCCCCCCAATCACCAGCCTCTAGTAACTACCTTTCTACTTTCTGTATCAGTGAGTTCTACTTTTGTATAATAAATTCCACATATAAATGAGATCATATGGTTTCTCTTTCTGTGCCTACCTTAACAAAATATCCTTCAGATTGATCCATGTGGTTGCAAATGACAGGATTTCCTTCTTTTTAAAGGCTGAATAGTATTCCATTGTGTTTATGTACCACATTCTCTTTATCCATTCATCCTTTGATAGACAGGTTGTTTCCATATCTCAACTACTGTGAATAGTGCAGCAATGAACATGGGAGTGCAGATATCTCTTCAACATACTGATTTCATATCCTTTGGATATACATCCAGGGATTGCTGTTTTCATTGCTAATTTTTTGAGGAACTTCCATACTGTTGTCCATAATGGCTATACTAATTTACATTCCCACCAACAGTGTGCAAGTGTTCTCCTTTCTCCACATCCTCTATAACATTTGTTATCTTTCTTCTTTTTGTTAATGGCCACTCTGATACCTGTCAGGTGATATCTCATTGTGGTTTTAATTTGCATTTCCCTGATAATTAGTGATGTTGAACATTTTTTATAGACTTATTGGCCATTTGTATGCCTTCTTTTGAGATATGTCTATTCAAGTCCTTTGCCCATTTTTTAATCGGGTTATTTGTTTTCTTTCTGTTGAATTGTTTGAGTTCCTTATATATTTTGGATATTAACCGCTTATCAGATGTCTGGTTTGCAAATATACTCTCCCACTCTGTAGGTTGTCTCTTCCTTCTGTTGATTGTTTCCTTTGCTCTGCAGAGCTTTTTAGTGTGACATAATCCCATTTGTCTGTTTCCCCTTTTGTTGCCTGTGCTTTGGGGTCATATTTTTAAAATATCATTTCCCATACCAATGCCATGATGCTTTTCTCATATTTCTCATATTTTCTTCTAGTAGTTTAACAGTTTCAGGTCTTAAATTTAAGTTTTTAATCCATTTTGAGTTGATTTTCGTATATGGTGTGAGATGAGGGTTTAATTGCATTCTTCTGCATATGGATATCCAGTTTTCCCAGCACCATTTATTGAGAGACTGTCCAAAGCAAATTTCTAGTAGAGTTGTCTAAAGAAACACCAGAGCTAGGGCAAGTAGTGACTTATGTGTGCTGCGCTGGCCCACAAAACACGAGTATTTAAGCAGTAATGTTACTGTGGATTGAAGATGGCTGCAAATTCTTGATTATTCCCACCATGGAGTGATGGGATCTAATTCTCCTCCTTTGAATTTGGGCTGGCCTTAATGATTTGCTTGACTGACAGAATGAGAAAGAAGTAATGTTCTGGGACTTCTGAGGTTAGGTCAGAAGAAGTCTTGCAGCTTCTACCTACATTTCTTAAGACACTCACTTTGGGGGAAATCAATCACTACATAAGAGATTTGACTTCACCAAGATTGCCATACTGTGAGGAAACCCAAGCTAGCCACACTGAGAGAGCAACAGATGCCCAGCTAGCCCCAGCAGATCCAAACCCACTAGCCAAGGTGCCAGTCGTGTGAATGAAAGAGGCATCTTGGACATTCCAGACTCAATAGATGCAATGTGGGAAAGAAACGAGGATCCTAATAGATAGCCAGAACCTAGGCCTCAGGCAAAGGACCCCAAGTGAGCTGTCCTAGCCATCTCTAGCCATTAAGCCACCCCAGCTTGGGGTTTCAGTCATTGTGAAACAGAAATGAGACCTCCTGTTATGCCCTGTCTGAATTTCTGGCCTATAAAATCATGAGCATAAAAAAATTGGTGGTTGTTTTATGCCACTCCTTTTTGAGATGGTTGTTGTTTTATGCCAGCGTGGTTTAGGCTGGTTTGTTATGCAGCAACAGATAACTGGAACAGATGCTGAAGTGAGCATTTGTATTACTCAGTTATTGCTACAATAACGCAGTATAACACATGACTCCGGAACTCAGTGGGTTTCAATAAGCATTTATTTTTCTCACGCATGGGTCTGTGGGTTGACTGGGGTGTTCTTCTTTAGGCTGTGAGGCAGCTGGGTTTGATCAGGGCTGCAGGCTAAATTCAGGCACACTCCTGTCTTTGTTCTGGTGCCAGGCTGAAAGGGCAGCATCTACCCAAGGCATGCTGGGTCACACGTATGCAGGAGTCCACATGCGATTGTGTGAAAACATTTTGATGCCTCCGCTTGCATCACATCCACTTAGTCCACTAGCCAAGGAGCTAAATGGCAAAGCTCAAAGGCAATGGGGAAGGTAAACTCCTATCTAAGTGGAAGAAACAAGGGAATAAATTTTGGCTGAACAATACTTTAGCCTATCACGGGATCAGATGACAGTAGCGGTAATGCTGTCAGGCTGGATCACTTGTAAGGCGTTGCTATAATTCAGTACTTACGCATCCAGAAATCAGGGAAAACACATATAAGTACTGTGGGGGAAGGTGTCTAACACAGGAATCAACTTTTTTTTTGCACAAAATACCTACAAACAGGAGGCATGTAAAATTATCAAAAGACCAAAAAATGCAAAAGGAGAGGAAGAAAGAGGGAAAAAGGTGGCAGAAAGTGAACCCTTTCATAGAGAGATATAGTAATACCACCAAATGTCACGGAGGCCAGAAGAGGACACCTATTTCTTGGTTTGCCTCACAAGTAGGCAGAATGGCTACAGGGCAGCCCTCTGGAGATAAAAGGCCCCAAGAGACCCTTTCGCTAATTCAATGACAGATATATGTGGCATAGTATAAGGCACCCCCAAACAGTGCTCTCACACTCAGCACCACACGATGTCTAGTAGTTCAGGGAGTTCCCCACTCCCAATTGAGGGTTGACTGACTGTTATTGCAGCTTTGGAGTGCACAGGTACAGCATAAAAAGCTGCAAGCAGCAAGCAGAGTTGGTGCAAAGAGGATTCAGAAAGGCTATGGGAGGAATGTGGTATCTGAACTGGGACTGGATGGAGAGGCAAAACAATGTGGAAGGAGCACACAGCGCCATTTTTGCAGGAGGCATAGAGGGCACATGGCTAGAGAGCAGGCTGAGGCCAGATCATGGTAGGTCTCGAATGCCAGGATGAGGAACACATTCTTAATTCACTGGGAGCCACTGAAAGCTTTTGAACAAGAAGTGATATGAAGGAGTTGTCCTCCAATATCATTTTTCTGTGTTTCCTTAGTAACAGAAACTCCAATTTTTTAACTGGGTGGATGCCTGTGTAAAACAAAAATTACATTCCCTAACGTTTCTTGCAGAAAAGAATGGTCATTTGACTAAATTCTTATCGATGAAATATAAGAGAAATAATGTGTATGACTTTTAGGAAGTGTTTTTAAAGAGAGATGCCATGCCCTCATTGCTCTTTCTTTTCTGCTGGGTGAAAGCTGAACTTTATCCTAACATGTATATTACTCATTAGGAAGATTAGCCTGGGGCAAGGCAAAATACAGGATGGTTGGAACAAGAGGAGCATTGGAGGTGGGAAGACTAATTGGGAGAACATTTCAATAGCCCAGATAAGAAGTGAGGAAATAAGAACTGAGCCAGTGTGGTAGCAGTGGGAATAGATGGGATGGGCAGATGTGATAAATATTGTGAAAGGAATCTCTGTGGGACTTGGCAATTCATTAGATGAGAGAAGGCACCACAGAGGGAAGAATCAAAGTTCGCTTTGAAGTTTCACACAGAGGTGACTGGGTCATCAATTATGTTTTAACCGAAGGGATGAGCAGGTTTGAGGAAGGCAACCATGAGTTTGGTTTTGAACATTTTAGTTGGGACGCCTGCAGGATATTCAGGTGAAGATGTAAAACAGGCAGCCGAAGACTCATTTCTGGAGCATGATTTGAGAGTCTTTTGCATAAACGTGGTAGTCAAAACAAAGGGAAGGGCTGATTGGCAAAACACAGTGTGTGTCTGTAGGAATTACTCTTTCTTCAGTGCACATAGAGAAATGAACTGCATTCTGGAAAGCCAGATATAAATATGTGCAGCTCTTCATCTGACACTACCTCCCCCGCCCACCCCCCCCCCCCCCACACACAATCCTTACAAGTTCTAGCCAATAGCTGGCTGGCTCCAAGCAATAAAATACTCACTGTCTCAAAATTTGGACAGCTCCTTAAAGTTCCTTATGAAGGCATTTTGATTTGCACAAATATGTCATGACATGTTTTAAGATGACTCCTTTATAGCAAGAAATCTATAGTAAATTGCCTTCCTCCTTAATTGAGGTTAGCCACAATTAAGTCTTCCCTTGCCTGGCACAGTGGGTGGTGCCAGCTACCAAGGAGGATCCCATAAGCCCAGGAACTGGGAGACCAGCCTGGGCAACATAGCGAGACCTTGTCCCAGAAAGAGAGGAAAGAAAGGAAAGAAAGGGAAAGAAGGAAAGAAGGAAGGAAGGGAGGGAGGGAGGGAGGGGGGGAGGAAGGAAGGAAGGAAGGAAGGAAGGAAGGAAGGAAGGAAGGAAGGAAAAAGAAAAAACAAAAGACCACCCACGGAAGTCTTTAAAGAACAATTCACAAGCAGAATAAAAAAATATAAAAATATAATAACTGTGATACAGTAAAAAGACTCAGCAGAAGTTTCCCTTGTAACTCGCGTGGCCAAAGCAGATATCAAATAAAAGATGAAATAAACAGGAAATCCATAGAACGTGAACAATAAGGAACCGTTCAGGATGGCCAAACCGCCGTCTGCGCTGTTTTCTCGCCAGGGCTCAGGCCTGGGAACGGAAGAGGTTAAAATCCAGTGGCTTGTGTTTCAGCTTTGGTTACGTGGCAGAAACCAACTGGAAGTGGTGGCGTGAGAGCTCTGTTTCTTCTAGAAGAGCTTTGCGTCTTAAACGCCCATACCGCAGACAGCTGCCTGGCGGGCGACCCAGCCCCATCCTGATGGCCCCAGGACACAAGCCCAGGAGCGCCCCGGTGCGCGCGGTTCCGCGGCCCAGGGGCGCCGGGTTTGGTGGCACAGCGAGCCCCCTTTCTCTAGCGGTATGGCTGCGTTAGAGCCCTAATGAGCGCGTGCGAAGGCTCCCCTTATTCATCCATCCTCCGGTCCGTCCTTTGTCTCAAGGCCGGGGCCTTGCTGGGCACCATGGCGTGCTTTACCGCACAAGCCCCTGAGGACCCCTGGAAGAAGGGATCTTCCGCAGGAGGGGACGCGACGGCAGGACCGCCCCGGGCCCCCTCACCGCGCCCGGCCCCCTGGCGGGAGAGGCCGGCGAGCTCTGGAGAGGAGCGCGGGCCGCGCGGGGCGAAAGCGCCACCCGGGAGAGAGGGATCCTCCCCTCTCCTCCTCTCTTCTCCCCTCCCCTCCCTCCCCTCCCACAGTCCTCAGGAGGAGGAACGCCGCTGCGTTCTAAGTTCTCCCGGGCCCTCTGGCCCCGAGGACTCAGATCCCGGCCGCGGGAGAGGGCCCGGCAGGTGCCAAGGAGCCCGGGCGGTCCTTCAGCCCGCACTTCCCCGCGGTCGCCCGGAGCCGGCCTCCGTTAGCCGGGCGGGTAGGCGGCTATTGGCGCCAGGATTGGCCGGCGCCGCCCGCGCCCCCGCGGCCTCGGGTGGAGCCTCCCGCCCGGCCGCCCCCTGCGGCACCCGCGACACGGGTGGGGACCAGAGGCTCCCGGCGGCGGCTCCCGGCGGCGGCTCCCGGGCTGTGATTGGCCAGCGCCACAGGGGGCGGGACGGCGGGCGTGAAGTGAGCGGGCTGGGGCCGCTGGCGCGCCCTCCTACTTCCCCGTCTGCGTCCGCGTTCGCGGCTCCCGTTTGCATCATCTCCAGCCGGCGGCTGCTCCAGGGAGGCTGGGCGCGATCCTCTCCGCCCGCGGCTCCAACCCGCACTCTGCGCCTCTCCTCGCCTTTCTCGCACCTGCTCCTGCGCCAGGCCCGGAGACCCCCGGGGCGGCTTCCCAGAACCTGCGGAGCACAACTGGCCGACCGACCCATTCATTGGGAACCCCGTCTTTTGCCAGAGCCCACGTCCCCTGCCACCTCTAGCTCGGAGCGGCGTGTAGCGCCATGGAGAAGAGCAACGAGACCAACGGCTACCTTGACAGCGCTCAGGCGGGGCCTGCGGCCGGGCCCGGAGCTCCGGGGACCGCGGCGGGACGCGCACGGCGTTGCGCGGGCTTCCTGCGGCGCCAAGCGCTGGTGCTGCTCACCGTGTCCGGGGTGCTGGCGGGCGCGGGCCTGGGCGCGGCGTTGCGCGGGCTCAGCCTGAGCCGCACGCAGGTCACCTACCTGGCCTTCCCCGGCGAGATGCTGCTCCGCATGCTGCGCATGATCATCCTGCCGCTGGTGGTCTGCAGCCTGGTGTCGGGCGCCGCCTCGCTCGATGCCAGCTGCCTCGGGCGTCTGGGCGGCATCGCTGTCGCCTACTTTGGCCTCACCACACTGAGTGCCTCGGCGCTCGCCGTGGCCTTGGCGTTCATCATCAAGCCAGGATCCGGTGCGCAGACCCTTCAGTCCAGCGACCTGGGGCTGGAGGACTCGGGGCCTCCTCCTGTCCCCAAAGAGACGGTGGACTCTTTCCTCGACCTGGCCAGGTAACACTCTCCACCTCTCCCAGGGCCCAGTGGGAGACGCCAGTTCTCGGATGCCCTCCAGTTCATACACCCATATGCTTATACACTCCTAAGAGTTAATTCTTAGCTGGCTGCTGGTGGCGTTTAACGTTTTAAAAATATCAAAATGACGTCTGGAGTTTTTGCGTGCTGACCACACCTTTGCAAACAGCTGGGGCGCACCGCACAATCGAAAGAGCAGGGCCGCATCTTTGAGCAAGAACCAGTCCCCACCGTTAGGTGGGCGTTTGTTAGGGAAGAGCCAGCCGCCCCGCCTGTTCTTTACTCCTTATACTCTCGCGCTGCTCTCCCCGGTAAAAATGTTCCGACCACGCCCCAGTGGCTTCGCCTCATTTTCTCCCACATGGTGCCTAAAAGCTTCTGGGAGCATTGGTTAAGTTTTGCCTCTTGGGTCATCCGGCTTGCAATCTATGGCCTTCTCTGTTACAGTCCTTGGCTGCGAAGGAAGCTGGCAATTTTCTGCAGTTATCAGTGGACCCACGGATAATAGGGCTGGGGTTAGTTGAGTGAGACATATTGCCCAGAAATATGCCTCTCCTGAGGGCTTGGGGCTTGGGACAGGTTGCTGTCCACCCCAGTAAAGACCACGGCAGAGTGCTGTGTTTCAAAGGCCTTTCTTTGTGCGAAAGTGTGAGTTCTAGAGGGGAGGGAGAGAAGCATCTTCACTTAGTTTTGCCTGCTTTTTGCAATTCTTAGAAGTTGCATTTCATCCTTTGAGATGATGTAGTATCCTTTCTGTGACTTATCCAAAACCTTGGTCTCTCCTGGTTTCTCCATTAGCCCAAAGTTCACAAATGGGGAAACTGCAGCCCGGAGGCATTTACTGATCTAACCAGGTTCAGTTGAGTGAGGAGTCCAGCTGGCTCCTTCTCCAGATTTCTGATGATTTTGGATTCTGAGCCTTGGAGTTATTAATATATTTTGTCTTGAGTTATTGAGGCAAAGCTCCTCATTGCTGAGGTTGTGAAAAACAGCAAACCCTGGGCAAAGTGACTTGCCTTTCCAACTGTTTCCATTTCTCCTTCTGGAAAATGTGATGGCTGTCTGCACTTAAGAGAGAGATTGTTCACTTAAAACAACAAAAATCTAGGACATCCGTATTTAAAAACAAACAAACAACAACAAAAAAAAACCACTCATGAGGGAGACCAAAAGTTCTTGCCAAAAGGGCAGATAGTGGTGGCCTATTAGGACTTTTAAGGGGATCACAGCTTTTTTTTTTTTTTTTTTTTTTTAAAGTCTGGGTCTTGCTCTTTTGCCCAGACTGGAGTGCAGTGTTGGGATCCTAGCTCACTGCATCCCCGAACTCCTAGGCTTCAGCGATCCTCCTGCCTCAGTCTCCAGAGTAGCTGAGATTACAGGTGCACACCACCACACCCAGCTTTTTGTTTGTTTGTTTGTTTGTTTTTTGAGACGGAGTCTCGCTCTGTCACCCAGGCTGGAGTGCAGTGTGCGATCTCGGCTCACTGCAAGCTCCGCCTCCTGGGTTCACGCCATTCTCCTGCCTCAGCCTCCCGAGTAGCTGGGATTACAGGCGCGTGCCACCACGCCCGGCTAATTTTTTGTATTTTTTAGTAGAGACGGGGTTTCACCATGTTAGCCAGGATGGTCTTGATCTCCTGACCTCGTGAGCCACCCGCCTCGGCCTCCCAAAGTGCTGGGATTACAGGTGTGAGCCACCCTGCCTGGCCCCAGCTAACTGTTTTAAATTTTTTTAGAGATGGGGTTTCACTATGCTGCCCAGGCTGGTCTAGATCACAGCCTTTGTTCTGTGACTGGCAGCTTGATATTTGGAGTCCAGACACTTTTTAAGTTTGGAAACTAACTTTTAGGTGAGTGCTGAAAAGAAGTCTCCTGAGGTTGAGAGCACCTTTAGCCTATTACCTGTAGGAGGTCGGTCAGCTCTCTCAGGGAGGAAAGGCAATAATGGGGTTAAAGGATTATTCTTTGCAGGGATCTGTGGCCCAGGGAGGGAGAATGGATGTTCAGCTCTGTCCTGCTATGGTCCCGCACCGGGAGCCTCAATAGGATCTTTTAACTCCAGAAGAGGGGGCAGTGGTGGTAGGGGGTACCTCATTACCTCCTGAAGGGACTTCTTGTTTCCTGATCATGGTTTTCTAGTTTTAGACCCAAGCCCCTTCACCTCCTGCTTCTGACATGGATGGTGACCCAGCGTCATAGCTTAGTAGTGTGGGTGCAACTTTTCAATGACTTGGGCTGCACCTGCATGGAGGGCTAAGAGAGGCTTTGTTGTGGCTTGCTGGGGATAGGTATTGCTTCATAATTCTTCCAACAGCCAACTTCATCTAATCCAGCAGCTCACGGATAAAGGTAGGGCAGGTGGTATATCCCATTTTATGACTGACAAAACTGAGACAGAGATTAAGCGATTTGCTCAAGGTCATGGAGTGGCTTATAAAGAAGAGATTAGAAGGACTGTGGGTCTCCTACCCCACAGTGCAGGGTTCTCTCTCTTTCTCCTAATCCCTCTTCCTCCAAGTCAACATGCCTTAGTAATGTCACCTGCCTAGTCTAGTGTGGCTATCTCAGAAATGCTTTCTCTGGGCCCAGAGAGGAACCAGGTAGGCATATGACTGGGTAAAGACAAATGCTCCTTTCCTCCAGCCAGCGTGGAGGCTGAGCTCCTCAAGTGAAGGAAAGTATGTGTGCACCGCTGAGGTTTGGTCTCAGGCTGAAGCAGCTTGTGAAAGGAAACTAAGTCCCAAGCCACCCGGAAATGCTTCCTGAGTCTGGAGAGTCTCTGACATCAAAATTAAAAAATTGCTTCCTTCAAGGAAACTTCACGGATGTGGATTTCATGTGACTCTGGGCATCTTCTTTGGAAAGGCAGTGCCCCATTCCTTTCTTCCTAGGGGCACGTGAATGAAATGAGACTCTGCCAGTAAACGCCTCAGTTATCCAGCAGGCCCTCTCGAGGTAGCTGCTCAGAACTTAAACACCTGGAAGAGTGGGAAAGGCCTCTGATGAGTCAGCATAGCTGCTGCTGAGGCTTTGTGCTAAAGTCCATGCCCTTTCCTGATGGTAAAGTGCCCCCAAATCCCCCAGGGTCTCTCTGTCATGATTTCTAATTTGGTTTTTAAAGCTGGAACTACAAGTCAGAAAGAGATGAAGCTAGTAGGTATTCATTACATGTGTATATGTTTTTTTAAAATTCAGAATGTCATTGCTGAGTGGTTTGATTTCCCAGCACACAATGGGTTAGAAATAACAATGTAGAATAGAGAATTGGGATGAGAAGGCTGGAGCTAGAAGCAATGAGAAGGGATGGCCAATAGTAGCTGGCAGGTGGAAGAATCATAGTCTCTTCCTGAGCAGCCCGGAGTTCTGTGCCTGGGAATCCAGAACAGTATAGGACTTTCAGAACCATGTGTGACCTAAGTGGTTGACTTGTGGGTTTTTATCCAAAATGAAATGGTTGGGCACCAAAGAGACAGAAACAGGTTATCAGGAAACTAGTCATTGTGGAACTTCTTGGTCCCTAACAATGCTTACTGGTTGTGGGACATGTCCATAACTTTTCCATTCCTTGGTTTCCTCATCTTTATTATGGGAATCATGATGGTACCCACCTCGCAGGATTGTTCTGAGGGTTAGCTGGGTTGTGTCTAAGAGCTCTAAAGCTCTTCTGGGTTCTAAAGCTGTTAGAACAGTGCTGGCCCAATACACCTGTGCTCTTGTTATAAATAGAGTGATTGGGTTTTCCAGTTCACCTGAGCTAATGGGGATGGCCCTCTTTCCGTAACCTGAAATAAATGAGGGTAGATGGGAAGAAGAGGAATGTTTAGGGGAACTCAAGATGACTTGAAGCTAATGTAGTCTCTAGGTGTATTGGGAACCACATGGCATCTGGAGGAGAAGTGAACAGTAACTGACTATGTTTTAGACTACTAATTAATAGAGTCACACTATGGAAAATTTGGAAAGGGAGAGAAGTCAAAACTAAACACAGAAGAGCCTTCCATTCTGAAATGGGACAGAAGTCCCCACAGATTCTCACTGACATTCCGGTTTCTTTTTCCCCTGCCTTACATGCTTATGATCTCCAGTTGACCTCCGCTATAAATTGAAGGGATTGAGGCAAATGGTTTCTAACATTCCTTTGGGCTCTAAAGTTTGTAGTTTTCAAATGGAGAACCAAGGTGTAACTGCCAAGGAGGCAGGTAGGGACAGAGCCTAGGCCCAGGGCTCTGGTCTGTGCTGGCAGCCAGAAGAATGGCCGAGGGCCACCATCTTGCAGTAGCATAGTAGGGTGTGGCCATGTATATGGTAAATACAATTAGGATTTTGTCTGTTGCCCAGTTTTCTAGGGTTTTTTTCACTGCTCGTGCTAATTTTCTTAATAGCAAACCATGCTCTGAGCCTTTCCCTTCACAGAGGGAGGTGTGCTGGACGTACCTCCTTCTCAAGGACTGGTGTGAATATGTATGATGCTTCTCAAGCTGCAAAGAACACATTACTTGAATAGGTGCAAAAAAAAAAAAACTATCAGAGACTGAGATTTAATATTAGCCCCCTGTGCTTGCCTTGGCAGCACATATACTAAAACTGGAACAATAGAGGAGACGAGCGTGGCCTCCGTGCAAGGATGACACACAACGTGATGTTCCAATGTGAAGCGTTCCATATTTTTTAAATTAAAATAAATAGTAATATTAGCCACCAGATGGCAAAGTTGAGGAGTGAGTTGTGAACAATTTCTTTACATTATTGACTGTGGCGGGTTGTTGTAACTATGCCCATGTCTCTTCTATAGGCAAGATGAAGACAGCACATCTAACAAGGATCCAAATTAATGGCATTGTCTCAGCCTAACTAGTGATGAAAGGAAAATAATAGCAGCTTGTAATTTTTTTTAAAAAAAGGTTCTCACTCTTGACCATTTCTTTTACCTCCCAGGAGGACACCTGAATAGTTTAGAGACAGAAAAAAGCATCAACCTAGGGAGGTGGGTAGTGATGAAGAGCAGACACTAAAGCCAACCACCTGGGTTTGAAGCCCAGCTCTATGACGTACTTGCTGTACGTGCACAAGTCGTTTGTCCTCTCTGTGCCTGAGTGTCCTTATCTGTAAAATGAGACTAGTGAGACCTACAACCTAGAATGGTTGTGAGGATTAAATGAGTTAATATATGAGTGCTTTGCCAATATTCTAGTGTGTCCCACCCTCTCAGGGACAGCTGAGGGCTATTTGATATGATGCATGAATGCTGCTCTTAACTTAATTTCCCCCAAAAGATCCCCACTCCAGGGGTTCAGCCTTACCCTTTCCAGCTGGAATCTAAAACTGGATGGAGGCCTTAAAGAGAGGATGGATTCACACCCCCATCATCAGAGTGCAAGTCCACCAGCCCCAGCCCTTCCTCAGCTCAGCCTTGTAGGGGGTACCAAGATCTGAAGGGTCACATCCCTGTTAACTGGCTCTGTTACAATAAATACTAGCGATAATAAATATTTATCAGGTGTACATACCATGCCATATCCTGTTCTGAAGAGTCTTTGAAATTTTAATAGATTTGGTAAAGAATTTTTGAACTTAAATAAAAGGAAATAATTCTGGAACAAAATATGCCCAAGCAAAAGTAAATTGTTTTACATTCTTTTCATATAGAACAGAGAAATGCATACCACCCTTGACAATAGGATCAGAAGAACAAACAGTATCAGATGTTACAGAACGTTTTTGAAGTTTTTCACTGTGTGAGCTGCATGGGTCTGCACAGCACCTCCCACAGTGGTTCTGCATTGGCCAGTTCAACCTCATTTCATACCAGTTTTTCTGTTTGTTTTAAGTAATGTATTCAAAGAGTCTTATAGCGCTGGAAAAGCTTGTTCATTCATTATCTCCTGGCTTGGACTGACTTGGGCCTCTAGATTTAGTAGTGTATCTTAGAGGTTTCACACGTTTTTAATTTTGACCTACCATAAAAAGTACATTTTACATTATGGCATCCACACTATACCCGCCCCCCAACTCCCACATACTCAAACCAAAACACAGGTTCCACCAAACAATATTTTAAGTGTGATATATACTGATATTTTTGTCTAATGTATTTCATCTTTTATAAAATACTGGTTAAAGCCAATACACTGATTTAATGGTCTACTGATATTTGAGAAACTTTGGCCTAATACATATGTAATTCAAGTAGATCTCTCAGGATCAAACAACAGAAAAAGGAAATATTTGCAAACTTGAATAAGATGAGGAGCTCAGTGCTTAGAAGCATCCTAACACCCAGTGAAAGTGGGTGATGTGCAGAGGCGAACACAGGATGACCATTTGGTCCTCCTGACTTCTGGACTCTGGATTTCAGTACTCTACATCTGGGCTGTCCAATACAATAGACACTAGCCACATGTAGCTATTTAAAATTACTTCAAATGTAAATAAAACTTAAAAATCAGTTCCTTGGTGGCACTAGCTACATTTCAAGTGCTCTATAGTCCAACATGGCAGCACAAATGCAGGCATTTCAGTTGGACAGTGCTGGCCTAGATGGAGCAGAAATGGGAGATGCTCAGTGACTGGGCATTGGTGTCTCTATGTGCTAAATGAGGGGATAGAACTGGATCACCTCTAAAATCCCTTCCAGCTCACTGTCTCTGATTTCAAAAGCCCATGAAGCTACTGTGTGAACATGAGGAGTTGGGAAAAATGCCTGAAGACAGAGCTCTGGGAAGCAAAACTGTTTGCCAGAGAGGCAGCTGATCCCGGATTAGAAGAGAGCTCAGGAGTAAGAACCAGAGTTTACCGCAGCATCTGTGTCTGAAAGCCAAAGGAGAGAGGGAAAGTAGAGGACAGAGAAACATGTTGCTTTATTCTGGCAGCCTCATCTCCTTGCCCTTGGTGACAGCAGGAGGGCACTGCTCCTGCTCTTGGTCTGTGGCAAGCAGAGGATGAAAGCAAAGGAGGATGCTTTCTATGGTGCTTCAGCTCACTGCCACCAGGAGAGCCCTTCCCAGAGATTGTTATCTGAGAAATGAGCTGTATAATCTAAAAAAAAGTTCAGCCCTCCCATTGAATGTACGTATTTTTTAGTTGGAAAATCTCTAACAGTTATTACCATACTTTTTTATATAAGTTTTTAAACAATTTCAAGGTAGGATTTATATACAATAAATGCACCCACTTTAAAGGTCCAGTTCAATGAGTTCTGACAAATGGATAACTCATGTGACCACCACCACAATCAAGATACTGAACTTTTCCATCACCTATGACTCTTCTCAGCAATCCCCATTCTCCACCCCTGGCCTCAGGCAGCTGACCTGCTTTTTATCACTATAAATTAGTTTGGCTTTTTCTAGAGTTTCATATCAACAGAATCATTCAGTATGCACTCTCCTTTGTCAGTCTTGTTTTGCTCAGCACAGTGTTGCTGAGATTATCCATGTTGTTGCGTATATCACTTGGCTCCTTTTTATTGCCAAGTGGTATTCCGTTGTATGGAGTTTTCATAATCTTTGTATCCCTTCATCTGTTGATGGACATTTGGGTTTTGGACTATTATGAATAACGCTGTTATGCATACAGTTCCTTTTTGCAGGCATATATTTTTATATTTCTTGGGTAAATATCTAGGAGTGGGCCGGGCGTGGTGGCTCATGCCTGTAATCCTAGCACTTTGGGAGGCCAAGGTGGGCAGATCACTTGAGGTCAGGAGTTTGAGACCAGCCTGGCCAACATGGTGAAACCCTGTCTGCATTAAAAATACAAATTGGCAGGCGCAGTGGCTCACGCCTGTAATCCTAGCACTTTGGGAGGCTGAGGGGGGCAGATCACGAGGTCAGGAGATTGAGATCATCCTGGCTAACATGGTGAAACCCCGTCTCTACTAAAAATACAAAAACAAAATTAGCCAGGTGTGGTGGCGGGCGCCTGTAGTCCCAGCTACTCGGGAGACTGAGGCAGGACAATGGTGTGAACCTCGGAGGCGGAGCTTTCAGTGAGCCGAGATCACGCCACTGCCCTCCAGCCTGGGAGACAGAGCGAGACTCCGTCTCAGAAAAATAAATAAATAAATAAATAAATAAATAAATTAGCCGGGCGTGGTGGTGCACACCTGTAGTCCCAACTATTCGGGAAGCTGAGGCAGGAGAATCTTTTGAACCCAGAGGCGGAGGCTGCAGTGAGCCGAGATCTGCCACTGCACTCCAGCCTGGGCAACAAAGTGAGACTCTGTCTCCAAAAAAAAAAAAAAAAATCTAGGAATGGAATTGGTGAGTCCTATGGTAAGTGTATGTTTAACTTTATCAGAAACTGTCAAAACACATCACATTTTTCTTAGGAACTTGATTTTTGGGGGGCAGAAGTTGCTCTTTTGCTTCTGGACCCCTCTGTTCCCATTGGATTTTGCAGACTAGATATTGTAGACAGTCTGAAAACAGGTCGGTGTGCCAGTGGCTGTTAGGTGTAGAAGTTCTGGGTTAAGGACAGGGCCTGTTCTGGGTGAGATGTTACTGGGTTATTGCTTGTATGAAAAGATTGGGCAGGACAGATAGACAGAATTAAACAAATAGTGTTGTGCTCTTTAGAAGAGAATGCATTCAAGGCTGTGGGAAAGGCTGTGCTTGTACCAATTGAGGAAACAGCTAATCCCTGAAGGATGTGAGGTATTTGCCGGGGGAAATTGTTTCCCATGAGGAAAGTGGAGGTCTTCTAACCCAACTCTTTTCTGAACTTCCCGGTCCTCATGGAAAGAGAAACTTAGAGCAGCTCAGTCTGTCAACAACTGAGGATTGTTGTGTGGTGGATACAGAACAGAGAGACTTTGGCACAGGGCCCCTTGCTGCTTCTGACTAGGGCAGAAAATGGAAATGAAATGCCAAAGGTAGTCCCCAAGACTAAAATATGTAAGAAAGTTGCTTTGTAATGGAAATAATAACAAATGTAAGTTGTTATTCATCTATACTCCGAAAACTAGCCAATATAAGTTGCTAGTCTGTTTCTACTTTTTAAAAAGTAAATATAGCTGTGATAAGAATCAAACTTCTGGTCACAGTTTTGCAACAATTTAATTCAGCTAAAGATTAATTTTTTCTGCTTAAATGCAGACATGTACTCTGGTATTCTCTAAATATGCTAAAAGCAACTCAGGTTCTATGGACAAGTTTGGGAAATGCTGTGTTGCAGGCTGTGTATGCTGGCCGTCCTGTGAGAGCACCCTAAGTGTTCTAATGCATTGATTTTTGCATCTTATTAACTTTGTTGGCTGATACATTGCTGCATAACAAACTACTACACATTTAACAGCTTAAACAGCTTAAAATCTCACATATTTACTATCCTACAGTCTCTCTGGGGTCAGGAATCTTGGGACAGTTTAGTTAGGTCCTCTGCTTCAGAGTCTCTTACAAGGCTGCAATCGGAGGTGTTGGTCAGGGCTAGGTTCTTACCCACAGGTCCACCTGGGGAGAGATTCACCTCTGAGGTCATGTTGTTGTTGGCAGAATTCAGTTCCTTGAAGTTTGGACTGGGAGCCTCAGTTGGCTCTTGGCTGGAGACCACCTGCAGTTTCTAGTCTCGTGGGCCTTTCTAACATAGCAGCTTGCTTCATCAAAGTATGCAAGCAGAAGACAATAAGAAGAGTCAGCTAGCACAATGGAAGCTACAACCTTATGTAACCAAATCGTGGATGTGACATCCCATCACCTTTGCTGCATTTGTTCATTAGAAGCAAGTCATAGGTCCACCCAGACTAAAGGGATTACCCAAAGGTGTGAATACCAGGAGGCCATCTTAGACTCTGCCTGCCACAGCTGGGTTGCAGCCAGACCTGCCTACCTCTGAAACCCAATGCACTGCAAATAGTTGCCTGGAGATCCTGGTGAGCAACCCAGCTTCTTACAGAAGTAAGAATTAGTGGATAAGTTTGACACAAATTGTTAAGAATGATCCAGAGTCTTTTGCTCTTCTAGACTTACTCTTCTTGCAGGAAGTGAGAACAAATGGACTGTCAGCTGGAATAGAATTTCTTGTATATCAAGACCAGCATCCTACACAGAGCCCTCAGTAAAACTATTTGCATGAACAGATTTTGGGCTCCATCAGCTCGATTGCCCTACTTTTATAACAAATGTTTATAATATCCTTAATTCTAAGATGAAATCCATAAATAAAATGTCCCTGCCCACATAATTTCAAAATATCAATATGATGTAACTGTAATATACAAAAGGAAAATAATTATAACAAAAACAATGTGTCTCAATATATACATGCTCTAAAATAAAGTGGTTGAATGCTTACTCCTGAACTCAGAATCACTGCTAATGAAATAGTTATAAATGCAGACTGTTACTTGACACTGGGTGTGGAATTAGGGACTCAGATTCTACAATTTGCACTGGTGGTGTGATTTTCCAGGAAGACAAATAATATTTGGAAACATTCTGAACAAAGCAAAACAAAAACCACCCCATAATTTACAAGGAGTTACACTTCTGGAAAATTCAGCGTATGTTCAAATTGTGAAAAACAGAACCTTGTTTTGGAATTAGTTTAGTCTTGAGTAATTATAGATAAGGTTTTTATCTACACGTATGTCATGCAAGACATTGGAGGGCCTTGAGATAATTCATTATACAGGACTCTACTGCATTTAACAGGACAAATGTGTGGGACCTGGCATTTCTCCCTACACACTCCCCCCAATTGGGGAATGCCTCAATTTTGCAACAACAAAAACGCCCTTGGATTTCACTAGTGAGCAGTGACACTTGACATTGCAAACCACTGCAATGGTGCCTAACCTCTAGGTGAGAGGAAAGCAATGCAGTTATAGACTTGGTTGGACACCATTAAGTTCAGATATCAAGGAGTACCATGAGAGAGATGGAAATGAAAATCAGTGGCTTCAAAGTATCTACTGTGGCCCAGCAGCGCAGGCACAGTTAGGGTGCTTAAATCAAGCAAAAGGTGCAGTGTCAGCTAGGGGTGGAGAGAGAACACTGTGTTAGGGTTTTAGAAGTGGACATCTCAAAGCAGATACTTTGCACACTGAATTTTAAGAATACTGATGAAGACAGGTACCATGGCTCACGCCTGTAGTCCCAACACTTTGGGAGGCTGAGGCAGGAGGATCACTTGAGCCCAAAAGTTCAAGGCTGCAGTGAGCTGCAATCACACCACTGCACTCCAGCCTGGGCAACAGGGACCTCATCTCTAAAAAATTGTTTTAAAAGAATACTGACAGAATGCTTTCTTTTCCAACAGAAACCTGTTTCCCTCCAATCTTGTGGTTGCAGCTTTCCGTACGGTAAGGCTTGATACTTTGCTAAAAATATGAAACTTTGATGGAAGAAATGTACCAATTACTGCTATAGAGTTAGGTAAGGTAGAACAGGGAGAGATGGTGGTGTTAACAAAACTTGGTAAGATTGGCCTAAACTTTTATCAATGGGTACCTAGAGTTAAAAAACAACAACAATAAAATAAATAAATAAAGACTGAACAAACAAAACTTTCCAAAATGTCCCACTGGTTCCAAAATTTGTTTACATTACCTAAGAAATACCCTCAAATCACATTTTGGGGATGTCTTAAATATTGTACACTTTTTTAAAAAAATACACTTTTATCTTTTTTTCTGACTATAAAGATAATATGTGCTCACTGCAAAAAAATAAAATAAAATACAAAGAAGTGTCAGAAAACAAAAATCATCCATAGTCACTGTCTAGAGCTACCCATTATTTTGGTATACCTCTTTCAGATATGTTTTTTCTATGCGTGTATACACATACATTTTAAAAATAAGCATACAGGCTGGGCGCAGTGGCTCATGCCTGTTATCCCAGCACTTTGGGAGGCCAAGGTGGGTGGATCACTTGAGGTCAGGAGTTCAAGACCAGCCTGGCCAACACGGTGAAACCCCGTCTCCATTAAAGATACAAAAATTAGCCAGGTGTGGTGGCGTGCACCTGTAACCCCAGCCACCCAGGAAGCTGAGGCTGGAGAATTGCTCGAACCTGGGAGTTGGAGGTTGCAGAGAGCCGAGATCACACCACTGTACTCCAGCCTGGGCAGCAGAGTGAGACTCTATCTCAAAATAAATAAATAAATAAATAAATAATAAAATAAAGATAAGCATACATAGTATGGACACACACTACACATGTTGCTTCATAGCCTGCTGTTTTTTTTTAAGGCAGTATATTGTGAATATTTTCTCATGTCGGTAGCTACCCTTCTGCATAACGCCACGGCTGTAGAGTATTCCATTGTAAGAGTATAACATAATTCTCCTCTACTAGTCCCCTACCGATGGATGTTCAGGTTGTTTCTGGTTTTCCCCTATTTTTTGGCAATGCTGCAAGTAACAGTCCTGTGACCATTCTTTTTTTTTTTTTTTTTTTTTTTTTGAGACAGAGTCTCACTCTGTTGCCCAGGCTGGAGTGCAGTGGCGCGATCTTGGCTCACTGCCAGCTCCGCCTCCCAGGTTCACGCCATTCTCCTGCCTCAGCCTTCCAAGTAGCTGGGACTACAGGCGCCTGCCACCACACCCAGCTAATTTTTGTATTTTTAGTAGAGATGGGGTTTCACCGTGTTAGCCAGGATGGTCTCGATCTCCTGACCTTGTGATCCGCCCGCCTCGGCCTCCCAAAGTGCTGGGATTACAGGCGTGAGCCACTGTGCCTGGTCTCCTATGACCATTCTTTACACAGAGAAGGAATATAAAGGCCTAGATTATATGGTCTAATCTGATTGCTTTTTACAATGAAAGACTTTTCTGTTTCTACTTAAACCTCTCATTTTTGTTTTGTTTTGTTTTTTGATCTGCATATAAGCACAGGAGTGACTTGTATATATAATGTGAGGTAGGAAAAAAATATAGGTATATGGGGCTTTTTTTAGTGCCTGTCACAGAGGAGGCGGGTGGGTTTGTTTGAACACCTCTGCCTTTCTGTAACACTGATAAAGCTGAGAGAAACCAGAGCCCAGCAAGGGCAGGCAGAAAGCAGGCCTTCAAGTCTATACTTCCTAATTGCCTCCTCCTGACAGTTCAAGGACCAGGTGCCCTTCGAAGGGGCCAGGAAGGACTGTACTAACAGATTCCACTTGTTAGTACATACTGCCACAGGCAGACACCTATGTGCACCATGCAGAAGCATGTGAAATCAACCAGGGGACCAAAGCTAGAAAGACGTCTCACTTCTGATAACTGAGTCCCCCTGAAGACTCAGTTAGATGATGCCATCTTGCCTCACATCCCTGGCTTTCAAGAGTGGAGGCTCAAGCCAGATTAGAAAGAGACGGTAGAAGCAGTCATGCTCAAATAAGTTCTAGAACAAAGTGGGGCATAAATAAATGAATGGAAATAAAATGATACAATGAAAAATGAACTTTGGCATTATGGAGTTAATGCCAAGGTTATTCAAATAATATGACATATAAGGCTGAGGAAATATCAAATTATCAGCATAAAATTGTGCAGCCGTCCTTCTCCAAACCATTGCCCAAAGAACATAAGGAAATTCTCCCTGTTTCCTTGGGACACTAAGCAACCCAGAGACCTCTTGAAGTATCTGCTGACTTGGTCCTAATGTAGCTTTTTCACAGTTCTCAGAGGCTTTTGTCAGGCCAGCCAAGTGAGGAATGCCCAGGACACTCAGTGTGAACAGTGACAGAAGTACCAAGAGTGCAGCAGTGCCCTTGGTTCCTCTAGGTCGGTCTTCACCTGTGCACTAACAGTGGGTTTTTTTTTCCTCTTGATCACAGTATGCAACCGATTATAAAGTCGTGACCCAGAACAGCAGCTCTGGAAATGTAACCCATGAAAAGGTAAAGCTTTTTATAAGGTCACTTGTAAAAATATGTCTAAAACAAATCTTATTTCTTCTTTGAAGGAGCATACAGGACGTGGGCTGAAAACTTTGAGGTTTGAATGGGCTATTGGAGCGAACAGGTTAGGTTTGCTCCTTTGGTTATGGCCAAATACCATGGCCAAATACCATGTTGCTCTCAAAGCACTACAATCCTCAGAGGATCCGTAAAACATTTTGTTTGTTGATTTATTTGTTGTTTGTTTGTTTGTTTGAAACAGGGTCTCGCTCTGTTGCCCAGGCTGGAGTGCAGTGGTGTGATCATGGCTCACTGAACTGAACTCTTGGCCTCAAGTGATTCTCCTGCCTCAGTCTCCCGAGTAGCTGGGACTACAGACATGTGCCACCATGCTCGGCTAATATTTTATTATTTATTTATTTATTTATTTATTTATTTATTTTTTATGTTTTGTAGAGACAAGAGTTTCACCATGTTGTCAAGGCTAGCCTTGAACTCCTGGCTTCACATAATCCTCCCACCTTTGCCTCCCAAAGTGCTGGGATTGTAAGTGTGAGCCTGTGCCTGGCCCCAGAAAACATTTTATAAAACCTTTTCTGCCATCTAGAAATGTAATTAATAAGTGATTTAAACTACCCCTATACCTATTACATTTTAAAAAAATCAATATAAGGGAGAAATAAAAATAATTTCTAATAAAATAATCCATATTTTACCATGTAAATATACAACTCTACTAGAAGCCATAATGAAGTTTACAGATACTTGCATTTACTTAGAATAAATAAATTGAGATTTAAAAGCAGTGAGATAGAAGTCAACTAAATATTATAGGCACATTTTTTGCTATTTTTCTGCACATTTTGAAATACATGCTAAATAAAGATTTTTGTATATGTATACAGAATTACCCCAAACGCAACAGCTACAAGTGCAGACCAACATTATGTCTCATACTAGTGACCTGGATATTATTCTAAAATGGCAAATAACACTTGTTGAAGTTCGGAACAAAATAAAGTCTTCCTTCAGTTTACATCCACTTGATATTCTTGGAAAATCCAGTGAATACTAAAACTATGCAGAAAAAATATTTATGGGTAAAATGGAGTTAATCCTAGCTCAGTGCATTTTAAACAGCTTTTTCTCCCTATATGACTGTCTGATAGGATGCTCTGAGGCCTGGGGGATGTAGGAAAGTCTGCATTTGGTTGCCTGAACATTTCAGAACGGATGGCATTCTTAGTACCCTGCCTACTATTTCCCAGTAAGACACCACAATCATTATGACAACCAAAGTGCCCACACACATTCCAACAGTCCCCTAGTGAATGATATCCCCCTGTTCATAAATGTGAATCCAGTCAGTGGCTCCTGATTTTAAAAAATGGAGGTCACTTCACTCTGTCTGGCCAGAGGACGTGGCTGGACGTCCAACTGGGCCCCTTCTGACAGGCCCTGGATTCCACAGCTGGGCTCACTGGGATGTGGGTGTCAGCTAGGCCTGCTTTCCAGGTAAGTGGCTCACTTCTGCATGCCACCCTCTTGGCACAGACACTTTCCGACGTTATTTCATTTGAGCCTTAGGACAACCTGATCAGGTAGGATTTAGTACCCCCACTATAAATTACTTGAAATGATGGTCTTCCAAGGTTGATCAAGGCCATTTTGACCAGTTTAAAAAAAACTAATTGTTGCCCAGGTGCAGTGGCTTACGCCTATAATCCAAGCACTTTGGGAGGCCAAGAAGGGAGGACTTCTTGAGCCCAGGAGTTCATGACCAGCCTGGGCAACAGAGCAAGACCCCATCACTACAAAAAATTAAAATTAAATAAAAGTTAGCCAGGCATGGTGGCACATGTCCATAGTCTCAGCTACTTGGGAGGCCAAGGTAGGAGGATTGCTTGACCCTGGGAGGTCAATGCTGCAGTGAGTCATGATCGTGCCACTGCACTCCAGCCTGGGCAACAGAGCAAAATTATGTCTAAATAAATAAATAGAAAGAAACCAAGAGTGATGAGTAAATGCTAGAACACTAATTGTCTCTTCAATAACTTTAAGTTTTGGCAAATATGGCTGCTGTGACTTCTCCACTGGAAATACTGGTTACCTGTGAGCATCCACCTCAGCTGACATACACTTGCCTTCACTGTAAATTTCACCCAGGCATTTAAGGAGTCAGGCTTTAAGAAAGAGGCTGGTGCAGTGGTTCACACCTGTAATCCCAGCACTTTGGGAGGCCAAGGCAGGCAGATCACCTGAAGTCAGGAGTTCCAGACCAGCCTGGCCAACATGGTGAAACTCCGTCTCTACTAAGAATATAAAAATTAGCCAGGCATGGTGGTGGGCACCTGTAATCCCAGCTACTTGGGAGGCTGAGGCAGGAGAATCACTTGAACACAGGATGTGGAGGTTGCAGTGAGCTGAGATTCTGCCACTGCACTCCAGCCTGGGCAACAGAGCGAGACTCTGTCTCAAAAAAATAAATAAAAGAAAAAAAGAAAGAAAGAGGAGCAGTGTGTCCTCGCTGGTTCCAGGCTTTCCTAAACCCTGTGGCGAGAAGACTGTGTAAAGGCATAGCAGGTGTGGGCCTTGTCCCCAAGGTTGGGATATTGGTGACAGAATGAAAAGTCAAGGACCTAGCCAGGCATGGTGACTCACGCTTGTAATCTCAATGACTCAGAAGGCTGAGGTGGGAGGATTGCTTGAAGCCAGAAATTTGAGACCAGCCTGGGCAACATAGATACGTATCTAAAAAAAAGTTTTTTTTCTATACTAGCCAAGTATGGTGGCGTGTGCCTGTAGTACCAGCTACTTGGGAGGCTGAAGTAGGAGGATCCCTTGAGCCAAGGAGTTTAAGATTACTGTACTCTAGACAGCAACAGAGGGAGACTTTGTCTCTAAAAAGAATTAAATCAATCAAGGACCCAGAGGCTCAAGGACACTTGGAAGGGTGCCTCTGACCCGTGGCTCTATCTTCCATGGCCACTTTGATCCCACGTAATAACTTGCCACAGACACACTCCTCCTAGGCTTTAGTTGAATCATTAATTCATTAAACAATGATTTATTTGGCAACAGCCAGGTGCCCTTCCCAGGTGCTGGACTCCAGTAGTGCTCAATACAGTCAAAGCCCTGCTCTTACAAAGCTCATGTTCTAGTGGAGGGAATCATGTAATAAATAAGTATATGTCAGCCAGTGATAGGCACCAAGAAGAACATTAAAGCAGGGCAAATAGATAGGAAGAGTGTGTTTGTGTGTGTGTGTGTGTGTCTGTGGTGATGGGTACTATTTTAGCAGGGTGGCCAGGGAGGTCTTCTGATCAGGTGAGGGAGGAGCTATGGGGAGATGTGGGGGAAAAGTGATGTAGGCAGCAGGAACAGAATCTGCAAAATCCCAGGGAGACTGGCCAGGATGCAACTCTGGTTGCTTGTAGTCCCCTAGCCCCATTCAATGCTAAGTCTGCCTAGGTGTGCAGCCAGCATACCTTGCTCCAAACCCACCTGCCACCAGCCTCCTCTACAGAAAGGGAGTCATTTCATTGGAAAAATTATTGTAATTGTCCTCAAATCTGAGAGTTGGTTCGAAAGCTGGAACTGCCTGACCTCAAACACCACACTTTAGAATTGCAGACCTGCTAAAACCAGCTCTCTTAATTGTTAAAACAATTTTCTTACTGATTTAAGAAATTGAATAATAAATGTGCATAGTTTGGGGGTACATGTGATAATGTAATACATTAATATAATTTGCAAAGATCAAATCAGTGTACTTGGGATGTCCATCACCTTAAACATTTGTCTTTTCTTTGTGGTAGAAATATTACAATTATTCTAGCTATTTTGAAATGTACAGTAAATTATTGTAAAATATAGTCACCCTACTGAACTATCAAACACTAAGTGTATTTCTTCTATCAACCTGTACATTTGTATCCATTAATCAACTTCTCTTTGTCCCCTTTCCCCCCTACACCTCCTGGCCTCTCGTAACCACCAATCTACTCTTTGTCTTCATGAGATCCACTTTTTTAGCTCCCACATATGAGAACATGTGATATTAAAACCAACTTTCAAATAGTAATTGAATTTTCTGGTTTAATTGAATCTTGACCCTTAATTCCAGTTAGGACTTGGGACATTATCAAAAAGCGTGAGTTGACAGCCCCAAGGTCATCACCAGTTGTTAGCCATCCAGCTCATAGAATCCTAGTAGGCCAGTAGCAGAGCCAGCAATAAATCCCCCAAATCATCTCTCTCCCCCAGCTTTCAGCTATACCCACCGCACCCAGCTTCAATAAGTCAAGTCCCAGGAGAGAGTAGTGACAGTCAGAAGTCTTGGCCAGGTGCAGTGGCTCACACCTGTAATAATAACACTTTGAGAGACTGAATTGGGAGAATCACTTAAGCCCAGGAGTTTGAGACCGGTTTGGGCAATTTAGGGAGATCCCATCTCTACAAAATAAATAAATAAACCTAGCCTGGCATGGTGGCACATGCTTGTAGTCCCAGCTACTCAGGAGGCTGAGGTAAGAGGATTGCTTAGACCCTGGAGATCAAGGCTGCAGTGAGCCGTGTTCACGCCACTGCACTTCAGCCTGGATGACAGGGTATAACCCTGTCTCCAAAAAAATAAATAAATAAAAACAGTCGTCTTATTGTCTATGGAATTAAAATAACATTTTAAGAGGAAGACACTCCAGACAGAGTGAGCCTAGAATGATCTCCAAGATATTCCATTAATATAATAATAGTTCTTGTTGGTTTTCATTTGCCTGACACAGTCTAAGTACTTTACATATATTAACATATTTAATCTTCATAGCAACTTTACATATTAGCTATTGTGACTATCTCCATTTTATAAATGGGGAACTGAGTCACAAAGACGTTAAGTAACTTACCTAGACTCCCACAACTAGGAAGTAGTGAAAGTCAGGCTCCAAAGCCAATGCTCCTTAATTACTATTGCCGCTGCTCCTCTATAAGTGATATCTATCAACATAAACAAAAGCGCCCTATACGGTGATCATTGTCCTCACAATGAAAAGTTGGAAGAAAGGCCAGGTGTGGTGGCTCACGCCTGTAAACTCAGCACTTTGGAAGTGCTGAGGCGGGCAGATCACCTGAGGTCGGGAGTTCCAGACCAGCCTGACCAACATGGAGAAACCCACATGGAGAAACCCCTTCTCTACTAAAAATACAAAATTAGCTGGGCATGGTGGCGCATGCCTGTAATCCCAGGTACTTGGGAGGCTGAGGCAGGAGAATCACTTGAACCCAGGAGGTGGAGGTTGTGGTGAGCTGAGATCACCCCATTGCACTCCAGCCTGGGGAACAAGAGCGAAACTCTGTCTCAAAAAGAAAAAAAAAAAGAAAAGAAAGAAAGAAAGAAAAGAAAAAGAAAAGTTGGAAGGAAATGAAAAGCTACTCCATCACAATTTTTATGATATATATGAATCCATGGCTTTTGGTACATTTCATGTGAATCACACCAGCCACCTACATGTCTCCAGTTAATTTGGAAATTAGAAAAGTATTTAGAAAGAAATTTGTGATGATTTTGAGTACCTATCATTTGCCAGACACTTGGGCTAGGGCCCAGCCTTTGCGCTCAAGCTGCAAGGGCTAGGGAACACCAACGATTATTTCATAATATGTGTTGGTGGGATAAAATGTTTGTCTAATATATGCTTGCAGTAAGGAGATTCAGCATTGCTGGAAAAAATTAAGAATACAGTATGTCTATGCATTTTAAGTCAGTGATTTGGGAAAGAGTATCCTGAAAAAGTCCATGTTGATCGTGAAAATCTTCTGTGAAGTTTGTCGGCTAGGAGGTCACTGTAAGAGCCTCACAACAAAACTCTGTGGATATTTAGGAGTCAAAGTTACAGTCACTGATTTGTTATCTGAAGGAAATTTTTTTTTTTTTTTGAGCCGGAGTCTCGCTCTGTCGCCCAGGCTGGAGTGCAATGGCATGATCTCAGCTCACTGCAACCTCTGCCTCCTGGGTTCAAGTGATTCTCCTGCCTCAGCCTCCCAAGTAGCTGGGATTACAGGCACCTGCCACCATGCCCAGCTAATTTTTGTGTTTTTAGTATAGACAGGGTTTCACCATGTTGGTCAGGCTGGTCTCAAACTCGTGACTTCAGGTGATCCACTCGCCTTGGCCTCCCAAAGTGCTGGGATTACAGGTGTGAGCCACCGCGACCAGCCTGAAGGAACTTTTGACTAACCAGCTCTTCTTTTAAAAGCAGCCCTTTGAGGTGGCTGTCCAACCCCTACTTGAATATATCCCCATGACAGGGAGCCCACTACCTTCCACTTTAACCTATGCCATTTTGGGCAGCTTTCAGAGTTAACTAGAAGAAATTTTTGCTTGTTGGCTTTCTGTATCCTCAGACTACATCTCCCCTTAAGTTTCCTACCCCTTTATTTGCAGAATTGCTAATTGTTAAAGAAAATATGAGCTTTTTCTCGTTCTGGGTACAGTGTTTCAGTCTGGTGGGGACACCAAGCAAATACATCTTTAATTCTCACTCATCTGTTGTAAACTTGTTCTATCCTCTCTGATCCTGCAGATCCCCATAGGCACTGAGATAGAAGGGATGAACATTTTAGGATTGGTCCTGTTTGCTCTGGTGTTAGGAGTGGCCTTAAAGAAACTAGGCTCCGAAGGAGAAGACCTCATCCGTTTCTTCAATTCCCTCAACGAGGCGACGATGGTGCTGGTGTCCTGGATTATGTGGTGAGTGCTGCTTTGCTGCCTACTCTCTCTCTCCTTCCTCCTGCCATCCAGAAAAGAGTCCACCTTGCTGTTCTAGGTACCTGTGTGGGGCCACCTGGCACAATGCTGTGTATGTGGTTGATGCACCATGAGCCAGGCTTGGTACAGGGGATGATGGAAGTGGAGACAGTTTCTCCTCTTGTCCAGGACCTCAGAGAGCCAGGCATGCACCACACTTACCAGTCACTTCCTCAGTGTCCACACTGACCCCTTGGTGTTTCCATCACCGGGATCTGTTTATGGGTTCCTACCACCACCCAGTTCATGTGGGTTGCCCATGTCATCTTGTGGGAAAGTGAATTCCATTAGTTTGCTATCTGTTGCATGAAATAAGGTTCATTTATCTGAAAATGATAGACTTGAAGCTTCAAAGGGACCCTTTACTATAGTAGTTCACAGCATAGAGGACAAGGACAAGTCCATTTTCACCCCATGCATATATAAAGTTGGAATGCTCTTCTTTTATGTAGGCTTTTTTTCTGAAACAGAGTTTTGCTCTTATTGCCCAGGATGGAGTACAGCGGCGCGATCTCGGCTCCCTGCAACCTCTACCTTCTGGGTTCAAGTGATTCTCCTGCCTCAGCCTCCCGAGAAGCTGGGATTACAGGCGTCCGCCACCATACCCAGCTAATTTTTTTTTTTTTTAGTAGAGACGGGGTTTCACCATGTTGGCCAAGCTGGTCTCAAACTCCTGACCTCAGGTGATCTACCTGCCTCAGCCTCCCAAACTGCTGGAATTACAGGTGTGAGCCACTGCGCCTGGCCCTTTTATGTAGGCTTTTAATTTGTAAATGTTTCTTTGTGTGATATCAATGAAAGCATGATTGTTAAGTAACAATTCTTAGATTATTTGCTAAAAGGTAAAAATTTGACCAGCTCCCTCACTCCAAAATCATACCAATTCCAGTATCAATCTCTCATAAGCTTTATCCTGCTGTTTTACCCAAACCAGACCTCTGTGGCTTCTACCTAATGTTTTTCTTTGAGACGGAGCCTCTCTCTGTTGCCCAGGCTAGAGTGCAGTGATGTGATCTCGGTTCACTACAACCTCCGCCTCCTGGGTTCAAGCAATTCTCCTGCCTCAGCCTCCCGAGTAGCTGGGATTACAGGCACCGGCCACCATGCCCGGCTAATTTTTGTATTTTTAGTAGAGACAGGGTTTCACCATGTTGGCCAGGCTGGTCTCTAACTCCTGACCTCAGGCGATCCGCCTGCCTCAGCCTCCCAAAGTGCTGAGATTACAGGCATGAGCCACTGCACCCAGCCGCTTCTACTTGTTTTTTTGTTTTGTTTTTTTGTTTTCTTGAGACAGGGTCTTGCTCTGTCACCCAGGCTGGAGTGCAGTGGTGCAATCTCGGCTCACTGCAAGCTCCACCTCCCGGGTTCAAGCCATTCTCCTGCCTCAGCCTCCTGAGTAGCTGGGATTACAGATGACCGCCACCACGCCCAGCTAATTTTTTGTATTTTTAGTAGAGACAGGGTTTCACCGTGTTAGCCACGATGGTCTCCATCTCCTGACCTCGTGATCTGCCCGCCTCAGCCTCCCAAAGTGCTGGGATTACAGGCATGAGCCACCGCGCCCAGCCTACTTAATTGTTAAGAACTAGTTTCTCCTTCCATGCACAAAGCATTTTCCTTATTTTCAACCCTGAAAGATCCCAGAACTTCTCTCTCTCAGGTAGTGCTGGATGACAGCTGGACTGATTTTAGAAGTTTGAAATTGAATGGGAGGCTAAGTTTAGACCCCCTACCAGTGATATTTCTCTTCTTCAATCTGAAAATTCCAGAGCCTGACTCTATCACTGCCAATGCCATTTCATGTGATTGTTGTTCTAGGGAGAGAACTGATATTTTCAGAAAAGAAAAGGTATTTAGATGTCAAGTTCTTTTCTTGGCTTTTGTTAAGTCTAAAATATTAATATTTTCCAAAGTTTAGACTAAAAAAAAGAAATTGGGGCAGGCGCAGTGGCTCATGCCTGTAATCCCGGCACTTTGGGAGGCCAAGGCCAGAGTATTGCTTGAGCTCAGGAGTTCAAGACCAGCCTGGGCAAAAAAGTGAGGCCCTATCTCTACAAAATATAAACAATTAAATTAAATTTAAAAGTAAAAAAACTGATTGTATTAGTCCGTTCTCACACTGCTATGAAGAAATACCTGAAACTGGGTAATTTATAATGAAGAGAGGTTTAATTGGCTCACAGTTCTACAGGCTATACAGGAAGCATGGCTGGGAAGGCCTCAGGAAACTTACAAGCATGGCAGAAGGTGAAGGGGAAGCAGGCATGTCTTCACATGGCCAGAGCAGGAGGAAGAAAGACAGGGGGAAGGTGGGGGATTACAATTCAATATGAGATTTGGGTGAGGACATAAATCCAAACCATATCACTGATACGTCCATGTTAGGACATTTGCATTTTGTTTTGTTTTGTTTGTTTTTGAGACGGAGTTTCACTCTTGTTGCCCAGGCTGCAGTGCAGTGGCACAATTTTGGCTCACCGCAACCTCCGCCTCCCAGGTTCAAGCGATTCTCCTGCCTCAGCCTCCCGAGAAGCTGGGATTACAGGCATGCGCCACCACGTCCAGCTAATTTTGTATTTTTAGTAGAGACAGGGTTTCTCCATGTTGGTCAGGCTGGTCCCAAACTCCCGACCTCAGGTGATCCGCCCACCTTGGCCTCCCAAAGTGCTAGGATTACAGGCATGAGCCATAGCGCCCGGCCGGACATTTGCTTTTAATCTGGAAACCAGTTTAGTCATTCCTTCAATTTGATGTACCAGTCACATAAGCAGGTATTCAGTAAGGCAGATCCTGCTGAATGTCTAACTGCAGCAAGAGAGCGAGAGACCTGTTGCTCAGAAATGCATATTACACAGAATTGAAGTTTAAAATGCCTTAACTAGTTAAGGGATCTCAACCAAGTATGGGAGGCATTGTCAGTATTACCGCTTTCTGCAATCTTTCTTTTACTAACTACCCACTCCAAAACCCTAGTACCTGCCTACCCTACACTATTCACAGAAATAACTTTCAGATGTATTAAACCCAGAGTCAGCCAACTTTGCAAGCCACATGCTCTCTATTGCAACTACCCAACTCTGCCACTGTAGGAGAAAAGTACCTATTCACAATTTGTAAATGAAAGAGCATGACTGTGTTCCAACAAAACTTTATTTACAAAAACTCACGCTGCTAACTCCTGGATTAAACTGACCAGGGAGAAAGGAAGAAAAGAAGGAAAGAAAGAGAGGAGTCTTCTAAAAATATTAGAAGAAAATATAGAGGCAGGGAAAGCCTTCCTAAACAAGATATAAAAAGCAAAAGCCATAAAAAGCTGCTAAACTTAACCACATCAAAATATAAAAAGTCTGCATGCAAAAGATACTTTGAACAAAGTTAAAAGTCAAGACATTCATTTCTAAAAATTGATATATATATTTGCATACTGCATATATAGAAAAAAAGAGTTCTGATTACTGAAAAAGAAAAATCACTGAACAAACCATCAGAAAATAGACAAAGTATGTGAAACCTGAATTACCAGTAAACATTTTAAGGGATGCTCAACCTCATTAGAAATAAGGGAAATGAAAATTTGGTTTTATCAGGCATTGATAATGGTGAGGGTGAGGTTTCTCAACCATGACACTATTGACATTTTGGGCTGATCAGTCTTTGTGGGAGGCTGTCTCATGACTGTAGGATGTTTAGCACCATCCTGGCCCCCACCTGCATGATGCCACTAGCACCATGCCCCAAAAGTTATGACAACCAAACTGTCTTCCAGACAAAATCATCCCTGGATAAGAACCACTGTTGCAGAGGGAAGATTATTCTCCTGGACTGCTGGTGGGAATGTGATATGGAATAACCACTTTGGAGAACAAAGTGGCAGTATCTACTGAAATTTAAAATATGCACATCCTATAACTTAGCAGTTCACTTCTTAGCATCTCTACCTAGAGAACAAAGGCATGTGGTTACCACAAAGTATGTTTGCAGTGTCGTTTGTAACGATAAACCTGGGAACAACTTAAACATCCACCAACAGGACGATGACAAAATAACCTATGGTATTTCCATTCTGAAGATAATATTTAAAGACAATGAGGTAAAGGTGGAAACAACCCAAATGTCCATCATTGGATGAATGGATAAACAAAATGAGATAGAGACATACAACAGAATATTATTCAGCCTTAGAAAGGAGTACAATTCTAGCTCATGCTCCAATGTGGATGAAGCCCGAAGACATCATAAGTGGAATAACCTAGACACAAAAGGACAAACACTGTATGATTCCACCTTTGTGTACCTAGAATAGTCAAATTCAGAGAGACAAGAAGTAGAACAGTGATTCTCAGGAACTGTGAGGAGGGGAAAGTAGGCTGTTATGTTTAATGATTTCAAAGTTTGGGATGATGGAAAAGTTCTGGATTTGGATAGTGATGATAGTTGCACAAGAATGTGAATGAACTTCATGCCACTGAACTCTACACTTAAAAATGGTTAAGATGGTAAATTTTATGTATATTTTACCACATTAAAAAATGAATGGGGTAGATTTCTATGTATTGATATGAAAAGATTTCAAAGATGTAATATAGGGTGAAAAAGAAAAAAACACATAGATTTAAATACATACCTATGTATCTAATTGCATAGGAGGTAGGAGTGTCTATTTGAGGAGGATCCTGGCTTAAGGATGGTACTTAAAGAGGATTTTGGTGTCATCTACGTTTTAATTTTTTGAAAGGAGAATGTATTCATGTATTACTATCGGGTTTTTAATTAATAATTACTGCTTAGAATATCTCTAGAAAGAAAACTCAAGAAACCAGTGACATTGTCTCCAGGGAGGGGAAATCTGGGTGCTTGGGAGAGAGATGAGAGGGAGACTTCACTCTGTTCACTCTTTTGTACCCCTTGAAATTTGAACTATGTGACATTATTACCTACGCAATTAAAATTTACAAATAAAGTCAGCAGTTAGAAAATTCTTCCTGAATTTATATTAATTCAAAACAACTGACTTTTGTTCTTTGTAGCTCCCACAGTCCATTCCTTCCCATCCTGCCTTTAAAAAACTCTCACGCTCCAGGCGTGTTCCCAGAGTGTCATTGTTAATGACTTTTTCCCACGGAATCATGTTGTCTAAGCCACAAAGAATTTAAAACTTCACAAAAGTCCTAGCTTTGGCTCAATTTTCTATCACAGCCACTCTGTGAAATAGGTGTTAGTCTTTTGTGTTTCTAAGTTCTCAGAACAAGCCTGAGCAAAGCCAAAAGTCAGGCTTACAGTCCTGGAGGCTTTGATCTCGATTTCCTTGCCTTTCCTCCTGGGAATCCCTGTGACTGGTAGCATCCTTCTGTTAAGGACATACTGTATCCAAGGGGAAAGACGTCTGGGTTCTGGTCCTGACTCTGTTACCCTTGGTGAGTGGTCAGCCTCATTTTACCCAGTCTCACAGGCTGTAAAATGGGGATGGTATAACCCTGACTGTTTCGGTTCCTCGGGGTTATCCTAGGGAGAGATGAAGACGGCCTGGCTGAAAGTCCCTGCATTCTGCCTCAGGAAGGACCTGCATCTCTCACCCCAGCTTTATCCCCCACTGATGAGTACCCTGTGCTTGTGCCCTAGGTACGTACCTGTGGGCATCATGTTCCTTGTTGGAAGCAAGATCGTGGAAATGAAAGACATCATCGTGCTGGTGACCAGCCTGGGGAAATACATCTTCGCATCTATATTGGGCCATGTTATTCATGGAGGAATTGTTCTGCCACTTATTTATTTTGTTTTCACACGAAAAAACCCATTCAGATTCCTCCTGGGCCTCCTCGCCCCATTTGCGACAGCATTTGCTACCTGCTCCAGGTGAGTGGGTTTTGGGTCTCTTCACTGCTCTGAGCCATGTTAACATGGAACCAGGTGAGCCCAGTGGTAGATGCACAACCAGTGTCTTGACATACTTTAATTCCTGGAAAACTCTAAATCGGTCTTCTGTTATTTTTTTGTTTTTTCTTCTTTAAGAGACAGGATCTTCCCGTGATTGCCCAGGCTGGTCTCGAACTCCTGGGCTCAAGTGATCCTCCCACCTCGGCCTTCCGAATAGCTGTGATTACAGGCATGCACAGCCACACCAAGCCTCACATGATTTCTTAAAATGACCAGCCCCAAAGCTTTTCTGTATTCCCCTGGGGTGGGTTTCTGTTTCATTTACTATTCTACTGAAGTTACCTCATTCTCTTCTCCCTCTTGCTCCTTAGAGGTCAGCAGATCATTAGTTAGCCCAGCTGCGGGTCCCTCACCCTAATTAGGAAGACCTTTCCCTGAGTAAAAGAAGGCAGCCCACCTAACTCAAAAATGCATTGCAGGGAAGTTTCTAGAATGGTTCCTGCCCAATTCTCCCTTTCTGGATATGTGAATTAGAAAACGAGTCTGAGGCACCGTGGTGAGGGATGGATGCTTAGCCCTCTAGGAGTCCACAATAGTGTGGGATTGTCTCATTTGGCACAAGAGATGCATCCTGTCATTCACTGGAAAACCTTAAAAAAAAAAAAAAACACTGGGTTTTCCAAATATGTTAAAACTTTCAAAGGACGGCAGCACGTCGTTTCATTCACACATTTAGTTTTGCCTCTACTGCTCACTTCCTCCCAATCTGGATGGCTATTTATATAACACAGAGGTGGGAGTAAAAAAAAAAAAAAAATTAGGGAAGGAAGTTCCTCTGGCCTAGACAAAAACCTGTTTCTCAGCTGCACCAACTAACCTCTGCAGAGCCCGCAGAGCCAGCTAGAGGGAGCAGGTACTGTTCTTATGGTTATCTACTTAGTTATTCTTCCAAGCTCACAGAGCCATTTCTGGGTTTTGGCCTAAAAGAAAAAAAAATCATAGTTTACCATTTACTTTTGGGAGGGGAACACTCAAGAGAGGAGATGCACATGTAGAGAAACTAGTTGTTTGTTCTCTCGGGAACGTTTTGCACCGGGAGGCAATGTGCAGTTCTTAAGAAACTTGGAACACGTGAATCCAAGTAAATGACAGAATAGGTAAATGAAGGCAGTCATATTTTAAGTATCTTGGGAGTTGCCAAAGCCTCATGTTGTGACAGAAGTTTTAAAGTGATTCTGTTTTTTCCCTTATTTCAAGAGAAGAAAGCCAGAAACGAAGATGGTGCTAATTGCTCTGTTCTGGGGTCTGAGACAAGACACATGTTAGCCTGCCTCGGACTGTTGTCATGTCTGGCGGTTTGTTTTTCCCATTTCTAGCTCAGCGACCCTTCCCTCTATGATGAAGTGCATTGAAGAGAACAATGGTGTGGACAAGAGGATCAGCAGGTTTATTCTCCCCATCGGGGCCACCGTGAACATGGACGGAGCAGCCATCTTCCAGTGTGTGGCCGCGGTGTTCATTGCGCAACTCAACAACGTAGAGCTCAACGCAGGACAGATTTTCACCATTCTGTAAGTTCCTCATTCTTTCCCTGGCTCAAAACTGAAGGCTTTTCTTGTGATTTCCTTTGAAAAACCAATCTCACCACAACTTGGTGTCTCGCTCATAAAATGAGGACAGTGGGGATTCATTACTTGAAGAGCGTGTGTTGACTCTCAAGGGCGTAGCCAGCAGAGCCTATGGTGGGGCGGTTTTTAGTTTCCAGCCACATTGCAGCTGCATGGTCTGCATTTCTCTGTGTCCACTCCACGCTCTATGTTAATGGCTGGCCCTGCTCTGCCATCCCTTAGAGTGACTGCCACAGCGTCCAGTGTTGGAGCAGCAGGCGTGCCAGCTGGAGGGGTCCTCACCATTGCCATTATCCTGGAGGCCATTGGGCTGCCTACTCATGACCTGCCTCTGATCCTGGCTGTGGACTGGATTGTGTAAGTAACAAGTCCTGAGAACACCAAAAAGAGTCTGCACTGAGTTCCCTAGGAGCTTAGCACTGCTGGGCCTGGGCCATGCAGAGAAACTTCAGACACACTCCAGCCTTGTGAAGGAGGCTACAGTGGAGCTAAAAGGGCAAGATTTAGAGCTAGGAAAAATTAAACAATATGAGAGTCACATGCCCCCAAACATCCAGGAATGACCATGAGATGTCATTACCAAGAACTTGCTTATAGCATCCAGTAAAGCAGGGGTCCACAGCTGAGGCCCTCAGCGCAGGCCCAAGGGACACGAGGGTCTATGGAGTTGCTGACTGCATAGGAGTAATAAGTCGATGGAGCAGTGATCCTTTGGGAATGATTGTCCCTGGCCTGGAAGATTCTAAGGAGTGATTTCTGTGAGGGGAGGGAGGATGAACCATGCTGATGTGAGTGACTTGGGCTTGGGCTCAGCAGAGGAGGAGGTAGGGAAGAAGGTGTGATCCAGACCACATCTCTGGGGCTGCTGTGAAGACACAAAACAGTTTCTGTGCATGGATTCCTTGAGTCACATGATACCTTTTGCAGGCATGAATAATATCTATTTTATAGGGAAGGCTGCCTGAGGTACTAAAGTTGAGACAGTAGAGCCTGTGGGTAAGAAAATGAGCCCTGGAGCCCAGGTGCCTGGATTGAAATCCCAGATTTGCCATCTAGTAGTTGTGTAATGTGCACTGTGTGTGCTTTGGTCTGCTCATCTGTAAAATGGGAATGATCATAGCACCCACACCAGGGTTGTGGGGAAGATTGAGCGAGTTAGCACGGGAACAGCACACAGAATAATGAGCACGTGGTAAAACATTCAATTCATGTCAGCAAAGAAAGACACTCCAGACCAGGTTCGTCACAGGCAGGGCCTGGCACTGGGCTCACGGACTGGCCTGCTGCAGGTGGGAATGGTGGTTTTTCCAACTTGAAGGGGCTTCTCAGAGCAATGAGGGTAAAATCTGCAAAAGAGACCTGCATTGCGCAGACACCTCATCAGAGGGAACTCCGTCCCTGAGCTGGCCAGCTGGACAGGACCAGAGCTGACAGAGGCCCCCTCTCCTTCCTCACCCAGCCACCTCCTGTGCGTGGAGAAGAGGCATCAAAGAGGTGCTTGGCCAGGAACAGGGAAACAGGGCACCAAGCCGGCTGCCCAGTGGAGACCTGAAGTCACACAGGCCTGCCAGCCACCCCATCCCCTCTGATTCTGCAGACAGCAGGACGGCACTCTGCAGGGAGTCAGCTCCCCAGTGCCCTCAGGGAAGATCACATTTTTCCCTCTCTTCAAAATGTGCACAATACTTCCTCTGAGCTCCAGGGACAGGGGAATGGTATTGGCTAATCTATAACACAACAAGCTAGCTTCTGGAAAGGATAGTGATATTTTCTTTGAGATGGTATTTATATTTGCCGATGGCAATGGAACACATATGAAGATTAACATCCGCAGTAAAGTAGCGTTGAAATGAGAAAAAGAAGGGAAACTCCCACAGTGTATTATTCAGTGGAAGAAAAGCTAGACACAAAACCGTATCCACACTATTATCCCAATATGTTTGTTTATTTGTTTACTTATTAGAGTCAGGGTCTTACTCTGTGGTCCAGGCTAGAGTGCAATGGCATCATCATAGCTCACTGAAGCTTTGAACTCCTGGACTCAAGCAATCCCCCCACCTCAGCCTCCTGAGTAGCTAGGATTACAGGCACACTCTACCATGCCCAGCTAATTTGTTTATTTTTTGTAGAGATAGGATCTCACTATGTTGCCCAGGCTGGTCTCAAACTCCTGGCCTTAAACAGTCCTCCCACCTCAGCCTCCCAAATTGCTGGGATTACAGACATGAGCCACTGTGCCTGGCTTATGTGTGATTTTTAATTATGGTGTCTAATACATATAAAATACGTGTATAGAAAGGTGACTGGAAGGAAATAGATTAAAATGGGCATACAGATTCACTCAGTTGGGGACTAGGGGTGAGTGGCTTGTTTGCTTCTTTATGCTCTTTTTTATTCTTTCTATAAAAATAAAAAGTGTTTAAAGAAAATCAATTTAGAATAAGGTAAAGCCAATGCCTTAGAAGCATGCTCTCCAGGAAGCAACAGGGCCCCTCACAATCATGACTTTCCTTCGGCATCCAGGCTGCCTGTGACAGGACCCGATCGCCCAGCAGTAGATATAATAGCTGCCTCTTCTTTTCCCACCAGGGACCGGACCACCACGGTGGTGAATGTGGAAGGGGATGCCCTGGGTGCAGGCATTCTCCACCACCTGAATCAGAAGGCAACAAAGAAAGGCGAGCAGGAACTTGCTGAGGTGAAAGTGGAAGCCATCCCCAACTGCAAGTCTGAGGAGGAGACATCGCCCCTGGTGACACACCAGAACCCCGCTGGCCCCGTGGCCAGTGCCCCAGAACTGGAATCCAAGGAGTCGGTTCTGTGATGGGGCTGGGCTTTGGGCTTGCCTGCCAGCAGTGATGTCCCACCCTGTTCACCCAGCCGCCAGTCATGGACACAGGGCACTGCCCTTGCCAACTTTTACCCTCCCAAGCAATGCTTTGGCCCAGTCGCTGGCCTGAGGCTTACCTCTCGGCACTGGCATTGGGCTCCCCAGCCGGAACTGGTTACCAAGGACAAGGACACTCTGACATTCGGCTTGATCCATGTCCAGGTGCAACTGTGTGTACACCAGGGATCTGTTTGGAAACAACCCCTTGAGCTGCCAGGCTCAAGAAATCATGGACTCACAGGGTCCTGTGTGGTTACATCTTGGAAAAAATGCAGATGTATTTCACTCTCCCCGGTCAGCTCTGCATCAGGTGTTTTCTGAGCAAACCAAGGGGGTTTATAGTCATCTGTCGCATTGCCTCGAGTTGCAGTAATTGAAAAAATGCTCAAATTCTTAGCCATGGCTGGCCTTTGCTGAGCTGGGACTCAGGTGTTTAAAGAGTTTGTGCTATAGCTAGGTGTGGATAGCTTCTGATCCCTGGGTTCTGGGAGACTGCAGGTGCCGCACATTGTCAAGTTAGAAATACTCCAGGTGGGTGTTAGCACTGTGGTGGTCTCTGGTCCACAGCCTTAGGTAAACAACTTAGATTCTGAGGTCAAAGAAAAAAGGAGAGGGAATGCAGCCTTGTGGGGGAGAAGCGGGGCAGAGGGTTCTCTAATCTAATCAGGACAGGACAGGTTTCACATACAATTGTCCCAGTTCGCATCCCAGCCCTGGGGCACTTTTCTGCTTCCTTCCAGAGGCCTGGGCCTCTGATAACACTTTGGCTTTTTCTCCATTCACGCTGATTTGGCAAAAGGCCAGAGATGGGCCTCCTTCCCTGGGGAGGTGTGATGTAGTTATCACATTCAGGACCCTTGTTGATTTATCATCTATTATTTGAATTCAACTGGACACTCTGTAAAATGCTGCACTGCAGCAAAAACAAAACCACCACCACCCCAGAGAAAACCATGTACTAATTGGAGTGGGGTACCCCCATTCACAGGTTCCCAGGTCCCCTGGCTTTGGCTGATTTCAAAATATAGAGCCCTTTCTTGCCAGTACATCCAAGTTTAAAATTATCAGCGAAATGGTCCATGTTTTTCCAATTACCTGCTGACACGGTTCTAAGCTAAGTGAAGGGGAAGATCTGAGAGCGTGCTGTTTGTGGCTGTTGATGCATATTCGTGATGTAACAGGTCCTGGGGCCTCACTTTACCCCATTTGTAAAATGGGGCTAATGTCACCTGCCTCTTACCTACCTCAGAGGGATTTGGTGAAGCAAACTGTTAATCTTCGAAAACGACCATTTCACTTCTTGGATATCAAGTGCTAACCCAGTATGTTCTTCTTTTTTATGTAAGGGACAGCTTTCTCCACAGAGTCCTTTCTGCTGGTGAGGACAGCATTTCTGAGCAGGGCTTTGTTCTCTATGTGCATTAGGACTTTTATCATGCCCTTGTTCTGTGTGTAGTTACTTGACAGCATCAAATGCCGCCTCTTCCTAATGTCCTTCAAGTTTTCATGAACTAGCAACCCCACCTTCCACCATGGTTCTGGGCGCCTGATTTTGCTGTGACTCCCAGACCCAGCCACTGTTTCTGCCACCCTGTAACAGGCCATTAAAGCTCCCCAGTGTTCAGCCTCCTTCACTCCCTTGTTTTCCCTGTTGCTATGTGTCACCTGGGCCCTACAGACAGGGGCACACGCTTATGGATGTGTGTACCATTGAGATGAGAATGGGTAGATGGAACGGAGACCATCAAGCCACACCCCCTTCTTAAAACTGGGGACATGAGCCTGAGCAGAAAGGGTGAAGAAGAGCCATGGGACACAGAGTTGACCCAGCCAGGGGGAAAGCCCAGCTCTCTTTAAACCAGCTAAGCCATTCCAGTCTCCTGTGAAGCCAAAAGGGACCAGGAACCGTGCAAAGGAAACTGGAAACTTTTCCCCGCTGGGTAGAGCATGTTGCTGATACTCTTCTGTTTTCAAGGGAAACAATCACATTGTTTGATTCCAAATGGTAAATGAACACTCACTATTCTTCAGGCTTCAGTAAATCTTTTTTTCTTCCTTCATATATATATACACAACACACACACACATATGTATATCTATACACACATGTGTGTTGTGTATATGCATGTGTGTGTGTGCGTGTGTGTATAGTTTTAGCTCCAAGCCAAGCAAGTTTGTGTTTGGATAGAGGGGAACTTAACTATTAACTACAAGTTGTATGTCTGTGGTATCTTGATTTTCCCATTTCTAAAGATGAATTTCACAAAGCCATAAAGCGTGAAATTAGAGCTGGACTTAAGACTCATTGGCCGACCATCCTGTGTCCTGGCCTGGCCCTGCAGTAAGAAGCGTGTCTGGGTCTGGAGAAGGGTGCTTCCGAGAGTGTGCAGGTGGCCCTTCCCCTTGGAGGCGAGAAGAGAGAATGTGCTGTCTATCTTCCTGGTTTTCAGTCCACAGAGTCGGTAGACCAGGGGTTACGTGACTGGGGAAAATCTCACATCTCCTTGTCTGAAAACATTTCCCCTGCTGTTCTCTTTCTAACATGTTGTGGTAAATCTGTTCAGATACTGCTCATCTGACTGTTTTGTACATGTGACAATTGCCTTAAAACCTAGCACAGTCCTCAGAAATGAATACCGTGTTTCCACTGGAATCTGCAGTTCCTTTATTCCCTTCTTGTGTGTTGAAGCGGCACTTGCTGATGGAGGAGCTGTTGCTCTTCTAGGAGATGGGCTTTGGGTGACTAAAGGGATTTGTTTTCCTTGCTCCATTCATCAGGCACGAGCCCCTAAGTCAGGGCAGGCATGCTCAGGGGGCAGTGCTACCGCCGGAGCTGCTGTCGCTGATCCTTTTGCGGCCACCTGCTTGCAACTGGGAAGCGTCAAGCTGCTCAGGGGCTTCCCACTCCACACCAGCAGGGCTCTTGTAAAAAGTGTGTGGTTTTGCCACATACCTCCATAAAGTTATGTCTTGTCAGAACGACTAGGTCAACAGGCCCTAACTGAGCATCTACTGTAAGGCAAGCATTAAGTAGGAACAACAGGAAGAAAGCCCCAGGCCCTAGAATTCTGGGAAAGTCCCTGAAAGAGAGCAGTTGTCCATGCCTCTACTATGGCACCACCACACCTCGCCCATGCTTTTATATAATCTTGTTTTCAATGACACCACATTCCAGCAACATTAGGGAATCTAGACACCTCTTATAATAGGAATTATCCTGCAAACAGAGTGGAAACCTCTGAAGAAACAGATCCCCTGTCTGACCTGAACATTTCCAGCTCTTCATATAATACAGGAACTGGTTTTCATTTCTGGGCAATCCCCAAAGGATGAGGAGAGAGTTCACACCGATCAGGGGCCTGATGGGGCCTGCTAGGAGTAACGATTTGGATTCTTACCCTGGAGTGTGGTTGCCTTGACTCTCTGTTGTGGAGAGTGTTTGGAGGTTGGGATTAGTACTTGATGAGTCAGTTTTCTGATGTAACCAGACCAAGAGGAGCAAATCTACACTCAAACCATCTCTTCCCTGGGGATCAGAAGGAGCGCTGATCTGATGAGCTACTTGAACCTGCTCACGGGAACTGTAAATTGTGTCTGAATAGCACAGGCGATGTAGCAGGGAGGACCATGGGCTGTCTGGGTTCCACTCCCAGCTCTGCTGCTTGCTTGCTGCATGACCCTGGGCATGATAACCTCTCCATGGCTTAGTCTCATATTTAAAATTGGGAGACCGAGTGCAGTGGCTCACACCATCATCCCAGCACTTTGGGAGGCCAAGGCAGGAGGATTGCTTGAGGCCAAGAGTTTGAGACCAGCCTGGGCAGCAAAACAAGACCCTGTCACTATAAAAAAAAATTTAAAAATTAGCTGTGCATAAAAAATTAGCTGCACACCTATAGTCCCAACTACTCCAGAGGTTGGGGTAGGAGGATCACTTGAACCTGGGAGGTCAAAGCTGCAGCGAGCCATGATCATGCCATTGCAGTCTAGACTGGGTGACAGTGAGAGTCTGTTTCAAAAAATATATATATTTTTTTTAAAAAAAGTTTTTTTTTAAAAAAAGAAAAGCCTTGGCTGGGCGCGGTGGCTCACACCTATAATCCCAGCACTTTGGGAGGCCAGGGTGGGCAGATCACTTGAGGTCAAGAGTTCAAGACCAGCCCGGCCAACATGGTGAAACCCCATCTCTACTAAAAATACAAAAATTTAGCCAGGTGGGGTGGCACGTGCCTGTAATCCCAACTACTTGGGAGGCTGAGGCAGGAGAATCACTGGAACCCGGGAGGCGGAGGTCTCAAAAAAAAAAAAAAAAAAAAAAGAGCCTTTTACCCAAACATGTATAACTGATGAAGTTCAACATTGTAAGTTAAAGTGTGGTCTGAATCTAGGCAACTGATTATGCTTACATAGGCGGGGCTGCCTCAGCATGCAGTTCCGCAGGGCACCATTCATGTATTCTGTGCGAATGGAGCTTGCAGGAGTTGTGCGGTACATAGCCTTCCTGGCCATAACATGGCAGCCCTGAACTGTGGGGTCAGTTGCAGTTAAAAGCTTTGATTCTCAACTCGAACGTAAAGCATGTTGAATCTGTCTTCCCTATAAATTGTTTCCCTTTTAATAGTTATGGGCCAATCAGTTTCAAAGCAATAGGGTTGCAGTCTAGAGGAACTTCCTTAATCAGCTTCACTAGTCATGATTTTTCCATTTGTGGTGTTCCTCTAACAAAGCATCTGTGTTTGTGGCTATGCACTTTGTGGTATCAATGAACCTTTTCTCTCTCTAGTCCTCAGAGCACCCTGGGTTGGCTAGCTGGATTGCTCACATGCCTTCCTCACCTCCAAGCCCCTCTAAGACAACCAATCTCATGACAAAAGCATGGCCCTGAGATCTTGTGAGTGGTAGCCCACTCCATTCAGTCCTTCCAGAAACACAGTACAACAATGGTCAGGCCTGAAAGAGCCCCGATGCTAAAGAGCACAGTGTTATAAACCCAACAAACTGATCTACAGGGGAGAAGTCAGTTTCATAGTTTCCTTTAGGTGCGGGGAGAGCAGCCTGTGGAAGTGCTGGGAATGCTCTATTTCTTGATCTGGATGGGTGTTTGCTTTGTGATAATTCATTAAGCTATACACTTATGTGGCTTGTTTGCTTTTGGGGGATGGAGTCTCGCTCTCTCACCCAGGCTGGAGTACAGAGGTGCCATCTCGGTTCACTGCAACCTCCACCTCCCGGGCTCAAGTAATTCTCCTGCCTCAGCCTCCCGAGGAGCTGGGATTACAGGCTTGCTCCACCACACTCAGCTAATTTTTGTATTTTTTTTAGTATAGACGGGGTTTCGCCATGTTGGCCAGGGCTGGTCTAGAACTCCTAACCTCAAGTGATCTGCCCGCCTTGGCCTCCCAAAGTGCTGGGATTACAAGCCATTTATGTTTAATAAGTGTACGCTTTTACTTTTCACAAAGTGAGAAGAAAAAACCAGGGGTGTAGGAGCGGGGTGGTAATTAGGGCCCAATGGAAGACTCTCTGTAGCGGTTACCAGTCACTTTGGATGACCATGTCTTTTCTTGGCTGTCCTGTGAGCCATCAGAAATTATCTCAGCTAATTACACCTTGGTCATCTAGAGCAATGGTCAGCAAACTATGGCTCACAGGCCACAGCCAGCCCACTGCCTGTTTCTGTACGGCCCATGGGTAGTGCCCCAGCACATTAGCAGCATGAGCGACAGAGGCCAAGCGTGGGTGTTTCCCTCCACCCCGTCAGGGCTGACTTGCCCATGAGGCACAGGACTCGCAGGACCTGAGGCCCACAATGCTTTTAGGGGCCCACAAAATTATTATTATTATTTTGAAACAAGGTGTTGCTCTGTTGCCCAGGCTGGAGTACGGTAGCATGATCACAGCTCACTGCAGCCTCCACCTTCTGGGCTAAAGCGATTGTCCCACCTTAGCCTCCCAAAGTGCTGAGATTACAGGCATGAGCCGCTGCTCCAGCCCTACAAAAATATTTTCATTTGCTTTTAAATCAGAAAAATGTCCCCAGGACATTGGGATGACGTACGTGAACAGGTGGCTTGACACTCATAGCAGGGACGCATGGATGATTTTCCTATTATCAGTTTTTGGTCTGCAACAAAATGAGGTACTGAAATTCTGGCAAGTCTTTGCCGAGCCCTAGGATGACTTGGGCTTGTAGGGCTCCCCAGGGGAGCAGCCCCCATTAGCAGAACCTCCCCCCACACCCCACACCCCACACCCCTACACACAGAGAAAGTGGGCATAGCAGGGTCTCTTCCTCAATAAAGTGCTAGCTGAGGAGTCACTTGTCCAGGAATCCCTGATCTCACCCATTTCCACTTCACTAAAGCACACTGAAAAGCATTAGCCTGATATATACAAGATACCTGATGTATACATATCCATGGAGATTTAAGAAAGAAAGCAACCATCAACTGCTAAAATACTTCCCTGGAAGCTCAGCTCTTCCATCAAAACCCAAATCCAATCTGTCCCTAAGAGTGAGAGTCAAGGACAAAAGCACACCCATTTTTAGTAAATCCGTGGCCTGCTGGGAACGTGAGTCATTGCCCCTGGGTACCCAGCACCACTTTATACATATAGAAGATAGTATGAAGTGACAAATGGATGAAGAACTTTAAAAATCTTTAGAGGACTGAATCGTTATCATTCCTTATTTCTAATGTTTTACTGTAGTGTTTTCCTTCAGATAAAATTCCCTGTGTTCCACAGTAGGCTGCATGATGGGAGCAGGACCATGAGAGAGTGAGCCGGATGTACTCTGGGGCTGACTTGGTAGTAGCCGTGTGTCCTTGGGCCGGCCACTTCCCCTTCCTGGCCTTGTTTTCCTCATCTGTGAACTGCGGGGTTGGACTAGACGGTCCCTGAGTTCTAAGTCTCTTCTACTCCACTGCTGATAGAATGTGAAGGAAAATTGGAAAGGAAGACTTTCCAAGAGGGACAGCAGACCAGGAATAAGAGTCCACAGTGGCACTTTTCTTGCCTGTGGTTCCCAATCTGGATGCATATTACACTACTCTGGGAACCCTGAAAAATCCCATGCCCAGGCCATACCTGAAAGCAAATAACCAAAATTTCTGGGGGTGGGACCCAAGCACCAGTATTTTCAAAGCTGCCCAGGGGTTTCAGCCAAGGCTGACAACTGCCGGGTCAGCAGCACTGTGGGCAGCCTAGGAATTCTGCATTTAACAAGCTCCTGGCAAATACTTGGGCATGTGAGTGTTTGAGAATCACAGACCTAGTACCCTCAGCATCTGTGGGCACCCTGGTTCATGGTCTTTTCTGGAAAACTCCATTCTAGGTAATTTCCCAAAAGCCTCTAACTACAGTGGCCATGGATGACCTCATTTGAGGGGAAATCTACTCTTGTTTACACTCTGTCAGCCAAGGAGATGATCTTTCCCCAGATAAAACTGAAATGCAGGCCAGGCATAGTGGCTCACGCCTGTAATCCCAGCACTTTGGGAGGCTGAGGCAGGTGGATCACCTGAGGTCAGGAGTTCAAGGCCAGCCTGACCAACATGGTGAAACCCCATCTCTACAAAAATTAGCCAGGTGTGGTGGCGCACGCCTGTAGTCCCAGCTACTCAGGAGGCTGAGACAGGAGAATTGCTTGAACCCAGGAGGCAGAGGTTGCAGTGAGCTGAGATCACACCATTGCACTCCAGCCTGGGCAATAGAGCGAGACTCTGTAAGTGCCTCTATTGGTGTCTTGCAATACAATGTCTCAAAAACAAAAAACAAACAAAAAAACTGCAATGCAATTCATACTCTGGTTGTTGTAACATGGACAATTACAGAATCATCATTTCCATTTTTCATCTTGCTGACTACCTGTGGTTCCATTAAGAATCAAGAATTCTTTTTTTTTTTTTTTTTTTTTTTGAGATGGAGTCTCGCTCTGTTGCCCAGGATGGAGTGGAGTGGCTCGATCTCGGCTCACTGCAACCTCCGCCTCCCAGGTTCAAGCAATTCTTTTGCCTCAGCCTCCTGAGTAGCTGTAACAACAGGCGTGTGCCACCACACCCAGCTAATTTTTCTATTTTTAGTAGAGAAGAGGTTTCACCATATTGGCCAGGCTGGTCTCAAACTCCGGACCTCATGATACGCCCGCCTTGGCCTCCCAAAGTGCTGGGATTACAGGTGTGAGCCACCAAGCCTGGCCAAGAATCAAGAATTCTTTAAGAAGAGACAGTCTTTGAATGGGAAGCTGGCCTCCAGCCACAAATGCTACTTACTACAAAAACCCACGAGGTTACTTATTTGAAAGCCTCAGACAATGCCTGTGGAAAGAGGAAGAAAAGCCACATTCACAAGGATAAATAGGGCAGAGTAGAAGCCCTATCCACTGGTTCTCAATGTTGAAGGCTCATTAGATTCATCCACGCTAAAAAAAAAAAACAAAAAACCAACCCACCAGCACTCCACCCACAAAGATTCTGATTAAACTGGTTTGGGTTTGTGCCTGAATACTGGGATTTTCTTTTCTTTTTAAATTTTTATAAAGGGGAAAGTGGCCTGGTATGGTGGCTCGCTCCTGTAATCCCAGCACTTTGGGAGGCCAAGGCAGTAGAATCACTTGAGCCCAGGCGTTCGAGACTAGCCTGGGTAACATAGTGAGACTCTATCTCTACAAAAAAATTTTAAAAATTAGCCAGGTGTGGTAGCACGTGCCTGTGGTCTCAGCTACTCGGGAGGCTGAGGTGGGATGATCATTTGAACCCAGGAGGTTAAGGCTGCAGTGACCCATGTTCATGCTGCTGCACTTCAGCCTAGGAAACAGTGAGACCTTGTCTTAAAAAAGCCAATACACCACTAGGGTCAGTAAGGTGAGTGGAATCCTGGGGTCCTCCAAACTTCCCTGGCCTTCTCCCCACTTTCCTCTTTATTTTTGTTTTGTTTTTTGCCATATATTGGCATTTTTAAAAAGAGCCCAGGCCGTGTGCAGTGGCTCACACCTGTAATCCCAGCACTTTGAGAGGCTGAGGCAGGCGGATCACCTGAGGTCAGGAGTTCAAGACCAGCCTGGCCAACATAGTGAAGCCCCACCTCTACTAAAGATAAAAAAAAAATTAGCCAGGCATGGTGGCACTCGCCTGTAATCCCAGCTACTCAGGAGGCTGAGGCAGGAGAATCGCTTGAACCCTGGAGGCAGAGGTTGCAGTGAGCTGAGATTGCGCCACTGCGCTCCAGCCTGGGCAAGAGAGAGACTCCGTCTCTAAATAAATAAATAAATAAATAAATAAATAAATATTTTTTAAAAGAGCCCAGGCGATTCTATAGTAACACACAAACAAGGCTGCAAATCCTGGACTGGCCGCTTCACATCCCTTTCTTAGCACAGGTGCCTTCTCTTCCTAGTTAGTGCTATTTGCATGAAGCATTTCCAGGTGACTTTCAACTTCCCTATATTCAAACGTCCTGCCATCCGCTCTTTTGCATAATAAAAGTACATATGCCACACTGAGTATTGTTCTGTGTAAAGCTGATGGTGCTGTTCACATCAGAAATTGCAGCACTGAAGAACAGAGTTCATGCAGACTTTTACAACATGCATCAGCTACAGTGAGTATTCTTGCATGCTTTTGGCCAATGCAAGCTCTCATGGCACGCTGTACTGTAAGCTCCGGGTCGGTGTGCACTTCTGTTTTGTTCCTGCATTTCAAGCCATGCGAATTGACATGTTTTCTTCCCCAAGGCATTTGTTTGTTGATGGTACCAGCTGTCAAAAACCAAGCAAGTGGCAGTGCTAGAGGTGCCACAAAAGTGCGAAGGAAGTGTCAGGCTGGATGTCAAAATGAACACCTTGGAGAACTGGATGATGGAACAGACGGTAAAAATCAGCTAAACATCAGAGAAAATGGAGGAAGAGGTCAAAACTGTGAACAGGAACTAGAAGAAAGTGTAGCAGAAAAAGACTTGTCACAAACTTCGAGAGATTTGGAGAAAATGATGTCAAAACACATCTTCCTCAAGCCCATGCTGAGTATCTCTGATTTGGTTAATTTCTTGGTAAGTGTTCCAAGTACAGACAACAAAGCAGAAAAGCACTGATTACAGGGAAGAATTAAAGAATGTACAGAATTTCTGGGACGGATAGGGAAACAGGTGGGTGGCTAATAGCCAGGAACAATGTAGTTAAGAGTGCTGAGTTTCCGCAGCAGGTGCTTGCCCACACCTGTGACATTAGGAACCGGGCAGTGGAGCCTCCCTCAGAGCTACCCCAATCAGATCTCCCAGCAAGCTCTACCCCATACGGCCCATGCCCACCTTCCCAGCTGCAGCTTCTGAGTTTCACACAGGTGCTCTGCTTGGCAGACCTGCAAGGAAGTCTGAAAAAGCAGTTTGTGGTTTTCCGTCTGTGCAGCTCAGGAAGGTACACCTGATGGGAGTTAGCTGGGCTTTGGCTAGCCAACCTGCAGGGTCTGGAACTGCTTCTGTTTGCAGGACGCATCCCCCTATTCCAGACAAGCTCTGGATTCCCCTAAGTGCCTATTACATGACAAAGGCAGGCTTTGTGAATGAGCGAATACATCAAACCCTCTCATAGTGCTGCTGCCTACCAGCCAGTGGGTCTGTTTCTGTGCTGCCACCAACTTTGTTGAGCAATATTTGTCTTACAGCTATTTTGAGTATTTTATTGCACTGCCTTTGTTCTTTTATTCCACCCCTCTTCCTCTCTCTCTAAGTGAAAGAAGTGAAGTAACGATATTTGTGATAAGAAGTGTAGTCTCATACATTTTATGAAACTGAAACAATTAAAATTACCAGTAGTATCCGAAGCAGCCTATCTATATCCTCAATGAGACCTCAGTGGGAAAAAAGATCTACTGCCTCTTCACCTGTAAATAACACGTGAAACTGCTAAGACCGTGTTATTGAAGAATGTGGCTAGTGGGCAGAGTGCCATTTGGAATTTTATAGTCGTCATTATCTTTCTGGGAGTGGAACCTCCCTTATAACGTGGAAGGCTATTTTCAACTTTTGCACTTTTTTACTTGGATGCCTTTTCCAGACTCTGTTAACGTTTGGAATTGGGTTTCACTCTACAGAGAAAGAGAAGCAGGAGGACAGGTGTAGAGGGGAGGAGAGGGAGGACCGTGGGTCGCAGATTGGGCCTATTCCCCTGCACTCACCACTTTGTCTGTCACTGCCAGCCCGCTCCCCCCTTTTCAGATACCAACACCAGGCCAGGGGTGACAGCCCAGGAAGGTGGCATCCACAGCCCTCAGCCCTCTGTCCTTGTCATTCACTCCTACCAGTCCTCAGCCCTCTTATCTGTCTGGGAGTGAGATGAAGGGCAGCTGGAAGCGGGAGGAAAGGTCCTCTCCTCTCCACTACAGTGACAAGAGGTTTGGAGGAGCTTCTGGGTGAGGCTTAGGGGGTGACCCTCCTGTGCAGAGCGGCATGGGCTACAAAAGAGTGGATGTTTGTCCTGTGTGTGGGTCCCTCCTGGGGGCTAAAATGAAATCTCCTTTCATTTTCTGATATCATGTGATCTCTGACTTACAAACCTACTTTCCTGTGCCATTTCTGTCTAAGACAACAGTCGCTTCTAACAGAGCCAGAGTCCTACATTACTGAGGAAACCACCACCATATCCCATGCATGAAAGGGCCGGCCTGTTGTGAATAACAAACTAGTGGCCTTAGAGCTACATTTAAAGACAGAAAGGTTGGGGGGATGGGGGGTGGGGGTGGGGGTGGGGGGAGTGGGGAGAGAGAGAGAGAGAGAGGCCGGGCACAGTGGCTCACGTCTGTAATCCCAACACTTTGGGAGGCTGAGGGGGGCAGATCGCTTGAGGTCAGGAGTTCAAAACCAGCCTGGCCAACATGGCAAACCCCGTCTCTACTAAAAATACCAAAAAAAAAAAAAAAAAAAAAAAAAATTACCCAGGCATGGTGGTGCACGCCTGTAATCCCAGCTACTTGGGAGGCTGAGGCACGAGAATCGCTTGAACCTAGGAGGAGGAGGTTGCAGTGAGGCTGAGATCGCACCACTGCACTCCAGCCTGAGCAACAGAGTGAGACTCTGTCTCAAACAAACAAACAAGCAAAAAAAAAAAAAAAAAAAAGAGAGAGAGAGAGAAATGGCTTGGAAGTTCTCCAAATAACAAAAGGTGTTTTAATGCGGTGGGAGTGGGGGCTATGGAGTAATTATTGGAGCTAGGGGGCCACCCTGTGGCTAAGTATCAAAAAATAAAGTTCAGAGTTTTTTTCCCCAAACCCATCTGCAATTAATCTTTTCACCCAGAGAGGCAGAAAGGAATACCAGGCCAAAATCTGTCAAATTTCTCCTCAGAATGGCCAGTTGGCCTAGAATCATTAAGCCAAAGTGTATGCCTGACCAGCATCACCTAGAAACCTGTTAGAAATGTAAATTTTTCTGGGGTAAGGCCCAGCCATCTGAGTTTTAACAAGCCCTGCAGATGATTCTGATACCAGGTAAAGTCTGAGAACCACGGGTTCACACCAGTTGGTAAAAGAGCATCTCTCTGGGCAGGGCTAGCATATAGCTGGTACTAACTGTAATTGATTATAATTATCATAAAATTCATTCATTCACTTAGCAACCATTGTATTCCATTCATACAAGAAATATTTATTTATTTATTTATTTATTTATTTATTTATTTATTTATTTATTTTTTGAGACAGAGTTTCACTCTCGTTGCCCAGGCTGGAGTGCAATGGTGCGATCTTGGCTCACTGCAACCTCTGCCTCTTGGATTCAAGCAATTCTCCTGCCTCAGCCTCCTGAGTAACTGGGATTACGGGCACCAGCCACCAGGCCCAGCTAATTTTTGTATTTTTAATAGAGACAGGGTTTCACCACGTTGGCCAGGCTGGTCTCGAACTCCTGACCTCAGGTGATCCACCTGCCTCAGCCTCCCAAAATGCTAGGATTACAGGCGTGAGCCACCACACCCGGCCAAGAAATATTTCTTGTGTGTTTAAAGAGCAGAAAGAAGGCTTATGTGACGGGTAGAGTGGCTGAGGGGAGCATGCAGGAATAAGTCCTGAGAGGTAGGAAGAGCCAGAGGGCATGATGAGGACTTGTGTATCACAAGAGCCACTGGAAGATACTGAGCAGGAAGAGATGTGATGAGACCGTCTACTTATAAACAGTTGCTCCAGCTACTGGATACAGAACAGACAGTGATGGAAGCACGAGATCAGCTAAGAGGCTAATAAAAAGAGAGTGGTGACTTGGATCGGGGTGTAGCAGTGGAAGTATTGAGATGGCTGGATTCTGGATAGATTTTGAAGGCAGAGCTAACAGGATTTACAGACAGATAGGATGTGAGATGAGGCCCAGAGGAACCTAGGATGACTCCAAGGTTTTATGCCTGAGCAAAACTCTATTTAGTGAGAAATAATTAACTGCCCACTAAGGATGCACTTAAGATGTATCTCACAGTTCAACTTCAGTAGTTTTTGTAACATAGTTAAAATGTGTCAGTAGGAAAGACCAATAAAATTATGGGTCAATTTTGCTTCCACCCAATTTACCTGTTTCTGTGTTTTAAATATGTCACCTTCGTTTATAAAAATGTGCTTGTATTTCAGCAAATAGCTTTGAATTTCATAAACAATCCTTTTTTTTCTTTTTTTTTTTTTGAGATGGAGTCTCGCTCTGTCACCCAGGCTGGAGTGCAGTGGCATAATCTCGGCTCACTGCAATCTCTGCCTCCCAGATTCAAGCAATTCTCCTGCCTCAGCCTCCCAAGTAGCTGGGTTTACAGGCATGCACCACCATGCCTGGCTATTTTTTGTATTTTTAGTAGAGACGGGGTTTGCCATTGTTGGCCAGGCTGCTCTCAAACTCCTGACCTCAGGTGATCCACTCACACCCCTCACCTCAGCCTCCCAAAGTGCTAGGATTACAGGCGTGAGCCACTGTGCCTGGCCTTGACAATACTTTTATATCCTGGTATACTACAGTGAAGGTAGGGGTTGTACTTAAGGTAATCAAGGGCTATTGTCTTTTAAATTGATATATAATAGTTGTACATGTATGGGGGGTAAGTAGCCTTCATTATAGAAGTAGAAATAGGTCTTCTTTATCAATTTGCTACTTTTATTCTTCCTGTGGTACAAATTAGCAGCAATTATGTGTGCCTGCAAAGACATATTTTCATGTATAATAGAGCCATACACCCCGCTTAATTCAGCAGCCAAGATCCCTGACAACCTCAACCATTTGGAACTCAGGTATGATTTCCCATACTATACTCAGGAGCTTAAGGGATGTGTCTAAAATTAAAGTTAATGAGTTAACAAGCTTAATTATTTTGTTTCCTCTGGCAAACTTCCAGTCTTCCTGGGTTTAATCCAATGGAAGAAATGGTTATTGAGTGCCTACTTGTACAGGGCACCCTGTTAGGCTGTGAGAGGGGTACAGGGAGAGCTGAGAACAGATCATAATTCCATGGGAAGGGAGGAAGCAGACATGCTGACCGCAGCAAGATGGAAGGAAACAGAATGATCGCCAGCTAGAAAAGAATAAAAGCCTCTGAGCTCTCGAATTAGCACTAATAACACCAGAAAATCAAATAGCCCCCAAGGCTGGAGTACAGCCACGACAGTGCCTGGGGTTTCATAACAATGACTGAGTCGGAAAATTAAAAGAACAGAAAAAGTTAAGATGTTACTAACTCAATTTCCTATGGCACAGAATGATGTCAGACATTTTAGAAAAAAGTCTAATCAAAACAAGTGGCATTTAATTTCAAGGGGTCATTTTAAATTGCCTGAATAATTACTTACATCCAGACTATCTTCTTTTTTTTTTCTTTTTGAGACAAAGTCTCGCTCTTGTCCCCCAGTCTGGAATGCAATGGCGCGATCTTGGCTCACTGCAACCTCTGCCTCCCGGGTTCAAGTGATTCTCCTGCCTCAGCCTCCCGAGTAGCTGGGATTATAGGCGCTCACCATCACACGCAGCTAATTTTTTGTATTTTTAGTGGAGACGAGGTTTCACCATGTTGGCCGGGCTGGTCTCAAACTCCTGACTTTAAGTGATCTGCCCGCCTCAGCCACCCAAAGTGCTGGGATTACCAGCATGAGCCACCGTGCCCAGCCCAGTGAATAATCTTTTAAGATAGAGGGAGAAAACTGATAAATTTTATATATTCATTATTCATATATATATATATCTATATCTCTAGTTAGCATAGAGGCAGAGAAATAATTTACACCAGTAAATGAGTAGACATCAGTATACCAGAATACTCACAGCCCTGTCTGGTTCATAAACAAGGGTTGCAGAGAAGTTTCCAACAGAGGGCTTATCAAGTAGGCAAAAAACTTAAATACACACGAAGTAACTTGAAAACCATTTTTTTTTTTTTGAGACAGTCTCTCTCTGTCACCCAGGCTGGAGTGCAGTGGTGCAATCTCTGCTCACTCTAACCTCCTGGGTTCAAGCGATTCTCCTGCTTCAGCCTCCCGAGTAGCTGGGATTACAGGCACATGCCATCACGCCTGGCTAATTTTTGTATTTTTAGTAGAGGTGGGGTTTCACCATGTTGGCCAGGCTGGTCTCGAACTCCTAACCTCGAATGATCCACCTGCCTCAGCCTCTCAAAATGCTGGGATTATAGGCAAGAGCCACAGTACCCAGCCTTGAAAACCATTTTTAAAAGCTGTCTAATACGTGGGGGGAGAAAACTGTATAGATTAACAATATAAATGATAACTTGGAATAAATGAGAAATCAAAGCAGGCATATCACGAAACTCATTTTGGGGTTGTAAATTCTTTGGGCACAAAACCATACTCCATCTTTGTCCATTTGTTGCTGTTCTTTCTTTTATGTGTATGGTGTTTTATAGCAGAATCTCTTTCTGCCTGCCATCTACTGCGGCTGGTCCCTACCCTGGGGTGGGTGGAACAGGTTCTAGAGAAAGGGAAATGACTGGGGGGCTGGGATGGCACCCCAGAAGGCATCTGCCCCAGGCCTTAAAATTCTCTGGATTCTAGTTATTCACATGCTTCTTTTCTCCATTCTTGTAGGCTGCTAGCAAGTTTAGGCAGGCCCTACCTAGCATACCCATCCCTGTGTGCTCCCCCAACCTCAGCCTAGCTAATGAACCAGGTAAGCGTCTGACTCAAAGGAAGCCAATTAAACTTCTGTTGGAATTTGCCTTTTAGACCCAGAGATGCTGGGTGGCCTCTGGCCGCTGACCTCCTGATTGCCATCCCTCCCCCATCACCACAACTCAATAATCAAACCAGCAACTGAGGAGTTACTCTACACTCTTCTTTACCTCCCAACCACCCCGTTCCAGCTGCTAATCATCATGCTGATTCTACCTGTAAAATACAGCTCGATTTGTTTGGTTTTCTCCATCTCCACAGCTGGCACCCTCTCTACGTCTCTGCCATCTGTCACCTAGACAACACAGCATCTTCCAAATGAGTGCCTCTATTTCCAGGGTGATCTTAAAACAGAAATCAGATTTTCACCCCTGCTGAATATCCTTCAGGGTCTCTTCTCTGCACCCAGCTGGAATCCAAACACTGGTCCAGGAAGCCCCGCCTGCCTCTCCTGCCTCACCCAGATGGCTCTACCCTTTGCCCACCTCACTTCAGCCACAGTGGCCTCACCTAAGTGCCTCCACATTTGGTATCTATTCATTCTCTAGCCAGTGCACCTCAGAATGCCTGGAATTCAGCTGGGCATGGTGGCCCATTCCTGTAATTCCAGCACTTTGTGAGGCCAAGGTGGGTGGATCACTTGAGGTCAGGAGTTCGAGACCAGCCTGACCAACATGGGGAACCCCCGTCTCTACCGAAAATACAAAAATTAGTTGGGCATAGTGGTGCGTGCCTGTAATCCCAGCCACTCTGGAGGCCGAGGTAGGAGAATTGCTTGAACCTGGAGGTGGAGGTTGCAGTGAGCCAAGATTGTGCCACTGCACTCCAGCCTGGGCGACACAGCAAGATTCTGTCTCAAACAAACAAACAAACAAATAAAAAGAATGCCTGGAATTCCTGTCCTTTCCCATCACTTGTTGTCTCTTTCTCATCTTTCCAGCCTCAGCTTAAATGTCACCTCCTCAGGGGAGCCTTCCCTGGTCACATGATCTTTAATAGGTCATCCATGTTTTTCTTCCCTCAGCACCTCATTTGTTTCCTTCCCAGTACTTAATGTAATAGATCATTATTCTTTGTGTATTTAAGTGTCTCCCCATGGTGGGTGCAGTGGCTCATGCCTGTAATCCCAGTACTTTGGGAGGCTGAGGCAGGAGGATTACTTGTGTCCAGGAGTTTGAGACCAGCCTGGGCAACATAGTGAGATCCTGTCTCTATAAAAAAAATTACAAATTAGCCAAGTGTGGTGGTGCAGACCTGTAGTCCCAGTTACTCGGGAGGCTAAGGCGGGAGGATCACTTGAGCCTGGGAGGTCGAGGCTAAAGTGAGCTGAGATGGTGCCACTGAACTCCAGCTTGGGTGTCAGAGTGAGACCCTAAAAAAGAAAAAGTTAAATTAAATAATTGTTTCCCCAACTACACTATAATCTCCATCTTGGGAACTACACCATCTTGTTGGCCATCATGTTGTATCCTCTTGGGGGAATAAGGACAAGCTTCAAAGAAAGAGATGGCATTTGGGAAGAAGGTGCTGAATTTTCTCCTTCTTCCAGTTAGCACTGCTGCATCTTGATTCTGTTCTGGGGGAACCACCCTTTGCCTATTTCAGTCATGGGGTTTGGCTTGAAATGACCCACCCTTGGCACCAAGAAAGTCTCTTATTAGTTTAGGCAGATTACAACTGAGGCCAAAAATAATCAAGATGTTTGCTGGGGCCAGGCACAGTGGCTCACGCCTGTAATCCCAGCACTTCGAGAGGCTGAGACGGGCAGATCACTTGAGGTCAGGAGTTCAAAACCAGCCTGGCCAACATGGTGAAATCCCATCTCTACTAATAATAGAAAAAATCAGCTGGGCGTGGTGGCGTGCACCTGTAATCCCAGCTACTCAGGAGACTGAGGCCGGAAAATGGCTTGAACCCGGAGGGGGAGGTTGCAGAGAGCTGAGATCACACCACTGCACTCCAGCCTGGATGACAGGGCGAGGCTCCGTCTCAAAAAAATAAAATAAAATAAAAAAGAATTTAAAAGTTGTTTGCCGGGCAAGAAGCATACTCTCTTTCCTGTTAAAATGGCCAAAAGAGAACCTCTTTCTCCCGCCTTTCTACCACTGAGCAGTGTAGTATGAAGATGTGTGATTCGGGATTGCTATATCAGTCAAGGTCCCAGCAGGAAGCAGATGGCACACTCAAACTGGACAATTTGAGGAGCAGTTAGTAAGTGGACTGTTGGCGGTGCACACCTGTAATCCCAGCTACTTAGGAGGCTGAGGCGGGAGGATCTCTTGAACCCAGGAGTTCGAGGCCACAGTGAACTATGATCTCCAGCCTGGGTGACAGAGTGAGACCCTATCTCTATTTAAAAAAAAAAAAAAACATGGACAGTTTGCAAAAGTGTGAGCATGTGTAGGGAAAACTTAAGGAATAATGAAATATCTTGGGGCCATTACCACCCTAGGCCTACAGAGGGTGGTTGCTGGAATGCAGAGATAGAGATATGGAGACTGTCACCTCATAGATGAGGGATGAAGGCAGCCTGTGCTGTGCACCATGGAAGACAGAGATTTAATTAATAGCCCAGCCATCCGTGGAGCCCATGCTGGTGCTCCTCACTGGCCAAACCCAAGTGGAAGACAGAAGGCAAGGAAGCCCGCAAATCTAAGCCAGGTCATCCTCCAAGGGCACTGAGCAGGGAGGAGAAGAATAGAGACGTTAAGAAGCAGAAGGAAGATACGGAGCACACCTACCTGCTAGGGGAGGACTGAAAGAGCCACTAGGGGTTCTGAACGCAAGCCGACACAGCAAAAGGCAGAAGACAAAAATGGAGTAAAACCAAGTCACCTGTGGTGCTGTCCAAGCTGCTGAACAGACGTCACCTGAAGCTAACTAGATACCTCGATATTTCTCAGTATAGGAGCCATTAGATTCCCTTTATTGTCCGGGTGTTACTTGAAACATAAAGAGCCCTCACAGATGTAACGAGTTCTTCGAGTATTACTGAGGTTTCAATAAGCAGAAATGGAGAAATCACTTTCCAGAAACAGGGAACAGAACAAGCAAAAGGCAAGGTGAAAATGAGGGGCATTTTTGGGGATCCGTGAGTAGGCAGTTGACTGGAGCCTATGGGCCAGGTAGAAAAGTATTAGGAGAAGATTCCAGAAAGGTAAGTGGGGTCTCATAGACTGGAAGTCCCAGAACTGAAAGTCAAGGAGTTGGGAGCTCATGCAACTGGCAATGGAGAACCACCAAAAGGTGAACTGTTATGCTTGTGATTATTTTCTTCATGGTTTCTTTGGGGTCCTGGGAGTGTGTGGTGGCTGTTATGTGTAACTGTGATTAACTTTACATCGTGAAAAGTCAGTCACCAAAAGGCAGAAGAGGCTAGATGGGACTCGCCTGCAGAACTGGACCGAGGGCTCTGCGGCTGCCACCGAATCTGCTCCAGGATCCTGCCCAGTCTCCTCCCACGCAGGGTAAACCATTTCCACTTACTACGGACTCCACCTTGTGGTCATGCTTGAGAACTGCACCACTGCCTCCGCAGTCCTTACCCACAAGGGCAACAGGATCACCACCCTCTCTTTCCTTGTCCCTATCATACCTTTAGGTCTCTTAAAAAAAAATGAAAGCAGCAGTGTACAGAAAGAAGTATAAAGGAAAAATTATTTCAAAGTTAAAATTAAAAAAATAAAAGCATACCAAGATAAAGTCCATTTCGTGAGATTTCATGCATCTTAAACAAATGGATCTCAAACCAAATATATTCTTTAACCCTCTGTACATCCTCTTCTATTAGTATTATCTGTTTTCATTAATTTCTTCAAAGTCCCAATGGGCCAGGCGGTTAAAGACATTTTCACACTTATGGCCGGGCACTGTGGGAGGCCAAGGGGGGAGGATCGCTTGAGGCCAGGAGTTCAAGACCAGCATGGCCAACATGGTGAAACCCCGTCTCTACTAAAAATTCAGAAATCATCTGGGCGTGGTAGTGCTTTCCTGTAGTGCCAGCTATTTGGGAGGCTGAGGCAGGGGAATTGCTTGAATCCGGGAGGTGGAGGCTGCAGTGAGCCGAGATCATGCTACTGCACTGCAGCCTGGGCGACAGAGCGAGACTCTGTCTCAAAAAAAAAAAAAAATTCACATTTAATCCTTACAGTTCTTTGGTAGGCATAAACGCTACTATCCTCATTTCACAAATAAGGAAATCTAGGCATATGCGCTCAGAGAGTTTTAACAACCTGCCCAAGGCCATGCAGCTAATTAGTTGGGACAGTTGGAATTTGAACTTGGTCAGTTAGATCCAAAACACAGGCATTTACCACCAAGCCACATTGCCTCTTAGTTGATAGGATTTTCATCTACTCGATTTTCAACTGGAAATTAGTAAGGGGATCTTGATTGTTGCCTCCCCTTCACTTCTTCACCCATATGCAGAGATGGGTTATTGATAGCACCTCCTGAATGATAGGGGATTTTATCCCTTTCTCTCTCCCCATGGCCATAATCTCAGTCTGGCCCTTCCTCGCATTTCATATGAAATATTGCAACTGCTTCCCATGAGGTTTCCAGTGTTTCCCCCATCCCACTCCACTGAAGAGAGGGTTCTAGTTTTAAAATCCAAACCTGAAAAGACTCAATCAGTTTAGGCCATACATGTGGCATTTAAGCCACATGTATCAAGATGCTTAAAAATGTCTATACCCTTTCAATCAGTAGTTCTACTTCTGTGAATCTATCTTTAAAAAAAAAATTCCTGTATATAAAAAAGTTATATGTACAAAGATGGTCAGGCAGTATTATTGATGTAGTATAGCTATTCCTTATAAAATTTTTAAATTTCCATTACGAGGCTGGGAATGGTAGCTCCCATCTGTAATCCCAGGCCTGTGGGAGGCCAAGGAGGGAGGACTGCTTGAGGCCAGAAGTCTAAGATCAACCTGGGCAACATAGTAAGACCCCATGTCTAAAAAAAAAAAAAAATTAAATTAAATTAAATTATAATAGCCAGGCATGGTGGCATACACCTGTAGTCCTAAGCTAAGGCAGAAGGATCGCTTGAGCCCAGGAGTTTGAAGCTGCAGTGAGCTATCATCATGCCACTGCACTCCAGCCTGGGACAGAGCAAGACCCCCTCTCTAAACAAAACAAATAATAAGGCCGGGAGTGGTGGCTCATGCCTGTAATCCCAGCACTTTGGGAGGCCGAGGCGGATGGATCACAAGGTCAGGAGTTTGAGACCAGCCTGGCCAACATGGTGAAACCCCGTCTCTACTAAAAACACAAAAATTAGCCAGGCGTGGTGGCGCGCACCTGTAATCCCAGCTACTCAGAAGGCTGATGCAGGAGAATTGCTTGAACCCAGGCGGCAGAGGCTGCAGTGAGCAGAGATCGCACCACTGCACTCCAGCCTGGGCAACAGACCGAGACTCTGCCTCAAAAAAAAGGAAAAAAGAAAAACAAATAATAATAATAATAAATTTAAACCAACTTAATTTCTACTCCAAACCCAACAGGATTTTCTACTTCAGGCCATCCTTCAAGGTCCTAGGAAGACCCTGCAGTTATAGATCATTACTGGTCACTGTCAAGGCCACCAGGGCCCAATTTATCTGGTTCCCTCAGTTCTAACAGCCCACTAGCTTTCACGCCACCCTTGGGACATATGGATATTTGGTGAGGCTGGGAGCCCTGTAACTGTTCCTCTCTGAGATCTGACCACTCCCCTGGGGTGTTGTCAGAGGGCAGAGCACAGGTCCCAGCTATTGCAGGACCCTGGACCCCTCCCCTGGCTTGGAGCAATCTTTTACCCTGGGGGAAATCCACCACTGCCTGCTAGGGTTTCCGTCAGAGCTGCTTCCTGTCTCCTCTCCCTCCAGTACACTGTACACTCAGACACATCAGGGGACTTAGGCTTTTGAAAACAAAGCCAGGAAAAGAAGTGTTTTGCAGGCAATTTCTGCCTTCAGCCTGCCAGCTCCTGAGGAAAGTAAAACGAAGCCTGCCTGAGGAGGAAAAGTGGGGAAATACAAGAGGAAATTCCACATTTGTAGCTCAAAAAGTTATCCTACCTCAAGATGCTTAACAATGAGACAATGTCATAAGATGTGAATGTTGGACATGAAGTCTGTGGGTTGCACATAGATGTTGATGCAGCCTGCACCATACAGTTGGAAAATCTAATTCACTTCACCTACTCATTCCAGATGCAAGTTTCCAAAGTTCTGGTGAAAACGGCTGAAGGAATAGTGTTACAGCAACTGCCCTTGGCTTTTCCAGCTTTACACTTCCATGCCTATGGAAATCTCTTCCCTGTCTGTAGCTTTAAGCATTACATCTATATGATCGACCATCCCATCTTCATCTCCATCCCTGACTTCCTAACTTGAGCTCCATGTCTCCAACAAGAGAAAAGGCAGGGCCGGGCGCGGTGCTCATGCCTGTAATCCCAGCACTTTGGGAGGCCGAGGCTGGCAGATCACGAGGTCAGGAGATTGAGACCATCCTGGCTAACACGGTGAAACCCAGCCTCTACTAAAAATACAAAAAATTAGCTGGGTGTAGTGGTGCTCACCTGTAGTCTCAGCTACTCGGGAGGCTGAGGCAGGAGAATCACTTAAACCCTGTAGGTGGAGATTGCAGTGAACCGAGAACATGCCACTGCTCTCCAGCCTCGGTGACAGAGCAAGACTCCGTCTCAAAAAATAAAAATTAAAAAAAGACAAAAGGCAGCACCATCTGGGAATCTTACTTTCACTTTCATGCCCCAAATCAACTCATTGTCTTTACCCCAAATCAGCTTCCTCTGCAGATGTCTCATTCCATCAGTGAGGCAGGAGGGTAAGGTCCCAGCCAAGTTCTTTCCTCTACACTGCTGTTAGAAATGCTTGTTCCCCAGTGCCACGAAGAAACAGCACTCAAACATAAATTTAATTTTCTCAGCAAGGCAATTTTTACTTCTATAGAAGAGTGTAACTCGCGAATGGAGTAATGGCAACAGCACACCTGGACAGGGAAGGGCAAGGAGTTCTTATTCCTGAGGCAGGTAGCCCCTACTGCTGTGTTGTTTCCCTATTGGCTAGGGTTGGACCGCACAGTCTAAGCTAATTCCAACTGGCTATTTTAAAGAGAGCAAAGGTATGAGCCAGAGTGGCAGGGTGAGTAGTGTGGCAGGAAGGACGGTTAGGAACAGGTAACTAAAGGTGACTTAGGTCACAGCAGGTGACCAGGATGAGTCAGGATGGAGCAGGTGACCAGGGGAACAGATGTGAACTACTGATTAGGACTCGCGAGAAAGTTGTTTACTGAAACTAGAAGCAAAGGGGTGAAGAGAACCAGGAAGTTAAACTTTAAAATGGAGAATCAAAGAATAAGAGAACTGAACATACTGACATACTGATTCTTTGAAGAGAAACTTGGGGTCTACTATATTTAACAATCCCCCTTCTTGAATTTTTATAGTTCTTTCTCTTCAAACTTCCTTAACATGTCTTGGCTTAGCTGTTCTGTTTGATTCTCTAAAAGAAAAAGCTTCTCTGAATAAGGTGGAGGAGAATTAAGGGAGGTTTTAGTAAGTGCTGCCTGTATGAGTTTGTACACCAGCCCACAGATGCATGGTATGACACAACACCCAACAAGAATGAGTACACCTACTACGGCTGCGAGAGAAGTAAGAATCGAGGCTATGATTCCTTTCCATTTACCAAACCATTTTTCTAGCCACCTTGTAAAGGGATCATTTACCCCTGGGTTTTTGGCTAACTCACTAGACAGAGCGGTTAGACCTTGCAATGCCTTTGTTATACGTCCATCAGGGGCGGTGGTGTTTGGGATGAAGGTACAACCTTGAGTTTTAATCATGACGCAAACTCCTCTTTCTGCTAATACCGTGTCTAAGGCTCTTCTATTTTCCCAAGCCATCTGGCTAGTAGCCCCTAATCGCTCACCTATTCCTTTAACAGCATCTCTAATGTAGTTAATAAACCGCTGTTGGTTGTAATAAATGTAATTTACCTAATCTATGTTCTTATTAATTGTCACCCATCAAAATATTGACTTAAATTCTGCAGCTATTTGATCTCGGGCTTTAAATTCATCTGGTACTCCTCGTGGAGGTCTAATAGCATTTATATAAACATGGGAGTCAAAGGACCCATGTGAGGCACTTCTTTTTTTTACGCTTTTCTCTTTTTTTTTTTCTTCGTGTTGACGGAATGCTAGGGTAAAAGGGATGGCCAGTTGGACTAGGGCACAAGTGCTGCTCTAATTACTTGGCAGAGCAGAGTACCCAGCAATAGTTCCTTGCAATACCACCACACATCTGCTTGGAGATGAACAAGGGCAGACTGATTGGTAAGCTCTTGAAAAGGCTTGGTTTCACTGCACCCTGTTAAGTCTTCAAGGAATGCTAACTCCCCCCCCACCCCCCGCAGAGAAAGGCACGAGGTGAAGTTAACATCAGGGGCTGGTGGCAGCATGGCCCTCGGGGGCTGACCCACAGGGCTCTTAACCTCAGTGAACCGCAGAGAAAGAGTCTTGCATGACTCATCGCCCCAGGCTGTGGGGTTGTGGAAGAGAGCTACCATACAGCTCATGCCCAGTCCATGAGAGGACCACCCAACTGGAAAGCGGACAAGCTGGGTCTCTGGCCTGCCTGTCGCATAAGAGTTAACAGTCGCTTTTGTTAAGCGTGCGAACAGAATATTTAATCCATTCCAGCCAAGCATTTGCGTCCTGATACTCTGTTTCAGTTGCTACAGTTTGTTTTAAATCTTTAACCTCTACAACTACTTTGGTTTCATCATTGGGTAGATAACAAGAGGTTTGGTTAGCAGAGAAGTTAGGAGAGGGAGAAGGGGGTGCAGGAGGTGACAAGGCAATGAAGTGCATTTCAAAGGATCCTGAGACTTCTGCTCCTATGCCATAGAAGAACTCTGGGGAGCAGGGATGGTCATCTGTCCTCAGTTACATTGGTCTAGCTGACAATGGGGAGGGGTAACTCCTTTAGTAAAATGAATATATGGTTTTAAGAAACTGCAAGTACTAGTTGGGGCAGCCGATCCTTGCTCTTTAATATTTTATAGAGCATTGGACCAACTTTGGCAGAGAAGCTCTGCTCTAGGAGGACAAGATTTCCAGTTTATACTGGAATCTTCGTCAAACTCTTCTCAAACTAATTTATCCCAGTTAACAGATTTTTAGTCTGCAGAGCGCTAGGAAGGATAAAGATACTTTCCTGAAGTGGAGAGTTGCCTCTGACTTGGCAAGTCTCCATAGGGTATAACAAGGCAAGCATCAAATGTAATAGTTTGAGGCAAAATTGACTTGGTTACATTAATAACTAGGTGGTCAGCAATAGAGCGAGGAAAGAAGTCATAATCAAATGGATGAAAGAGAGTTAAATTTTTCTTAGCTTTAGTTTGGTAGGGTTTTCCCCTGGGACCGTGGCCCATGACTCTGGAGGGGGTGGCACTTTCCTGACTCGGGTGTGATGGGTCAATCCTTTTTCTGCTGTCCAGACTGCAGTTTCAGTAGTTAGGATCACTAGGTAAGGTCCTTCCCAGGCCGGTTCGAGCTTTTACTTCTCTCCAACTCGAGAGCTACTTCTTTGCAGCACCAGGGAACAAGCGTTTCTAACACTGCCCCCTTATAAAAGCCTCAAAATGCCTGTACAAGTCCATGACTTAGGGGTCTTAGGGGCTCCTTTGTGGAAGTTTCTCTGTTTGTTACCACCCCGCAGGCAAATAAACAGATTGGACGGAGCTTGGCCCCAAGGGCATCCAAGCTATTGGCCAATCCAGACCTTCTGACGTAGCCTAGAGTGAAAATCCAGACCAACAAGAACACCCTCTATTAAACAGTGACCAGCCAAACCATCAGATCATCTCTCTTGGGGCTTTAAAGAGACACAGACAGAGGGGGTTGTTATTGGCAGGAGGGTAAAAACGGAGACAGGAAGAGTCAGTAGTTGAGCTACCCTAATGAGTCTCCAGGCAAGTAAACTAGGTCATCAGGAACTCTGCTGATCTGATTCTCTCCTAAGCAGGGGAGCTTTCTGGGCAGTTGGGAGTAGAGGAGTAGAACAAAGTATAGCAGATGTTTCTCTTCTTTTCACTTTCTCCCCCCTCTTTTCCTTTTTCTTTTCTTACCAACCGCCCCCCCCCACCTTTTTTTTTCTTTTCTTTTTTTTTTTTCATCTACTCAGTGTCTGAATACCTCCCTATTTGAGAGACAGGGCCACAATTCCCACTGTGGAAGCTGAGAGGGTCAGGTACTTTCTGGCCTCACACCTTGGAAGCTGGAGCTTGGGCACATGATCCTGCTAGTGAACCAGAGACTCAGAATCAATTGAGAAATAACTTACTGCTGCAGCATCAAATGTTAGCATGACAGCACGTAGTATGCAGTGGCCATGGTGCCAACAGCAGTGTGTTCACCTGTCAGCACATAAAACTGCAAATCTACAGAAAAGTTGAAAGATTACAATGGATATAACCTTTACCTAGTGAATTAGTTATCTATTGCTGCAAAACAAATTACTCTAAAACATAGCTTCATGGGAAAAAACATTTATCATGCCAGTTGCCATGGGTCAGGAGTGCAGGCACTGCTTACCTGACTCTTCTGGCTTGGGGTCTGTCACAAGCTACAAATCAAAGTGTCAAGTGGGCTGCAGTCTCACATGAAGGCTTCACTGGGGAAGGATCTGCTTCCAAGCTCATTCATATGGTTGTCAGCAGGATTCAGTTCCTCATAGGCTATTGGACTGAGGGTCTCAGTTCTTCACTGGCTGTTTTCTGGAGGCCTCCCTCAGTTCCTCACATGTGAGCCTCTTCCCCATGGGGCAGCTCACAACATGGCAGCCCATCTCCATCTGAGCAATTGAAGGAGAGAGAATTCAATTATGGAAGGAACCTCCCACATGCTGTTTGCTAGAAGCCAGTCTCTAAACCCAGCCCTTACTCAAGGGAAAAGGATTACACAAGGTGTGAATTCCAGGAGGGAAGGTCAGAATTCACTGAGTGCCAACTTAGAGTCTGCCAACTACAGATTCATCAATTACTAACATTTTATCACATTTGCACGTGCTCCCCCTTAGATAGATAGCTACAAATACAGATATACAGTTTTGTTTGTTAAACAACCAAAATTAAGTTAAAGATTGATATGGTTTGGCTGTGTCCCCACCGAAATCTCATCTTGAATTCCCACAAGTTGTGGGAAGAACCTGTGGGAGGTAATTGAATCATGGGGGCAGGTTTTTCCCATGCTGTTCTTGTGGTAGTGAATACGTCTCACAAGATCTGACGGTTTTAAAGAGGGGAGTTTCCCTGCACAAGTTCTCTCCTCTTGTCTGCTGCCATGTGAGACGTGCCTTTCACCTTCCACCATGATTGTGAGGCCTCCCCAGCCACGTGGAACTGTAAGTCCATTAAACTTCTTTCTTTTGTAAATTACCCAGTCTCAGGTATGTCTTTATCAGCAGTGTGAAAACAGACTAATACAAAGATATTATAACATTTCACCTCTAATTACTGCAGCATGTATCTCCTAAGAATAAAAATATTTTTCCACATAACCACAATGCCATCACCGCCCCTCAAATTTAACAATTGTGCTATAATATCATCTAATATCAGCCCAAATTCAACTCTCTCCAGTTATCCCCCAAATACCTTTTATAGCTCTTTTTTTTCCTGCTCCACTATCCACTCAAGTTTCCTGTATTGTTTTTGGTTATTATCTATTTAGTCTCTTTTAATCTAGAACCATTCCTTCCAATACCATTTATTACTGGGTATTTTTTTCCATACTGTTGACATTTTTGAAGAGTTCAGGCCAATTGTTTTGTACAACTGTTGCCCACACAACAGGTGGGCTAGGTCACTTGGTAAGTAACAACCAATGGCCACAACCAAGGAGGATTTAACAAGAGGATTTTATTACTTACAACTAGTAAAAAGAACACTGGGTATAGATAGCTCCCAAAGCAATGCCTCCCTGAGCTCCAGGCTGTGTCAGGTTTTATAAGCATAGGGTAATGAGGCATGATCTGACTGGATCTTGCAATGAGGTAATGCCAAGAGGCATGATCTCACTGGATCCTGCTAATGAGTGATGCCAGAGCTCAATCTGATTGCATCGTAGATCCAGCCATGCAGTGTCAACTTCCTAATTCAGTCCCTGCTCCTCTGAGCACTTAGGTTCCCCCCTGTGGCTACACACTTGGTTCACCTGGGCCTGCTCAGGTTACATGACCTGAAGCTCCATTAGCAACTGAAAAACAACTCATAACTTTTGTTACATAAAAGTTGAACCAAACTGGTCTGGTGCAGCTACATAATATCCCATATTCTGGAGATGATTACTTCCTAATGGTGTTCATCTTATACCAGTATCTACTGTATTTCCTGTAAGCAGGAAGTTAGGTTAAATATTTTTGGAAAGAATTCTACTTAGGAGGCACATGTCTGGTAGTCCCATTATTGGTGATGTTTGATCACTTGGTTATGGTGGTAATTGTTTGATCTTTCCATTATAAATGCATAATTTCCCTTTTGTAATTAGTAAATAATCAGTGGGGCAATACTTGGGAGTCTGTGTGAATACCTTGTTCCCAGAAACTTTTTTCCCAATAGTTTTAGCATTCATTAGTAATCCTTATCTTGGTTAATTGGTTAATTATTACATTTGAGTTTCCAAAAGGGTAATTGTCTAATCTAACATTCCTCTTACAGTTATCACTCTGTAAAGATGAGCTTTTCTTTTTCTCTCTTTGTTTTCTTATGTTTTGTTTGAGATTGACTATGGACCATGATTTTCAAAAAATTATTATATTATAATCAATTATAATTATAGATTACAAATATTTATTTTACATTAACATTTAATACATTTATTATATATTTATATATTATGTTAAACATATTTATTATATAGTACTATATATTAATATACTTGTTAATATATTTAATATATAAACATATTTTAAATATAATCATATATTAAGCATATATACTTAACTATATACCTAATTATGTTGAAGTTAATTATACATTTAAGTATATAATTATCTCAAATATACTTAAATACAATTATACTTAAAATGTAATTAAATCGTAATTAACATTATTTTTTATTTGCAGATTGTCCCAAATTTGGCCAATGAAAAAGTCCTTCAAGGCCAGGTGTGGTAGCTCATGCCTATAATCCCAGCATTTTGGGAGGCTGAGGCAGATGGATCACCAGAGGTCAAGAGTTTGAGACCAGCCTGGCCAACATGGTGAAACCCTGTCTCTACTGGAAAAAAAAAAAAAAAATTAGCCGGGTGTGGTGGCAAGTACCTATAACTCAGCAGGCTGAGGCAGGAGAATCACTTGAACCTGGGAGGCAGAGGTTGCAGTCAGCTGAGATCATGCCACTGCACTCCAGCCTGGGAGAAAGAGCAAGACTCTGTTTCAAAAAAAAAAAAAGAAAAAAAAAAAAAAGTCCTTCAAGTTGACTTCTATATCTTTTTTTTAAAAAAAACAGCTTTATTGAGATCTAATTTCCCTACCATACAGTTCACCCATTTACAGTACACAGTTCTATGGTTTTAGTTTATTCAGAGTTGTGCAAGCATCATCACAGTCAATTTTAGAACAATCAAATTTAGTTCATTACCCCTAAAAGAAACTGTTACCCATTAGTGGTCACTTCCTATTCCCCTCAACTCTTGCAGCCCTAGGTAACTGCTAATCCACCGTCTCCATAGATTTGCCTATTCTGGATGTGTCATACGAATGGAATCATCTATGTGGTCTTCTGTGACTGGCTTCTTTCACTTGGCATGTTTTCATGGTTCACCCACATTGTATAAAAATGTCCGTCTACATTCTGTAGCATTGATTTTACTGCCATTTTAACATTCCATATTATGGATATACTGTATTTTACTTACCCATTCATCAGTTGATGGGTATTTGGGTTGTTTCCACTTTTTGGCTCTTGTGAATAATGCTGCAATAACCAATCATGTACAAGTTTTTGTATGAACATACGTTTTAATTTACCTTGCATACATATATAGGAGTGGAACTGCTGGGTCATATGGTAACTTTATGCTTAATCTTTTGAGAAACTTCCAGACTGCTTTCCAAAGGGGCTGTATTATTTGACATACTTTTTCTTTTTCCTTTCTTTTGAGACAAGGTCTCACCCTGTTGCTCAAGCTGGAGTGCAGTGGCACGATCACAGCTCACTGCAACCTTGACCTGCTGGGCCCTAGCGATCCTACCATGTTAGCCTCCCAAAGAGTTGGAATTACAGGTGTGAGCCACTGTGCCCAGCCTCCATTTGACATTCTTACCAGCCATGTATGAGAGTTCCAGTTTCTCCACATCTTCATCAACACGTTACCTTTTTTATTATAGCCATCCTAGTGGCTATAATTGTGGTTTTGATTTGCATTTCACTGAGGCTAATGATACTGACTCAGTGTTTCTCAAGGTACCTTTGGTCCCAAAAATTCATGTTTTATTTTATATCCAGAAAACTATCTTCAGTTATAGCTTTCTTTCATTGTTATGTTTCTTTTCTTTGGAGACTTCAATGATGCATATGTTAACTTCTGTCTATCTTCTATATCTCTCACTTTTTTTCTAATATTTTTCCTTCTTTTCCAAATTTGTTTTGGGTTCTCTTGGCTGTTTTAAATTTATTTTCAATGTTCCTTCTTGACTTTTAAGGCTAACCTATTTTCCCGTGGACACAATGTAATTTAGTTTCCATATCTCAAGATTATTTTGGCTTTTTCTTCTACTTCTTTCCTGAATTTCATCAGTTCTCATTTTATAGTTTTCTGCTTTGTGTCCATTTCTATTTTGAGTTTTTTAATGTCTGATTTTTGGTATTCTTTATAGCTACAGCTGCTTACTAAATGATATTTAATTCATATGAAGAATACTGTTAGTTTTCCTCTGCTTTTTGGCTGTTGGATGGAATTGTGGTTGGTGGAAAGAATTTTCATTAGTTAAAATGGTTTTTAATTTTTTTCTTGTAGTTACTTTATATGGATGTTGGTTGCTGTTCTGTTTAGTTCAAAATACCTCGGATCTGACCAGGTGTGGTGGCTCACACCTGTAATCCCAGCAATTTGGGAGACCAAGGCAGGTGGATCAACTGAGGTCAGGAGTTCAAGAACAGCCTTACCAACATGATGAAACCATCTCTTCTAAAAATACAAAAATTACCCAGGCGTGGTGGTGGGTGACTCTAATCCCAGGTACTTGGGAGGCTGAAGCAGGAGAATCCCTTGAACCTGGGAGGTGGAGGTTGCAGTGGGCCAAGATCGTGCTACTGCACTCCAGCCCCAGCTGGGTGACAGAGTGAGACACTGTCTCAAAAACAAAACAAAAACAAAAACAAAACAACCTGTCAATATCACTGGGGAAAGAGTTTGTCAAACTCCAAGGCAATTTTCAGTGAGAATGACACTAAGTTTCAGACTTCAGGGCAATAGGAATGATGTCAGACTTCAATTACATTCCCCATGAAGAACCAGACAGCTAGAGTGTCGCTATGTACTTTTAAAAGATGACTGAGGATGGAGACAAGTGAGTTGGCAGACAGTGGCAACCTCTGGAAGACAGAATCTTCTCTGCTGGTTCCCAGGCTGCTGCTCCGAAAGTCCCAAAACACGCACCTGGCCTCTCCTGCATTCCCACTGGCTGCACCTTGCTCCTGCCCAGAATGAAATCTGGCTCCTGGCCACCAAGCAAGAAGCCACCAGCTGACCAAAATTTTTAATTAAAAAAAAAAAATTAGTTCAAGTGCCCACTGGGAGACAAAACTCTGAACCAATGACCAATAGTTTCTTCCACAGCAGAATATCATTGCTGGTAACAATGGGTGTGGTATTTCTCAAATCATACCTAATGATTCTTCTCAAAATTTATACTTTGCTTTTCCTCAAACCAGCTGGTTTAGATATTTTAGTACAATGCTTTCACCAGAACCTACAACAATGGTTCCTATTAACTGAGAACTGAAATTGATGTGGTCTCCTCATGCCACAGGTCACATGTTGTTTGGTGACTGATTTTGACTCTCAGGAGGAAGTGGGGTTGCTGTTACACCACGGAGGCAAGAGGAGCAGTAATAGAACACAGGAGATCTCCTGAGGCACCTCATCACTCTCATGCCAGGGCACAAGTTGATGGCAATGTACTGTACCACCTACAGACAAACTACAGACAACCTACCTACAGGCAACCTCCTCAAGAACAAAAGCTTGCTTAACCCAACCAGGCAAAGAATCCTGGCCAGCTGAGGGGTTGCGTGAAGGAAAGAGGGACCTGGAATGGTTAGCGGAGAAGGAAAATTGTAAATGACAATAAAGCTTCATTACCAGTTACAAAAATGAAGATCGTAACCTCTAACAGTATTTCCCTTCTTGCTGTATTATATATAAATGGAGTTTTTAGCTATTGTCCTTTTCTTTCATTTCCTTTCTTTTCACAATTGTATCTAAAGTCTATCAGTGATGCTTAACTTTACAATTTAGTCTACACATTACAACGATGGGATGGGATGATGATGAAACTGAAAGGAAGAATGGAACATCACCTACAGAAGTTAGACTTGGGCCAAATACAGTAAATGAGGAGATTTTGAGATGCCCTGCTTTGGGGAAGGGATAAGTAAATTTTGTTATAGGAGAGATGCTCGCATTTTGTTGGATGGCAGCATTTTCATTTACCTTTGAAAGCACTTCTGTGAATGTTGGGCAGCCTAAGAGACGGACTATAGTGAAGCAACTTTTGGCAACCCAGCGTCTCATTCTTCTTATTTGAGGGGAGGCCCCCACACACTGAGTCTTGGTATGAGGCTAGGCCTCCCAGACTAGAAGCCACAGTAGAAACCAGAACTCTCTTTGCCTATTGGCAATCAGAACACAGGCACATAACCTAGACTAGGCCAAGTAAATGGTCCTTCCCAAAACTTGAATCTTAAGTGAGAAGAGTTGAAAAATAATTCATGTCACCACCAAAGGAGCTGGTACGCACCCTAATCAGAGTACCAAAGCAGGATGGCTTAGCTGGTTCCTAACATTTCCAGGCCTGGTTCTCCAGCATTGCTGCTGCAAGGAGTATAACTACAGACAGCTCTAGGCCTACTTTTCCCGCGCTCAGAAACACCAAAAGAAAGAGCCTCTTTCTCCCAGCCTCATTCTCTAAAATCCCCGACAAGGGCTCAGATCATCTCAGGTTTGGTCATGTGCGCATCCCTGGGGAAATCTGAAAACAAGAGGAGGGAGACTACAGCTGGTCAGGCCTGGGTTCCACACCTCCCCTTCTCCACACCCATCCTGCCTTGGGAGACCGGAGAAGTGCGGTGCTAAAGAACCATCTGACCCAGCGGACTGCAGACAATTCCCAAAGGAAAGTTTTCCCGTCAGGCAAAAACAAAAGCTGCTCACAACACAAAATTACAGAACATCAGAACCAAAAGGAACCTTGGGACTCCTTCATCCTATCCCCTCTCTTTATAGATGAGGAAACCATACAGGATATGTACGCCTGTTTGGACTTTGTACAGTTCTCTGTCCAGCAGGGGTGACTTGGCTGTGGGATTAGGTGACTCCACTGGAGGTCTTCTGTGTATAGAAAAGATCAAGGGTCACAAACACAAATGCCTTCAGGTAGGCAGCAAATGTGTGAAGGCTGGCTGTTACTTAATGGACCAGTGGTGGTGGTGGGATTCAAATTCTTATTAAAAAACAAAAGCAAACAAACAAAGAAAAGCTATGCGATGCCCAAATAAAACCATCTGTGGGCTAGCTGCTGCTGTTGTCCAAAGTTTGTGGCCCCTGGGTTAGACAAAACCTCTGAGCTGTCCTGACAGGTCTGGGAAAACCAAACAAGTCCTTGTCTCCTAAACTACCTGGGACTCAAGAGCTCTGTAGGAAAAAATTTGTACCCTGCACCCAGCTGGGGTTGACATTTACAGACGCCTGTTTTATGAACTGGGGAGATATTCAGTTGAAGCCAGATTGCTGAAAGTGCTGCTGAGAGAAAATCATCAGAAGGGAGGGCCTCTTCCCCACGCCACCCTGGTGGTAGTTCCTCTATGCCTCCGGATTCTGCTAAGCAGTAAAAGCTAAAGGGCAGTGTCATTAAGCTCCTAGGGGATGGGATGCAGTGGCTCACACCTGTAATTCCAGCACTTTGGGAGGCCGAGGCGGGAGGATCGTCTGAGTCCAGGAGTTCAAGCCCAGCCTGGGCAACACAGCAAGACCCCATCTTTGCAAAATAGATAGATAGATAGAGATGTATGAAAGTTACTAGGTCCCATGCTGGCAGGGGAGAGAGTGAGCACCCTGGCCTCCCACAAGCTGCCTCCCACTTCCCTCCGACTCCATCACCGATTTCCCATCAGAGCAGGCTGCTCAGAGTGGCTAAGTAGCTACCAGTTCATTTTCCACACCCTTCCCATTCTCCACGAGCCAGAGCTCCACCTCCCCCCAGAAGCTGTCTTCAACCACCCGGCCTGGGGAGCTCCCCTCAGCACTGGCTCCCCGCCCCGCCTCGCAGCACCTGTTCGGGCCTCGGTCGCGCCGCCGGGTCTTGCAGACGCGAATGTAAACAGAAACACAGTGAAAGGCGTTCGGAGAGCCTCGTGACTGCGGCACGGCGGCGAGCCGGGAACATCAGTGCGTCCAGAGCAAAATGAACGAATGTACGCATGACTCCTGGAGCGACCTTCACGAGGGAAAGCGCGCCCCCCGGCACCCACCCCTAAGCGCCCCAAAATGACCAGCCTTTACACAACCCAGCTCGCAGGCGAAGCTGAGGTCGGAGCTCCAAAAGCGAGGGAGGACAGCCGCTGAAGAAGTCCCGGCTTCCCATAGGCCAGGACGAAGTAGGGGGCGGGCTCATCTTGCAGGAGCGTCCACGTATTGGTGGAGCCGCGGACTTAGAGCTGCGATTCGCTGCGCGAAATTGCCGAAAGCCCTCCCGCGGAGGGAGAAGGGGCGGGAAGAAGGGCGTGGTCAGCGCGGCCGAAGGGCGTGGTTGGCGCTCGGTCCTGCCCTGCGCGTTTTGGGCTGCGGTTGGAGGGCCGCAGTTGCAGTCAGGGTCCGCCAGCTCGGGGCCAGCGCATGGGGCTGCTGAGACCGCTCCGGACGTGCGAAGCGTTCGCGGTGCGGTAGGTAGGCAGTGTCCCGCGTGCGGGTGCTGGTGTCGGGGGTGCCGCGGCGCTGGGGGCGGTGGCCCGGGCTAGATCCGCGCGCGCGCCCGGCCCCCTCCCCCGCGTCTCTTCGGTGCCTGCGGGGCCCTTGCGGTGCGGGCCGTCTGGCCTCGCGTCCCCGCCGGCAAGGGCACAAAGGCTCCCTGGGGGGCGGGGGCGCCTCGTGCCTTCGCCTCCATCTTGCGAGCGGAACGGCGTGTGCTGTGGCGGCCGAGGGGTCGGGGCCGAGGCGGGCGGCTGGGCTTGGGAATGCCCGGGCGCGGCGAGGGAGTGCGCGAGTCCGCGCATCTGGCGGCCGAGCAGCTGCGCCGCTGGTCGGCCTGGGCCCCGGGGGAGGTCACTTTCCCTCAGGCCTCTCCCGGGCGTGGGCTGTTTACCCAGCTCCCCAGTCGGGGCTAATGCAGCTCGGGCCTTTCCCCCTGGAAAGATGGAGACCAGTGATGTCTTCTTATCGCCGCGCCCAGATGCGGAGAGAAAAAATCAAGATGTCTCATTTTTTTTGCCTCGGAGGGCTACCCTTTCTAACTGTCATCACTAGAACAGTTCTCAGCAGCCTGGGGACGAATGTCCAAAACCTGTTCCAGGCCCTTGATGATTAGTAGGTTGGGTTTAGTGTATTGTTTGTAACAAAAATGAGCGGAAGCCTGCCAGGGCAGATTGGACCTCACTGGGAATTCATCAGGACCACGAAGGGAGGTAGCGTTTGTAAATAATCTAACAGTTCTCAGATCTAGGGTATGAAGAGTGTTGTGTTAAAGTGTGTAACAAAGGTTGTTGGGTCAGTTTGCCTTGGGTTTAGTTGAAAGATCTAGAAGTCACCACTTTTTACTTTGTTCCCTCCATTCCCCTTTCCCACCCTCTGTTGAGTCAATTCTGGCCCACTTAGAAAACAACAACAACAAAAAACCCAAGGAATTCAGTTTAACCTCTTTTGCGCAAAGCTTTTTAAAGCACTTCCCCACCCTGCGACTGATAACTCCTCCCTTTTTTGGGCTACCTTCTGCAGCCTCTGTTTTTACTCATCACACTGTATTGTGGTTTCCCCAGCCCCTAGCACAATGCTTGGAACATAAAAGGCACTCAATGATGGAAGGAAGCCAAAAGGAAACAAAATCAGCGTGGTAGTCTAAAGGTGACACAACAGAAACATTTATTTAACTTCTTGAGCGAGTTATTCTTACAGGTTAGGAAGGCAGCTAAGCTCAGGCTCTCTAAGTCAAACAGGCTTTAGCTCTGCCATGTTACTAACTCTGATTAATTTTTTTTTTAATGGTGATGGGGGTCTTGCCATGTTGTCCAGGCTGGTCTTGAACTCCTGGGCTCAAGCAATCCTCCTGCCTCTGCCTCCCAGAGTGCTGGGATTACAGGCGTGTCATTAAGTTATTTAACTTCTCCGTGCCTTGGTTTCCTCATCCTTAAAAATGGGAATAATAGTAGTACCTGTGTGGTGAGTTATTAGGATTAAATAAGATATTGATGTATAGTGCCTAATATAGTTCCTGGCACAAAGAAAATGATCAGTAGCTGTTAGCTGTTAGCAGTCGTTAGGAGAAAAATAAATGGATACTTGAATACACTCACCAATATGAAATATCTGTATAGTACTTGACCCTTCAGGATCTCTCTGTTTTTTGGTCCTTATCCGATCCCTTTTTTTGAGACAGGGTCTCACTCCATCACCCAGGCTGGAGTACAGTGGCATGATCTCAACTCACTGTGGCCTCAACCTCCTGGGGTCGAGTCCCTCTCACCTCAGCCTCCCAAGTAGCTGGGATCACAGGTGCACATCACCAGGCCCAGCTAATTTTCTATTTTGTTGTAGAGATGACGTCTCTCTATATTGCCCAGGCTTGTCTTGAACTCCTGGGCTCAAGCGATTACTGGCATGAGCCACGGTGCCTGACACCTTATCCGATGGCTGATTTTTTTCCTTTTTTTTTTTTTTTTTTTTTTTTTTGAGAGGGAGTTTCACTCTTCTTGGCCAGGCTGGAGTGCAATGGCACAGTCTCAGCTCACTGCAACCTCTTCCTCCCGGGTTCAAGCAATTCTCCTACCTCAGCCTTCCGAGTAGCTAGGATTACAGGCACCCACCACCGTGTTCCGCTAATTTTTGTATTTTTGGTAGAGACAGGGTTTCGCCATGTTGTCCAGCCTGGTCTTGAACTCCTGACCTCAGGTGATCCACCCACTTCAGCCTCCCAAAGTGCTGGGATTACAGGCGTGAGCCACCATGCCCAGCCTGATGTCTGATTTTTAAACATCCCTTTAGCCTTTCCTGATTCTCTTTCCACAGTGAAAGTATTCCGTAGAAGATTATCTGTTTATGTGTCTGGAGTCTCACCACCAACTAAAGATTGATTTGGTGCCAAATAGCAATTTGGCCAAGAGTTACAGTAGTACTTGATACATTCTTAACGGGGTCTGTTATCTGAAATGGTCATGTAAAATCAGAGGAGCTAAATAGATGGGGGCCTCATGTGGCTGACAAAAAATCTTTACCTGGTTGATCCATCCAGAAAGAAGCAGAGCTTATGGAGGTGGACTCTCCTTATAACTTAAATCTGTTCTCATGAAGAAACTGTCTCCTATCTTTAATGTTGTTCACCAACATCATGAAAAGCCCAAGAAATGTTCCTGTTGGCTTTAGACCTGTCTGCCAGCTAGAAGTGTCAGATACAACTCCTGGGGGACACTGCGTCACTTCCAGGTTTTCCTGCACCACTTTCTGGTTACAGGAAACAGGTTAAGTTGCACATTTCCTTGTAGCTGTAAGCTCCCTTGGCATATTGGTTTCTCTTAAATTATTTCCAGTTTCCAAAACAAATACCTTTCCCCTCCTCACTTGTAACTGGCACAGGAGAAATTCAGGTCTGTGATTCTGTTTTTAACATAGCCATCATGAATCTCAAATTCTTTCTAGGGAATACTATTATTTCTGGGGACTCCCTTTCAGCTGTGGTATTCTATAATTAGCCATTAAAAACCTGCCACAAGGTGTAAGCCTTTTCTAATGTCCTGTTGCAAAGGCCTTGAAGACAAGGGCCATAAATTTTCTTCTTGTGTGTGGCTGGCATATAGGCACCCAAGGAATGGTTGTAAAGCTATTTTAGTTGTTCCTTCTCAGGGTGCTGAAACAGCCTTACTTACCAACCCAGTGCTTCTGAAACATTTTTCTTACCAAGTCATCTGGAGATATTGCTAAAATGCAGGTTCTCATTCCAAGGTTCTGGGGCAGGACCTGAGAATCTGCATTCCCAACGAGCTCTGAGGTGATGCAGATGCTGCTGGTGCTGGATCACACTTTGATAGTGAAGTGCTAACCCTAGTATCTACATTTGCTTTTTAGAAGTATTGGGTAAATGGGTTTTATTTTCTTATGGTATTGGAATAAAATCTTGGGTTTAGGAGCTTTTTTCTATTTTTTGTTTTAACAATTTCTCTATCTTGTTAAAAAAAAACTATTTGAGGAATTGTTCCAACATACTTTGATGTAATAAGATTTTTAATAACAGCAATTGAGGCACATGGAGTGAAAAAAAAATAGGAGAAAGTCAAGGAAGAAATTAGCACAAAAAGGCAAGTACCTCTCTGTCCTATGCCTTTTACTCAGGTGAGATTGTGTATTTGGCCCTGAGCTTTGTAGCAGCCAAAGCAAAGAGGGAAATTTTTTTTTATCAGTTTTGCCAGTACTTATAAAGTGAAAATGTCTGCTGAATGGAGACAGCTGTTTCTGTTATTGAGGCCAGAGAATTCTCCCATGGCTTCTCCAAAGAGAATGCTATGGTACAGTGAGTGGCAATCTTAATAGTATCTCTTGAGAGCGGTAAGATTCTTCTCAGTCTTCATACGTGCAGCCTGATGACCTCACAAAAAAGTGTCAGGGCCGGGCACAGTGGCCCATACCTGTAATCCCAGCATTTTGGGAGGCCAAGGAGGGAGGATTGCTTGAGTTCAGGAGTTTGAGACCAGTCCGGGCAACATAGCGAGGCCTCGTCTCTTAAAAAAAAATAAATGAATAAAAATAAAAACTGTCAGTATAGTAAAAGCAGTGGTCTGTGGAAATGCACCCATGTGGTCCAGGTACAGCCTCTTCTGACAGTGACTTTTGTTATAAGGAAGGTGTTTTTCTGCTTTGCTCTTTAGTGAGAAAAAAGGTGCTGTTGATTGACATATTCAGCCCTCAGCATCCTTGTACATTGAGCTTTGTTACACATGGACACTCTGCTGACTGCTGAGGAGGCCAGAGAGCTTGGGGTTGAGGGGAGGAGTAGCTGGGACTCAGTCAAGCTCCTTGTAGATGTGACTTACATCTCTTTAAAGGCTATCTAGGTTGGGCGCAGTGGCTCACGCCTGTAATCCCAGCACTTTGGGAGGCCGAGGCAGGAGGATCACATAAGGTCAGGAGTTCGAGACCAGCCTGGCCAACATGGTGAAACCCTGTCTCTACTAAAAATACTAAAATTAGCCAGGCGTGGTGGTGGGTGCCTGTAATCCCAACTACTCAGGAGACTGAGGCAGGAGAATTGCTTGAACCTGGGAGGTGGAGGTTGCAGTGAGATAGCACCACTGCACTCCAGCCTGGGCAACACAGCAAGACTCCATCTCAAATTAAAAAAAAGAAAAAAAAGGGCTACCTAAAGACCTTGCCTTGTAAATGAGAACATTGGCCTTGCTGGGAGGCTGTCTGGTAGCCCTGGTCAGTCAGCCAACAGATAAGTGAGTGAGAAGGCGAGGGAACAGACAGCCAAGCAGCCTAGCCCACAGCCCTCCCTACCGCATTGATCTACAGGGACCCACTGGCTCCTCCTAGGGCCCTGGGAGATTCCTTCTGTTCTTTTGACTCTAAGCAAAACTTCCAGAAGCAGCCCTGGGGAGAAAAGAAGGGGCTCCCGGTGCCCAAGGATCCTGGGGATGGCCTCGGCCCATGGCCAAGCCACAGCAGACACAGTCTACCCTCCGTAGCTTTGAGTCTTTTCTTCATTTTCACTTTACTTTGATTTTACCTGCAGAGAAGGGGGACAAAGTGCTCAGAGTGACCTATCCCACAGTGAAAGACAGGGCTGGTGTGGGGGACTGTGGGGCTCCAGGGGGACTTCCCAGCAGGGCAGGAGCAGGTGGAGCAGCAGTTGCTCTTTGCTGCTGGCCTCCCAGTCTCAGGCCTCCAGCCACAGTTTTCCTGGCACCCACGCCACCCTGAAGCAGGCCTCAGTCACCTTTTGTGACTGGCCCCTTTGTTGGCTTCCCCTACGTGTCTTTACCTCCTTTCATGTGACCTCCCATGCCTGCTTGGCCTCTGCCTTTAAGCTCCTTTATTCCATAAATCTAGTTCCCCCAGAGTTCTTCCAGCAAGCTCTGCTGGGTCCTGCCTTCTGTTTCCTTGTGGACAGTTTCATGTTATTGGAGAAAGAGCAGCATGGAAAGCCTCTTTGGTTCTCTGGGCAGGTTCTGCCACTGTGTGTTCATGGCAATTATCACTTATTCCTGTGGCCTCCTGTGAAAACAGGTTTGGAGGTTTTGGCCCTGAACTCATAGGGCTTGCTCAGTCTAGCAACACCTGGCCTCTGTGGCTGGCACAGGTGACTGTGCGCTCAGGTAAGAGACGAGCCCTTGCCAGAACAGAGCTCCCTGGGCAAAGTTGGTATAAATGAGATTGTTTCAAAGGGAGCTCACGACTTAAAGAGTCCTGGCCAGGTGCGGTGACTCCCGCCTGTAAGCCCAACACTTTGGGAGGCCGAGGCAGGCAGGTCACTTGAGGCCGGGAGTTCGAGAGCAGCCTGGCCAACATGGTTAAACCCCGTATCTACTAAAAATAGAAAAATTAGCGGGGATGGTGGCACGCACCTGGAGTCCCAGCTGCTTTGGAGGCTAAGCCAGGAGAATTGCTTGAACCCGGGAGGCAGAGGTTGCAATGAGCCAAGATCTCGCTGCTGTACTCCAACCTGGGCGACAGAGTGAGACTCCATCTCAAAAAAAAAAAAAAAAAAAGAGGCGGGGCGTGATGGCTTATATCTGTAAACCCAGCACTCTGGGAGGCCTAGGCGGGTGGATTGCCTAAGCTCAGGAGTTCGAGACCAGCCTTGGCAACATATCGAAACCCTGTCCCTACTAAAAATACAAAAAATGAACCACGCATGGTGGTGCACGCCTGTAATCCCAGCCATTTGGGAGGCTGAGGCACAAGAATCCCTTGAACCCGGGAGGCAGAGGTTGTAGTGAGCCAAGATCGTGCCACTGCACTCCAGCCTGGGCGACAGAGCGAGACTCTATCTCAAAAAAAAAAATAGTCCTAGGGGAGGTCCTTTTTTGTTGAAAGGAGGATTGCTCTCTAGTTGATCATTCATCTGTTTGAGGGGTTTAGTCAAGAGCAAGAGCAGAGCCTCACCCCTCCCACAGTTCCCAGTCCTCCTCTCTCCATCTTGGACAGAAGTGAGTGGGAGGAAGCCCGGCAGCTGTGACAGGAGTGTCCTAGGGTGATGCAGCATATACGAAGAAGGGTCAGATGTCCAGGCTTAGAGTTTGTGTTACCACATGCATGATTTGTGGGCGTATTTTTACTGTAGGGCAAGAGTAAGCCAAGCCTACATCACTCCTAATTATATCTGGTGGATCATACAGCCTCTTCAGGTTCTGGAAACTAACAGAATTTTAATAGCAAAGTCCAGATGGTCCCTAGAATATCCTGAAGCTTATGTGGCTTGTCTCTTGGTTTGACAAAGGACAAGGCAGTTCTGTTGTGTACAGACCTTTCTCAGAGGGTAAGGTTGAGTTCACTGTCTGTGCTCTGATGTCTCCTGTCATTCAGTCCAACCTCCTGGCACTTCCTTCATTTGGGAGGCGACGGGGGCCTGTGCCCCATCATGGAGCTGCTAGCCTCCAGGAGCACTGTAAAATGTGTGATCCGAGAACGGGAGGCCCCACATTAGGAAATTGTTTAAAGCTGATGACCTGGGAGACTGTGTGGGTCCAAGACAACAAGCGCTATTCACCAGTCTGAGAAGGATAAGCTGCCTCTTATTAGAAGTGCAACCTGAATCTATCGCCCCCACCCCTACCCCAGAGGGTTAGGAGGAATGATGTGTAAAATCTCGGATCTATGGAAATGAAGACCAGACCTTCATGCAGTGTTACAGATGGCCACCGGCCAGATGCAGACAGGGTTGAGTCCTAGGAATCCAAAACTTGTGCGTTTATCATAGCCTGGGCCAGTGTTTTCTTCGGCATGATTGCTGTTTTAAAAGAGGTTTGTCTTCAGTCATTACTTCAGGAAGTTTTCCCCTATTATTTTTATCCCAACTGATTTCTCCCTTTCGTTGCATTTTGGTAACATTTCATAGACAGTTTTGAATGCATTATAGATTGGTTTTTATTTTCTTTCACATGTGTCTGTCTTGGTTCTCATAATAAACTTGTATAATAGGGGGGAAAAGCATGATTTGTCAGGCAGATTAATAAGATTATGAAGGGACTGTTTATCCAGTCTAAGAAAGTAACTACCTTCATTCCGTCTTTACAGACGTACAATTTCCTTGAAAATCATTGAATTTCAGATCTTCTTACCTGGTTGCTGAAGGGACTTTGGCCACACTACTAACCTAGTTTAGGTTTGTGTGTATCCTTGTAAGTTACTTAGGGATGTCAACTGAATAGTTTGTAATAGCTCACCACTCCCTATCTCTCCAGGCTAAATAGATACCTTCTTTTTTGAATAATGAGGTCCAGACAAGATGAATAAAAAGTACATGATCAAAACAAAGGGATAATTTGTTTGCACCCCTCCCTTGCCCCATCATCATCTTATTCCAGCACCTTGTCTCAAGATCGCACCCTTTAGTGAGAGGTGTGGGGAATCTCTAGCCATTGAGAGAGTTTTTAGAAATCGAGCAAGAGGCCGGGCGTGGTGGCTCACACCTGTAATCCCAGCACTTTGGGAGGCCGAGGCAGGCAGATCACGATGTCAGGAGATCGAGACCATCCTGGCTAATGTGGTGAAACCCCATCTCTACTAAAAATACAAAAAATTAGCTGGGTGCGGTGGTGGGCGCCTGTAGTCCCAGCTACTCGGGAGGCTGAGGCAGGAGAATGGCGTGAACCCGGGAGGTGGAGCTTGCAGTGAGCTGAGATAGCGCCACTGCAGTCCAGCCTTGGCGAAAAAGCGAGACTCCGTCTCAAAAAAAAAAAAAAAAAGAAATGGAGCAAGAAGTAGCAATTGGGAATTATGGGCTATACCCAGCCTTCACCCTGGTTTTTCTAGCTCACGGGCGCAGCTGTTCCCCTACTTATGAAAACAAAACTTGCCTGTAAACGTCTTCATGTGCAGTTTCTTAATGAGCCACAAGGTGAGGATGTGGCTCCGTAAGATCTCTGTCTCAGCAAGATTTGTCACTCTTCTCTTTGTCCCTCCACCAGTCTTCTCTCTCTTCTGCTTTGTGGCTTAACTGTTTGATCACTTATTCCCCAGTTGGCTCATAAACAGCTTGGGCTCTGGAGTTGGGCAGTCCTGGACTTGTCTCACTCAGAGGCTTCGTTTCCCCATCTGTGACGTGAGGATTAAAGACCCTGGCTCCCGTGGGAACTGGCCCTCACATGTGCTGGTGGAGTGTAGAGTGATACCACTCAGCAGAGGGCCACTTGGCAGTGTGTGCAAAAGCACCCTTCGCCTCAGCAGCTCTACTTCTGCAATTCATGCTGAGGATGTGCCAGCACAAATGTGTGTGCATAGTGACTCATCATAGCATTGTTTGGACTAGCAAAAAAGACTAGAAATAACCCAAATGTCCACTAATAAGGGACTGGTGAAATAAACTAGTGCGTCCTTACACCAGAATACAGTACTGGTCAGTAATGAAAAAGAGGAAGCTGTCTTTGTACGGTAAGTCCTCACTTGATGTCGTCAGTAAGTTCTTGGAAACCGTGACTCTGCCACTTGAAAGGACATATAACGAAACCAATTTTACCATAGTCTAATTGATATAAATAAGAGTTAAGCTCCTATGGCATATTTCTGGTCATGAAAGCATCACCAAACTTCTAAGTAAAGACTAAAACACTTTTAAATTAAATAGTGAAATAAATGTGAGCTGTACATACATTTATGAAAGATGAATAAAAACAAGTAAGATGAGCCAGGCGTGGTGGCTCATGCCTGTAATCCCAGCACTTTGGGAGGCCAACTAGGGCGGATCATTTGAGGTCAGGAGTTCCAGATCAGCCTGGCCAACATGGTGAAACCCCATACAAAAATTAGTCAGGCATGGTGGTGAGTGTCTGTAGTCCCAGCTACTCAGAAGGCTGAAGCAGGAGAATTGCTTGAAGCCAGGGGCCGGAGGTTGCAGTGAGCCAAGATCACGCCACTGCACTCCAGCCTAGGTGACAAACCGAGACTTCATCTTAAAAAAAAAAAAAAAAACACAAGATTATGATTTACCTGCTTACTCAAATGGGTTCAAGTTCGCAGGTAGCTGGAGCCTGTCCCAGCAGCTGAGGGTGTAAGGAGGGAACCAATCATGGGCAGGACTTCATCCCATGGCAGGGCACGCTCACTCATCTACCCACACTCAGACCAGGACCATGTAGTCAGCCCCATTCACCTAAGTATATGTTTTCAGGATGTGGGAGGAAACCCGAGTATCCAGATGAACTGGATATCATCCAGGCAGACATGGGGAGAATGTGCACACTCCATACAGACAGTGACCTCAGTCAGGAATCAGGGTTTCTTATCAATGATATAATGAAAAGACATTGGACCGGCTGGGCGGTGTGGCTTACACCTGTAATCCTAGCACTTTGGGAGGCTGAGGCGGGTGGATCACGAGGTCAGAAGTTCAAGACCAGCCTGGCCAAGATGGCGAAACCCCGTCTCTATTAAAAATACAAAAATTGGCCAGGCACGGTGGCTCACGCCTGTAATCCCAGCACTTTGGGAGGCTGAGGCGGGTGGATCATAAGGTCAGAATTTCAAGACCAGCCTGGCCAGGATGGTGAAACCCCATCTCTACTAAAAATATAAAAATTAGCCAGGTGTGGTGGTGGGTGCCTGTAATCCCAGCTACTCGGGAGGCTGAGGCAGAGAATTGCTTGAACCCAGGAGGCAGAGGTTGCAGTGAGCCGAGATCACACCACTGCACACCAGCCTGGAAGACAGAGTGAGACTCTGTCTCAAAAAAAAAAAAAAAAAAAATATATATATATATATATATATACACACACAAAAAAAAATTAGCTGGGCATGGTGGCACATGCCTGTAATCCCAGCTGCTTGGGAGGCTGAGGCAGGAGAATTGCTTGAACCAGGGAGGCGGAGGTTGCAGTGAACTGAGATCGCACCAGTGCACTCCAGCCTGGGCAACAGAGTGAGACTCTGTCTCAAAAAAAAAAAAGATATCGTACCAAGTGATGTTACTGAAGGACCTGCTGTATTGCTTAGGAATGAGCCCCTAGATATTTTTTGTAGAGAAAAGAAAACCAAGGTTCTGAATAGTATGACCTATACAGTTTGCTACTTTTATGTAAAAAAAAAAAGGGAGGGAAGGATAAGCCTGGTACAGTGGCTTATGCCTATAATCCCAGCACTTTGGGAGGTGGGTGGATTGCCTGAGGTCAGGAGTTCAAGACCAGCCTGGCTAACATGGTGAAACCCCATCTCTACTAAAAATATAAAAAAATTAGCCAGGCATGGTGGCGCACGCCTGTAGTCCCAGCTAGCCGGGAGGCTGAGGTAGGAGAATCGCTTGAACCCGGGAGGTGGAGGTTGCAGTGAGCTGAGATCACACCGCTGAACTCTATCTAGCCTGGGTGATGGAGCAAGACTCAGTTTCTGGGGGAACAAAAGTGGGGGAAGGATGAACATAGATATTTGCATCAGGAAACAAGGGTCATACACAAAACTAGTAAGGCTGGTTCCCTGATTTTGTGGGAGTATCTAGTAGTAAATATTTTGTTTGATTTGTATTTAAAAATGGGCTGCTTTTTCTCCCATTTGGCTCCTTTGTCCTTCCTTGTAAGGTGACCTGTTACACTGATTCTGTCCATGCCTCCCCATGACACTAATGACAACAGCCAACACTTAGTGTCCATACCATGCCAGGCACTGTCATAGATGTTCTGCCTGCCCTGGCTCATTTTGGCAAAGGAATGGGGGACAAGGGCGGAGAGAGACTTACATCTGCTGTGCATTTTACATTTGAGCTGTATATTACCTTTCAAAAATAATTTTCTGATTAGTTCCTGCCCCACCTGGTGGTTGTGGGAACTAGACGAGCGTCCGTGCGAAGGGCATGCTCTTCTCCAGGGTCACTTCTGAATCAGGCTGGAGCCTGGCATGCCCCATCAGGCAGAGTAGGGAAGGGCCCTCTTGGATTCCAGTGCAAGGCGTCCTCAGTGTGTGCAGTGCCCATCTAGGTGGTATTTCCCAGCGTGTGAGCTGAGTAAGATGAGCCCGCAGCCATTCCCCCTTTGCAGGCTCTCCACCAGCATCTCCTCTTACCATCTGTTTGCCTCCTGACTAAGGAAACAAGGCCATTTCTGCCCACATTTAAGCTTTGAGGTTGGCCCAGTGCACTCCGGGTGGCTGCCGACATCCTGGGCATTCACGGTTCCGTTACCTCCCCTTCCACATCCTCCCAGCATTGGTCTTCCTCCTGTTGGCTTTTTGGCCCCCTACCCCATCCCACCAGGGCTCTCAGCATCAACTTTTGCTGGCATGCTTAGGCTGAGGGTGATGTCCCTCTGTTGTTCCTGAACCTCTTTGTGTTGGAATGGTCCTGTTTGCAGATTCAGCTCCCAAATCATCATCCTTCCCTGAGTGCTCGGCCTGTGCTCCCTCGCCTGCCTGCCTGCTGATTGGCTCTTGCTCTCATGTGCACACATGCTGTGTTACACTTACCCTACCACTGTTACCCACCAGCTTTCCACAGCTTCCCTCCATCACCACGTGCAGCATAACCCAGGCCAGCCTGAGGAGAGTTGCTGATCTCTTTCTCTTTGGTCACTGGCCATCCTTGGAACAAGTAGCTCTCACCTGTTCCACAGGCTGGATGTGGTTTCTGTGCTTTGAGAGGGTCCCAGCCTGGGCAACATGGTGAAACCCTGTCTCTACTAAAAATAGAAAAATTAGCCAGGCGTGGTGGCATGTGCCTGTAGTCCCAGCTACTCAGGAGGCTGAGGTGGGAGGATCACCTGAGCCCAGGGAGGTCGAGGCTGCAGTGAGCTGAGATCATGCCACTGCACTCCAGCCTGGGTGACAGAGTAAGACCCTGTCTCAGAAAAAAGAAAAAAAGAAAAGAAAAGAGAGGGTCCTGCCTCCTCTGCCAGGCAGAGCCAAGCATCTTGGAGGGCATTCTTCCAGTGCCCAGCTGAGGCCTGGGCATGCCCTGACTTGCTGTTCTCTAGGATAGAACAGTCAGAGCCAGGCCTGAGTTGCTTGCTGAGGGGACCGTTACGACAACAGAACCACTATGGGCCTGTGCACAGGAAGGGTCCCACCAGGCCTCTTACCCAGTGGGGTTGGGCTAAAAGGGCAAAAAGGTGACTTAGGCAGGACCCCAGCCTTGATTGGACTTTGGACCTGTGTTGACCCTCTTGGGTTTCTGCTGGTGGGGATGGCACCATCCACCATGAAAGCAGAGGGGAAATGGTGTGCTTCTGTGTCCCCTTTGGAAAGGTCTGGGGCCAGGGAAAAGCCGGAACTCGGTGCTCCTCTGAGGAAGTAGTCACCATTTGTTTCCTTTTTTCTTTGACCAAAAATATGTTTGCCTTAATTGTTAAAGAGCAAGACTTCCTGAACACAGATGTAGAAGATTTATATTTTTCTCTCCCTTCCCCTGTTTTGTAGGAAGCTGAAGTCTTCAGCAGAACCCTGACCTAGGTAGGGAGTCTCAATGGCCCTGGGTGAAGAAAAGGCAGAAGCGGAAGCATCTGAAGACACAAAGGCCCAGTCCTATGGGAGAGGGAGCTGCAGGGAGCGGGAGCTGGACATCCCAGGGCCCATGAGTGGGGAGCAGCCCCCACGCCTGGAAGCTGAGGGAGGGCTCATCTCCCCTGTATGGGGGGCAGAAGGGATACCTGCCCCTACTTGCTGGATTGGGACTGACCCTGGCGGCCCCTCTAGAGCCCACCAGCCACAGGCCAGTGATGCCAACAGAGAGCCCGTAGCTGAGAGGTCTGAGCCTGCACTCAGTGGCCTGCCTCCTGCCACCATGGGGTCTGGAGACCTTCTGCTCTCCGGGGAAAGCCAGGTAGGTACTAAGGCAAGACTGTAGATGGACCCATTGCTGTCCTTTGGGAGTTTGTTCAGGATTTCCTCACCATCTTGCATCCTTTCCTTGCTACTGTGCAGGGTGAGGAATTGGAGGGGCCTGAGTATGATGATTTCTGTTTTGCGGGTTCAGCTAGAGAGCTGGGCCTCAGGACCGGCCGGGGGGACTGTCCACGGTTATCTCCTGTTCCTCAAGAGTGACTGGTGACTTTTTAAGGACCAGGGATTATAGGCCAAGAGGCTGCTGCCCAGAGGTCCAGGCCAGGGGAATTCTGGCAAGGAGAGCCCTGCCGTGTTTCTGACTTGGTGATTAAAGGCTTTAGGGGTACCCTGAAGAGACTTGGGAAAGGAGTGTCCAGGGCTTTGGGCTCCTGGGGGCTCTGAACCTAAATCCTCTTCAGACCCAAGGGACATGTCAGAACCTTGGAGCCCTGTAGTAGGCAGCACTGTCCCTGGTTAAGGAGAATTCCTTGGGCTTCTCTGACTGCCAGGCAGCTTCTCCTAGTGGGAGTCACATGGGGCAGGGAATCCTACCAGGTTCTGTGACTGCAGGCAAATCACCAGATCTTTCAGGCCCTCAGTATCATTGGGAGGTGACCGGAATGATCTGTTCTGCCCAGCTCTTACATTCTTTTCTGTTCTGCTTGCCAAGGCCTTTCCTGGGAATGGCTTTGATCTTCTCGGTGTCATTGTAGCCTTGGCTGCTGCAGGGTCCCCTTGTGGGGCTGCACCCTGTGAGGAGGCTCTGAGCGGGACTGGGAGAGAACAGAGGCTGGGCCCCACCTGCCTGGGAGCAAGGGGCAGTGGGAGGCTCTGGCACCTGTGAGTCAGAGATTCGGTGAGGCAGGAAGCGAATCATAAACAGACACAGAAATGGCCTTTCACGGGGATGAGTCCGGTGCTTATTATTAGAATTCCTGTTGTTCGTTAAGCTCTTACCATGTGCTTTGCACACATGGGTGTATTTAATCCTTACCTTCTGAGGAGCTGGTGCTATGAGGGGAGGAAAGTGAGGCTCGAAGTCATACATCTGGAAGGTGGCAAAGTTAGGGGCTGGCCTCAGGTTTGTCTGGCTCCAAAACCCATGTCCTTCAACACTGTGCTGTCCTGCTTCCCTCGGGGGTGAGTTCTTCATCAAGCAGATAAAAAATTCAGTGAAGAAGCTGAGATGAACCAGTCATTCTGCTAGTGTTCAGTTACCACTGGCGTGTGAACTGAGCAGGATGGGGTCTGGGGCGACCTCCTGGGTTTGGACGTGTCCTGTTAGCGACAGAGTGATTGAGGGTTTCATCTGCCAGGAGACGCTTCTCAGAGGTAAGGGACTGTTTTCCAGCTTCAGCATGACAGAGCTGTCTGAGTTCTGCTTGCTCACACCCTGGATACCTGTGGAGGAAGGAAGAACCTTGGAGAGGACTGGAGATGGGAGTCATCTTGCTTCCCAGACAGGCAGGGTCTCAGTGCTGCTGCTGGCAGTGCATATTGCCTGGTTCTTGCCTCAGGCAGCAGACTTTGCATTTTAAGGTCTTTCCTAAATACTGTCTAGACCCACAAGGAAACTCCTGGGTTGTCATCTAAGAAAGAAATTGGGTTTGATTTTTACCCAAGTGCTTTTTGTCCCTTTGATCATTGCAGGTGGAGAAGACCAAGCTTTCTTCCTCCGAGGAGTTCCCTCAGACTCTGAGCCTTCCCAGAACAACAACTATTTGCTCAGGACATGATGCTGATACCGAAGATGATCCATCCCTAGCAGATTTGCCCCAGGCACTGGACCTCAGCCAGCAGCCTCACAGCTCAGGTCTCTCTTGCCTGTCACAGTGGAAGTCCGTGCTGAGCCCAGGTTCCGCAGCTCAGCCTTCCAGCTGCAGCATCTCTGCTTCCTCCACAGGCAGCAGTCTCCAGGGTCACCAGGAGAGGGCGGAGCCTCGTGGTGGTTCTCTGGCCAAGGTCTCCTCCTCCCTGGAGCCGGTCGTCCCCCAGGAACCTTCCTCTGTGGTGGGGCTAGGACCTCGGCCCCAGTGGTCACCACAGCCTGTGTTCTCTGGGGGTGATGCTTCTGGGCTAGGCAGGAGACGCCTCTCCTTCCAGGCTGAGTACTGGGCCTGTGTGCTGCCAGATTCCCTGCCTCCATCACCCGACCGCCACTCCCCTCTCTGGAACCCAAATAAAGAGTATGAAGATCTGCTTGACTATACTTACCCACTGAGGCCCGGGCCTCAGCTCCCAAAGCACCTTGATAGCCGTGTGCCAGCTGACCCTGTCCTGCAGGACTCCGGGGTAGACCTGGATAGCTTCTCTGTCTCTCCAGCAAGCACCCTCAAATCACCTACTAATGTCTCCCCCAACTGCCCACCAGCAGAGGCCACTGCCCTGCCATTTTCTGGGCCCAGAGAGCCAAGCCTTAAGCAGTGGCCCTCCAGAGTACCCCAGAAACAGGGTGGCATGGGCTTGGCATCTTGGAGCCAACTTGCATCTACCCCCAGAGCCCCAGGCAGTAGGGATGCTCGTTGGGAGCGCAGAGAGCCAGCCCTGAGGGGTGCGAAGGACCGGCTGACTATAGGCAAGCACCTTGATATGGGCTCTCCCCAGCTAAGGACACGGGACAGAGGGTGGCCCTCGCCCAGGCCAGAGAGGGAGAAGAGGACCAGCCAGAGTGCCCGGCGCCCTACCTGCACAGAGTCTAGGTGGAAATCAGAAGAGGAAGTGGAAAGTGATGACGAGTATCTTGCCCTCCCCGCTCGGCTGACACAGGTTTCTAGCCTGGTTTCGTATCTAGGATCCATTTCTACCTTGGTTACCCTGCCCACTGGGGATATCAAAGGGCAGAGCCCCTTGGAAGTGTCAGACAGTGATGGGCCAGCTTCCTTCCCTTCAAGCTCCAGCCAAAGCCAGCTTCCCCCTGGAGCTGCCCTCCAAGGATCTGGGGATCCTGAGGGCCAGAATCCCTGTTTCCTGCGCTCCTTCGTCCGTGCCCACGACTCCGCAGGGGAAGGCAGTCTGGGGAGCAGCCAGGCCCTCGGGGTCTCCTCTGGACTGCTGAAAACACGCCCCTCCTTGCCAGCTAGGTTGGACCGGTGGCCATTCTCAGACCCAGATGTTGAAGGGCAGCTTCCCAGGAAAGGAGGAGAACAGGGAAAAGAATCACTGGTGCAATGTGTGAAGGTAATGACACTCAACGTTAGGAAGCTTTGTGTACAGGTGTCTTGTCTCTTCCCCCAATCCACTAACATCATAATAAAACATGTTCATGTTGACCAGGCACTTTTTATGTGCCAGGCATTGTGCTGTACCTTATCTTATTCAGTCCTCACAACTTTTACCAGGTAAGCACTGTTCTCATTTTACTTTTTGGAGGAAAGAGCAGAGAGAGGTTAGGTAACGTGCCCACTTATAATTAGCAAGGGCTTGAGCCAAGAATGAGACCCAGGTAGACTATTTGCAGAGGCTGAGCTCTTAGCCACTACCCTTGGCTGCTTCCTAACTCAGAGGTATTCTGAACAAAAAAGGTTTTGTGCACAGATGCCTTTAGGAAACACTGGGCTAAACAAAGGTAAGTGGCTTTCTTGACTGCAGGACTTCTAGAGCTTCATTTGCCACAGTGGTTTAAGTGCAAAGTTAGGGGCATTGGATGTACTGTTGCCTAGACTTTGTGGCCACCGGACCATCTTGTGAACCAAATGACTTAATATCTGGAGGTATAAAGAACACTGCGTGGAATAGGGTTATCGGTGTCAGGCATCTGAATTTGAAACATGGCACTGCTGTCTTTGGAATGTTGGCTCAGCCTCTTGAGTTTGCTCATTTGTAAAATGTGGAGCCCTGCCTTCTTAGGATGTTGTGTGCATTAAATAATTCATGTTGAGGGCTTCGGTGCATTCCCAGACATGTTGAAGGTTCAGGAATGTGCCTGTCCAGGAACGTGTCCTAGCGCTTGCGGGGGGCTTTCACCTTCCCAGGAGGTGACGTGGTTATTTTGTCTTGTGAGGTAGGTAGGACACGTTATCATGGACCCCTCTTTACTGATAAAAGATTGAGATGCCATGAGGTAAAGTTGTTCTTCGCTATAGCTTCAGGTTAGTCATGATTTTAGTCATTTATTTTACGTTCACTTTTCCAGAGAAACATGGACGTATCTGGCTCCAAGATGCTGATTCTAGTTAGTAATGGTGCTGATCCAAGAATTGGTTTCCATGGCAGGCACGCCTCTTCTGGGCTGCTCCATTCCTACCTGCAAGGCTGGGTTTTCTCAGCCTGTCATTTTTGATGTCACACCAGGCTGTGGTTTTCATTGCTTTGGCAGAGGGAGGTACAGAGTCGTGGAGTCGGGACAGGTGAGCAAGGAGGAGAGAGGAAACTGAAGGTGCACAGTCTGTCTCCAAGTCCTCCTGATATTTTTAGCCTTTTGATAACATAAATAGCTGTTCGATCAGTAACACCATGTGTCCTTTTATTTGTCTCTGCAGACATTTTGCTGTCAGCTGGAAGAGCTGATCTGCTGGCTGTATAATGTTGCAGATGTTACTGACCACGGGACTGCAGCCAGGTCCAATCTTACAAGTCTCAAGTCTTCTCTGCAGCTTTACCGGGTAATATGCGGTCCTGGCTCTGGCTTGTTCCCTCACAAGAGTGTGGCTAAATTACTCGATTACAAAGTAAAATCTCAAATAACCAATGTCTGGTATGTTATAGCTCAGTTGACTATTATACCTGAAATCTAATTAGAGCTTCACATTCTTAAAGCGGAACGCTTTGTAAAATGCATGAATTATTTCCCAGGCCAAATGGAGCTTGAAGATACAATATATTTATCTCAAATCAAAAATACTTTAGGTTTTGGGCTGGCAGGTGCAGTGGGACAAGTCTTTTATCCCAGCTACTCTGGAAGCTGAGACAGGAAGATTGCTTGAGCCCAGGAGTTCGAGTACAGCCTGAGCAACATAGCAAGACCCCCCCCCCTCAAAAAAAAGTTTTTTCTTAATTAAAAACAAAAATACTTTAGGGTGATTTGCAATATAATTTTCCAAATGTCTCAGGGATTATAAATACAGACTTGCACTATTATGACGCCTCTAGTTATGTATGGCTATTGAAGTAAAATTAAAGACTCAGATTTTTTTATTTGCACTAGCCACATTCTGCATGTTCAACCATCACATTTGTCTAGTGGCTACCACGTAGAACAGTGCAGATGTAGAACACTTCCATCACCACATAAAGTCCTATTGGACTGCACCACTATTTAAAGATCTGAGCTGAAATTGTACTGACTCCAGAATCTACAATAGGGCATTTTGATGGTATTTAAATAGAAATCTAGGCCAGGCACCTTGGCTCACACTATTAATCCCAGCACTTTGGGATGCTGAGGCTGGAGGATCGCTTGAGCCCGGGAGTTCCAGACCAGCCTGGGCAATATAGTGAGACCTCGTCTCTACAGAAAAAAAAAAAAAAAACATAAAAAATTAGCTGAGTGTGGTGGCATGCACTAGCAGGAGGATCACTGGAACCCGGCAGGCAGAGGCTACAGTGAGCCAAAATCACACCACTGCACTCCAGCCTGGGCCACAGACCGAGACCGTCTCAAAAAACAAACAAAAACTCTGACGTCAGTTTGTGTGCGTGTGTATGTATTTGGGTTTGGTTTTAGTTTTCTTGTTTCTTTTTCATTAAGATTTTGTTATTTTGAAAATACTAATGTGGATTTTTGTTAACTTGGTCCTAGATTTAGGATGACTGCGTCCCAGTTTGTGCCTGTTGTTCTGGCATAATAATAGGTCCCCTTTCAGTCTCAGAAGTGTCCTGAATTGGAGGATAAATTATATAGTTGTCATCCCTAAGTCTAACGTTAACCTTGGCTGAACTCCTGCCTTCTAGCATATCTGGTTGGCTGCACCTTTCTAATCTCTTCATGAAGAAGCAGAGGGATATCCATGGTCTGAGCCTGAGGCTAGTCTGGAAGGAGTTTTCTAAAACAATTCTTTGAATTCCTACAACCTTATAACCTGACCATATCTTCAGCAGCAGAGGACACAATTTACATGTGCTTGGGCCAGGGCTGAGCTGACTGAGGGCCTTCCTGGGACCGTACTCCAGCTAGAGGAAGGGAGGGGCTTTGTTTTCCAACTTGGGGCCAACTAAAGTGTAGGGAGGAGCCTTGCTTGACCTGGGCAGGCTGGGCCAGCTGCTCCACCCTACTGGGAATGCTGTTTCCTGCAGTGTGGAGAGAGGTTGCTTTGAGTTCCTCACTTTGAGGAACTCCACAATGAGTTCCTCTCCACACTGCAGGAAACAGCATTCCCACTAGGGTGGAGTGAGCTTGAGGAAGGAGAGAAAGGCTGACTCCAAGGGTCCTGTATGCAGACTCCACGTGCATGCACGCAGCTGTGCAGGGCCCAGGACCAGTACCACTACAGAGAGAGGAAGCTGCCCTGGTAGACCTAGCTTAGTGGCCTTTCCTGGCTTGTCAGAGCAGGTGCAAACAGAATAATTCCATCCCTCCGTCTTATCCCTCCTGCCAGCCTTCTGTACCTCAGCTTCTAGGCTAGACGGAAACAACCAGCTTGCTTTGTAGGTAGAGCTGAGATTTGAGCTGGGAGTCACTCGTGCAGGTCAGTGAGGCATAGGCCTCTTGTGTCACCCATACAGCTGTCACAAAGTGGGACTGTACTGCTAGCCCCTTGCCCGCACAGAATTGTGCATGGCTCATGCGTATGTGTGTGCTATCTTGACTCCTGCTTGGATTAAGACCTAGTATAAGCGAGCGTGTCTGTGTTCACATATTTTAACTGTGACTCATTTTCTTATATACTTGTATTTTGTCTTAACACGGGGTTGCAGCAGCACATAAACCACACTACAGTACTAGAGAATAAAATAATAAGTATAGGTATCAGGGTAAAGGAAAACTGAAGACAGGAAAATAGTAAATCCAAGGGTAAAACTATCACTTCAAAATGGTAAAACACCAAGTTCTGGCTGGGCACGGTGGCTCATACCTGTAATCCCAGTACTTTGGGAGCCTGAGGCAGGTGGATCACTTGAGTTCAGGGGTTTGAGACCAGCCTGGGCAAAATAGTGAGACCCTGTCTCTATTTCTGTTAAAAATTTAAAAATTTATAAAAATCAGTCACCAAGTTCTACACCTTGCACTAAGGGTGGTCATGGATTTGACTTTACCTTTTTTTTTTTTTTTTTTTGAGACGGAGCCTCTCTTACTGCCCAGGCTGGAGTGCAATGGTGTGATCTCGGCTCACTGCAACCCCTGCCTCCCAGGTTCAAGCGATTCTCCTGCCTCACCCTCCCGAGTAGCTGGGATTACAGGCATGCACCACCACACCCGGCTAATTTTTTTGTATTTTTAGTAGAGACGGGGTTTCTCCATGTTGGTCAGGCTGGTCTCAAACTCCTGACCTCAGGTGATCCGCCCACCTTGGCCTCCCAGAGTGCTGGGATTACAGGTGTGAGCCACCGCGCCTGGCTGACTTTACACTTCTTAACTGCTAAACAAACATCAAGAACACCAGCTCGGTAGCCAAGAGGGGAAAGCAAATGAGTTGCTTGGGAAACTCACAGCTTCCCAGATGTTGAGGTAGTTACCCCTGTGGTCTGCACAGAGCAAAGACATGGAGGGAGGAGCAGAGGTAGAGACAGTGGCTCCCTGCGGTCAGTTTAATGGCAGATCTCCTGTGGTCCATTAGAATGGAATAAATTCTGAGACTCCCATAGCCCTGAATTAAAAGAGAACCCCATGAGGTGAGGGCGCTAGAAGGAGACCCTAACTCCAAGCTGTTTGTGAGCCAGCCTCTGTCAGGGAAGATGCTTCTGATGTCAAACTAAACAGGAAAAACTACTGACTCTATTTACCTTGGGTTCAAAGAAGCTGAAGTTAAACTGTTGCACTGTTTACTTGGGGAATTCTGCAGACCTGATGGGGTGAATCTTACACATTAGAGGGGAATAAGGCTTCCCTACATGCTGTGCTTTTCAAATAACGTTTACAAAACAATAGTAACGAAGCTTCTGCCTTTTCTTTTTCTGATACGCCTTAAGCAATTTAAGAAAGATATAGATGAACATCAGTCTCTGACGGAGAGTGTCTTACAGAAGGGGGAGATTCTTCTTCAGTGCCTGTTGGAGAACACCCCAGGTGAGATGCTTAAGGTTTTGGATTTAGCCAGAGCTTAATCCCTGTCAGCAGCAGGCCCAGGGACCGCACTATCCCTGGTAAGGAGCTGGTACCACAAGAGCCCCTGCCCACACCCACTGCCCGAGATGCCCCATGCCCCATCTGCCAGCTCCACGCGTCGCTGCCCATCACTGCCCCTACACACCTGCTTAGAGGCAGTCATGGTTATAAAACCAAGCCCATTACAAATTAGGCATTGAGCCTGCAAGAATGACGCTGTCTTTTGCTTCTGCTTTTGTATTTTTCTGGTGGTAGTCTGGGTAGGAATCCTAGTATTAATCCACCATCCTTAGTTTGTGGCTAGGGTATTTAGTGGGTATCCCTTTGGTTCCCCACCTTACCTAGCCCAGGTTGAATTCCTCTCTGATTATCTGCCTTGTGTCCTGCTTTGGGGAAATAGTTGTTTCAGAAAAGGATTGTATTGCTCAAAAGTATCTGAGGACAGTCAGTCTGTCCTCAGGGAACAGATTGAATGAAGAACTGATGAGAGGGGACAGGGTGGCAGTAGTGTGCAAACCAAGCTCAAGCCCCTTTTTGTTTTGTTTTGCTTTTGAGATGGAGTTTCGCTCTTGTTGCCAAGGCTGGAGTGCAGTGGTGCCATCTTGGCTCACCGCAAGTTCACCTGCCTCCCAGGTTCAAGTGATTCTTCTGCCTCAGCCTCCTGAGTAGCTGGGATTACAGGCATGCGCCACCATGCCCGGCTATTTTTTTTGTGTTTTTAGTACAGATGAGGTTTCTCCATGTTGGTCAGGCCTGTCTTGAACTCCCTATCTCAGGTGATTCGCCTGCCTCAGCCTCCCAGAGTGCTGGGATTACAGGCGTGAGCCACTGCACCCAGCCACTTGAGCCCATTTTGTAGGATGGGTTCCCCATTTAGGAAAGTGAAAATCACAGACCTCAGGCATGTATCTAAGCATGCTGGGTGCCAAGGATTTACAGTTTTCATTGTCTTTACAGGACGAGGGCATGGGGGATGAGGATATGATAGGGAGGATGAGCTAAGAGAATGGTAGGGTAAAGCCTTGAACTGATGGCAGCCCCTAATTTCCTGCAAGACTGTAAATCAAGTGCTGACAGCCTGCCTATATTATGCCTCATTTTACATTTTTGAGTGAGATGGGATTTATACTGGAATACAACCGCCGAAGCAAAGCTGGGCAGGTCCCACGGGCTTGAGAGGCAATGAGGAGGCACTTTCCTGACCAGCATGGTGGGCAGGTGCATACCGTGAAGGGTGTACAGCAGGATTTCTCAGCCTTGGCGCTTTTGCCATATTGGCCGCATGATTTTGTGGGGAATTGTCCTATGCATTGCAGGATGTTTAGCAGCACCCCTGGCCCCAGTAAATCCCTGCTTCCCCCACAGTTGTGACAACCCAAAATGTTTCTACACATTGCTAAGTGTACCCTGGGAAGAAAAATCTCTAGGGTTGAGAGGCATCAGTGGACAGGGACCACTGAATAGTTTTCAGCAGGTAAGTGATTCTCTAGTGTGAATTATATGAGCTCTTTGCAATCCCCTGCCCTTTTAAGGCCTTTGTTTTGGCTCTTCTGGCATTTTCACTAGGGTTCTTAGATTTTTTATTGGGGCAGAAATTCCATGTGCCAAGCTCCTTTGCTGCATGTAATTTACACCAGCATTTTACTGAAGCAGTTGGCACATCAGTGTTCTCCATTTAATCACAGCCCTGTGAGATGGATAGTTGTGGATTTGCCACAGGCCACAGGAGAAGTGGCAGCCTGGCAGAGCCCCTGGGCACTGGCTTTCCGCAGCTTCCCAGTGTCTGGAGGTGCAGAGGCCTGAGCGGCTCCTCTCTTCACAGAGGCCATGTGTAAAAGTAGGCCTCTAGTCCGGACACGGTGGTTCACGCCTGTAATCCCAGCACTTTGGGAGGCCAAGGTGGGCAGATCACCTGAGATCGGGAGTTTGAGACCAGCCTGACCAACATGGAGAAACCCCGTCTCTACTAAAAATACAAAATTAGCTGGGCGTGGTGGGGAGCACCTGTAATCCCAGCCACTCTGGAGGCTGAGGCAGGTGAATCGCTTGAACCCAGGAGGTGGAAGTTGCAGCGAGCTGAGATTGCGCCATTGCACTCCAGCCTGGGCAACAAGAGCGAAATTCCTTCTCAAAAAAAAAAAAGGCCTCTTAAAAGCTTCAGGTTTTTTGACCTTCATTTTAAAATCAATTTAATAATACTTTTCTGTGCTTAGTCCCACTTTGCTCTCTCAAGAGGTTTTTTACTGGCTTTGGGGTTTTCTTTGGTTTTCAGATATGTATCCAGGCTCTTTCAGATTGACACACAGCCCTTCCCCATCCATCTGCTTGAAATAATCAGGAATGTGGCTGTTTCCCCCTTGAGACGTCAGTGTCTGTCTCCAGCGGGTGCAAAACTTAACTTTTCTTCCGCCAGGAGCATGCTGTCAAAAGTCCATAGAGCCAGCCTACAAACATGTTTTGTTCCAGTCCTTCCCAACTTCTTTTATTTGGCCCCAACCAAACATTCTGACAGTCTAAATAAAAGTTCAAAAGCGTCCGTGCGCAGTGGCTCACGCCTGTAATCTCAACACTTTGGGAGGCCAAGCGGGCAGATCACCTGAGGGCAGGAGTTCAAGACCAGCCTGGCCAACATGGCGAAACCCCATCTCTACTAAAAGTAAAAAAATTAGCTGGGCATGGTGGCGGGCGCCTGTAATCCCAGCTACTCAGGAGGCTGGGGCAGGAGAGTCGCTTGAACCCGGGAGGCAGAGGTTGCAGTGAGCCGAGATCACGCCACTGTACTCCAGCCTGGGCAACAAGAGTAAGACTCCGTCTCAAAATAAATAGATAAATAAAAGTTCAAAAACATAAAGTTGTCCCTGAACCAATGTTTCTGTGACATCGCACAAGAAGACTGGGCAAAGGTCTAATGAAACCAGAGGGGTTAGCCAGCTGCGGTGGCTCATGCCTGTAATCCCAGCACTTTGGGAGGCCAAGGCGGGTGGATCACCTGAGGTCAGGAGTTCGAGACCAGCCTGGCCAGCATGACGAAACCCTGTCTCTACTAAAAATACAAATATTAGCCGGGCGTGGTGGTGGGCGCCAGTAATTCCAACTACTGGGGAGGATGAGGCAGGAGAATCGCTTGAACCTGGGAGGCGGAGGTTTTAGTGAGCCGAGATTTGTGCCGCTGCACTCCAGCCTGGGTGACAGAGTGAGACTCCATCTCAAAAAAAAAAAAAAAGAAACTGGAGGGTAGAACCCAGCCCAGCCACCCTTACAGCCAAGCTTTACCGTGCGCCTGACTGCAATCCTCTGCCACACTCTGCCAACTCTCTTTGTGGACAGCACTTTGCCCTGATGACACCGCACTGATGTGGCTTCCCTAGGAGATCTCAATACAGCCAGCCTGTGTTCCTTCTCCTTCTACTCATCCAGTCAGCATTGTCTGCAGATAAGCTTCCTCTTTCCCTTCCTCTACTGACAGATGTTACAGCTGTGGCAGGAAACTAGGGAGAGTATAAGCACAGCTGATAAAGGTGCAGGAAACTAAGACAGCCTTTGTGCTTAACAAAAATAAATTTTTGAAAAAAGAAAGAAAAAAGCCTGCTGTGTGAGATGCACTCTGACCCTAGCCCATCCCTTCCTCACATGAACAACAATTCTGACACTGCGGGAGTGAATCTTCCCTTAGACTGCTTTCGGGTCATTTTTTTGTTTTGTTTTGTTTTTGAGACAGAGTTGCACTCTTGTTGCCCAGGCTGGAGTGCGATGGCACAGTCTTGGCTCACCACAACCTCTGCCTCCCGGGTTCAAGCCATTCTGCCTCAGCCTCCCGTGTAGCTGGGATTACAGGCATGCGCCACCACACCCGGCTAATTTTTTTATATTTTTAGTAGAGACGGGGTTTCTCCATGTTGGTCAGGCTGGTCTCCAACTCCTGACCTCAGGCAATCCATCCGCCTTGGCCTCCCAAAGTGTTGTTGGGATTACAGGCGTGAGCCACTGCGCCTGGCCAGGTCATTTTCTTTTTCAGTCTGTTCACTGAGGCCCACAAAACAAAGGGTCTCAAGCACTCCCAAATCTATTACAGACCACCCATGTGAAATAACATTCTTCCCAGCCAATAGAAACTGATAGACCTGGTAGCAGGGGTAAGCATCTGAACCTTGGCATGTCGTTTTATTTAAGCCTTATGCCCAAGAGGATCTGGATGTGCCCTTACAGAGATACCTGTCTTACCTCTAAAGTCAGGTAATACCAGCCATCAGAAAACCATAATATCTCTGTGCCCTTCTGTGAATTACGTAATTTCAAAGTGGAGTCAGTGAGTTCTTTTCTTAGCTTTAATCAGAAGTTAACAACATAGGTTCTCCAGTGCAACAGAAGTCCCTGGAGAATCACTGTTAAAAAAGGGCAGACATTCAGAAACTACTGCCAGGTCCTACTTTGTGTAAAATACTATACCCTTGTATGTTCTTTTGAAAATGCTTACTGGACAACACTTGCATGGGTTTTATTTCTGGTTTAATTTCTTTGAACCTCATTGTTAGTTTTAGAGGATGTCCTTGGGAGGATCGCAAAGCAGTCTGGTGAGCTGGAGAGCCACGCAGATCGCCTGTATGACTCTATCTTGGCCTCTCTGGACATGCTGGCTGGCTGCACCCTTATCCCTGACAAAAAGCCCATGGCGGCAATGGAGCACCCATGTGAAGGGGTTTAACCTGGTAAGTGGAGGAACTCAAAAAGAAAATTTGCCCACCAACCCTGCTGTAACAGTTGGCCACTACTTAGAAGCTTGTTGAGCCAAGAACTATTATTTAAACAAATGAGATACTGGAAGAAGACAGCCAATGGTACTAAAAAAGGAGTTGCTGGTCTTCCTATGATGATGAAGGCTCACTGCGGTGCTTTCCATTACTGTTCACCCCTGCTGCCTGCTGAGGATGAGGGTGCCTCTGTGCTGCCATTTCTATGGCACTTTCTTCACCACCAACCCTGCCATCCCAAGACAAGAGCAGCACAACTTATCTGTACACCTACTTTATTTCTGCACAGGTACACTTTTCCAGTATGGGGCCATGACCTGGCCACCCCTGTTCTGCAGGATCTTCTCCCCAGCTCATTTGGTACTCCATCTCCAAGCATCTCTGACAGCACCAAGTGCTTAGAGAAACCCAGAGTTACTGATAACTTTGCACCACCACCCCTGCCCTGCACAAAGGGTCTCCACATATCTCCCACACCACTCCCTTCCAAAAAGGCTAGGGGGATGGAGGGGTTAAAGACACCTTGGAGACTTAACTGGTAGTACAACTTTCTTTTGCTCCCTTGAGAAAGTCAAACAGAATGACAGAAAAGGAGCTAGGAGAGCAAAGGTGGGTGTGTCCACCACAGAGTTGCTACTGCCAATGCTTTTCATAATTCTGCAATTGGACTGTCGTACGTCGCTCCTACAACAAAATGTTTGTAGTGCTTAACTCATAGATTTTCTAGGTGAGCACTATAGGTATGCTAAGAGCAGGGAGTCCCTGTGTTTTTATCAGAGCAACTGTGAGACGTCATCTTGGTTCTAAAATGAATGCAGGGGACTGCTGTTGTCGTTTCTTCCTCTACAACATTATGCCTGTAACAAATGCTGCCTTTTCTCTTTCAGGCATCTTCTCAGGCAGAGGTGCAACCTGTCGGCCAAACACTGGCTAGTGAGAAAAAAAACCTTCAAGAAGTCCTTGCAAGAGCCATTCAACACTGAAGTCAAGGGGGAAACCTTCAATATACTAGCTTTAAAATGCCTTTCTCCTCCCTGAATGGAGGGCTGAGTTACTATTTTTATTTACAATGAATCCTTCCAAACTAAGGTTTTCCTTTTGGTGCTTCTCCACAAAGAGCGTGTAGCTTTGCAATTTTTGATAAAATAAGACGTGTTGCCTTCCCCTCTATCCCATTAAAAAAGAGCAGATAAAGCTCAAACTATTCCACCTGGTAGGGTCATTTACCAAGGGCTGGTAGGAGATTCCGAATACTCAATATTCTCAGGCATGCAAGAGGACCTAAGAGACTGAAAAAAGTGAATTGTTGGCCAGAAACCTTGGGTCTTTTCATAAAAGGAAATTTGGGCTTGTCAATCCCTCTTTAAAGATATAGGTAGAAAGAAGAGATTTTTAACCCTTTGTCTGCAAAAGAAAAAGGGTTAAATGAAGCATCTATACAGATGACTTTGGGAGATTATGACACCTTTTGCCATCTTCAGGGCTTACGTCTTTACTTTCTTGGCTAACCAGTTTCTTAGAAGAAAATGTGTCAGGGACTTGGGGATCTACAGTCATGCTTTAGCATGGCTATGGAGCTAATTATCAAGCTTAAAGGGTAACTTTGGGAGGACTCCTCCCTTCACTCCTAGTCTCCCTTGGAAGAGCAGTCCAGGCTCAGGGAAGGGAACGGATAGGATGACACAGTAAGTACAGAAACTGAAGCTGTCAATAGTGAAGGAAAAAGGGGAATTCTTCGTTGCTTTGGCATTGACACATAAGTACTTTGATTAAAAAAAAAAAAAACTATGGATCAACCATTCAAAGCATCAATTCTATAGCTTTTTGCAGCAAGATGATCAGTTATTGCTGGTAACTGCAGATTCTACAGAAAAGCACTTTTAAAGTTCTGTTGGGCCATGAATGAACCTGGAAGGAGGAAAGCACAGTAACAATGGAAACTAAAGTCCTATTATTAATGTGACTTTTCTGCTTCAGAATTTCTGAGACTTTATAGTCACTGGAAAATAGCCATTAAATTCTTTAAAGATTAGCTCTTCAACAGTAGCTACACATAAAATGCAGTATTTCAAGTGCCTGATGCTGCTGTGGTATGCTTTATCATAATGCTTAAGGGCATGATCAAAATTAAAATGGCTTATGAGTTTGCCATATTAATCATCTTAGTTCCATACACACTGAGACTTTAAAAGGGAAAAACCACTCTAGCAAATAATTGTCAATTATAAACCTGTATGTAAAACATTCTTGAAAACCTAGAGTTGGTTAAAAAGGTAGAGATGTCTGACGGCCTCTTCTTAAATTGATATATTTTACCTTCTCTTAGATGTACATTTATAAGTAGGAACATGTCCTTCCACTGAGTATGTTACTGAATAGCCCTTAGGAAATTAAACCCATTTATTTACTAATATTTGACAGGCATAGAAGTGTATTAATTAGCATAAAAGTTGGAGATGAAAACCCTATAGAAACAAATTGGCCAATATTATACTAATTGAATGCAGAATGTGGCATTCTATTCCCATTCAACTAATAATCAGCTTCAACTGACAGGAATTTGCACAGAATGTTACACAATACCCTGTTTCCCAAGAAAGTACTACCTTACCTAGAGATGATCTAAGATATTTTTGTTCATCCTCTGAATAAGGTGAGACTAAAGGGTGCTAACTCCCTGGACCTGGCTGTGAATGCTACTGAAGAGTATCAACACAACTGTTAATTATACCGCCGTGCTTTAAGTTTAAGACTTACCTTAAAACTCAAGCTGAAGGCTGGGCACGGTGGCTCATGCCTGTAATCCCAGCACTTTGGGAGGCCGAGGCGGGTGGATCACAAGGTCAGGAGATCGAGACCATCCTGGCTAACACGGTGAAACCCCATCTCTACTAAAAATACAAAAAGAAATTAGCCAGGCGTGGTGATGGGCGCCTGTAGTCCCAGCTACTTGGGAGGCTGAGGCATGAGAATGGCATGAACCCGGGAGGCGGAGCTTGCAGTGAGCTGAGATGGCACCACTGCACTCCAGCCTGGGCAACAGAGTGAGACTCTTGTCTCAAAAAAAAAAAATCAAGCTGAAATTGTTTCAGCCTAGTAAGATGCTGCCAGCAGCATTTCTATGAGCAAACATGGCCAAATTAGAGTCAAGTAGCTGAGCTTGCTAACTGCACTGTGATGCCACACTGGAATAACTTAGTAGTCCCTTAAAATTAATGGAAGTTAAATCCACAGGGAAGTGATGATACTCAAAGCTGGATCAGCAGTTTCAAGATCTGGGTTCTTGGAGATCCATAGGTAAGCTCAGCAAATGGAAGACGACGTCAACACGGCTATTTTGAAGCTTAGGTGGGAATGGAACACAAAGAAGGTTTGAGGTAAGATATGCTGGAAAGGCAAGATGTAGGCTAAGGGAAATTCAATCCAAGGTCGAAGAATAGGAAATTACTGCTCAGACCACAATGACTATCATTCTGAAAGGATTTCACAGAGTGTGCAGCTGCTTAGATTTAAGAACACTCTTCTTCACTATGTAAACTAATTTATGGCAGCACCTTATATTTAGAACAAGTGGTAATTCCCTTTACTAAGTGAACAGATTATTAAAACCTGTAGTAGCTTTGAACCGTTTGTACTTGAAAATGGGGGTATAAAGGGGTATATATTTTTTCCAGAACCACATTTATTGGCGTATACATAGAAGCAAATCTTAAGGCATGCTGAAATTTGTTGTAAATCCCAATCTTTACTGCCATGGGGAAAAGAACGCTGGAATTTTCCAAACTTAAGTCTGTAAATATGCTCATCTTAAGTTCATGTAATGTTTCCGCTAACTCACCAAGAATAAGCTGACAATTTAAACAACTTTTACTGTGTAAAAATGAAGTGCACGGCATGGCATCACAGTATCTTGACATTTGTTTTGTGTCATTTAGCTACTTTAGAAAATAGTTTCTGAACTCTTTCCCCCTTTATACTGTATTAAGGCAAAAACAAAACTTCTGAAGCATTAAAGATCTTCACCAAAATAACTATTGGTAACTTCAGGAATTTGTCAGTTGCCTTATGTGAGGATGAATAGATCCACCAAGCACGCCTATAATACAAAGTAAACTATGATTTTTATTGTGAAATTTTCATAGATGGAAAATTGAATATTCTGTCCATTTCATTTTACAATTATCTTACCACTTATTTTTGTACCATGTATTTCAATTGCCTGTTTAGTGAAAAATAAAAATTAAAAAAACCTATTCATTTTTGGCTTGTGTTTAGCTTAAATTTTATCATTAAATTAAGGAGCCCACAACAAAATGTGTTGCCAGCAGCCATATCCCAAGCCCCTGCGTGAAGAATGTTTTGGCTGCTATTTCAACCTAAGGAAACAACGTTTGACCTCAGTCACCTTAAAATGCCAGTGTGGGCAGAAGATTTTTTATTCCTCACAATTAAAAACCAAACAAAACCCCCTAGGATCTTGAAGGTCCTATTTCAGAAAATCTTCATATATGCAAAATGTCACCAAAATAAATACATTTGCCTCAATTATCATTACCACCCAGTATTCATGTTTTAATTTTTAGGGATATAATTTCTAAATTTAGAGCAATCAAATTTCCTGCTTCCTATCTTAATGCTTAAACCCTCCTCCAACACCAAGTTAAGCAACTGTGGAGGATAAAATAGTTGAATCTGACTGAAAGCATGGAAGAAAAACATTAGCACACATTAGTCTGATCATTTGCCAATTAGGAAAGGTGCTGCTTTCTACCTCTACCACAGATGCATTTATGAAATGTTGATCAATGAAGCTATTTCAAATGGTTTTAGAGAAGGATCAGAGATAACGGGCTAGATAGCATACATTCTAAACTTGTTTTACATATAGTTTGAGCTCCCTGAACCACTGAAGTTGGTTAAATCCCTACACAGCACAGAAGCCCCTCTAGGTCATGTTATTGGGCATATTATCTAGAAAGCAAATACTGGATGCTGCTCTAAGATAGGTCTAGAATACCTTAGTTTGCATTGTGCACACACAAATGGCTGTGTTGAATATAATGCAAGGCTCTATTTCCCTTTAACCATAAGAATCAAAACAATACTTATCACCATACAGTTTGATATTACTTCCAATAAGTACAATATTTATTAAACATATCTTCAGTTGTTTTGTTACATAGTGTGCAACAAATTACAATATTCTGCAGCCACAAATTATATGCAGAGTATGAAGAAACTATTAATCAGATAGTGTAATCTTTCCATTTATAACTCTACAAGGAAGAACTAGCAAATCAGATCTTACATATAACATCTCACTAAACTTTATGCATGGAAAGTGACAGACACTGCTTGTGCTGTTTGATACAAAATGGCTGAACTTCATCTTCAGAAGACTAAACCTGACATCTAAACATGCCAATATAAACATCAAAACAAAATATATTCTAACCAACCACGGGAAACAGTCTGGTATCAGGAAAGCAACAAGGATTACACACATTATTTTATAAACCAGCACACAAAGGTTTAAAACAGTTCTGAAAATGAAGTTAGCTGTCTTGAGTCAAGGGAATAAAAAAAAAGTCAGTATTGACCATTTACAATCTCTGACCTTTGTGGAGACGGTAAGAATCTGTTGTAGTGCAGCTACATACAGTACAATTCAGGCAATTTTGTTTTTTCACTTGGGTTCAGATTGCAAATTCATTGCTGTGAGAAAAGGATGGAGGCAAATTTTAGCAGCAACCTCCACCTGACTGCTTGACTGGAGTGCTCTGAATTTTAACATTGGACTTCTCAGCACCACCAGCTGTTGCTCCGGGACCCATTCGCTTTTTAATCTCAGCTGCCATCGTCATGAAAGACTGTTCTACATTCGTTGCATTCTTAGCACTGGTTTCCAAAAACGGAATTCCAAGGGAATCAGCAAATTCCTAAGAGAATAATGAGGCACAATTAACACTGAAAAATCTTTTTCACTAATTCTTAGTGCATTTCTACCATCCATAATGGAGCGTGAGGAACTAAGTTCATTGGATCCAAACAGATGCTACACAAATTGTCACTGTCACAGTATTCTAGTGCACATATTTTTAAAAGGCTGTGGCCTTACTGTTACTGCAGAACCCATACATAATTCAACACCTTCAAATTCAGTATGAAAATTAAACTTTAAACATACCTTCGCTGTTGTGTAGTCTACTACTTTCTTTGTGGTCAGATCACATTTGTTCCCTACCAACAATTTGTTGACATTTTCACTGGCATAACGATCTATTTCCTGCAGCCACTGTTTAACATTATTGAAGGACTCCTAAAAAGACATTTGAAAGACTGATAATATAGTTCGATAATATAGTTCTGGAATAAACAGAAACATCGTTCCTGACCTAACAGACAAATAACAAAGAGCTAGTGAGACAACTCTAGCTACAAAATAACCACTGCTAAGGAGTGAAGAGATTTTTTTTTTTGAGACAGGGTCTTGCTCTGTCACCTAGGCCGGAGTGCAGTGGCACAATCACAGCTCACTGCACCCTCGACCTCCCAAGCTCAAGCCATCCTCCCGCCTCCGCCTCCGGGATAGCTGGGACTACAGGCACATGCCACCACACCTGTCTTTTTTTTTTTGGATTTTTTGTATAGATGGAGTTTCACTATGTTGCCCAGGCTGGTCTCGAACTCCTGAGCTCAATCGGCCCACCTTGGCCTCAAAAAGTGCTGAGTTTACAGGTGTTAGCCATTGCAGCTGGCCGTAAACAGATATATTAAAATGACTATAAATATCTAAACAATGACAAACTAGAATTTACAGGCTTAACGATGAAAATACCTTATTTGAAAGGGAAGTATAGCTTAATATTAAACTGCAACGCAGGCAAACCCAACTGCTTTGGAATATGCAATTTAAATGTACTACAAAACCTGGTTTTGAAATTTGATTAATTTTTTTTTTTTTTTTTTGAGACAAAGTCTTGTTCTGTCATCCAGGCTGGAGTGCAATGGCGCGATCTCGGCTCACTGCAACCTCTGCCCGCTGGGTTCAAGCGATTCTCCTGTCTCAGCCTCCCAAGTGGCTAGGATTACAGGCACGGGCCCCCACGCCTGGCTAATTTTTGTATTTTTACTAGAGATGGGATTTTGCCATGTTGGCGAGGCTAGTCTCTAACTCCTGACCTCAGGTGATCCGCCCGCCTCGGCCTCCCAAAGTTCTGGGATTACAGGCGTGAGCCACTGCGCCTGGCCTGAAATTTGGTAAAATTTTGGTTTATGAATAAGATGACCTACTGTTACTACTAGAGATGTCAAAAGATGTTATTAAATATACTCATTTTCTTTTCCACAGTCATATTTAGAGGACGAAAGTTTTCATTTAAAAATATTTCACGGTAATAGTAGAGATTTTTTAAACTAGCATCATTTTTTTCTCCTGCAGATATCACCCACCCAGCACTTCTAATGGCACTGAATCTAAATGCTTACATGTAAGTTATCTCCTAATTAGCTATGATTTCTCATTAGAGGTGAGATTTAACATTTGCCAAAAGAAAAATAAATTCCAATTTTGAACGTTTATCTTTTGTCCTTTTCTTTGATAGAAAGGACACTGAAATCTAAGTTTCTGATTTAAAAAAATAGTAACAAAAAAAGTTATGGCCCCTGGATCACATGCTTCACACTGTCCCACATTGTTCCCTCCATCGCTCTGCCCTCTCTCACAGCTAATCTTCAGATACTCATTCTCATACTAAGATCCTCCTACAGCTTATCCTATTCAAATTCTTTATTTCTGAACCACATCCTCCATAGGCAGAGACCCCCGAATCCCACTTTTGGCAATTCTGATGGACAAGTTCTAATTACCAGGCCATATTCCTGTTAATACTTAACACCAAGAACACAGTATAAGCCAAGCAACTCACGATTCCCTACAAACTCTTGCCTATATGTTAGAGTCTTGGCTATTTGATCAAAGTTATTTAGTTGACAATAAATACAACCAGAATCCCTTGAAAGCAAACGTAAAACTAATTACTAATCTTTTATTTATTACAGGAAAACAAATGTCTTTTAAGTGATTCACATTTATATTTGAGAGTGGACAAAGTTTTCTGCCATAAAATTAATACTGATGGCTTATATATGAAGTAGTAAATGAATCTGACATTAATCAAATAATGGCTTCCTACTTGGTCACTGTAACACAATCTCCTCTTGGAACTTACCTGATCTGTCACATCATACACAACTATGATGCCATGGGCTCCTCTGTAATAACTGGAGGTGATTGTTCGAAATCTTTCCTGGCCTGCTGTGTCCCACTATTACAAAACAATCAAGAAATCCAAACAATTCCATTAAAATAAAGTTGGGGAAAAGTGTAGGAGGGAGGGGAAATAGTTTAGTTTTCATAACTGTGGAGATTATCAGGATGTGATATAGAAACATTAGTCCTCAACTCATACCACTAAATTGCACGGTAATAAGCACCTGAAAGTCCAGAAAAGAAGTAGTACCTACAATTGAGCTTACGATAATAATACTAAAATTACAAGCTGTTGAGAGCAGGAACTATGTCATACTTTTCACATTCCCTACCGCCTTTAACACTGTGTTTAGGAATGCCACTGGCCGAAAGCCCTTGAACACAGAACTCTTCCATGTAAGACAAACTCACTTGCTAGCACATTCTACCATGATTAAAAGCACTGGAGGGACCTAATTCAAATAACTACCAGTCAAGACAGAACTTTAATCATCCCAAGCAGGTGTCTTTTTTTTCCCCTCTCAAGCAGCGTCTCATTCTGTCATCCAGGCTGAGTACAGTGGCATGATCATGGCTCGCTGCAGCCTCAACCTCCCACCTCAAGCAATCCTTCCACCTGAGCCTCCTGAGTAGCTGGGACTACAGGCACATGCCACCACACCCGGCTAATTTTTTCTTTTTTGTAGAGACAGAGTCTCGCTACATTGCCCAGGCTGGTCTCAAATTCCTGGACTCAAGCAATTATCCTAACTCATTCTCCCAAAGTGCTGGCATTACTGGCATGAGCCACCATGCCTGGCTAGGTGTTGTCTTCATCCTAGAGAAAAAAATGTAAGGAAGATGACTCCAAATACTTTCATAAAACGTATTTTAAGAACAATTTACTGCACTTCAACCATTTAGGCTCAAACTCCCAAAACAAATGCTAACATTATTGCATTATAGTTCTGGGTTTTAAAAAACTGTTGGGACTGGGTACGGTGGCTCACGCCTGTAATCCCAGCACTTTGTGGGGCCGAGACGGGCGGATTACGAGCTCAGGAGTTCGAGACCAGCCTGACCAACATGGTGAAACCCTGTCTCTACTAAAAATCCAAAAATTAGCCAAGTATGCTGGCGTGCGCCTGTGGTCCCAGCTACTCGAGAGGCTGAGGCAGAATCGCTTGAGCCCAGGAGGCAGAGGTTGCAGTGAGCTGAGATCACACCACTGCACTCTGGGCAAGAGAGCCAGATCCTGTCTCAAAAAAAGAGAAAAAAAAAAAAAGAGGCTCAAAGTCTTTCAGTGTATCCTTGGAGGAAGCATGAACTCGAGGATCAAGCTACCCTGACTTCAAAACATCAAATCCAGGTTCCTGGTTATTTAATATTAGGGAGAGTCACCTAACAGTTTCTTCATCTGTAAATGCTAGATAGCATTCACCTTGTACAACAGCTAAAGGGGTTTAAATGAACTAATGTTTGTAAAATGTGCCTGACTATAGAAGCTGCTCAATAAAGCAAGTTTCCTTTTCTTCCTTGCTCACCAACCTCTTTCACAAAGATAGAAGGAAAAATTGTTTTTTGACTAAAAGTCAACAAGAAGTTACAGCTGATTAAAGTAAGCAATGGCACCCAAAAAGTAAAATTTCCTTTTTATCCAAAATGGAGGTATTGCTATGTTGCCCAGGCAGATCTTGAACTCCTGGGCTCAAGTGTTCCTCCTGCCTCAGCCTCCAAGTAACTGGGACTACAGGCACTGATATGGTTTGGCTCTGTGTCCCCACCCAAATCTCATCTCAAGTTGTAATCACTGAGGGAAGTGATTGGATTATGGAGAAGTGATTGGATTATGACGACGGTTTCCCCCATTCAAGTGATAGTGAATGAATTCTCACAAGATCTGATGGTCTCATAAGGGGCTCTTCCCCCTTCACTTCCTTCACACTCTCTCGCCTCCTGCCATGTAAGACGTGCCTGCTTCCCTTTCTGCCACAGTAAGTTTCCTGAGGCCTCCTCAGCCATGCAGAACTATGAGTCAATTAAACCTTTTTTTTAATAAATCACCCAGTTTTGGTCAGTTCCTTGTGGCAGTGTGAGAACAGAATAATACATGCACCATGCCTGGCAGAAAGAGTAAAATTTCTGATGTTTCCTTGCTACTCTGAAAACTTTCCTGACACTAAATCCTAACAGTACTAACAATACTTTCCTTCATATGTAATTCTCATTACTCCTCATAATCAGAGTAACTTTTTCCCATGTTTGTCTCTCCCATTGTCTGCCTCCTAATGGACTATGTTTTATTCATCTCTGTAACCTCCAAGTGCCTGGTGTAATGTAGACATTTTCATAAAGCCTCATGAATGAACAATCACAGAAAGAGGCCTTCCATGGTGTACAACTGGACTCAGTACCTGCCCTATCTTGCTGAATGTTTTATAATCTAATAAAACTCAGATAAAGACCCAGATGTCACACCTGAACAGGAAAAGCTGAAAGGAAAAGATAATTAAAATATAAATCAACAGAATCAAGATTTTGAAAAGACCTAGAAAACTTGAAGGATTACTGAAGCCAAGCAAGAGGAAATGATAGGATTAAAAGTAAAATCTTGTGTTTAGATTTTTTTTTTTTTTTTTCAGACGGAGTCTCGCTCTGTCACCAGGCTGGAGTGCAATGGCGCAATCTTGGCTCACTGCAATCTCCGCCTCCTGGGTTCAAGTGATTCCCCTGTCTCAGCCTCCCAAGTAGCTGGGATTACAGGCACCTGCCACCATGCCCAGCTAATTTTTTTGTATTTTTAGTAGAGATGGGCTTCACCATGCTGGCCAGGCTGGTCACGAACTCCTGACCTTGTGATCTGCGTGCCTCTGCCTCCCAAAGTGCTGGGATTACAGGCGTGAGCCACCGTGCCCGGCCTGTGTTTAGATTTTTAAAACACCAGTCACAGAAGTGTAAAGTGAGACCCTCTTCTTTTTTTTTTTTGAAACAAGGTCTCGCTCTGTTGCCCAGGCTAGAGTGCAAATGGCACAATCTTGGCTCACCGCAACCTCCATCTCCGGGCTCAAGCAATCCTCCCACCTCAGCCTCCTGAGTACCTTGAACTACAGGGACACACCACCATGCCTGGCTGAATTTTGTGTTTTTGGTAGAGACAGGGTTTCACCATGTTGCCCATACTGGTCTTGAACTCCTGAACTCAAGAGATCTGCCTGCCTCAGCCTCCCAAAGTACTGGGATTACAGGGGTGAACAACTGCACCTGGCCAAGGCCCCTATTTTAATTAAAAACAAGCAAATCGGCCAGGCGCCGTGGCTCACGACTGTAATCCCAGCACTTTGGGAGGCCAAGGCAGGCGGATCACCTGAGGTCGGGAGTTCGAGACCAGCGTGACCAACATGGAGAAACCCCATCTCTACTAAAAATACAAAATTAGCCCGGCGTGGTGGCACATGCCTGTAATCCCTGCTACTAGGGAGGCTGAGGCAGAAGAATCGCTTGAACCTGGGAGGCGGAGGTTGCAGTGAGCCGAGATCACGCCATTGCACTCCAGTCTGGGCAACAAGAGCGAAACTCCGTCTCAAAAAAAAAAAAAAAGAAAAAAGAAAAAACAAGCAAATCAAAAACCTTAAGACCCAAACTAGAAATAATATAGCTACTGAAACAACAAATGGTTGTCTTTGATTAATAATAAGAAAGGGCCATGAGCCCTTGAAGTTCAAGAGAGAAATTCATTCAGGCTCCAAATCAAGACAGGATTTACCTCATGTGTTATATCTCATACTTGATTTAAGAAATCAAATTTAATAAAAGGCATTTATAAAATGTAAGAATAACCCAAATTGCACAAGGTTCTGAAAATATCATTACAGGAAAGAATGAGGACTTCAGAGGTAGAAGAAAGGTTGTGATAAGATCAATCTGAAGGGCAGGCTTGCCAATAAAAGAGGAATTAATCTGATTCAGGCAGCTCTACAAGGCGGAGGAATAAGAAGAGACAGAAGTAAAAGAAACAGGCTTCAGCTCAATATAAAGAATTAACATGTCTCTAAAAGAATCATGTAGTGAGCTGACCGCTGCACTCTAGCGAGGGAGACAAAGTGAAATTTTTGTCTCAGAAAAAAGAAAAAAAGAAGAATCACTAGGAATAAATAAAAAAAATAACTGGCAACTAGAGGTTTTGTGGTTTTTTTTGTTTTTTTCTGTATGTTTTGCAAAGATGAGGTTTCGCCATGTTGCTCAGGCTGGTCTTAGACCTCCTGAGCTCAGGCAATCTGCCCACCTTGGCCTCCCAAAGTGCTAGGACTATAAGCGTGAACCACGACGCCCGGACAGCCACTGCGCCCAGCCTTATTTTGTTTTTGAGACAGGGTCTCTCACTCTGTCCCCAAAGCTGGGGTGCAATGGTGCAATCTTGCCTCACTGCAGCCTTGAAGTCCTGGGCTCAAACATTCCTCCCACCTCAGTCTCCTGGGGAGCTAGGACTACAGGCATGGACCACCACACCTGGTTACTTTTTTTTTTTTTTTTTTGGTAGAGATAGAGTCTCTATGTTGACCAGGCTGGTCACAGGAGCTATGTTGACTCCTGGCCTCAAGTGACTCTCTGACCTCGGCCTCCCAAAGTGCTGGGATTACAGGCATGAGGCAACATGCCTAGCTGAAGTTATGTGTAAAATGGAACTAGCTATTTCGAAAAAATGGTAAGCTTCTTAAAAATGTTCAAAAACCCAGGCGTGGTGGCTCACGCCTGTAATCCCAGCACTTTGGGAGGCCAAGACGGGTGGATCACTTGAGGTAAGGAGTTTGAGACCAGCCTGGCCAACATGGCGAAATCCCATCTCTACGAAAAATACAAAAATTATCGGAAGGCTGGGCACAGTGGCTCATGCCTGTAATCCCAGCACTTTGGGAAGCCGAGTCAGGCAGATCACGAGGTCAGGAGTTCGAGACCAGCCTAACCAACATGGTGAAACTCTGTCTCTACTAAAAATACAAAAAATTAGCAGGGTGTGGTGGCGCACGCCTGTAATCCCAGCTACTCAGGAGGCTGAGGCAAGAGAACTGCTTGAACCTGGGAGGCGGAGGCTGCAGCGAGCCAAGATTGCACCACTGCACTCCAGCCTGGGCGACAAAGCAAGGCTCCATCTCAAAAAAAAAAAAATTGTCCGGGCATGGTGGTACACACATATAATCCCAGCTATTAGGGAGGCTAAGGCAGGAGAATCACTTGAACCCAGGAGGCGGAGGTTGCAGTGAGCTCAAATCGCGCCACTGCACTCCAGCCTGGGAGACAGAGCAATACTGTATCTCAAAAAATAAAAAAACAAACAAACAAAATGTTCAAAATGAGGCCTTCAGGCATGGAAAAGAAATTCCTATTAAAGATGAAAGACAGACAAAGATGAAAGACAGTGTCCTATAAGATCCCTTCCAGCCACAGGAAAGTAACAAAATATGAATGTTTCACACACGAATACACACCCAAATCTTATAAACACCAATGATCACACATAATACAATTATTCCATACCAGTGCTTTAAAGTACAGTTTTGGGTAGATCTTTATGTGCTCTTTATGGTGCCAAATAAAAGGTTGAGACTGTACTTATATCGTGGGAAAAAATATGGAGGGTAATTTGTTCACTGATTGAAAGTATTTCAAGCTATTTCTGAAAACTAAATCCTTGCAAGTCCTAATTTGACACATCAAGTGTGTTTACTTATATCAATATCCACAGCCACCTATCTTTTGTTAACATACCTTCTTTTCCTCATCAGAGTCATGTAAGAAAAGGGAGCAACTTAACCTATCAAACACCCATTTATCTGGGCATGTCATATCATAAGTAGTATCTATATGCTGCCCAAAAGTTTACAAAGGGCTTTCACACGTATTGTCACATACACAAAGCTATTACAGTTGGTTCTCACAACTAGCTTATAAATTAGTAAATCAGGTGTCATCACACACATTTTAGAAAGGAAACTGGGTCTCAGGGTTACTTCGGCCTTTTCCCCAGAGACACAAACCCATGATTCTCTAACAGGTAAATACTAGAACCAAGACAACAAATCTAAGTCTTCTGACTCCTAATGCAGGACTCCTTCCAATTCCATGTGTCATCAGTTCCATGAAAAGGGGCAGTCACTGGTTTCCTGTGTTTATAGCCTACTTCTTGCTAATAGCCTACTCTGAAAAATACTGAGAGATTTATTTTTTAAAAGACCACAGATATGCCCACACTGACAGGACTCAGACCCATACTGAAGAGGCACAACTGAACTATTATAATTGCCTATATTTAATTGGGGGCTGGGGGTGTAAAGATGGATAAGGGGGATAGGATGGCACAGAGACACAAAATATTGAAGACAGAGCTTCGGTCACTTGGTTCTACCAGTAACTGTAGGCAAGTCATTAAATCTTTCAGCATTCGTTTTTTTGAGCAGTAAAATGAACATGTTACAAAAACTAAGTTCCTTTTTCCAACAAAATTCTGTGTTTCTACAGAGTTGGTGCACACTATCTAATAAAAATACTTAGAACTACATAAGTACTTCTCTTCAACTGAGCCACATATGAAGAATCTCTTCCTAGGGTTCCTTTAATGTTCCATGCACTTAGCACAGTAAAAGACAAACAAAAATGGTCTATAACATTTGCAGTGTAGGACAAGGTAAACTTGAACTTAGATTTCCACTGATAAAAGAAAAAGATGAGGACCAAGTTTGACTTAAAACATGAGTTTCTCTGCTTCATGAATAGAAAATTCAATGAGGCTTAAGTAATCTTGAAAATATTATTTTTAATCTAAGTAATTCTTATTCTACCATTCTATCTTAAGTACATGAATCTTAAGACATTTTACATTCAATTTTGTTAGCATAGTAAATATATACAAAATAACAATACATTACAAATTTACCAAAATAAATTTCAAAAAAATTACTAGCCAAGTCACTTACTATTTGAAGCTTGATTGTTTTCCCGTCTAACTCTATAGTTCTTATTTTGAAATCCACACCAATTGTGCTGATGTAGCTTTCTGTATATGTATCATCCTGAAGGGGGAAATAATTAACAATTAAATGTATTGTTCAGTGGAGCAGATGCAAGTCTAAGTGGAAAAAAAAAAACTGTTGTTCAAGAGTAAATAAAAAAAAAGTTTACTTTTATCTACAGTCCAAATTTATGAATGAAATGTATAAAGTATAACATGCTGACAACAGCCACTCCATCCACTTTCAGTACTTACTTCATATTCTGATTACAAAGCACTACTTAACTGTAGTTTCTTTCCTTAAGATCTCTACAATAGCCATTCTTTATTTTTTCCAAACATCATCTCTTGCCAAATTCTTTACATACATCATATAGAAAAATATTTTATATTTTCAATGATTATGAATAATTTTTCTAATCACTAATCAGCAAAACTCTTGCGACCCACCCACCCAATTTATTCACCACAAAACAACAATTTCACTCCGCTTTTTCTTAGAAGTCAATCTTGCTTCCTAATTATGATTTTTTTTTTTAGATATAATGCACATAACATAAAAGTCACCCTTTTGAAGTGGACAATTCAGTGGTCCTTATACATTCACAAGGTTGCAAACTACAACCACGAATTCCAGGACATTTTCTTCACTCCAGAAAGAACCCGTCTTCACTCCCTGGCAACCACTAATCTACTTTCTCTTTAGATTTGCCAATTTTGGACATTTCGTATAAATGGAATCATAAAATATGTGGCCCTCTGTGTCTGTCTTCCTTCATTTAGCAGAATGTTTTCAAGGTTCATCCATGTTGTACCATGTAACAGTACTTCTTTTTTTTTTTTTTTTTGAGGCAGGATGTTGCTCTGTTGCCCATGCTGGAGTGCAGTGTCATGATCTCAGCTCACTGCAACCTCTGTCTCCCGGGGTCCAAGCAATCCTCATGACTCAGCCACCTGAGTAGTAGGGACTACAGGCGTGCATCACCACGCCTGCCTAATTTTTGTACGTTTAGTAGAGACAGGGTTTCGTGATGATGGTCAGGCTGGTCTCAAACTCCTGACCTCTAGTGATCCCCCTGCCTGAGCCTCTCAAAGTGCTGGGATTACAGGTGTGAGCCACCATGCCTGGCCCATTTTATTGGCTGAATAATATTACATGTACTACAAATATACAACATTTTATCCATTCATAAATTGATTTGGGTTGTTTCCACTTCTTGGCTATTATGAATAATGCTGCCATGAACATTTGTGTACAAGTTTTCCTGTGAATATATGTTTCCTGTCAATTTTTTAACCTAATGTTAAACTTTTAAAATTATAACTGCTTCTTGCAAGTACCTGCCATGAAATTTTATTCAGAATGGAATAAAAATATTTCTCGTGAAAAGATATATGAATGAACAGACCAGGCTATCATCATATGAACCACAAAGCACCACCTAAGAAGTACTCTGTCAACAAAGATGGACCTTAATCGAATCAGGTCTAATGAGAACGGCACTGCCAAACAGAACTTCCTGTGACAATGGAAAGGTTCTATAAGCTGTGCTAGCCAATATGGTAGCCATTAGCCCTATGCAGCTTGTGAAACAAGAAACTAAGTTTTTGATTTTTTCAATTATTTTTCCCCCTTAAAGGGACAGGGTCTTGATGTCTCCCAGGCTAGAGTACAATCGTAGCTTACTGAAGCCTTGAACTCCTGCACTCAAGCAATCCTCCCACCTTGGCCTCCCAAAGTGCTGGGATTACAGGTGTGAGCCACCAAACTTTTTCAATTTTAATTAATTTAAATTTAAATAGCTACATAGAGCTAGTAGCTACTCTAAGGATAGTGCAGTTCTAGGTCTTCTAATTACAGAAAGAGGGACAAACAAATAAGCATAAGGACATCACAAGGAAGCAAAATGACAAATCTAGAATATTGGACAATCTACAGGACAAGTGCTTCAGTTTCTGCAAAAAGTCAATGACATAAAAAATATATAAATAAAAAAGATAAGGTATAAAACTCTAGATTAAAAGACTAAGCAAGAAAACAACCAAATGGAAACTGTATTTTGCAGGTTGATAATGGCAATGTCATTTTATAAGAAAATGTTTTTAGAAATATGGGCCGGGCATGATGGCTCACACCTGTAATACCAGCACTTTGGGAGGCCAAGGTGAGTGGATCACAAGGTCAGGAGTTTGAGATCAGCCTGGCCAAGATGGTGAAACCTCATCTCTATTAAAAATACAAAAAATTAGCTGGACGTGGTGGCGGGCGCCTGTAATCCCAGCTACCCGGGAGGCTGAGGAAGGAGAATCACTTGAACCCGGGAGGTGAAGGTTGCAGTGAGCCGAGACTGTGCCACTGCACTCCAGCCCAGGCGACAAGGCATGTCTCTGTCTCAAAAAAAAAAAAAAAAAAAAAAAGTTATGTTGTAATTGAGTGCCTAATAAGTATCAGGTACTATAGAAGTATATAGAGGCCAGGCGCAGTGGCTCACATATGTAATCCCAGCACTTTGGGAGGCCAAGGTGGGAGGCTCACTTTAGATCAGGAGTTCAAGACCAGCCTGGCCAACATGGTGAAACCCTGTCTCTACTAAAAATACAAAAAATTAGTGGGTGTGATGGCACACGCCTGTAAACCTAGCTAGTCAGGAGACCAAGATGGAGAATCGCTTGAACCCATGAGGTGGAGGCTGCAGTGAGCCGAGATTGCACGACTGCACTCCAGCCTGGGCGACAGAGCGAGACTCCATCTCAAACCAAAAAAAAAAAAAAAAAAATGCAGAGAACAAAATGAATGCAATAAATATTCATGTAGCACATCTATCCCCCAGGTACTTGGATAGAAATACTGAATTCTTGGCCGGGTACAGTGGCTCACGCCTGTAATCCCAGCACTTTGGGGAGCAGAGGTGCACATATCACTTGAGCTCAGGAGTTGGAGACCAGCCTGACCAACATGGTGAAACCCCATCTCTACTAAAAATACAAAAATTAGCCAGGCACAGTAGTACACGCCTGTAATACCAGCTACTCGGGAGGCTGAGGCATGAGAATCACTTGAACCCGGGAGGTGGGAGTTATAGTGAGCTGAGATCATGCCACTGTACTCCAGCCTGGATGACAGAGCTAGACTCCATCTCAAAAAAAAAAAGAAAAAGAAAGAAATGCTGAATTCTTGTAAATCTCTAAATGACCTTTACTCCCATGCCTGAGCCGTTACTATTCGTCTGCCCAAAAGCCTCAGTTATCTCTCTCTGCATAACCCTACTTACTCCCCAGCCCCAAGGTCATGTGGCATTTATTCATCCTTCAGTTTTGAGCTCAGGCAATACTGAGTGTCCAAACAATTTCTTCAACTCCTCAGCCAATAGATTCTTCCCTCTGTGCCCCCAGAGCTTATTGCACATTTCTTTATTATAGTCCTCACGATTGTCTCTATTAATATTTTGAGGGTATGGGGATCAGCATTTTAAAAATAGTTTCCAGGTATTATTGGAAAACCTTTGACTTCAAGCAATGGACATCCCAGAGAGGGTTTTCCTTGAGGCACAAACGCCTGAGGCTACAGCTAGATTCTTCCCACCTACCGAGAGTTGCTTAAGAATTATGCTTAATTTTAATATTTGCCAATTTAATAAAAATTAAATGACACCTAAGTTTAACTTAAAGGCCTTTAATTACAAATAAAGTTGAGCCTTTTTTTTTTTCCATATTTATTGGCAATTTGTATTACTTCCTTTTTTTTTTTTTTTTTTTTTTTTGAGATGGAGTTTCGCTCTTGTTGCCCAGGCTGGAGTGCAATGGTGCGATCTCGACTCACCACAACCTCCGCCTCCTGGGTTCAAGCAATTCTCCTGCCTCAGCCTCCCAAGTAGCTGGGATTACAGGCATGCGCCACCACATCCGGCTAATTTTGTATTTTTAGTAGAGACAGGGTTTCTCCATGTTGGTCAGGCTGGTCTCGAACTCCTGACCTCAGATGATCCGCCAGCCTCAGCCTCTAAATGCTGGGATTACAGGCGTGACCCACCACACCCAGCCAGCAATTTGTATTACTTCTTTTTTCAACTGACTGCTCATGTATTTGCCACTATTTCCATTAGGAGAAATATTCTTTTCTTGTTGATGTGCAAATGTGCTTTATATGTTGAGAATACCAATCCTCATATATATATATTTGCTATTGCCATTAGTTTTCTAACATTTTTGTGCCTGTGATAAATTAATTTTAATAGTCAAATTTAGCAGTGATTTCTTGCTTTTTTCTTATTTTAAAAAATACCTTCACAAACCAAGATTAAAGAGCCACCTATGTTTTATTCTAGTACTCATGGTTTTATTTTTAACTGTTATATAAAAAGAATTATACATTATTTAATATTTTTTAAATAACCTTCATTAATATCGGCACTCATCAGAAAAGTCATATGTATTTAGGATACTGTCAAGTGGTAAACTCTAAGTTTTTTCAAATTCTAATTTTCCATGATAAACTTAAATTTTATTTCAGCCAACAAATGCTTGCAGCTACTTCCCTTGAAATGACTATCACAGTTCATCTGAGAAAATCTGTCAAATAGCCAATTCTGTTCTAATCTGTCTGTTAGCTGTTCTTTCAAGTTAAAAAAAAAAAAAAAAATGTCCAGGTGCAGTAGTTCACGCCTGTAATCCCAGCACTTTGGGAGGCTGAGACAAGCGGATCACGAAGTCAGGAGTTCGAGACCAGCCTGGCCAACATGGTGAAACCCCATCTCTACTAAAAATACAAAAACTAGCTGGGCTTGGTGGCAGGTGCCTATAATCCCAGCTACTTGGGAGGCTACGGCAGAAGAATTGCTTGAACCCGAGAAGCGGAGGTTGCAGTGAGCCGAGATTGTGCCACTGCACTCCAGCCTGGGCAACAAAGCAATATTCCATCTCAAAAAAAAAAAAAGAAATGGTGTTCCACAGAAAAAAATAAAGCAGTTAGCTCAGCTTACAACTCAAAAAACTACAAATGCTTTTCTTTTCTCCAAAATAACCAACACACTAGCCAGTATGCAGTAAAAAGTGCTTTCTCCAGCACTTTGGGAGGCTGAGGCACATGCATCGCTTGAGCTCAGAAGTTTGAGAGCAGCCTGTGCAACACAGTGAGACCTTGTCACTACAAAAAAATACAAAAATCAGCCAGGCATGATGGCGCATCCACTTGGGAGGTCCCAGCCACTTGGGAGGCTGAAGTGGGAGAACAGCTTGAGCCTGGGAGCCAGACGCCACTGCACTCTAGCCTTGGCAACACAGCCAGAATCTGTCTCAAAAAAAAAAAAAAACATTGTTTTATGTGAACTTCCCATTTCTTCACAAATATTTTTAAAGGAATACTCATGGATCAACATTTTTCAAAAATTAATCATTTTAACTGTTTTGTCAAGGACAATCTTCAATAAAAATGGCACGGCTTGTTTTTGTTCCTGTGAGGGCACAGAGGTAAAGAATGCCATCACCATGAGTACAATTTGGAGCTTAGCGCTGCCTTGATGTGTACCAAGCCAGCAGCAATTTTACCCACATGCTTTTGTACCAGAGCCAATGTCATCACTGAAAAACGCAAACATCTTTTATATTAGTATTATTACCAAGTAAATATTTCCTTACAAATACTAACATCTTAGTATTATTAGGATATTTTGACCTCATGGGCTACCTGAGAGGGTCTTGGTAACCCCCAGGAGTCTTTGGTCCATGCTCTGAGAAACAATGATCTCTAGAAGGGAAACATGCTAATTTGTTTTTTTATTTTTTTTCTTTTTTTTTTGAGACAGTCTTGCTCTGTTGCCAGGCTGGAGTGCAGTGGCACCATCTCAGCTCACTGCAACCTCCGCCTCCTGGGTTCAAGCGATTCTCCTGCCTCAGCCTCCCGAGTAGCTGGGACTACAGGCGTGTGGCACCACACCCAGCTAATTTTTTGTATTTTTAGTAGAGACGGGGTTTCACCGTGTTAGCCAGGATGGTCTCGATCTCTTGACCTTGTGATCCGCCCGTCTCGGCCTCCCAAAGTGCTGGGATTACAGGCGTGAGCCACCGCACCTGGCCAGGAAACATGCTAAATTTAAAGGTAGTTGATAAAGACTATGAAGGACACTGTGGATTCTGTTAAGTCAAAAGTCCTTTATCTGTCAGCTTCAGCATTTAGAACTATGCCATTGGCCAACGAAGTTTGTCCAAGACCCTACTTTTTCTTTTATTAACTTTTTTTTTCAGAGACAGAGTCATGCTATGTTGTCCAGGTTGGTCTCAAAACTCCTAGACTCAAGTGATCCTTCCACCCTCAGCACCCTGAGTAGCTGAGACTGCAGGCATGATCCACTGCGTCACCTGGCTCTGCTTTTTCTTCTTATTCTACTAAAGTTTAATTTAAAGATTTATTTTCATCAAGTCGCTTTCAACACAGGCCACCAACTACCCCTTTAACTTGCTGCCTATATTGGAACTGCTGTTTGACTCTGACCAAAAGTATTAGACATTCTGACTTTATAACCATACTTCACTGAATTTCTTTTAAGAGCAACAATATTTTTCTATTTAACAGTCCAAGATACCACTGGGGATGTATATTTGGAGTCTTTAAATATATAAATTCTGGAAGAATTAACTTATTCTGAATAAAACTGTTTAATTTTATCTACCTAGAAAACATACATAGCATTAATTGTACCATTAATTGTAAAGACATTTCAATTTCAACTTACTGCAAACCTAAGAAGAAGGCAAGACTTTCCAACCCCTGAGTCGCCAATCAGAAGTAACTTGAATAAATAATCACTGCAAAAAGAAAAAGAAAATGATGTTAATAAAAAGCACACTGCATTGCTATAAGCTATACAAAAACAAAAACACAGCTACAAATAACAACTCACTGTGAAGACTACATCTCCTATAAAGCCCATGCATGGCTTAAGCCAAAACTGCAAACAGCCACAGCCCTTCTGACAGATCACTAAACATGATAAAATTATGTAAAAAGTAGGCAATGCCACCTATGATCTCTAACATCAGTGAACTTCCACTTAAAAAGAAAGAAGGAAAAGAAAAATAAGTGATACGCACTCTTGGACTGCCCAAGATACTTAAAACATTCTAAATAAATCCCACTCCTCTATAGTATTAGAATACAGAAAGGTAACTTTTCATTGTTTTTGCCCATGAAATATTAGTCTCTCCTTCAAATTCTAAGATCAGGCCAGGCGCAGTGGCTCACACCTGTAATCCCAACACTTTGGGAGGCTGAGGCAGGCAGTTCACTTGAGGTCAGGAGTTCAAGACCAGCCTGACCAACATGGTGAAACCCCGTCTCCATTAAAAATACAAAAATTAGCTGGGCATGGTTGCGCATGCCTGTAATCCCAGCTACCTGGTAGGCTGAGGCAGAAGAATTGCTTGAACCCAGGAGGCAGAGGTTGCAGTGAGCCGAGATCGTGCCACTGCATTCCAGCTCCAGCCTGGGCAATAAGAACGAAACTCTGTCTCAAAAAAAAAAAAAAAAAAAAAAAAAAAAATTCCAAGATCAAATAATTTCATAGCACTCCTCCAATGAAGGGGTTCTCACGATCCTTCTCTAGCATCCAGCTTGAATTCTCCCGTCAAAACAATGTTCATATAACTTCTGAAAGCCCATATTATAAACTAGAAATGTGATAAATTCACAGGCTGTTTATCCAAGTGCAAAACTTGACTAACACTCTACACTTGTATTAAAGCATTTTTCAGAACCATTGAAAACCAAGCTTTTTTTTTTTGAGACGGAGTCTTGCTCTGTCACCCAGGCTGGAGTGCAGTGGCGCGATCTCGGCTCACTGCAACCTCCAACTCCCTGGTTCAAGTGATTCTCCTGCCTCAGCCTCCCGAGTAGCTGGGATTATAGGCATGCGCCACCACGCCCAGCTAATTTTTGTATTTTTAGTAGACACGGGTTTCACCGTGTTGGCCAGGATGGTCTCGATCTCCTGACCTCATGATCTGCCCGCCTCAGCCTCCCAAAGTGCTGGAATTACAGGTGTGAGCCACCGCACCCAGTGATAAAACAAGGCTCTCTTTATGTATCTCTAACATTGCCAGGCCTAACTCAAAAACTATCCCCAGAGATTCCTTCATGGAACTAAGACAACATTATTATTCACCCACAGTCTCCAAGGAAATCCCTCATAGATCCTTCCCAACTCAGACACCAGTTCTATGCATTCTTTTAAGCAATTTCAAAAGGACAAAAACCTTAGAATTTATATATCGTTTTTGTAGAAGATATACATGATTTTGTATTTTGTCCTTTTTGATTTACTTTCAAAAATATGCTAAAGTGAAAACCACGTCACAATTTAGATTAAAATTATTTACATGTAAACAAGACATAAAACTTATTTTTTTTGTTTTAATTGCACTGCCAAAGAAGAGAGGATATAAAACTTCTATAAGCGATTATCTTTGTGAATATTCAACTATTACGTAGGTTTACATAATGATATGCATTACTTAAAACATTGTTTGGGTTTTAGCAAATTACCATATTATACTTATTGTTATACTTATTGTCTTTAATTATATATGAGGAAAATAATTTTTTAAAAATCCCAAGTGCCAGTCAGCAGCAAAATAGAAGTCAGAGAAGGAAACAAAAATCTTCTAAACAAGTAAATCAGAAGAGGGGACTGAAGCATAGAATGAACTAGACATCCTTTCCAGTTTGAGATTTTAAAATTTTTAAAAAGATCGCTATTGTAGAATATTATCCTTAATAAATGATTGATACCTAATACCAACAATTTGTACTTGGCAGTTCAGCTGGCTGACTTTACTACTATTGATAAGGTTCCTTCTTAATTAAACCAAATATTCTTCTTTCTTTTTTTGAGACAGAGTCTTGCTCTGTTGCTCAAGCTAATTTTTGTACTTTTAGTAGAGACGGGATTTAGCCATGTTGGTCGGGCTGGTCTCCAACTCCTGATCTCAAGTGATCCACCCGCCTTGGCCTCCCAAAGTGCTGGGACTACAGGTGTGAGCCACCATGCCTGGCCCCAAATATTCTTTTTTTGTTTGTTTGTTTTGAGACAAGAGTCTCGCTCTGTTGCCCAGGCTGGAGTGCAGTGAAGCAATCTCAGGTCACTGCAGCCTCCACCTCCCAGGTTCAAGCAATTCTCCTGCCTCAGCCTCTGAAGTAGCTGGGATTACAGACATGTGCTAACACACCCAGCTAATTTTTGTATTTCTAGTAAAGACGGGAGTTTCATCATGTTGGAGGCTGTTCTCAAGCTCCTAACCTCAGGTAATCTGCTCACCTCAGCCTCCCAAAGTGCTGGGAGTACAGGCATGAGCCACCGTGCCTGGCCCCAAATACTCTTAAGAATACTGAACACTGAACATTAACAATGAGTATATGTTAAGAATTTACCTGTATGAAGAAAGGAAGACTATCACAGCATTGATACTACCATAGTAGGTTGGTTTTTTGGGGGGTGTTGTTTTTGTTGTTAGACAGTCTCACTCTGTCGCCCAGGCTGGAGTGCAGTGGCTCGATCTCGATTCACTGCAACCTCTGCCTCCAGGTGTTCAAGTGATTCTCAGGCCTCAGCCTCCTGAGTAGCTGGGACTTAGTAGGGAGGTTTTTAAACAGAAGTTTCAACACAACAACTGGACTCAATGTACCAATCTCCCTGAACTCCACGCCAGGCATCCAGTAAACACTCAAAAACATTCCCTGAATTTGCTGTACTGGAGCCAGTTGAAGTAAAGGACTGTACTGGGCCTCAGATGTTGCCTGAAGTATCACCTTAAAGATCAACAACCCAGGCTAGGCGTAGTGGCTCATGCCTGAGGTCAGAAGTTCCAGACCACCCTGGCCAATACGGTGAAACCCCATCTCTACTAAAAATACTAAAATTAGCTAGGCATGGTGGTGGGCAGCTTTAATCTCAGCTACTTGAGAGGCTGACCCATGAGAATTGCTTGAACTCAGGAGGTGGAGGTTGCAGTGAGCTCAGATCACACCACTGCACTCCAGCACGGGCAAAAGAGGAGTCTCAAAAAAAAAAAAAAAATCAACAACTCTATTTCAGAGCAACCATAAAGCTTTAAAAAACATGAACGGGGGCCAGGTGCAGTGGATCACCTGAGTTCAGGAGTTCGAGACCAGCCAGGCCAACACGATGAAACCCCGCCTCTACTAAAAATACAAAAATTAGCTGGGTGTGGTGGCAGGCGCCTGTAATCCCAGCTACTCGGGAGGCTGAGGCAGGAGAATTGCTTGAACCCAGGAGGCAGAGGTTGCAGTGCGCTGACATCACACACTCCAGCCTAGGCAACAAGAGCAAAACTCCATCTCAAAAAAAAAAAAAAAGAAAGAAAGAAACATGAAGGTTTCCTAATTGCACTACAAGTTACATTATGGTTTCAAGAAATTAATAGTCAATTCTTTTTAAATTACCTTTTTCAACCACTACATTTTTTTAAGTTTTACAAATATAACACTCTTATTTTAACGCATTATGGCTGGGCACAGTGGCTCAGTGAGCCTGTAATCCCAGCACTCTGGGAGGCCGAAGCAGGTGGATCACCTGAGGTTGGGAGTTCGAGACCAGCCTGGCCAACATGGTGCAATCCCGTCTTTACTAAAAATACAAAATTAGCCAGGCATGGTAGCGCATGCCTGTAATCCCAGCTACTTGGGAGGCAAAGGCAGGAGAATCACTTGAACCCGAGAGGCGGAGGTTGCAGTGAGTCAAGATCACATCATTGTACTTCAGCCTGGACAATAAGGGCGAAACTCCATCTCAAAAAAACAAATAAAAAAATTATTTATGAGTTTCTAATAATTTAAGGCTTAAATTAAAGCCATTATAAATAATATGAAGAATTGAGTGCTCTGTATAAGACAATCTTTGCAAAAGACTACTGGTTCTCTCGCAAACCATTTGTTTACTAACATGACAACAGTCACATGAGAAAGGCAAATAAAATCAAACCCACAAACTTCCCCACCTCCCCTTATCAAAGACACACACTTGAATAGCGTGATCAGTGACACGTTAACTTGCATTGGGACATTTTAAATTACCTACTACAGAAGTAGTTTATTTCTCAACTGTAAATATACTGAATATTCGTGAGAATTCATTGTTCTGAGTTTGCTTTAAAACGTTTTTATAATTTACAAAACACCACACAGTAAAAATGTTGATAGAAAATATACAAATATAAAATTACAGAGCACAAGGACAGAATTTTGGTACAAAGAGCCAAGACTAATTTAGCAAATGGTAAGACTTTAAATGTATTTATTCTTCATTCCTCATGAATTTGGATCACTAAGTTTTTATCCTACAATAATATAATTTTGACTTAAGTGAAAAAAACTAAATTATGCTAGTTTAGAAACCAATAAAAATTTGGCTGGGCGCGGTGGCTCACACCTGTAATCCCAGCACTTTGGGAGGCCAAGGTGGGTGGATTACCTGAGGTCAGGAGTTCAAGACCAGCCTGACCAACATGGTGAAACCCCGTCTCTACTAAAAAAAAAAATACAAAAATTAGCTCAGCATGGTGGCAGATGCCTGTAATCCCAGCTACTTGGGTGGCTAAGGCAGGAGAATCACTTGGACCCAGGAGGCGGAGGTTGCAGTGAGGAGAGACTGCGCCATTGCACTCCAGCCTGGGCAACAGAGCGAGACTCCATCTCAAAAAAAAAAAAAGAGAAAGGAAAAAAAAGAAACCTATGAAGATTTACAATTGTCACCCTCGTAAATTATTCTAGTAAATCCTATCCACTGTTTCCAGTTCAGAACTTCCTCTAGCTTTTTGTAGTTCTAATCTACTATAACCTCATATTTTCTACCCTCGAGAAGTTTGGGGTCTGTGTTTCTCCACCCTTACGTTTGACATAGCTATCTGTGGGTGTGGAAGGTAAGCTGACTTACTCATCTACGTATACAAGGATCTAGCACTGTGCCTTTTACAAAGCATGTGCTAAGAGATCAGAGAACATTTTAGTTTTACATTTTTAATCAGGCCTCTTTCGTTGTGAGATACAGCTACAGAAAATTTGTGCCATCCTTGATTAACATTTTTGGCCAAAATATTAGGGGGAAAAAATGATGACAGCACCTCATGTTAAAAGGATACAGGAGCCGGTCGGGCTTGGTGGCTCACGCCTGTAATCCCAGCACTTTTGGAGGCTGAGGCGGGCAGATCACGAGGTCAGGAGATCGAGACCATCCTGGCTAACATGGTGAAACCCTGTCTCTACTAAAAATACAAAAAATTAGACGGGTGTGGCGGCACACGCCTGTAGTCCCAGCTACTCAGGAGGCTGAGGCAGGAGAATCGCTTGAACCCGGGAGGTGGAGGTTGCAGTGAGAAGAGATGGCGCTACTGCACTCCAGCCTGGGCAGCAGAGCGAGACCGTCTCAAAAAAAAAAAAAAAAATGGCCAAGCCAGAACAATTTGAGGCACAAAATAAATTAAGTACGTATTAGATTATAACTCACAAAATAAATACTCATGAATTCATAGCAGTATAAATGATTATAAATGGGAGGGAAGAGACAAGTCAATAACACATGCTGAAGAAATGAGAAAAACAGAAAATGACCAGTAGCACTACATTAATAATTGCTGCAATGCTGGGTGTGGTGGCTCACACCTGTAATTCCCACCTACTTGTAAGGCTGAGGTAGAAGGATCACATGAGGCCAGAAGTTCAAGACCAGCCTGAGCAACATAGCAAAACCCCCATCTCTAAAAATATTTTTTTTAATTAGCTGGGTGTGGTGGTCTATGCCTGTAGTCCCAGCTACTTGAGAGGCTGAGGCAGAAGGATCACTTGAGCCCAGGAGTTTGAGGCTGCAGTGAGCTATGAACTCACTACTGCATTCCAACTTGGGCAACAGAGTGAGATCCCATCTCTTAAAAAAAAAATTAAGGAAAAAAGAAAAAGAAAAAATAATTGCTGCAAGGAAGATTTACTGGATAAATGCTAAATTAATGGATAAAACTAAGGAGAAACAGGATATCTGCATGACCTCACCAAAGTATATCCCTCAAAATATTGGCCAGGCATGGTGGCTCACACCTGTAATCCTAGCGCTTTGGGAGGCCAACGCGGGTGGATTGCCTGAGCTCAGGAGCACGAGACCAGCCTGGGCAACACGGTGAAACTGCTTCTCTACTAAAATACAAAAAATTAGCCAGGCGTGGTGGCACATGCCTGTAGTTTCAGTTACTTGGGAGACTGAGGCAGGACAGTCACTTGAACCCCGGAGGTGGAGGCTGCATTGAGCCAAGATCATGCCATTGCACTCCAGCCTAGGCGACAGAACGAGACACCATCTCAAAAAAAAAAAAAAAATACATCAGACAAATACAAACTGACAGACAACTGACGGACATTCTATAAAATACCTATCAGCACTCTTCAAACTTGTCAAGATAACGAAAAAGAAGGAAAGACTGAGAAACTGTCACAGATTGAAGGTGGCTAACATGGCCTACAACTAAATACAATATGGTATACTGAATTAGATCCTAGAACAGAAAAAGAACATTAGTGAAAAAATTAGAGAAACCAGATTAAGTCTATAGTTAACACTGTACCAATGTTTATTTCTTAATTTGGACAAATGTACCATGTATGTAAGATGTTACTATTAGGAAAAGCGGAAAGAAGGGTATACAAGAACTCCACATTGATTTCACAATTTCAGTAAATCTAAATTTAGTTCAAAATAAAAAGGGTTTTAGAAAAGGTTTTTATAAAGGTTAAAAAATTATGAGGAGGCCAGGCGAGGCTCAAGCCTATAATCCCAGCACTTTGGGAGGCCCAGGCAGGTGGATCACCTGAGGTCAGGAGTTTGAGACCAGCCTGGCCAACATGGTGAAACCCTGCCTCTACTAAAAATACAAAATTAGCCGGGCGTGGTGGCACGCACCTGTAGTCTCAGCTACTCAGGAAGCTGAGGCAGGAGAATCGCTTGAACCTGGGAGGTAGAGGTTGCAGTAAGCTGATATCGCACCACTGCACTTTAGCCTGGGCAACAGAACAAGACTCCATCTCAAAAAAAACAAAACAAAACAAAACGAAAAATGACAAACAATCACTTCAAAAATGCTAGCTCATGATTTTTTTTTTTTTTTTGAGACAGAGTCTTGCTCTGTTGCCTAGGCTGGAGTGCAATGGCATTATCTCAGCTCACTGCAACCTCCACCTCCCCCGGGTTCAAGCGATTCACCTGCCTCAGCCTCCCTAGTAGCTGGGATTACAGGTGTGTGCCACCATGCCCAGCTAATTTTTGTATTTTAGTAGAGATGGGGTTTCACCATGTTGGCCTGGCTGGTCTCAAACTCCTGACCTCAAGTGATCCACCTGCCTCAGCCTCCCAAAGTGTTGGGATTATAGGCATAAGCCACCGTACCCAGCCACTTATGATATTTTTAAACAATATGAGAGACATTTCATGTTTTCTCAAGTTAAATCTAATCACAAATTGGGCTGGGTTTGTAAAATAAAGCTGCTTTTGAGGTACAAGTATTTCTATTAGTGAAAAATTCTGTTGAACTGCTTGAATTTTATAATACTACGAGCAGATATTTTATTTTAATTTAAAAAGTTCACTCTATGAGAAAGCTAAAAACAGTTAAGGTAAGAATGGCATAGAATAAGCCTGGACAGAAAGGAGGAGGCTGAGAGAAATTAACAGTAGGCTTTAACAACTGGATGGTGGGCATGAAATACAGCAACAAGAGAAAAATTATTTTTGCTATCAGTTTTTCCTATAAGTCAACTTTTGGTCTACTTTCGCAATATTGGAGGTTCCAACAATAAAACAAAAGCAATAAGGTACAGTAAGGACGAGTTTTATTCTACTCAGTTTGCATGAAGTTAAATGACTGATGACAGGGCCAGGCACGGCAGCTTGTGCCTATTAATTCCAGCACTTTGGGAGGCTGAGGCTGGAGGATCATTTGAGCCCAAGAGTTCCAGACCAGCCTGGGCAACATAGAGAGAAGCCCCATCTCTTAAAGAAAATTAAGGAAAAAATGATCAATGACAGGATATGTGGATTTTTGCTAACATTAGAATTGTCTTTTGCTTAACAGATGGGGAAAAATTGAACTATACATTCAATTACAAATCAGCAAGAGGGCCCACCCCAGAACCCTTGTTTCAAATTTCAGTTTAGAGTTCAATTTCCATTATTTGTTTGCGTGCAAAAATGGCATCGGTACATATATGTACATTTATGATCTGAACATAGTCTTGATGTCCGCTGATGTATGTACCTACGCCATTTTTGTATGCAAGCACTACCATTTTCTATGCCTTTAAAAAAAGCCTGGTGCAGTGGTGCACACCTGTAGTCCCAGCTACTTAGAAGGCTGAGGCAGGAGGGTAACTTGAGCCCAGGAGTTCAAGGTTGCAGTGAGCTAGGAATAGAACCATTGCACTCACTCTAGCCTAGGCAACAAGAGTGAGACCCCCATCTCTAAATAAATAAAATAAAAAATATAAAAATTAAAAGTCACTACTGTGAAAGCATGGAACAATATTCTTTAAATAAAAAGTTAGAAAAACAGATTTTCAGTTCAAAATTCTATTTAGGTAAAATTCTTTTCTTGCCTAAAGTACAAAGTAGAGGATGAATCAGCTTGTTTCTGAATCTAAAATGCTACTGGAAATTCTAAAACCTCCAAAATAACACTGTTATGTGAAAGGAATATAGAATTTTTTAAAGTATAACCTCATTTTTGTTTTTTAAAAAATCTTTTGAGGGGCTGGGCATGGCTAGCTCATCTCAGCACTCTGAGAGGCTGGAGCAGGAAGTCTAAACTGTAGGACTATAATGGATTGACGGTTTCTTCTTTATACCTTTTTAACAACCTGCAGTAAGCTTGTATGACTTTTATAACCAGAAATAAAAAATGTTATTTGAAAGGAGGAGAAAAGCGTTTTATTCAATGACTTAACACCCTTACAAATATGTTCAGCATATGTCAGCACAGCACACCTATCATAACACAAATTACTTCTAAGTAGGTAGAGTAGGTCAGGTTGTAAACAGACAGCAATGGCATACTCCCAATACAGCCACAAGTATATGAAGTTAAATTCTGGGTTAAATGAGAATATACTGTTTTCTTCTTTCATGAAATAAAATTTAGATTCTCAGACAAGGTTCACATGTCAATGAACACTTTACAAAAGAAAGCTGATTGACATTAACCCAACTTTCAACATTCCACCCTTTGGAAACATGCTAAGGAAGAAAAAAAATCTAACAGCAGAGAACTATAGTGTATAATTGTATTTGTACAAACAGAAATACAAATACAAATTTATAAAAACAAATATAAATTTTATAATATCAGCTGTAAGTACCTTAGAAAAGGCCTATTTATAAAGTTCAATGGAAACTAAATTCATTCTCTTTCATCTAGAATGGATTCATTTGCATGACAGGAATTCTTATGGTTTAAATGTATCCTCCAAAGTTCCTGTGTTAGATACTTAATCCCCAATACAACAGTTTAAGGGGGGCCGGGCGCGGTGGCTCACGCCTGTAATCCCAGCACTTTGGGAGGCCGAGGCGGGTGGATCATGAGGTCAGGAGATCGAGACCATCCTGGCTAACAAGGTGAAACCCCGTCTCTACTAAAAAAATACAAAAAATTAGCCGGGCGCGGTGGCGGGCGCCTGTAGTCCCAGCTACTCGGGAGGCTGAGGCAGGAGAATGGCGTGAACCCGGGAGGCGGAGCTTGCAGTGAGCCGAGATTGCGCCACTGCAGTCCGCAGTCCGGCCTGGGCAACAGAGCGAGACTCCGTCTCAAAAAAAAAAAACAAAAAAAAAACCAGTTTAAGGATGCAGAGCCTAATGAGAGGTGATTAGGTCACAAGGGCTCTGCCCTCATGAATGGATTAATGCATTCTCTCAAAAGTGGGTTAGCTATCTCTGGAGTCACTCTGTTATAAAAGTGAGTTCAAGCCCCTTCTTGCTCTCTGTCTTGACATACTCACTTGCCTTTCCACCTTCCACCATATGATAACACAGCACAAAGGGCAGAACCATGCTCTTGAAGTTCCCAGCCTCCAGAACCACAGGCCAAATAAACTTCTACTGTTTATAAATTACCCAGTCTGTGCTATTCTGTTATAGCAGCAGAAAACAGACTAAGACAGAAATGTTATTTTATCTTCTTCTAAATGTCTTATTTGAAAATAGCATAAAACTAAGCTCACATATCAAATTTAAAACAAAATCCTGATATACTGGCCAATAAATCTTAAGGGAAAATTATCAAGACTACTAAACTACATACTATTTTAATAACCTTTAGGGGGTGAAACAATAAAAACTTCAGCTGCAATGATCATGATTGACATAAATTTTTCTTCTTCACTCACTTTAAGTATGCTCCACAGAACACAATTCAAAACCAACCTTCAGGTTGAAACACTTACTCCTTGCTGGAGACAAGAGGTAAGAACTTTTAGTTAGTTCATATGCTTCTGTACTGTGAATTTTACAGTGAGCACATATTATTCCTATAATTTAAAAAAAATTAAACAATCCTTCAGCTGTGGACAAAGCAGCCTGTCAGTCAATATAAATGATCAATGTGACCAATTACCAGAAATCTGAGAGGGCAATGGTCTTTTCTCCAAATTTAAAGAAATAGTCAAGCAATTAAAAAAAAATGCTTCCATTCAGATGAACCATCTTAAAAAAAATTGTTCCCATAATCAACCACTAAAATTACATGTTTTTCTTTGGTATTTAGAGACAATAGATTAATTTTCCAGGTTCCAATATAGTTCTGTTTAGAACAGTATTCTAAAAATTCAAAGCTGGCCAGGTGCAGTGGCTCATGCCTGTAATCCCAGCATTTTGGGAGGCCGAGGTGGGTGGATCACTTGAGGCCAAGAGTTCAAAACCAGCCTGGCCAACAAGGTAAAACCCTATCTCTACTAAAAATACAAAAATTAGTTGGGCGTGGTGGTGGGCACCTCCAGTCCCAGCTACTAAGGAGGCTGAGGCAGGAAGAATTGCTTGAACCTGTGAGGCAGAGGTTGCAGTGAGCTGATATCACGCCACTGCACTCCAGCCTGGACAACAGAGTGAGACTCCATCTCAAAAAAATAAATAAATTAAATAAAATAAAAATAAAAATTCAAAGCTGAAATGCTGAAAGAAATTTGGGTAGTACCAAAGGAAGCAGCAAGTGACACAAGATGACAAAAGGGTAGACAGTCTTTAATATGCATACAAGTATTTGCTGAAAAACACACCAAGAACGGGGTGTCAACGTTCTCTACCTCCTTACCTCTCAAAGCCTGCATGGGTTTGGACCTGGAAGACCCGTACTTGAATTGAGGCTCTACTGCATACCAGCCATAGGATCTTGGTGCAAGTTATTCACTTACCACCATGAGCCTCAATTTCCTCATCTATAAGGTTCAATTAGCACCCACTACCACCCAATTAGGCTTCTTGTCAGGATTACAAATCACGTTTCTGAAACATCTAGCACATACTGTCTGGCACATACAGAAGCACAGTAAGTGGCCATTGTTATTTCTCCTTCCTCCCAGCAAAACCATGAGATAACAATACAAATTTCAGAGGTTCAGACAAAAACTTCAAAATTATTTATCCAAGGCTTCTGTTCAGATTATCAGTGACAAAGGAACACAGGAGTTTACATATATAATCTAAAGTTAAAGTTTAAAAATTGCCAACTAATAGTTGTAAGTACTATGATCATACAAGTCACAACTCCCAAAGCCTAGCAATGCATAAAACAGTAACATGCTCTGCAGCAAGTGTGCCCTCTACAGCAAGAGAAGGCAGCCCTCTGCTTCATTTGCTTTTCATAGAAAGACATCCATGACCTCTAAGTCTCCAAGTTTAAATATATAGCAAGACAGAAAAACTGAGAATGGATACAATTAATTTCAACCCAAGATGTGAAGGGTAAAGTTAAAAGCCCATTTATAAATAATACATACCTCACAAACCCTTCTTAAATCCTTCCCCCACCCCCACCCACCACCACCACAGAGACAGGGTCTTGCTATGTCACCCAGGCTGAAGTGCAGTGGTGCAATCACAGTTCACGGCAGCCTCCAACTTCTGGGCTCAAGCAACCCTCTTGCCTCAGCCTCTTGAGTAGCTGGGACCACAAGCACACCAACCACACCTGGCTATTTTTTATTTTTAGTTTTTTAGAGACAGGGTCTTCATATGCTGCCCAGGTCTCAAACTCCTGGCCTCAGGCAATCCTCCCACCTCAGCCTCCCAAGTGGTTGGGACTACAGGTGCACACTACCATGCCCAGCTAATTTTTAAATTTTTTGCAGAAAGGGGATCTTACTAGGTTGCTCAGGCTGATTTGAACTCTTGGCCTTAAGCAATCCTCCTGCCTCAGCCTCCCAAAGTGCTGGGATTACAGGCATGAGCCACCACATCAGGCCTCCAACCATGAATTCGTAAAGTAACTGACCACAAAATGTTAGTGCCTAATTACTTGACTAAAATTTTAAATTCTTTTTTTTGTGTGTGAGATAGGCTCTCACTCTGTCACCTAGGCTAGAGTGCAGTGATGCAATGTGGGCTCACTGCAACCTCCACCTCCCAGGCTCAAACGATCCTCCTACTTCAGCCTCCTGAGTAGCTGGGACCACAGGCGCGTGCCACCACGTCCAGCTAGTTTTTTTTTTTTTTTTTGGTAGAGATGAGGTTTTACCATGTTGCCCAGGTTGGTCTCAAACTCCTGAGCTCAAGTGATTTACCCACCTCAGCCTCCGAAAGTGCTGAGATTACAGGAGTGAGCCACCACAACCAGCCTAAAATGTTAAATTCTTAGAAGTAAGCACATGTAGTAAAGCAGAAACAGCCTATTTGTTGTAGTGGGACATCCAAGCCTTTGAGTTAAAATTCCAATTCAGTTGCTTACTTTGAATGCCCTTGGGCAAGTCATTTAACTCTTCTCTGCCTCTGTTTCCTTGTTTGTAAAACTAGGGCATTTTCTTCATGGGATTATTGTGGCAGTTAAGGGAAATAATGTACACACACAAACTTTCTGTCTGGTGGGAACTCAGTGCTGCTGACCCCACTCAGACAAGCATCAAGTGTTCTGGAGTCCTTCTGGGAGCTCTGTTCCTCTCCAGTTGAATCAACATAACTAAAACTTTCTGTTAACAGAAATTATAGGCCCCTTCCCCAAATCTTTTGCACTATTTTGCCATGCTATTCCGTAAACATATTACAATATTTAACTTGTATTAACTGTTATATTGATTATGCTTGTTTGAACATGAGTCATTTTCTTAATTTGTAAGCAGAGTCCATGTTTTGTAATTTAAAATAAACAACAAAAATTTTAAAAAACAGAAAAAAAAACTCAACTCTTAATATACTCTGATGATAGAGAAAGGCTATTTTCCTTTTTTGTTTGTTTGTTTGTTTTTTTGAGACAGAGTTTTGCTCTGTCGCGCAGGCTGAAGTGCAGTAGCACAATCTCGGCTCACTGCAACCTCTGCCTCCCGGGTTCAAGCAGTTCTCCTGCCTCAGCCTCCCAAGTAGCTGGGACTACAGGCACATGCTGCCACACCCAGCTGATTTTTTGTATTTTAGTAGAGACAGGGTTTCACTGTGTTGCCCAGGCTGGTCTTGAACTCCTGAGCTCAGGCAATCCGCCCACCTCAGCCTCCCAAAGTGCTAGGACTACAGGCGTCAGCCCCCGCACCCGGCCCAAAGGGCTATTTTCTTTACCAAGCCTTCCTCCAAGGTAAAATTCTCCATGTGTGTACCTATGTATATATGTATATACAACCACAAGGAAGATTTGGGTTTTTTAATAAAAAGTTTTTAATGTAGAAAAGGCCAGGTACAGTGGCTCATGCCTGTAATCCCAGCACGTTGGGAGGTCAAAGAGTGAGGATTGCTTGAGCTCAGGAGTTCAAAACCAGCCTGATACAACATGTGAAACCCAGTCTCTACAAAAAAAGAGAAAAAAGAAAAAAAATACAAAAACTGCCAGGCATGGGTGTGTGTCTATATTCCTAATTACTCCAGGGGCTGAGATGGGAGGATCACCAGAGCCTGGGAAGTCCAGGCTGCAGTAAGCCATGATCTCACCACTGTACTCCAGCCTGGGTGACAGAGTGAGACCCTGTCTCAAAAATAAAAAGTTCTTGAGGCCTGGTGTGGTGGCTCACACCTGTAATCCCAGCACTTTGGGAGGCCAAGGCAGGCAGATCACCTGAGGTCAGGAGTTCGAGACCAGCGTGGTCAACATGGTGAAACCCAGTCTCTACTAAAAATACACAAAATTAGCCGGGCATGGTGGTGGGTGCTTGTAATCCCAGCTACTCAGGAGGCTGAGGCAGGAGAATCGCTTGAACCTGGGAGGCAGAGGTTGCAATGACCCGAAATCGAGCCACTGCACTCCAGCCTGGGTGGGAGGCAGAAGTTGCAATGACCCGAAATCGAGCCACCACACTCCAGCCTGGGCGACAGAGCTAGACTCTGTCTCAAAAAAAAACAAAAAAACAAAAACAAAAAAAAACAAAAAAACCCTATCAGAATGAATCAAATCATATATAAACTAGCACCCAGAACCTGACCAAATACAAAGAAAAGTGTGATTCACTGCTTAAATTAAATTAGAACACTTGTGTTAGTAGAGAATAAGCTCAGCCTGGCGCAGTGGCTCACAGCTGTAATCCTAGCACTTTGGGAGGCTAAGGTAGGAGGACTGCTTGAGCCAAGGAGCCAGAGACAAGCCTGGGTAACATGGGGAGATCCTGTCTCTACAAAAAAAAAAAAAAAAAAAAAAAAATTAATTAATTAAAAAATAAAAATAAAAAAGAGAGTAAGTTAGCTCGGCTCAAAAAAGCCTGGTGAAGATGCCTAATTTGGAGTTCAGATTTCACTAGCTTTAGTAAGTAAGAAATCCAACTGCTCTTCATCAGGCAGATGCTAACCACCAATCTACACATAAAGCACTACATAATTATCCACATTATATATTTCACAAAATTGTTTCAAATGGCCTTTTATAAATTTAGCTATTTGACTATTTTTATAAATTTCATCTAACCCACTTTAAGACTAACATCTTAAACTCCACATTTTAAAACTCAAATTAGGCCGGGAACAGTGGCTCACACCTGTAATCCCAGCACTTTGGGAGGCCGAGGCGGGAGGATCACAAGATCAGGAGTTTGAGACCAGCCTGGCCAATAAGGTGAAACTCCGTCTTTACTATAAATACAAAAAATTAGCTGGGCGTGGTGGCGCAGCCTGTAATCCCAGCAACTTCAGAGGCTGAGGCAGGAGAATCACTTGAACCTGGGAGGTGGAGGTTGCAGTGAGCCAAGATCACACCACTACACTCCAGCCTGGGGGACAAAGCGACACCTTGTCTCAAAAAAAAAAAAAAAAAAAAAAAAACTCAAATGAGTTTGGGATACCAGATTTAAAGCTAAGCTTTGTCACTCTCAGATTTTCACATTTTAATATTGATAATGATAGTTAACATTCTCTTTTCTGTTTTCAATCTCCTAAATCAAGTATTCTTAATCTGAGGTTCATGAACAGCCTTGGTGTGAACTGCCTATAACTTTATGCAAAATGTTATATGAGTATATAGACACAAAGGGAGCAGATGCATCAAATGTAACGTGAGTATGGCTACACGACCATAAATGGGTTAAATGTAACAGTCCCAAATCAAGATACCAGAAAATATCTATAAGGAGAGTAGAAAGGACAAAGAGTAATTCCACTTAAGTACTATTATTATACAAAGGAAATACATTCAGAGAAATTAAATCCATCATTGTTCTTGGAAAACATGAATTACATAATTCACTGAGTTTCACTGTTGAAGATCACTAGTTTGAGACGCAGACTGCACAAAATGCCCTATGTAAAGACCATAGATGGCCAAGTGAGGTGGGTCACACCTGTAATCCCAACACTTTGAGAGGCTCAGGCAGGAGGATCACTTGAGCCCAGGTGTTCGAGACCAGCATAGGCAACATAGCGACATCTCATCTCTTAAAAAAAAATTAGCCAGGCATGGTGCCAGTTACTCAGGAGGCTGAGACAGGAGGATCACTAGAGTACAGGAGGTTGAGACTGCAGTGAGCCATGACTGTGCTACCACCACTCCAGCCTGGGAGACAGAGCTAGATCATGTCTCGAAAAAAAAAAAAAAAAAAACCATAGCCACGTGGCTGGCACCGAGTAAGTGCTAAATAGCACCTAGTATTATTAAAAAGTGATGTTTCCAAAAGAATGGTCCCTCTTGTGAATAAAGGCATGCATATTTAACACTACTTGTCCTAATTAGGAAATCTACAAGCATAGAACACAGTAAACTTAACTGGAACCTATCACAACCTTGGATTTAATAAAGCAGTGTAGGGTGTTCCAGCCAATTGAGCCAACCTGTCACAGAAGTACCAAGGAAAACTATTTCCTACTTCTTCTGTACCCTATCTCTCACATGTTTCAGTCAGCCAACAAACTAACACTTAGTTCTCTGGCTCCTCAGGACCATTTTTCCCCTGAATATCATTCCACCATTACCCTATTAATAATCTGCAACACTCCCAGGGTGGTTCCAAAGAAAGGCCAAGACCTAAATTTTCTTCCCTAAATTACATTCCAGATATCAAAGCAGTAATCTCAGCCCCACCTTCTATAGGGAAACAAAGGAATAGTCTAATTGCTCCCCTCTCCCTCTAAAGCGGGGGCCGGGGGGGAGTCTGGGCATTTTGCCTAATTCTCAAAGGAAAATTCCAAAATGTAGTGGCGACAAAGTGGTAAAAAGCTGATAAGCAGCCAAACGTAGTGGCTCACGCCTGTAATCCTAGCACTTTGGGAGACCAAGGCAGGCGGATCACCTGAGGTCAGGAGTTGGAGACCAGCCTGGCCAACATGGTGAAACCCCATCTCTACTAATATAAAAATTAGCTGGCCGTGGTGGTGGACGCCTGTAGTCCCAGTTACTCAGGAGGCTGAGGCAGAAGAAATGCTGGAACCCGGGAGACAGACGTTGCAGTAAGCCAAGATTGTGCCACTGCACTCCAGCCTGGGTGACAGAGCAAGACTCTATCTCAAAAAAAAAAAAAAAAAAAAAAAAAAAAAAGCTGGTAAGCTACACATTTAAAATACCTCATGCACTGGCACACTACACCCATTTTCAGTTTTTCTTCATCTTAAGACACTCAGCCAAGCGTGGGGCTCATGCCTATAATCCCAGCACTTTGGGAAGCTGAGGCAGGTGGATCTCGAGACCAGGAATTTGAGACTAGCCTGGGGCAACATATTGAAATCCCATCCCTACAAAAAATACAAAAAAAAAAAAAAAATTAGCCAGGTGTGGTGGCACGCGCTTGTATTCTCAGCTACTCAGGAGGCTGAGGTGGGAGGATCACTGAAACCCGGCTAGGAGTTGGAGGCTATAGTAAGTTATGATTGCATCACTGCACTGTAGCCTGCGTGACAGAGTAAGACCCTATATCTCAAAAAACAGACACTCAAAGTTGATTAGCAAATTTTTTTTAAATCTCAAAACGTTAAGAAGCATCTTATTTTACCCTAAACATGTTCATATATTAGGAAAGTATATAGCTTGCCACAAAAGAAAGCTATTCTGGCCAGACGTGGTGGCTCACGCCTGTAATCTCAGCACTTTGAGAGGCAGAGGCAGGTGGATCACAAGGTCAGGAGATCATCCTGGCTAACACAGTGAAACCCCATCTCTACTAAAAAATGCAAAAATTTAGCTGGGCCTGGCGGCGGGCACCTGTAGTCCCAGCTAATCGGGAGGCTGAGGCAGGAGAATGGTGTGAGCCCAGGAGGCAGAGCTTGCAGTGAGCCCAGATCACACCACTGCACTCCAGCCTGGGCAACAGAACAAGACTCCGTCTCAGACAAAAAAAAAAAAAAAAAAAAAGCAAGCTCTTCTTTACTATCCAAAATAAAACTGAACTATTCAAACTACAAATAGTGAAACCATCACATAGGTATAGTCAAAACTACCCAGAAGAGAAAACACACACATACACAACACACAGCCAACAGATTGCTATGGAAGGTGAATATAGCAGGATGTTAGCACATACGTAAATTTTTTTTTTTTTTTTTTTGAGACAGAGTCTCGCTCTGTCGCCCAGGCTGGAGTGCAGTGGCGCGATCTCGGCTCACTGCAAGCTCTGCCTCCCGGGTTCAAATGATTCTCCTGCCTCAGCCTCCCAAGTAGCTGGGACTACAGGCGCCTGCCACCACGCCCAGCTAATTTTTTGTATTTTTAGTAGATGGGGTTTCACCGTGTTAGCCAGGATGGTCTCGATCTCCTGACCTCGTGATTCGCCCACCTCGGCCTCCCAAAGTGCTGGGATTACAGGGCACATACATAAATTATTAAGATTGCTTCCAGAATTAAAAAGACCAAGATACCTGAGAAATAAAATTACTCAGAAAGCAAAATTCCCTTTAAAAGCCAAGTAGAAGCCAGGCGCGTGGCTCACACAAGTAATCCCAGCAATTTGGCTGAGGTGGGTGGATCACGAGGTCAGGAGTTTGAGGCCAGCCTGGCCAACATAGTGAAACCCTGTCTCTACTAAAACTACAAAAATTAGCCGGGTGTGGTGGCACACACCTGTACTCCCAGCTACTTGAGAGGCTGAGGTGGAAGAATCACTTAAACCTGGAAGGCGGAGGTTGCAGTGAGCCGAGATCACGCCAACGCACTCCAGTGACAAAGTGAGACTCTGTCTCAAAAAGAAAAAAAAAGAAGCCAAGTAGAGAACTGGCAAGGAAGATTTGATTTTGAAGCACTTCCATCTTTAAGACAACGTTAAAAAAAAAAACTAAACTAAAATATTTGATGGTTAAAAACTGTCTAACATCCCTCATTTTAACTTAATTTGATTAAAGGGGGAAATTTTTATTTTTTATTTTTTTGAGACAGAATCTCACTCTGTCACCCAGGCTGGAGTGCAGTGGCCAATCTTGGCTCACGGCAACCTCTTTTTCCCAGATTCAAGCGATTCTCTTGTCTCAGCCTCCTCAGTAGCTTGGGACTACAAGCGCACACCACCACGCCTAGCTAATTTGGTGTTTTTAGTAGAGGCAGGGTTTCACCACATTGGCCAGGCCGGTCTAGAACTGACCTCAAGTGATCTGCCTGCCTCGGCCTCCCAAACTGCTATTACAGGCGTGAGACACCTCGCCCAGCCAAAAGCGGGAAATTTTTTAATGCAAAATTTCAGGCTGGACATGGTGGCCCACCCAGTGCTTTGGAAGGATCGCTTGAGGCCAGGAGTTTGAGACCAGCCTGCACAACATAGGAGGCACAGTCGCTACAAAAAAATTTTTAATGTGAAATTTCAGTTGTTATCTTCATTTTATTTTACTTTATTTTGAGACAGAGTCTTGCTCTGTCGCCCAGGCTGGAGTGCAGTGGCGCAATCTCAGCTCACTGCAATGCCCACCTCCAGGGTTCAAGAGATTCTCCCGCCTCAGCTTCCCAAGCAGCTGGGACTACACGCAGGCACGACCACACCCAATTAATTTTTCTATGCTTAGTAGAGACAGGGTTTTGCCATGTTGGCCAGGCTGGTCTCAAACTCCTGACCTCAGGTGATCTACCGCCTGGGCCTCCCAAAGTGCTGTGATTATAGGCATGAGCCACTGTGCCAGGCCTCAGTTCTTATCTTTAAATGATCCTACAAGATTATCTCATCATCTCATTCACACAAAATTCTCAATATATATATTTTAAAGGTTTTATACAACTACTGAATACTTAAATTACCGGAAGAATTACAGATGGTGATATTCTATAGACATTTAAAAAATCATATTCTGGACAATGAGAATACTAGTTATCTTTCTTCTTTAAACTTTTCTGAGTTTTTCAAACCACCACCAAAAGTCACAAAGACAACCTGCTTTCACTTTCAAACACTTAAGTTTTGTTAAAAATTATTTGAAACACAATGCAAGCAAAAAAAAAAAAAAAGGTCAAATGTTTCTTGAGTATAACATGAAAGAAGAGCAAAGTCTGAAAGACTGATAACATTTTCAGAGATTCTGGAGCCATGATATACTTAAGGGGATGGGGGCTAAAAATAAGGTAAATACTTTAAACTTTTTCTGCATTAAAGAATTATAGTTGATCTAAGTAGACTACTATATTTCTTCCTACTATAGTTAGCTGGTATACTGAAGACAGGTAGACATGCTTTATTCTTAACACATTCCTTAAAGATGAACCAATCAAAATTATTTTCTTGACACTAAAAAAATCCACTGGAAGCCAGTGGATTATGAAAAATGTTATGAGAATAATCACGAGAATAATGTTAAGTATTTCTTTCTTTTTTTTTTTTTTTTTTTGAGGAGTCTCACTCTGTCCCTCAGGCTGGAGTGCAGTGGCATGATCTGGACTCACTGCAGCCTCCGCCTCCCAGGTTCAAGTGACTCTCCTGCCTCAGGTTCCTGAGTAGCTGGAATTACAGGCGTGCACCACCACACCCAGCTAATTTTTGTATTTTTAGTAGAGGCAGTGTCTCATCATGTTGGCCAGGCTGGTCATGACCTCAAATGATCCGCCCACCTCGGCCTCCCAAAGTGCTGAGATTACAGGCGTGAGCCACTGCGCCTGGCCATGTTAAGCATTTCTTAATGTGCTGAAATAATCACTGCCTGCTTCAAAACGTAGCTCAAAAAAAATCCACATTTTTCTTCAGATCCTCAAAAAAAAGCTTTAACCCTTTCTATCTACTTTTTTAACTGTTCAGATTACACTTTCAATTGCCTTTTTTTTTTTTTTTTTTTTTTTTTTGAGACAAGTCTTGCTCTGTTGCCCAGGCTGGAGTGCAATGGTGTGATCTCGGCTCACTGCAACCTCCACCTCCGAGGTTCAAGAGATTGTCCTGCCTCAGCCTCCCGAGTAGCTGGGATTACAGGCGCCAGCCAACACACCCAGATAATTTTCTGTATTAGTAGAGATAGGGTTTTGCCATATTGGCCAGGCTGGTCTTGAACTCCTGACCTTAGGTGATCCACCTGCTTCAGCCTGATCAACATTAGAGATGGCTGGGTACTCTATACAAAAATTAGCTGGTTATGGTGGCAAATGCCTGTAATCCCAGCTACTCAGGAGACCAAGGCAGGAAAATCGCTTGAACCCAGGAGGCAGAGATTGCAGTGAGCCAAGATCGCGCCACTGCACTCCAGCCTGGGTGACAGAGTGAGACTCCATCTCGAAAAAAAGAAAAAGAAAAGAAAACAAAAACAAAAAAAAACACAAACAGCCAGGCACAGTGGCTCACGCCTGTAATCCCAACACTTTGGGAGGCCAAGGCCCGGGCGACAGAGCAAGATTCCGTCTCAAAAAAAAAACAAAACAAACAAAAAAAGTAATACAGCTACCAACTCTTATGTAAACCAATATAAATCTAAAAATTCTGTTGCTTCAGAATCTTTTTTCTCAAGATCCCATTTTCACTACCAAATTTAGCAGAACCCATTAACAAAGATTATAAATTTCTAAAAGAAACAATATAAATTGGTAATGATAAACCAAAGTAACTTAAGGAACATCTGGAGTACATTTGTAAACATTAGCTAATATACCATTGTTAGTTATTAAGATAACATACTGGAAGCAGGAAAAGCATCCACCCATTAAAGTTTTAATTGAAGAGAAAGCAAGACTTTGGAGTTTGGAACAAGATGTTAAAAACGAATGAGCTTGTATTTGCGTGATAAAACACTAAAGAACTTTTCTTTCTTTCCTTTATTTTCCAAATTTTCTCTAATTACTTTTATAAAGATAACAAGCTTCATTAAAACAAAAAGAAACTGCTTAAGTCAGATTACTAAAAATCTGATTGCTCACTGCCCTTGTGACCTCCCCTAATAAAATATCCCTCACTTCCTCTCACCCTAAGTAATTTTCACTAACACTTTTGCAAAGGTTTTCTCAAATTCCTGTATTATTTTACTAAACAGTCTAGAATACAAATATAGTAGGCCAGATACCCATGTATTTGATCCCAGAAAAAATATAAAAACTGTTTCTGGGTTTGATCCCTTTGAGGTCATTAGTCTTCAAAAGAAAGGATGATTTGACACCGTATTTACTTATTAATTACTGTCCTTGTCATTTATGAGCCATTCCTCCTTCTTCTCCCCCTTGAAAATTCCTAGTCACTCCCTCTGTTCCTCCAAATCTAATTGCTGATAAATCCCTTTCAGGTCTCTCTTCTATAAAGTCTTCCAAAACCCAGATAGCCAACCACAACCCACCATCCCCCTGAAATCTTGTTGCTCTCATCCATGCCACACATCTGGAATTTGCTATATCTACTGGTATTTGACATGTATAAAATCTATTTCTGCCGGGCGCGGTGGCTCACGCCTGTAATCCCAACACTTTGGGAAGCTGAGGCGGGCGGATCACTTCGGGAGTTTGAGACCAGCCTGACCAACATGGAGAAACCCCGTCTCTACCAAAAATACAAAATTAGCCGGGAGTGGTGGCACATGCCTGTAATCCCAACTTCTCGGGAATCTGAGGCAGGAGAATCACTTGAACCCAGGAGGCGGAGGTGGCGGTGAGAGGAGATTTGCGCCATTGCACTCCAGCCTGGGCAACAAGATTGAAACTCCGTCTCAAAACAATAAATAATTTTTTTTTTGAGACGGAGTCTTGCTCTGTCGTCCAGGCTGGAGTGCAGTGGCCAGATCTTGGTTCACTGCAAGCTCCACCTCCCGGGATCACGCCATTCTCCTGCCTCAGCCTCTCGAGTAGCTGGGACTACAGGTGCCCACCACCACGCCCGGCTAATTTTTTTGCATTTTTAGTAGAGACGGGGTTTCACCGTGTTACCGAGGATGGTCTCGATCTCCTGACCTCGGGATCCGCCCGCCTCGGCCTCCCAAAGTGCTGGGATTACTGAGGTGAGCCACCGCGCCTGGCCTATATCTAAACTTCTTAAGCGCAAGGATTATATTCCTAAATCCTGGTACTAATAGAATGCCTTTCATGAAAATGATGCATACCACCTGAAGAATGCTCACACGGTTTTTCAAATTCTTTTATATACATTTGAATTTCACCACTACCCTGACAGGAATAATGACTCCAATTATCCTATTTTACAAAAGGGAAAAAAAATTCAGAGGCTGAGTAACTTGTCAAAGTTCTCAACTAATCTTGAAGATTTATTTACACTAATAAACATATATATAGCAAATTCAGAAAATTTCCTGAACAGTAGAGGTCTATAAACCTCGATAAAGCAGTAAATCCATGTTCTTTATTGTTACCAAGAAAACTACTAAATTAAGAACCTCAAGTTCACCTCCGTTCAACTGTGCAAAACCAACTTTGTCCTTGGAGCCCTTGAAAAAAAATTTTTTTTAAACTGTCAACACAGCAAATGTCACTACAAGAACACTACCCTCAACTTCTAAAACATGAAATTCTAATAAAATACTACGGTTTCTGTTTAGTGCAAAAGATTTCAGCTTCAAGCCACACTATTACAAAACTTGTAAGCATTTTGCAAGAGCCATGTGACACACATATGACAGTCAGCTAAACTGGTGGGTGGACCTTTTAGGGGAAAATGTCTAGCAGTAATTGACCAAACCAGCAAATAAACTCAACTTTTACAACAAATACTGATGTTCCCCCATCCCTCAAAGGCCTTTGACACTGAAAAGGAATACCAATTCGGTCTCTTCCAATTATTCATTACTTTACATGCATGTAAACTGTAGAGGAAATTTTTAAAGGGCCATTGAGGAGAGCCCAACAAACTCTACCCAAGGGAAGTGAACACCAGTTCCCAGGAAAGGTGCCAGGTGTGTCACATCTGCTGTGGTGACTTCTTGAGTAAGCAAGAAAAAGAAATGCATTAACTTTTCATGACACGTCATGGAACCTCATTCCCTATCTGCAAGCATCCAAGCAGGTAATCCAAAACCTACATACAGATCTATCATAGGTCCCGTTCGTTTCTCTTTCAACTTGACAGCAAGCTTCCTTTAATCTGCGAGTATCAAAAAGACATTTCTTGGCTTTAGTTTTTTTTTTTTCCCTTGACCCACAGAAGACAAAATGACTTAGGTGTCCTCTTTAAAAAAAAAAAAAACAAAATTCTCACAAATGCCCAGGTTTTTATAGGAGGGCAATGGACCCGGCGAGCTCTTAAACAACTCCTCCAAGACACAACTCAAAAAGAGAACTAATAAATGTTCAGTTGCTTCTCACCATCTACTCATTCCCCTCAATCCCACGCAGTCCCGAAAAGCATCCATATTACCTGAAACCTGGCGGGGAGGATGGAAGGAGAGAGAGCCAACAAGCTCAGGATTTACAAGTAAAGCTGGTTTCTACCCCGAAGATCCTGACAGCTCCGCAGAGTGCGGGCGCAGGGTCTGACAGTGCCCTCTAGAAGGGCTCTCCCACCCCATCCCCTCCCCTTAGAGACAAGTCCTCCTTCAAAAGTCACTGCCTCCGAGAGAAGATACCCCTTCACACCGCCCCAGGCCCCTCGGCAGGCTTCCTCAGCACCCGCCCCGCAGTCAGGCCCTCTAACCTGACCCGGTCCAGGCCCGGGCGGCTCACCCCTCCGGCCCGACCCCTCCCCCGCGCGGCCGCCCCTCCGCGTCAGACAATGGGGCCCGACTCCCGGCCGCCAGCCTCTCCTGACCCATCACCCTCGCCTCACCCCAGCCGATGCCCCGACTTCTGCCCCAACCCTCCTCGACCCCTTTAAGATCCCCCAAGCTGGCCCACGGACCCAGCCGACCGGTGCTCTCCTGAACTCACTATTCGGGATTCATGCTGGACATGTCACTGCAGCTGCCGCCGCCGCCACCGCCGCCCTTGCTGCCGCAGCCGCCGCCCTGACTCTCCGCGCCACGGGTAATCGAAAGAAAGGAATGAGATAGGCTGTTCCGGGAGAGCAAACGTCTTCCCCTACTCCGTCCCCTAGAACACAATCAGCAGCCGCCGCCACTCAGCTATCGCTTCCACCCAAAATGGCCGCCGGCGAACCAGGAAATAGGGAAGCCTTAGACCGAGGGGCCTTTACACGGCCCAGAGGGCGGCCGCACCGCCTGGCATGCCGGGAAAGGGAGTCGCGAGCGCGGCTACGCGAGCTGAGGACAGACAGTGCGACGCAAGGCCAGGACTCAGCTTCCCGCCAAGCGCCGCGCCTCTGGGGCATGCGTACCTGAAGGGTTGTCGCCCGCCCCATTCCCCACTCCCTCACCTCCCCACCCTCGGCCCCTCCCTGCTCCCCTCCCCTCTGACTCGCTGGCTAGGACTTCGCTCGGACTCCCCCTGGCGGATTGGCTAAGGCCGAGCTGCCCTAGTGATGTCATCAGTGAGACGTGGCAGCCGGGCGAGTCAGCGCCCCACGGGGGAGGGGGCGGAGAGGGGCGGAGGGTGGTGCCGGCGGCCGACGGAGGCTGGGGGTCGGGGGAGGCAAGGGACCGGGGGGAGTGGTCAAACCGGAGGGACTGCCGGGGGTGCGGGGGCGGGGAGGGGGCCGGGGTACGAGCGTGTCGGCTCCTGCCTCCGTTGCGGCTGTTGCTGACCTGACCAGCTTGAGGCTTGCGCCACCCTGGTGGCGCTGGTTGGGGGCTGGTAGGAGGACGTCCGCTCTAAGAACAGAAGGGAAGTCAAGGGGCTCCCTGGACGGCACGGAGCGGTTCTTCTCGTCACTCACCCATCCCCACCTGGGTTCGGTCATCGTCCATTGTTGGCCCCGCGCACTACCATTTTCTTCTTAGATTTCTTCCCATTCTTACTGTGCCCCGCTCTTAACTCGTCAGCCTGGCTATTGCAGTAGTCTCCAAATGGACTCTACCTCTCTCTCTCCTCTCCGCCCCAGCCCATTTGCACACACAGTCGGATGTATCTTTCTGAGACAGCACCTGCATCGTGACCCCACAACCTTCAATGGCTCCACATCCCATGGATGGGAGGGACACAGCCCAGAGCCAGCCTAAAATCCAATTCCTACCTTCGTCCCGGCCTTCAGGTTGAATTGTAATGTATTATCTTTTAGTTGCTACTAACCCTGAGCCATTCTGCAAGACTGGAAAATAATAAGCAATAAAAATAGGCAATTCATCACTATATAGTGCCTACAATTTCTGGGAGTAATATTAACTCATTTTTAAAAAACCTATGGCCTTAACAGCTCTCTTTAATCAGCTCAGGAATTTAAATCTCCGCTAAACTTTAACACATTATCTTGAGTTATTTAATTACAAAGGGCATAGTGTAATACATTGTCCAAAGTTTATCTTCCAACTTCTAAGAACTAAGAAAATTGTCTCCTGAGACTTACTGCAGAATCACTTTAAATTCCTACAACGCCAAAATATAGAAAGAAGGCACTTATTTCTACCCATACACTAATTACACCCCTTAGCCCTCAAATTCTGCCATGGGCCTTAGTTGATGAACTTATCAAAAGTTACCCGAGTTTGGTTTCTGAAATGAACATGTTGGTTTCTGAAATGAACACGGTCACCACCCCAGGAATACCCTGAATGGTTCAGTAATAGGCACCAAAAAGTGTTCGTTACCCTGGACTCTAAAGCCCATTAAAAAAAAAAAAAGCTTATTTTGATTTCAAATAAAAACTCAGAAAACTGGCCAGGCTCGGTGGCTCATGCCTGTAATCTCAGGAATTTGAGAGGCCAAAACGGACAGATCACGAGGTCAGGAATTCAAGACCAGCCTGGCCAACATGGTGAAACACTGTCTCTACTAAAAATACAAAAATTAGCCAGGCATGGTGGCGCGTGCCTGTAATCCCAGCTACTCGGGAGGCTGAGGCAGGAAAATTGCTTGAACCCGGGAGGCGGAGGCTACAGTGGGCCGAGAGGCCACTGCACTCCAGCCTGGGCGACAGAGCAAGATTCTGTCTTGAGGGGAGAAAAAAAATCTCAGAAAACTGTGACCTGAGTCACTAGTAAAGGCACACACACACACACACACACACACACACCCCCAAAAAACCCTCAGAAAACTGTCCAGAACTCGTCCTCAGCCAAAAATACAATCTGTCCTCCCCTGGGAAGTATACTCCCAAACTTCCTTTAATTAACTATTTTCTTTCCCAACAAAGAATTACCCCCTGCCAGGCGCAGTGGCTCACGCCTGTAATCCCAACACTTTGGGAGGCCAAGGCGGGCAGATTATGAGGTCAGGAGATCGAGACCATCCTGGCCAACATGGTGAAACCCCGTCTCTGCTAAAAATACAAAAATTAGCTGGGCGTGGTGGCGTGTGGCACGTGAGATTACAGAATCTCAGCTACTCGGGAGGCTGAGGCAGGAGAATGGCTTGAACCAGGGAGTCAGAGGTTGTAGTGAGCCGAGATCGCGCCACTGCACTCCAGCCTGGCAACAGAGCGAGACTCAGTCTCAACAACAACCACCAAAAAAAAAAAAATTACCTCCTAGTAGCTTTTAATCTAAGTGACAGGATAGCTGTAAGCGTTGAATAAACACAATGTAAAGCATATAGTACAATGGCTTTGGGACCCTTGGTAAATGTTAATTACTTTTCTCTGTAGGAGAGCAAAAAAATGACTTCCCTCCACCCTGCTAGGTTCCTTGGCTAGTTTATGAACTAAATTAACCTAAGACAGATTAACAGGAGAAAATCATATTTGATTAAGTACATATGCATGGGAGTTCCTCAAAATAAGAGACTCCAAGAAGGGTCTGATGATTGAAGCATCCTGAGCTACAGAAAAGAATACGGCTTGGTGGCCGGGTGCAGTAGCTCACGCCTCTAATCCCAGCACTTTGGGAGGCCAAGGCGGGTGGATCACGAGGTCAGGACATCAAGATCATCCTGGCTAACACGGTGAAACCCAGTCTCTACTAAAAATGCAAAAACAAAATTACCTGGGCGTGGTGGCGGCTGCCTGTAGTCCCAGCTACTCGGGAGGCTGAGACAGAAGAATGGCGTGAATCCGGGAGGCGGAGCTTGCAGTCAGCTGAGATGGCACCACTGCACTCCAGCCTGGGCTACAGAGCGAGAGTCCATCTCAAAAAAAAAAAAGAATAGGGCTTGGTGCCGGGCGCGGTGGCTTACGGCTTACGGCTGTGATCCCAGCTCTTTGAGAAGCCAAGGTGGGTGGATCACTAGAGGTCAAGAGTTCGAGACCAGCCTGGCCAACCTGGCGAAACCCTGTCTCTACTAAAAACACAAAAAATTGGGCAGGCACAGTGGCTCACGCCTGTAATCCCAGCACTTTGGGAGGCCAAGGCAGGTGGATCATTTGAGGAGTTCAAGACCAGCCTGACCAATATGGTGAAAACCCGTCTCTACTAAAAATACAAAAATCAGCTGGGCATGGTGGCACATACCTGTGATCCCAGCTGCTCGGGAGGCTGAGGCAGGAGAATCGCTTGAACCTGGGAGGCGGAGATTGCAGTGAGCCGAAACTGTGCCACAGCACTCCAGCCTGGGCAACAGAGCGAGACTCAATCTCAAAAAAAAAAAAATTGAAAAAATTAGCCAGGCATGGTGGCGGGTACCTGTAATCCTAGCTACTCAGGTAGCTGAGGCAGGAGAATATCTTCAACCCGGGAGGTAGAGGTTGCAGTAAACTGAGATCACACCACTGTACTCCAGCCTAGGTGACAGAGCAAGACTCCATCTCAAAAAAAAAAACAAAACTGGGGCTTGGGGCCTTCGGAGAGGTAATGATAAGCTACAGGAGGGCAAGAGGGGAAATGCATGGTAAAGAAAGATTGTCCTGCCATGCAGATAAAAAGTCTCTCAGGTAATAAAAGTTATCTTGAGGCAGCCCTCTCTCTGATATAGATACGTTACTAATGTAGATTTCCTTTGTAGACATAAACTTATTTTACAAAAGGACAGCTTTTCAGAGCTACTCCTGTGTCTACAGTTTCTTAGAATAACCAGCTCAAAATATGCCACCAAAGAAGAATATTTTAGGAGAGCATATTCTGGTCCCCCAGAGTGATATTTGAGGTGGTATGTCCTGGTCCCCAACATCTACTTCTCTCAGCTTCTCTGAAAGTCTTAAGTGTACCTGCTGTGTACCAAGGACAGAAAGCCTCATAGCTTAGCTTCCGTGTTGTAGAATATTATGCGAAGAGGTCAGAGGCAGCTTAGCCTGGGAATGGTAGGTGGGTGTTTTCTACCCCCACTGAAATTTATGTGCAATTACATTAAGACTTCCTTTCCAAATTTAAAGTGGCTAAAAATTAAACTTTTTAAAAGTTTTGCTGACTCAAACTTTAATATATATATTTTCGTGTGTGTTTTTTTGTTGTTGTTGTTGTTGTTGTTTTGAGATGGAGTCTCACTCTGTCTCCCAGGCTGGAGTGCAGTGGCACGATCTCAGCTCACTGCAACCTCCCCTCTCCCGGGTTCAAGCTGTTCCCTGGCTTCAACCTCCCGAGTGGCTAGGATTACAGGTGCGCACCACCACATCCAGCTAATTTATTGTATTTTTAGTAGAGACCAGACGGGCTTTCACCATGTTGGCCAGGCTGGTCTCGAACACCTGACCTCAGGTGGTCAGCCCGTCTCAGCCTTCCAAAGTGCTGGGATTACAGGCGTGAGCTCCTGCGCCCAGCTCAAATTTTAATATATATTTTATGTTTAGGTTTTTAGAAGTAGTTACATTTCTAGCTCAAGTGAATAACTCAGAATCTAATTCATTAAACTAGTGTGAGCCTTGTTGGCTGCCCTATTGTTGAATCAGAATTATCCTAGGGCTGTTTGTCCATTTGTTCATTAGCTTGCTTTTTTCTTTCTTTTTAAAAGTTTTTTCTTCCTTCCTTTTCCTTTTCCTCCCTCCTGCTTTTATCAAATGTTTATGACCTGACACATAGTAAATGTGTTTTGTACTTGTGTTTGGAACAGTGAGGAAGATAAAGATAAATTATTACAGCTTTCTGTCTTCAATGAAATTAAGATCCAGCAGGAGAAAGATAAGAACACAGAGAACGCCTATAGGAAAAATGCAAAAATATATTAAAATGATACAAACTGTATAGGAACAGAAATCAGATCAATGATTGCCAGAAACTAGGAATGGGAGGAGGGAATTTTCTACAAAGAGACACAAGGGACCGTTTTTTGTTTGTTTTTGTTTTTTGAGACAGGGTCTCCCTCTGTCACCCAGGCTGGAGTGCAGTGGCGGGGTCACAGATCACTGCAGCCTCAACCTCCTGGGCTCCAGTGATCCACCTCAGCTTCTCAAGCAGCTGGGACTACAGGCATGTGCCATTATGCTCAGCTAATTTTAAAATTTTTTAAAGAGATGGGGTCTCACTATGTTTCCCAGGCTAGGAACTTTTTGGTTTGGTGGAAATATCCTGTATCTTCATTGTGGTGATGATAAGTAACTCAAATGCAAATGCTTGTCAAAACTCTTAGAACTATGTGCTGAGGCCAGGCGTGGTGGCTCACTCCCGTAATCCCAGCACTTTGGGAGGCTGAGGCAGGTGGATCACCTGAGGCCAGGAGTTCAAGACCAACCTGATCATTATGGTGAAACCCTGTCTCTACTAAAAATACAAAAATTTGCCAGGCGTGGTGGCATGTGCCTGTAGTCCCAGCTACTGGGGAGGCTGAGGCAGGAGAATTTCTTGAACCTGGGTGGTGGAGGTTGCAGTGAGCTGAGATAGTGCCACTGCACTCCAGCCTGGGTGACAGAGCAAGACTCCGTCTCAAAAAACAACAACAACAACAACTGTGTGCCAAAAAGGGGTAACCTAACTGTACATAAATTGTACCTCAATTGGCCGGGCGCAGTGGCTCACCCCTGTAATCCCAGCACTTTGGGAGGCTAAGGCCTGTGGATCACAAGGTCAGGAGTTCGAGACCAGCCTGACCAACATGGTGAAACCCCATCTCTACTAAAAATACAAAAATTAGCCAGGCACAGTGGTGGGTGCCTGTAATCCCAGCTACTCAGGAGGCTGAGGCCGAAGAATCACTTGAACCCAGGAGGCAGAGTTTCAGTGAGCCGAGGTCGTGCCACTGCACTCCAGCCTGGGAGACAGAGTGAGACTCCGTCTCAAAAAAAAAAAAAAAAGATACAAGGTGGGCTGGGCATGGTGGCTCACACCTGTAATCCCAGCACTTTGGTAGGCTGAGGTGGGTGGATCACTTGAACTCAGGAGTTTGAGACCAGCCTAGGCAACATGGTGAAATCCCATGTCTACCAAAAATATAATACAAAAATTAGCCAGGCGTGGTGACACACATCTGTGTTCCCAGCTACCTGGGAGGCTGAGGCAGGAGGGTCACTTGAGCTCAGGAGGTAGAGTTTGCAGTGAGCTGAGATTGCATCACTGCACTCCAGCCTGGGTGACAGTGAGACTCCATCTAAAAACAAAAAATGAAAGTGGAAGTACAGAGGAAAGAAACAATTCCAACTCAAACAACTGGGAACAGTTTCATGAAGGAGGTATTATTTGAGTTAGGTCTTAAAAAGGGATAAAATTTTGATCATTGGCAGAAATGGGAGTGAGGAGGCCATTTATCTCAGAATGACAAGAGGATGTAAGCAGAATCACAAATGTGTGAAAATGCACATGAGTTTAAGGAATAGTGATCACAGGTTCCATGGGAGATGAGGTGGGAGAAGCTTAGGCTAAGGTCAGATCATGGGGAGCCTTGATGCCTGCTAAGGGAATTAGACTCTATTCAGTAGGCAGTGGAGAGCCAAGAAGAGTAATGAGAAGGAAGGGATGTGAGCTCATCAGTTCAGTGTTTATTTTATTTTATTTTTTGAGATGGAGTCTCGCTCTGTCACCTAGGCTGGAGTCCAGTGGCACGATTTCAGCTCACTGCAACCTCTGACTCCTGGGTTCAAGCAATTCTCCTGCCTCGGCCTCCCTAGTAGCTGGGATTACAGATGCCTGCCACCACGCCTGGCTAATTTTTGCATTTTTTAGTAGAGGCAGCGTTTCAGTATGTTGTCCAGACTGGTCTCGAACTCCTGAACTCGTGATCCGCCTCCCTCGGCCTCCCAAAGTGCTGGGATTACAGGCATGAGCCACCATGCCCAGCCCAGTTCAGTGTTTTAGAAGGAACTCTTGGGAGCTCTGTGGAAACTGGAGGTAGGAAGATTAGTTAAAAGGTAATTAAAGCTGGGCGTGGTGTCTCAGCCTTGTAATCCTAGCACTTTAGGAGGCAGAGATGGGAGGATTGCTTGAGGCCAGAAGTTCCATGAGACCAGTCTGGTCAACATAGGTAGACTCCCATCTCTATAATAAATAAATAAATAAATAAATAAATAAATAAATAAATAAATAAGAAAAAAAGGTAATTAGATTCATTCAGGCAAGAGATGTTGTATCCTGACCTAGGGCAGTTGCATCAAGAAGGGAAAGAAGGGGAGATGCCAGAGAGGAGGAGGTAGACTCTAAAGGCATGAAAGGAGGAGCTAAAGATAACCCAGAGATATCCAGCTTACCTTCCCACAAGGGAACAAGGGCCCCAAGTGAGCAAACAGACAAGGAGGGGCTTGGAGTGGGATGGAGGAGGAAGACAGGCAGTGCTGTGTGGCTTGAGGTCAGACTTAGAGCTGCCCTGGTGTGAAAGTACTAGAAATACTGGACATTGTTCGCCTTCTGAATCAGCACAAAAAATAGAACTATCAAAGGTAAACAAAGCCAGGCACTAGTTAAAATAGTAAGTATAGACTTTATTCAGAAATAACTATTGCAATAGGGAAGAGTGCCCAGTGTAAGCCGAACTCAACATCGTGGAAGCAAAAGGCAGGAGACTTTTTAAAGGCTGTGATGTGCTAAGGGAAAGGCATTGAGGGGTGTTAAGGGGGCTAGTCCATATGATTAGGCCACCAGGGATTGTTCACTGGCACTTATCTGGAGGAGAAATAAACTTTTTGCATCTTTATGACAGGAGGCAGTAGTGCAAGTTACAGCAAGGTGCCCACTGGGCTGGGAGTAAGGGCAAGAGTTACCTCCTTGAATGTTGGCCTTTCAAAGAGAGGCTTTCAGGTCCTTGAAGAACCATTCTGGATGGTAGCTTTACATCTCAAAGGGCAGAAAAGGGATGTATAATTGCAAACTTTCATATATATATATATATATATATATATATATATATATATATATATATATATATATTTAATAGAGATGAGATGGCTGGATGTGGTGGCTCACGCCTGTAATCCCAACACTTTGGGAGGCCTAGGCGGGCACATCACCTGAGGTCAGGAGTTCGAGACCAGCCTGACCAAGGAGAAGCCCCGTCTCTACTAAAAATACAATACTAGCTGGGCGTGGTGGCATATGCCTGTAATCCCAGCTACTCGGGAGGCTGAGGCAGGAGAATCGCTTGAACCTGGGAGGCAGAGGTTGCGGTGGGCCGAGATCGCACCACTGCACTCCAGCCTGGGCAACAAGAGCCAAACTCCATCTTAAAAAAAAAAGAGAGAGAGAGAGATGAGGTGTCCCTGTGTTGCCCATGCTCGTTTTGAACTCCTGGGCTCTAGTGATCCTCCCACCTTTGCCTCCCAAAGTGCTGAGATTATAGGCATGAGCCACCACACTTGGCCATATAATTGCAAACTTTCTAAAGTAACTGCTCTAAGAGGGGGTTCAGGGCTTATCTCCTTATCATCAAGTTTTGACTGGAACAAACAATAAATTCTCGAGCATTGTTGAGTTTTGTTTTTGTTTTTGTTTTCATTGTCTTTTTTTTTTCTTTTGAGACAGGGTCTCACTCTGTCACCCAGGCTGGAGTGCAGTGGCCCGATCATGGCTCACTGCCATCTCCACATCCCAGGCTCAAGCGATCTTCCCACCTCAGCCTCCCAAGTAGCTGGAAACACAGGTGCGCACCACCATGCCCAGCTAATGTTTTTATTTTTTGTGGAGATATGGTTTCACCATGTTGCCCATGCTGGTCTCGAACTTCTGAGCTCAAGAGATCTGCCTGCCTCAGCCTCCCTAAGTATTGCAGCTGTGAGCCACTGCACCCAGCCTCCAATTATCTTTTTAACACCATAGATGAAATGAAAGCCAGAAGAGGACTCTACTCTGTTCCGTATTTACTCTCTGGTTTCCTCAACAGTTCTCTGAAAATTCCCAGAAGCTAATATTACTTTCTACTTATTCTCCTATCAGAATCCTACATGTCTTTAAGGTCCCAACTCTAGTTGGGACCCCTTCCTGGAAACCTTACCTGTCCACATCAACCTGAAATGGATGACCTTCATCTTTTGTGATCTACCTCGGTTCTTCTTTTTTAGTGCGCATGGAATGTCTCATACTAAGCTGTCCAATTAAGAAGCCATTAAAAAAAAAAAAAAGGCCGGTCGCGGTGGCTCACGCCTGTAATCCCAGCACTTTGGGAGGCTGGGCGGATCACCTGAGGTCGGGAGTTCGAGAACAGCCTGACCTACATGGAGAAACCCCATCTCTACTAAAAATACAAAATTAGCCGGGCTTGGTGGCGCATGCCTATAATCCCAGCTACTTGGGAAGGCTGAGGCAGGAGGATCACTTGAACCTGTGAGGTGGAGGTTGCAGTGAGCCGAGATCGTGCACTCCAGCCTGGGCAACTAGAGCAAAACTCTGTCTAAAAAAAAAGAAGCCATGAGATGCATATGGCTATTTAATGTGTTTAAAATTAAGTTAAATTTCAATTATTCAGCTCCTCAGTTGTGCTATCCATATTTCAAGTGCTCAACAGCTACATGTGGCTAGTGGCTACCATATTAGTGCAGATAGAGACTATTTCCATCACTGCAGAAAGTTCCATTGGATAGCAATTAGTATACAATTAGTTATAATTTTACATGTGTATGTTTTCTACGTGTGTATGTTTTATTTTTCCAGCTAGACTATAAGCTCCTTGAGTGCAGGAAGCTTTCTTTACCCTTCTGTACTCTTTCCCACCAGCATTTAGCACAGTACTTTACACCTAATAGATGTTGGACATACTCGTTGATGTGCTCCTCAGGAAAAACTGTCATTTTTTTTTTTTTCTTTTTGAGATGGATTTTCACTCTTGTTGCCCAGGCTGGAGTGCAATGGTATGATCTTGGCTCACTACAACCTCCACCTCCTGGGATCAAGCGATTCTCCTGCCTCAGCCTCCCGAGTAGCTGGGATTACAGGTGTGCGCCATCATGCCTGGCTAATTTTTGTACTATTAGTAGAGACAGGGTTTCACCATATTGGCCAGGCTGGTCTTGAACTCCTGTCCTCAGGTGATCCACTTGCCTCGGCCTCCCAAAGTGCTGGGATTACAGGCATGAGCCACCGAGCCTGGCCAGAACTGTCATATTAATAAGCTTTAGGATGACATAAATCTCTTTACTTTTTCCTCAGCCAAAAATAAATCAGCCCATCTTCCAGGAAGAGGAGTAATATATTGATGCCTAACAGATCAGAAATTTCAGGCAGGGCGTGGTGGCTCACGCCTATAATCCCAGAACTTTGGGAGGCCAAGGTGGGGGAATCACCTGAGGCCAGGAGTTTGAGACTAGCATGGCCAATGTGGTGAAACCCTGTCTCCACTAAAAATACAGAAAATTATTGGGGCATGGTGGCAGACGCCTGTAATCCGAGCTACTTGGGAGGCTGAGGCAGGAGAATTGCTTGAACACGGGAGGCAAAGGTTGCAGTGAGCTTAGATTGTGCCACTGCACTCCAGACTGGGAGACAGAGCGAGATTCCATCCCCCCAAAAAAAAAAAAATTCTGTCCATCCAGGCATGGCAAGTGTGAAGAAAGGGCAAAAGAAGGGTTCTACTGTAGATACCAGAGTCCAGACCTTCGATCTTCTGAAAGGAACATCTACCTGAACACCTAGTTCCCTGACTCCCAGCTCCCATGGTGAAATATTCCTTATGAGGCCAGAGTACTGCCAAGGCCACCATCGTGTGGCCTTCAGCAATAGGTAGAGCAGGCCACAACTGTGTTGGATAAAGTCAAATTGAAATTTTCTAAATAGGGCTCGGAACCATTCCAGATACCCTGGGCTCAGGGTGACACAAGGCTCAGTTAGTCAACCTGGATGACCTGTTTCAGAGCACACCTCCAACCTTACCCAGCTCTCACCCACCTACTGATCTTAGTCAATCAGGATAGCTTTAGGACTTAGTTCCTGGAACCTAAGAAATCCACCAGCAAGCCGGGCGTGGTGGCTCACTCCTGTAATCCTAGCACTTTGGGAGGCCAAGTCAGACGGATCACTTGGGGTCAGGAGTTTGAGACCAGCCTGGCCAACATGGGGAAACCCCATCTTTACTGAAAATACACAAATTAGCCAGGCATGGTGGCATGTGCCTGTACTCCTAGCTACTCAGGAGGCTGAGGCAGGAGAATTGCTTGAACCCAGGAGGCAGAGGTTGCAGTGAGCCAAGAACATGCCACTGCGTTCCAGACTGGGTGACAGAGTGAGACTCTGTCTCAAAAAAAGAAAAAAAGAAATTCACCAGCAAACAAGAGCTGAGCCACACCTGATTATATTCAGTTCATTGTTTTCTAACTTAACATCTATTGTTGTCTCATTGTTATAAGTGTTATATTTGTACCCTTGAGGGCAGGGCCCTCATTACCATCACTGTCCTACACATTCTTTGAGATGATTAAATGAAGCTGATGTTTGTGGAAGTGCCTTCCATAGAGGATGCCTCAAAAATGTAAACTCCCTCTGCTTTTGTCTCCTTTCCCAAAATCTAGACCTGAAGCATGCCTCCTTTCTCTATTTCTTCAAGTCTTGCTCTTTCTAAAGATGCAGTTTAAAGTCCACTTTCTGGCCGGGCGTGGTGGCTCACCTCTGTATCCCAGCACTTTGGGAGGCCAAGGCGGGTGGCAAGACTAGCCTGGCCAACACGGTGAAACCCCGTCTCTACTAAAAATACAAAAATTAGCCAAGTAAGGCGGCGAGCGCCTGTAATCCAGCTACTCAGGAGGCTGAAGCAGGAAAATCGCTTGAACCCAGGAGGTGGAGGTTGCAGTGAGCAAAGATAGCGCCATTGCACTCCACCTGGGCAACAAGAGCGAAACTCCATCTCAAAAATAAATAAATAAAAATACAAAAATACAAAAATTAGTGAGGCATGCATGTGCCTGTAGTCCCAGTTACTTGGGAGGCTGAGACAGGAGAATCACTTGAACCCAAGAGATGGAGGTTGCAGTGAGCCGAGATCGTGCCACTGCACTCCAGCCTGGGCGACAGAGCCAGACTGTCCATCTCACACACACAAAAAAAATCAGTATATCACTGGGCACCATAATATGTGTCTGTGGTTCCACTTACTTGAGAGGCTAAGGTAGGAAGATTGCTTGAGCCCGGGAGTTTGGGGGATGTCGTGTGCCACTGCATTACAGCATGTGTAACATAGCAAGACCCCATCTCTAAAAAATAAAAAAATTATATATCTCAAAGCACTTTACACAGTGTCTAAGATGTTTTAAGCACTGAGGAAATGTTTAGTATGTGAAGTTTCTAGATAAACTCAATAAAAAAGCAAGTCACAATCCTCTGGTCACTTGTATTCTAATATGTATGTAACAATGAGAGGCTTGTATCAACCAAACCATTGTTTGATAAATCTCAATAATGGCTCTCTTATGAAAGATTGCTGCTGCTGTGGCACCACCTATGGGTGTGGTACCATAGCCTTCCTCACTGGTTACTCAATGTGGGCTGACACTCTTCTGTCAGCCAAGCTATAACAACATGCTATGTGCCCCAAAGGAACCCATCTTTGCTCCCTTGTCATTGACAACCCTGTGGAGAACTTCTATTTCATCTAATGGTGATACCACATAACTAGGCTGGGCAAATCAGAATCCTGAACGAGCAGATAAGCAGCTACATGACAATATGAGTTCACATCAGAGCTCCATGTGAAATGTTATATACTGAGCGATTTCTCTGGAATTGGGTTAGAATGGAAGGGTGAGAAAGTGCAGTTATCTTTTCCTACTCACTTTGCCACAAGAGGGTCAGCCAGGAAGTCTTATCAGTAAGAGTTGCCTTTGCATACTCCATGAAATCCATTCTGTGTTGATCTTTCAACTATTCATTGATCCACTCATTCACTCAATTATGTATTAATTACCTATTCTGTTGTGATATGGAGATATACCAGTGATCAAAACTCACCAAGTCTAGACCCTCATGGATAATGTAAATTCTCACGAGAGGCTGGGCGTGGTGGCTCACGCCTGTAATCCTAGCACTTTGGGAGGCTGAGGTGGGTGGATCACTTGAGGTCAGGAGTTCAAGTCCAGCCTGGCCAATATGGTGAAATATTATTTCTACTAAAATACAAAAATTACCTAGGTGTGGTGGCATGCACCTATAATCCCAGCTACTTGGGAGGCTGAGGCAGAAGAATCACTTGAACCCAGGAAGCAGAGGTTGTAGTGAGCCAAAATCGCGCCATTGCACTCCAGCCTGAGCAACAGGCTGAGACTCTGTCTCGAAAAAAAAAAAAATTTCATGAGAGAGATCTATTGATCAATTACTGTATTTCCTCAAATCTGAGGCACCATTGATTGCCACAATGGGTTTCATAACAGCTTTTCAGGAAAGAAAAAAAAGTGCTACCACATTAAATATACACATTGATTAGATGTTAGTATCAAAAATGTCTTCCCCAAAATATCACCAAAGCAACGTCACTAAGACAAAATTTAGTTTATTGCTTATTCTGGTAAGGCAGAGCACTTTCTAGACAGTCTTTGTTTGTAGCATCTCAGAGGAGAGTAAGGGCAAGATTGGGCTATTTATTGAGCTGTAAAAATTTGGTTTAAGGAGAATCTTTTAATGAGGGAAAAGGGAAGTCTTGGCTGGCCCTGGATAAGAGTCATGATACAACAATTTAGGATTGGTAGGCACAGCAGTTTGAGGCAAGGGGTTCAAAGAATCTTGGGATACAATTTGTCATTTGATGCCTTATTTTAAAGAATTGACGGGTCTTTCTGGAAGTCCTGAAATCAATAATAAAATTATTTTCAACTTTTTTTTTGAGACAGAGTCTCACTCTGTTGTTGCCCAGGCTGGAGTGCAATGGTGCAATCCTGGCTCACTGCAACCTCCGCCTGCTGTGTTCAAGTGATTCTCCTGCTTCAGCCTCCCGAGTAGCTGGGATTACAGGCGCCTGCCACCACACCCAGCTAAGTTTTTTGTATTTTTAATAGAGACGGGGTTTCACCAGGCTACCCAGGCTGGTCTCGAACCCCTGACCTCAGGTGATCCACCCGCCTCAGCCTCCCAAAGTGCTGGGATTACAGGTGTGAGCCACCATGCCCAGGCTATTTTCAACTTTTATCTTCATTGGTAAGCATCTCCTGGAATAGTAAAATTATGTTGAGGATGGCAGTATAATAGTAAGCCATGTTAATGTTTAAGGTAAGCTATGTCATGAACATGTCAAAAATATGCACCTTAGGCGAAATAAAGTAATTACACAATTAAGGATATGTAGTTACAGTTATGAAATATGCTGTGGAGAAATATAGGGTGCAATAGGAACATATAACTGGGGCACCTTACCAATTCTACAGAGGTCAGAAAAAGCATCTTTGAGAAACTCATCTTTGAACTAATGCAAAATGTTGAGTTTGGCTTGAGGAAGTGGAGAGGTGGATGTGGCAGGCTGAGATAACATGTGCAAAGGTCCTGTGGCAGGAAGGAACATGATGTATTTAAGTACTTGCAAAATCAGTGAGGCTGGAGCACAAGAAGTGAGAGGGTAGAGGCACACTATGAAGGCTGATGGAGGGGGTGGAGAGCATTCTGCTGTAGAGGCCAAGGGAAACTTCCCCTTTGCCCTCTGAAGAGTTGCTGAAAAAATCAACTCACTCGCCAGGCACGGTGGCTCACACCTGTAATCCCAGTACTTTGGGAGGCTGAGGCAGGCGGATCATGAGGTAAGGAGATTGAGACCATCCTGGCTAACATGGTGAAACCCTGTCTCTACTAAAAATACAAAAATTAGCCAGGCATGGTGGCATGTGCCTGTAATACCAGCTACTCAAGTAGAATCGCTTGAACCCAGGAGGCAGAGGTTGCAGTGAGCTGAGATCGTGCCACTGCACTCGTCTGGGCAACAGAGAGTGAGACTCTGTCAAAAAACAAACAAACAAACAAAAGAAAACCCTAAATTTAAATTAAAAAAACAAAACAGGTGCGAATTCCTTATTACATTCTTTATTATTAAAATAAAATCTAGGGCCAGGCACGGTGGCTCACGTCTGGAATCCCAGCACTTTGGGAGGCCAAGTTGGGCACATCATGAGGTCAAGACATCAAGACCATCCTGGCCAACATGGTTAAACCCGTCTCTACTAAAAATGCAAAAATTAGCTGGGTGTGGTGGTGCGCACCTGTAGTCCCAGCTACTCGGGGGGCTGAGGCAAGAGAATCACTTGAACCCGGGAGGCAGAAGTTGCAGTGAGCCAAGATTGCACCACTGCACTCCAGCCTGGCGACAGGGTGAGACTCTGTCTCAAAAAAAAAAAAAAAAAAAAAAAGGAAAATCTATTCTATTTCTATGGCTTGTTTATTTATTTATTTATTTATTTATTTATTTACTTTTGGAGTGCAGTGGCACAATTTCGGCTCACTACAACCTCCGTCTCCCAGGTTCGAGTGATTCTCCTGCCTCAGCCTCCCAAGTAGCTAGAGTTACAGTCGCACGCCACCACATCTGGCTAATTTTTTTTGTATTTTTAGTAGGGACAGGGTTTCACCATGTTGGCCAGGCTGTTCTTGAACTCCTGACCTCAGGTGATCCACCCGCCTCGGCCTCCCAAAATGTTGGGATTAAAGGCGTGAGTCACTGCACCCAGCCAATGGTTTATTTTGCATTGCTGCATCAAAAAAAAAAAGTTGGCTCAAGGTAAATATATTTTAAATGGTTTTGTTAGAAGAAATTAGGACAGGCTTGCCTTTTGTAAAACTCCATCTCAAGTCTTAAATGTAGCGTAAGACAGATTGTCCCAAGTCTTAGGAGGCAAGCTACTTTTCCTATCTGGTAATTTTTATTAATTTTAATTGATCCTCCAGTTAAGGTGGGAGGGAAAGGAGAGAAGTCTACATAGTTAATGTAGTGCATGGGTTGTCAAAACTGATGAGCATATAAATTCACTGCTCTTGAGACATCTGGCATCTGGCTAACATTGAGCCACGTGCACCTGTTTCCCAAGACAGAACTCCACGGACAATGCATCTAGTCAGGCTGGCAAGAACAGGAATGAGTTTCACATAAGAACATGCATTTGGGGCTTAATGAGGCACACAGGATTATTATTTATAACACAATCAACATATGCAATTTATGAAGTGATTAAATCTTGTCCCAGAAGAGCTCACATGGATCCAAGCCATGACGACCCAATTATTTAGGGTTTTTTTTCTTTTCTGTTATAATTTACTCTCCTGTGACCAAAAAGGGATTTGAATAACTCTGAGATAAAATTCAAGGCCATAATGGCCTTTGTTTTCCCTCAAATTAAATCGCCGCAAAAAATAAAAACTCAGCTTAAAAAAAAACAACTTAAAAATAACCTCTCCCTAAGTCCCCAGATGGGACCATACAGATTTTGGTCTTTGGGTTGTCATCTTTAGTATTTTCCAATCCTTCCTTTCCTCAGGACCTCACATTTTATAATTGTTATGCTTCTGAAAGTATTTTCAATAACTGCACGAGATCCTTCCAAACCCTTTGAGGTGGGCAACGTAGTTATTATATCTACTTTTAGTGGTGATAATGAAGATACTGGACTTGGGCACCCCACCAGTCTAAATGAGACATGAACTAGTTAGAAGTGATGGCAGCAGTGAACCCTTCATAAAGCCAGAGCAGATCCCGCAGTGAAAACCGGCCCTGGCCATTTGTGAGAGGAGGAAATGGATGGTCGGGAAAGCTATGCCTGCGGTCACATGGTCAATATTTTCTACTTCAAGGTAGTAGGACTGTCAGGCTGCCTGACTTCCAATCTGAAACCCCTCCACCCATTATACTTTCCACCACACTTAATTTTTTCTTTTTTTTTGAGATGGAGTCTCACTCTATCACCCAGGCTGGAGTGCAGTGGTGTGGTCTTGGTTCACTGCAATCTCCGCCTCCTGGGTTGAAGTGATTCTCCCACCTCAGCCTCCCAAGTAGCTGGGATTATTACCAGCGCCCACCAACACACCCGGCTAATTTTTGTATTTTTAGTAGAGACGGGGTTTCAACCATGTTGGCCAGGCTGGTCTTGAACTCCTGACTTCGGGTGATCTGCCTGCCCCAGACTCCCAAAGTGCTGGGATTACAGGTTTGAGCCACTGTGTTCAGCCCCTACCACTTTAAAATGAACGATAGAACTCCAAAATGAGTAGTGCGGATGGTATATGTGTCCCTCTTATCACTACACCAGAAAGAAAGGGAGGAAAAAAATAAGGAAGGAAGAAAGAAGAAGGGAATGAAGTAAAGAAGGAAGGGAGGGAGGAAGGAAGGAAGGGAGGGAGGAAGGAAGAAACTATTGGAGCCCTGTTACCAGCTGAACTGAGCACCTCTATGAGAACTGGAAATTTAGCTTCATTTTGATTAACTCTTTCTCTTTCTCCTCTCTCTTTCTTTCTTTCTTGCTTTCTTGCTTGCTTTCTTCTTTTTTTTTTTTTTTTGACAGGCTGTCACCCATGCTGGAGTGGAGTGAAGTTATGTATAATAACTCTGCATTTTTGTTTTGTTTTGGTTTGGTTTGGTTTGGTTTTGAGATAGGGTCTCACTCTGTCACCCAGAAGGCTGGATGCTTGGTTCACTGAAGCCTTGATCTCCTGAGCTCAAGCCATCCTCTTGCCTCAGCCTCCTGAGTAGTTGGGACTACAGGCACGGGCCACCACGCCCAGCTATTATTTTATTTTATTTTATCTTATTTTATTTTCGAGACAGAGTTTCTCTCTTGTTGCCCAGGCTGGAGTGCAATGGCGTGATCTCAGCTCACTGTAGCCTCCACCTCCTGGGTTCAAGCAATTCTCCTGCCTCAGCCTCCCGAGTAGCTGGGATTACAGGCATGTGCCACTACACCCGGCTAGTTTTGTATTTTTAGTAGAGAAGGGGTTTCTCCCTATTGGCCTGGTTGGTCTTGAACTCCCAACCTTAGGTGATCCACCCACCTCAGCCTCCCGAAGTGCTGGGATTACAGGCATGAGCTACCATGCCTGGCCTATTTTTTTATTTTTTATTTTTAGTAGAGACAAGGTCTCACTATGTTGCCCAGGCTGGTGTTGAACGCTTGAGCTCAAGCAATCCTCCCACTTTGTCCCAAAGTGCTGGGATTACAGCCTTGAGCCACCGCACCCAGCTATCATCCTTTTTCAAATATCAATTCTTTCTGTGTTAATTATACTTGTTTGATATACATTGTTCATTTAATTAGGGTTTCTCAACAGTGGCACCACTAACATTTTGGGCTGAATAATTCTTTGCTGTGGGAGCTGTCCTGTGCATTGTAGGATGTTTCTCAGTATCCTGGCCTCTATTCACAAGATGCTAGTCACACTCCCCTAGTTGTGACAACCAAAACTGTCTCCAGACATTGCCAAATGTTTCAGACAGTTCTCCAATTGAAAAACACTGTTTTAGTGGGTTTGTTCTAAACATATTTCCAAACTCTATTCAGTTTTTATCTGAAGGTCAAAAACTACAGCTCAGAACTGGAATTAATATAGAAAGGAAAAGACAAGATTTTTTCATTAAGGGAACACTATAATTTTTTTTTTTATTTTTCGTAGAGGTGGCGGGGTCATCTCACTATGTTGCTTAGGTTGGTCTTGAACTCCTGGGTTCAAGTGATCCTCCCTCTTTAGCTTCCCAAAGTGCTGGGATTACAGGCATGGGATTACATGATATGCCTGGCCTGGGAACACTACAATTTGATCAAAATTGTCCCTCTTGCCCATGTTCTGGCCACATTTAAGTACAAATAGAATTATTAAATCGGGCAGGCAGCCAAGAGCAAACACCTATCTTTGAACTGTATGATGTATAGACCTAATAACGGGTTCACATTCTTCTCCTCACTTATGATATATAGAATGCTATTTCTTTTTTTTTTTTTTTTTTTTTTGAGACAGAGTCTGGCTGTCGCCCAGGCTGCAGTGCAGTGGCACAATCTCAGCTCACTGCCAGCTCCGCCTCCTGAGTTCACACTTTTCTCCTGCCTCAGCCTCCCTAGTAGCTGGGACTATAGGCACCTGCCACCACGCCTGGCTAATTTTTTGTATTTTTAGTAGAGACGAGGTTTCACCGTGTTAGCCAGCATGGTCTCGATCTCTTGACCTCGTGATCCACCTGCCTCGGCCTCCCAAAGTGCTGGAATTACAGGCGTGAGCCACCGCGCCCAGCTATAGAATGCTCTTTCTTGATATTTTTCTAACATGTTCAATAATTTCTGTTTCTTTTAGATTTATAATATCTTTAATGTTTTCTTAATTATAAAAACTCTACATTATCTTGGGAAATTTATTTGAATTCTTTTTAATTTCCTCATAAGAAAGTTATTTTCAAGGTTGGGTGTGGTGGTTCACGCCTGTAATCCCAGCACTTTGGAAGGCCGAGGCAGGTGGATCACCTGAGGTCAGGAGTTCAAGACCAGCCTGGCCAACATGGTGAAATCCCCTTTCTACAAAAATACAAAAATAAAATTAGCCGGGCATGATGATGGGTGCTTGTAATCCCAGCAACTCGGGAGGCTGAGCGGGGAGAATCGCTTGAACCTGGGAGGTGGAGTTTGCAGTGAGCAGAGGTCACCCCATTGCACTCCAGCCTGGGTGACAGAGTGAGACTCCATTTAAAAAAAAAAAAAGTTATTTTCAAAGTACTTTGAGATAACTGAAAAGTCCTCCATTAGTCAAAAATGTACCTTTCAGCACTATTCACAATATCCAGAAGGTGAGCTCAACCTAAATGTCCATCAGTAAATGAATGGATAAAGAAAATGTGGTACATATAAATACAGTGGAATATTATTCAACCTTAAGAAGGAATGAAATTTTGATAGATGCCGCAACATGGATGAACCCTGCAGATATTATGTTAAGTGAAGTAAGTCAGTCACAATAGAACAAATATTGTATGATTCCACTTATATGAGGTACCAGATTAGTCAAATTCATAGAAACTAAAGTAGAATGGTGATTACCAGGGCCTAGAGGGAGGAGGGAATGAGGAGTTTTATTTGTTGTTGTTGTTGTTGTTGTTTGATACGGAGTCTCGCTCTGTGGTACAGGCTGGGGTGCAGTGGCTCAATCTCGGCTCACTGCAACCTCCACCTCCCAGGTTCAGGCAATTTTCCTGCCTCAGTGTCCTGAGTAGCTGGGATAACAGGCACCCACCACCACGCCTAGCTAATTTTTGTATTTTTAGTAGAGACTGGGTTTCACCATGTTGGCCAGGCTTGTCTCAAACTCCTGGCCTCAAGTGATCCTCCCATCTCTGCCTCCCAAAGTGCTGGGATTACAGGCATGGGCCACTGCACCCAGTCTGGGGAGTTAACTTTTAATGGGTATAGAGTTTCTCTTTGGGATGATGGAAAAGTTCTAGCAATGGATAGTAGTGATGGTTTGTACAAAAATGGGAAAGTACTTAATGCCGCAGAACTGTATACTTACTAGTTAAAATGATAAATTTACGTTATATGTATCTTACCACAATAAAAAATCAAATCAAACATTCAGCAATATATACTGTACATAAAAACATGCAACCTTAATATTTCATTCACCAAAAGCTCTTTTCTGTGTGATATCCATGGACATACTCACTGTTCCTTGGAATTTTATCTAATATGTTTCCAAATGTCCTGCTGGACTGCACTATAGTCAATCCAGTGATTTCGGTCATCCCTGAAATCCAATTGCTTAGGTAAGTCATTCCCATGGGAACTCACTGAGCTCATTCTGACATTCAGAAGAAATTGGCCCTCTTTATTCTTTTTTTCTGAGTCCCAACCTTGAATTTAGTTCATTAACATCAAAAATCATTCAGATCATTAGGAGTTGAGAATTAATATTGTTTTTCTCATCGACTGGGAAAGCAAGGTACAAGCAGCACCCCACTTCTTTCCTTTGCACAAAATCTTATTAATAAACGTTTGACACTATGTCTGTGAAATTGATTTGTTCTGTTGGTAACAGAAAAAATTGAGTGTGTCTCTAGTAGAGTGCATTGTGCACAAAATTATTCTCTATACTACTCAAAGTTGCAAAAGAGTTGTCACGCAACTCATGTGGGATGAAGTGCAGTCAATATTTAAATGCATATAAGTCAGGGCATTTGTTGCCTGGTGGCTATAGATGGCATAGTCCCCCTTCTTCTACCATGAACCCCTACACCTAAGTCAGTATCAGTTAACATATATGGATTCATATGTAAGGGAGTTTTTATTTTGAAACTGAGAATGTGGAGAGAAAGTCATTCCCACAGGAACTCACTGAGCTCATTCAGAGAAGGGGAGAAGCTGAAGTTAAGGAACTGGAGAATGGGAAGAGAGCAAAAGGATCCTACCTCCTTCCTTGGACTGGTTTTGAGCTCACTTGTGAGGGTTAGAGGCAGACGTTGATGGAATTATTCAAGAGGGACTTTGAGAGACCTGTCAATAACAGAGAAGGAAGAGGAAGAGGCCCCTTTCTCCCACTTCTGTTTGTCCCAGCACTGTTCTTGGACTCTGAGACCCGGAAGCATTAAGGGTACCCAGAGACCACAGCTTGGGGGTAGTAGCACCATGAGGCCACAGACAGCAACTGTGGATGAAGAGGATCCAAATCTGGAGAAGACGCAGGTGGGTGGCGGGGGCAGGGGGCAGGTCATGATGGGCACTAGGAAGCACCCCTTTGGCTATTCCAAATAGTAATGCAGGGTCACTGTGAAGGGAAGGAGGAGAGAATCTCTTATTTTTTAGGTTTTTAACCTTTTATTTTAAAAAATTTTGTAGACAGGATCTCGATATGTTGACCAGGCTGGTCTCAAACTCCTGGCCTCAACTGATCCTCCTGCCTCAGCCTCCCAAAGTATTTGGATTACAGACATGAACCACTGCACCCAGCCTGAGAGTCTCTTTATGAGTACAGCAATTCATAAAAGCCAGTAGATATTGAATTACACACAGATAGCTTTATTTAACCCCTATAATAATATCCTGTGAAGGTGGTATTATTATTATTATTATTTCCACTTTACAGATGTGGAAAGTGAGCCTCAGAAAGGTTAAGTAACTTTCCCTAGGCCACATGGCTCCCAAGAAGCAGGGCTGAGATTAGAACCAAAGTATATTTGACCCTAAGACCCATGTTCTTAACTGCTGTGCTTTACTGCTTCCTAATGTAGAAAACAAGGACAGGCCAGGCGCCGTGACTCATACCTGTAACACCAGCACTTTAGGAGGCCGAGGCGGGCAAATGACTTGAGGTCAGGAGTTCAAGACCAGCCTGGCCAACATGGTAAAACCCCATCTCTACTGAAAATACAAAAATTAGCCAGGCATAGTGGCATGTGCCTGTAATCCCAGCTACACAGGAGGCTGAGGCAGGAGAATCATTTGAATCCGGGAGGCTGAGGTTGCAGTGAGCCGAGATTGCACCATTGCACTCCAGCCTGGGTGACAGAGCAAGACTCCATCTCAAAAAAAAAAAAAAAAAAAAAAGGAAAACAAGGACAGGTTTGGAATGTCAGAATTCCAAATGCTTTTAGTTGCTCCATTTTAGACTTGTCCCGGCTGACTTGTAGTCTTTCTTTTAAGTTCATACATTCAATATAAGTATGTGACTTTCTTTTGTATCCTACAATAGTACTTAAAAAATGTTCAGGCCGGGCGTGGTGGCTCATGCCTGTAATCCCAGCACTTTGGGAGACCGAGGCGGGTGGATCACGAGGTCAGGAGATCGAGACCATCCTGGCTAGCACAGTGAAACTCCGTCTCTACAAAAAAATACAAAAAAAAATTAGCCAGGTGTGGTGGCGGGCGCCTGTAGTCCCAGCTACTCGGGAGGCTGAGGCAGGAGAATGGCGAGAACCCAGGAGGTGGAGCTTGCAGTGAACCGAGATGGCACCACTGCACTCCAGCCTGGGTGACAGAACGAGACCCTGTCTCAAAAAAAAAAAAAAAAAGCTCAGCATTAAAGTGGGAACCAACAACTTATCCCACGCCATTTTCAGATAATGTTGTTTAAAAATAAATGCCCTCTAAAGCAGCAGGCCCCAACATTTTGGCACCAGTCACCAGTTTCGTGGAAAGCAATTTTTTCATGGACCAGAATGGCGGGGTGGATTGATTTGGGATGATTCGAGTACATTACATGTATTGTGCACTTTATTTCTGCTATTATTAATATTACATTGTAATGCATAATGAAATAGTCATACAAGTCACCATAATGTAGAATTAGTGGGAGCCTTGAGCTTGTTTTCCTGCAACTAGACAGTCCCATATGGGGATGATGGGAGACAGTGACAGATCATCAGGCATTAGATTCTCATAAGGAACGTGCAGTCTAGATCCCTTGCATGCACAGTTCACAATAGGTTTCATGCTCCTATGAGAATCTGATATCACCACTGATCTGACAGGAGGCAGAGCTCAGGTGGTAATGTGAGTCATGGGGACAGACTGTAAATACAGATGAAGCTTTGCTTGCTCACCCGCCACTCATCGCCTGCTGTGTGGGCCAGTTCCTAATAGGTCACAGACCAGTACCAGTCCACAACCTGAGGATTGGGGACCCCTGCTCTAAAGTATAATTGTGAAAAAATTAAAGAGTATTTTCATTCACCTCTCACTTTCTTTATCACCTGGAAGTGTATATAATTCATGCACCAATTTGTCTGAAAAGTCTGAATGCAAACTTCCTGAGATGAGGGGCCTTATTTTACTCTCCGTTGTACCTCTGGAGCCCAGAACTGTGCCTCCAGTAGAGTAGATGCTCAATACATACTTGTTGAAGGAAGAAATGAGTGAGTGAATGTATCCAGACTATGTGAAGAAAAGGGGAGGAAGTGTTTTGGACACACAGAATGAATGGAACTAGCAAGCCTATCTGGCCCCTTGGGAGTTATAGTCACTACCTCTGGGGCCTGGCCTGTGCTTTCGTGCAAATTCCTTGTCCAAGTGGCCCAGCTAATTGTCATAGCTGCCTTAGGCCCCAGCATCTTGCATTTTGAAGCCTAGCCTATGGAAGAGTTCTCCTTGAGTCAGAAGCCCACTGTGGGGCCAATGAATATGCTCCCCTCTCGACTCCTCACAAAAGTCCTGAATGGAGGACCGTGGAGGAGTATGATCAGTTTCAGCTATGAGGGGTTATCAAGTAAGGCAGATACCATGGTCCACATGTCCTCTACTTCACTCATTAAACTGAGGTTCCTGGACCAGCAGCATCAGCATCACTTGGGAGCTTATTAGAAATGCAGATTCTCAGGCCTACCCAAGACCTATTGAATCAGAATCTGCATCCTAACACAATCCCTGAGTGATTTCTAGGAACATGAAAGTTTGTGAAGCCCTGTTATACAATAACACTCTTGCAACATTCCTGCCAGACACCAGGTAGCTTTTTGATATTACCTTTTACCTTGGTAGTACATTTTTAGGCTCTTATTTTGCCTCTTTTTTAATTCTTACTTTTATTATTTATTTGTTTTTGTTTTGGAGAGATAATCTCACTCTGTCACCCAGGCAGGAGTGCAGTGGCACAATCTCGGCTAACTGCAACCTCCACTTCCTGGAGTCTTGCTCTGTTGCCCAGGCTAGAGTGCAGTGGCATAATCTCGACTCACTGCAACCTCCACCTCCCCAGTTCAAGCGATTCTCTTGCCTCAGCCTCCCGAGTAGCTGGGATTACAGGCGCCCGCCACCATGACTGGCTAATTTTTGTATTTTTAGTAGAGACGGGATTTCACCATATTGGCCAGGCAGGTCTCGAACTCTTGACCTCAGGTGATCTGCCCACCTCGGCCTCTCAAAGTGCTGGGATTACAGGCGTGAGCCACTGCACCCAGCCCATAATTCTCCTTTTTTGTTTTTCTTTGAGACAGAGTTTCATTCTTGTTGCCCAGGCTGGAGTGCAATGGTGTGATCTCCACTCACTGCAACCTCCACCTCCCGAGTTCAAGCGATTCTCCTGCTTCAGCCTCCCAAGTAGCTGGGATTACAGTTGCCTGCCACCACGCCCTGCTAATTTTTTGTATTTTTAGTAGAGAGGGGGTTTCTCCACGTTGGCCAGGCTGGTCTCGAACTCTTAACCTCAGGTGATCCACCTGCCTCAGCCTCCCAAAGTGCTGGAATTACAGGAGTGAGCCACCGCACCCAGACCCCATAATTGTTTAATACTATCAATATCAGCATTTTTATTCAGTGGAGTTTCTCTTCTGGTACAAGTTGAAAATAATAGACAGGGTCTACACTTTCCCTGTCTACTATTTGAGAGACAGGGTCTTGCTCTGTCACCCAGGCTGGAGTGCAGTGTGCAATCACAGCTCACTGTAATCTCAAACTCCTGGCCTCAAGTGATATTCCTGCCTCAGCCTCCCAAAACACTGGGATTACAGGTCTGAGCTACCACACCCAGACCAAATTCTGTGTTTTTTGTTCGTTTGTTTTGTTGGTTGGTTGGTTTTTTTTTGAGACGAAGTCTTGCTCTTGTCCCCCAGGTTGGAGTGCAATGGCATAATCTTGGCTCACTGCAACCTCCGCCTCTCTGGTTCAAGTGATTCTCCTGCCTCAGCCTTCCGAGTAGCTGGGATTACAGGCGCCTGCCACCACGCCTAGCTAAATTTTGTATTTTTAGTAGAGACAGTGTTTCACTATGTTGGCCAGGCTGGTCTCGAACTCCTGACCTCAAGTGATCTGCCCGTCTTGGCCTCCCAAAGTGCTGGGATTACAGGCATGAGCCACCACTCCTGGTCCAAATTCTGTGTTTTAACTGCTGTCTTTAGACTATTTATTTTCAATAATAAGTTAGGGTTTACATCTGCCATTTTGTTTTTGGTTTTCTGTTTGTCCCCTCTGAAGAAATGCATTTTAAGTTCTCCAAGGTATCCTCTTGGCATTGTTCTGCAAGTGTGGGATTAAGAAGGTGGCATTCCAGCTCTCCTCCCTCAGGGAATGGGCTCTCTCTCCTTTCTATAACCTTGGTAGAACTGAGGAGTCTAAGAATTGTAAAACAGGTTTTTTCCCATTCCCTTTGAAAATTCCTCCTAGGCAGAGAGGACTGTTAGCTTCAGCTGACTTTGTTAACCTGATTACCTGTTCACTGGTGCCACAGTGTTGCTGAAACGAAGGAGCCCCACTTCATAATCTTGAGACATTTATTTACATGTCTCTCTCTCCTTCTAGATTGTGGACGAGATCTATGCATGATTCATCATTGTATCCCTAGCAGCTACTAGATATTGATGACTTATTTACTAATACTTAGCCCAAAAAGATCAGACATGTTTTTATCTCTTTATTTTTAAGTAATTCAAACTTGCAGAAAAGCTACAAGAATTCTACAAAAGCTCTCTGATACCTTTTGCCCAATTCGCCAATTGTTCATCTTTTGCCATGTTAGCTCTATCATTTTCTCTTTCAGGAATCAGTCTTTTTTATTAAATCCTTTGTTCAACTTACTTTCATTTCCATTTAGTGCCTTATATTAGTTGTCTTTTCTCTCTGAATTTAGCAATTTTCATACACCAACAAAAGGGAGGAGAGGGAGTAAAAAGGATCAGATGAACTTGTGAACCATTGGCTTTTCATCCATTTAAAACTACGAGACTGGCCAGGCATGGTGGCTCATGCCTGTTGTAATCCCGGCACTTTCGGAAGTGGGTGGATTGCTTGAGGCCAGGATTTCGAGATCAGCCTGGGCAACATGGCAAAACTCTGTCTCTACAAAAAGTACAAAAATTAGCCAGGTGTGGTGGCAGGTGCCTGTGGGCCCAGCTACTAGGGAGGCTGAAGTGGGAGGATCGCTTGAACCCACGAAGTAAAGACTGCAGTGAGCCGTGACCGCAGCACTGCACTCCAGCCTGGGTGACAGAGCAAGACCCTGTCTCAAAAATAAATAAATAAATACAATTATGAGATTTATTATTGAGACACTAAGAAAGGCATTTAACATGTCTATAAATATGGTCAAGCTAGGAAAAAAAGAGGAGCTACCTTCTAGAATAGGCTATTTTTACTAGCAGAATTACTATAGAAAAGAATTATGTTACATTTCATAAATAGCTCTTCCTGGGAGCATAATGATAACTCTGCTTCTGCTTTTCAAGAAGTCAGCCAAGAAAGGTTGGGAGAAATCTATTATATTGTCAAAAAGCAATTTTTCATACTAGTCCATGGGACTAACAACATTTAGGAAGAACCTGGCTTGCCATGGAATGTAGAGGATGTGGGTGAGTGGGTTTTTTTCTTTTCTTTTTTTTGAGACGGAGTCTCGCTCTGTTGCCCAGGCTGGAGTGCCGCGATCTCGGCTCACTGCAAGCTCCGCCTCCCAGGTTCACGCCATTCTCCTGCCTCAGCCTCCCAAGTAGCTGGGACTACAGGCGCCCGCCACCACGCCCGGCTAATTTTTTTGTATTTTTTAGTAGAGACGGGGTTTCACCTTGTTAGCCAGGATGGTCTCGATCTCCTGACCTCGTGATCCGCCCGCCTCAGCCTCCCAGAGTGCTGGGATTACAGGCGTGAGCCACCATGCCTGGCCGTAAGAATTATGTTACATTTCATAAATAGCTCTTCCTGGGAGCATAGTGATAACTCTGCTTCTGCTTTTTAAGAAGTCAGCCAAGAAAGGTTGGGAGAAATCTAATTATATTGTCAAAAAGCAATTTTTCATACTAGTCCAAGGGACTAACAACATTTAGGAAGAACCTGGCTTGCCATGGAATGTAGAGGATGTGGGTGAGTGTTAATGACAGTGGGTGTCATGGTCGGGAGTGGTGACTCACTCCTGTAATCCCAGCACTTTGGGCGGTTGAGGAAGGCAGATCATTTGAGGTCAAGAGTTCAAGACCAGCCTGGCCAACATAGTGAAACCCTGTCTCTACTAAAAATACAAACATTAGCCTGGCGTGCTTGCGTGTGCCTGTAATCATAGCTACTTGGGAGGCTGAGGCACGAGAATCGCTTGAACCCAAGAAGCAGAGGTTGCAGTGAGCTGAGATCCCGCCACTGCACTCCAGCCTGGTGACAGAGTGAGACTCTGTCTCAAAAAAAAAAAAAAAAAAAAAAACAGTGGATGTCAAAGGTACATCTTCATATCCCATAGGACACTTGTTTAAATTTTGCCAGGTCAAAGGGAGATTATTCTTATTCTGACTTTAACCCACATTAATTCTAATATATCGAGTTGTGTCATTTTCCTTTAAGGAAGTACAAAGTTTCAATGAAACAGCTGAATTGATAGGAGTTCCAAGAATTGCAACAAATAGAATAAAAAGAACAATGAAATCATTCACAAAAGAGGCCATTCACAGACAGCTTGGTACAACTGTAGTAAAAAAAAAATATAGAACAAACTGAAGTGAAAGGAAAGTATAGCTCAGGATTCTGGATTTTAAAAGTTTTATCCAGCAGTCGTTAGCTCTCCTGGCTAGTGTGATGCCTGTGATGGTGTTTCACTGTTGGAACAGCAAGCACTGTCTTAATTGAGGCTTGGCTCCGGGTGCTGTTTTGGTGTGGGGCCAAGTATACCTTTGGGCAGTGTTTTGCACTTCTGAGAGTGAAATGACTCCTGTGGAGTCGGTCCTAATCTGAGTGCAAACAATCTTTTCTGTTGAAAAAAATAATTTTGAGGCCAGGTGTGGTGGCTCACGCCTATAATCCCAGCACTTGGGGAGGCTGAGGCGGGCGGATCACCTGAGGTCAGGAGTTCGAGACTAGCATGGCCAACATGGTGAAACCCTGTCTCTACTAAAAATACAAAAAATTAGCTGGGCCTGATGGCACACACCTGTAGTCCCAGATACTCAGGAGGCTGAGGTGGGAGGATCGCTTGAACCCAGGAGGTGGAGGTTGCAGTAAGCCAAAATTGTGCCACTGTACTCCAGCCTGGGTGACACAGCAAGACCCTGTTTCAAAAAAAAAAAGTTTTGGGTTCAGTTTAATTTCTTTTCTTTCAAAAAGATTTTTTTTTTTTTTTTTTTTTTTAGAGATAGGGTCTTGCTATGTGGCCCAGGTTTGTCTTGACTCCTGAGCTCAAGAAGTCCTCATGCCTCAGCCTCTCAAAGTTCTGGGATTACAGGTGTGAACCACGATGCCCAGCCAAGTTTAATTTTTTTGTTTGTTTGTTTTTGCTTTTGTTTTATTTTGTTTTTTGAGACAGGGTCTCACTCTGTTGGCCAGGCTGGAGTGCAGTGGCACGATCACAGCTCACTACAGCCTTGACCTCCCAGGCCCAAGCAATTCACCCACCTCAGCCTCCCAAGTTAGCTGGGACTACAGGCGTGCACCACCACGCCTGGCTAATGTTTTGATTTTTCTGTAGAAATGGAGTTTCACTATGTTGTTCAGGCTGGTCTGGAACTCCCCGCCTCAAGCCATCCTCCCACCTCAGCCTCCCGAAATCCTGGGATTATAGGCGTGAGCCACTGTGCCCAGCCAAGTTTCATTTTTGACTTATAAACGTTATCATTATAGGTCTTTCTGCTTAAGAGATACAACCAAAGTGTACCTATTCATTCCACAAATATTGCGTGCCAGGCCCCACACTGAGCTGAGTACTGTTCTAGGCACATGATATGTAACAGCAAGTAAAACATCCCTATCCTCACCAAGCTGATATTCAAGTGAAGGTGACAGACGAGAAACATAATGCATAAGGAAATCAGGTAATGTGTTAGAAGGTGGTGAGTGCTATAGTGAAATAAGATCAAGGTTAGGTGGATCTGGCATGTGTGGAGAAGCAAGTTGCAATCTTAAGGGTAGGCTTTGTTGAGAAGTAATTTTAAGCAAACGGTGCAAATGTTTAGGGGAAGAACAATCCAGGAAGTGGTAACAGCTGCACAGAGTCCCAAGAAAGCAGTATAGTGGCTTATTCCAGAAACAGCAAGGAGGCCAAAGTGACTGCATAGCGGGCCAGGTGGGAAGGTCAAGGAGATTGGGTAGGGCCTAGGGCTGTTGAAGGATTTCAGTTTCCACTGTTTCCTTGCTTCCTCTGAACAAAGCACTTTTGAGCAGAGAGGAACTCAATTTGGCTTTCATTTTAAAGGGTCTCTGTGGGCCAGGAGCAGTGGCTCACGCCTGTAATCCCAGCACTTTGGGAGACCGAGGTGGGTGGATCACCTGAGGTCAGGAGATCGAGACCAGCCAGGCCAACATGGTGAAACCCCATCTGTACTGAAAATACAAAAATTAGCTGGGTGTGGTGGCAGCGCCTGTAATCCCAGCTACTTGGGCAGCTAAGGCAAGAGAAAGGAGAATTGCTTGAACCCAGGAGGCGGAGGTTGCAGTGAGCTGAGATCATGCCATTGCACTCCAGCCTGGGTGACAGAGCAAGACAGTGTCTTAAAAAAAAAAAAAAAGAGCGGGGGAGGCAGGTGCTGTGGCTCACGCCTGTAATCCCAACACTTTGGGAGGCCAAGGCGGGCAGATCACAAAGTCAGGAGATCAAGACCATCCTGGCTAACACGGTGAAACCCCGTCTCTACTGAAAATACAAAAAAAAAAAAAACAACAACAACAAAATTAGCTGGGCATGGTGGCAGGCACCTGTAGTCCCAGCTACTCGGGAGGCTGAGGCAGGAGAATGGCGTTGAACCCGGGAGGTGGAGGTTGCAGTAAGCCGAAATTGTGCCACTGCACTCCAGCCTGGGCGACAGAGCGAGACTCCGTCTCAAAAAAAAAATAAAAAAATAAAAAAAAATAAAAGCGGGGGGGCGGGGGGGCGGGGGGCTCTGTGCCTCCCTGTTGAGAATAGACTGAAGGGGACAAGACAGAAACAAGGAGACCAGGTGGTACAGGTGGGAGCCTACTGTAATGATCCAGGCAAGAGCTGGGAGTGGTTCAAACCAGCGTGTAGAGTGGCAGGGGTAAAAAAGGATCACATTCTGGATGAGTTCTGCAAACAGAACCAACAGAATTTACAGAGGGATGGGATGCGGGCTGGGAGAGAAAGAGAAGAGTCAAAGTGACTCCAAGGTTTGAAGCCTAAACAACTACAAAAAATGGAGTTGTCATCAGCTGTGGTGGGGAAGCTGCTGATGCAGCAGGCTTGGGGGTAGATCAGGAGTTCAGTTTTGGATACACTGCTTTGACATCCAAATGGGGTCATAAGTGGGCTTTGGATATGTGAATCTGGAGTTCAGGAGAGAGGCTGAGCAGGAGACATAATTTGGGAGTTGTAAGTATATAGATAGATAATAGTTATTCATTTTTTCCCATCCTTTTAACATGAACATTTTTAAGCATACACAAATGTGCATACATTTAGTACATATACCTTCTACCTTCATTCAACAATTATTAACATTTTGCCATATTAGCTCTATATTTCTCTATCTTTTTAAAATAAAAATAGAGACAGGTTCTCACTTTGTTGCCCAGGCTAGTTTCAAACTCCTGGGCTCGTGCGATCCTCTCGCTTTGGCCTCCAAAAGTGCTGGTATTACAGGCATGAGCCACCACGCCCAGCCATATTTGTCTATTTATACACGCTTTTATTTGTTTGTTTAACTGAGCCATTTCAGAGTAGGAAACATCTTGTTGCTTCACTCTTGAATACTCTGGCATTCCTGAAAGGAATGTAAAATCCCCCAAATCAATGAGAACGAAGCAAATGAATGCAGACAATGACCAGGGTCAAGGAAGGAGCCCTGGGGCACCCCAAGGGTAAGAGGTCTGGGAGAAGGAGCAGCCATTAAGGGAGGAGGAACCTGAGAAAGTAGATGTAATGTAGGGCGGGCGGACACTTTCTTCTGATTGCTGATTTTTGTTTGTTTGTTTGTTTTTGTTTTTGAGACAGAGTTTCACTCTTATTGCCCAGGGTGGAGTGCAATGGCACGATCTCCGCTCACTGCAACCCTTGCTTCCCAGGTTCAAGCGATTCTCCTGCCTCGGCCTCCCCAGTAGCTGGGATTACCGGTGCACATCAACACGCCTGGCTAATTTTTGTATTTTTAGTAGAAACAGGGTTTCACCATGGTAGCTGGGCTGCCTTTGAACTCCTAACCTCAGGTGATCTACCCGCCTCAGCCTCCCGAAGTGCTGGGATTACAGGCATGAGCCACTGCACCCAGCTGATTGCTGAAATTTACCAAAATGTAAAGAGGCAGATACAAAAGGCATGCATGCAAATTGTCCTTCTAATTTCAGAATTTCTTCTTCACACTTGTGGAACAAACTATTTTTTTCTTAGTCTTCTTAAGACTGGGGTAATTACAAAAGGAATCAAATAATTCCTTTTGATTGTTTGAAATGAGCACCCTAATACACCCAGGGGCATAGACTCCATAAAGAATGAAGAGGTCAGCTGGGCATGGTGGCTCACGCCTGCAATCCCAGCACTTTGAGAGGGCAAGGTAGGCAGATCACTTGAGTCCAGGAGTTCAAGACCAGCCTGGGTAATGTGGTGAAACCCCATCTTTACAAAAAAATTTACTGGGCTTTGTTGTGCACCTGTAGTCCCAGCTACTTGGGAGGCTCTGGTGGGAGGATCACCTGAGCCTGGGAGGTAAAGGCTACAGTGAGCTGTGATCACCCCACCGCACTCCAGCCTGGGTGACAGAGGAGTGAGACCCTGTCTCAAAAAAAAAAAAAAAAAAAAAAAAAAAAAAAGAAGAAGAAGATATCAAGTCACAGTATTGCTGTCTGAATTGGCAAAGATTCAGTTCAGTTTTCAGCACAAACTCAAAGCAAACCAATCAATCAAAGTCAGAGGCTAATTTAGGAAATTAAGAAGCTGAATGACAATTTTGATTTTTTTTTAACCACAGAGTTAACACTTTTTAAAAAGTGCTCCTCACATCAACCTACACAAAATAAACTGGTTAAAAACTAAAAGTATGACTGTTCAAAGAAGCAAGACATATTTAAATTTTTTTTAAAAACTGAAACTACCTTCTTTCGTCGTAAATATTATTCATAGCCTGTCCACAGCTGACATAAAATAGGGTATCTGCAGCTTCAGGGCAAACTCCTTTCCTGTACCTGGTCCTTGGGCATAACTACAAACAGATGGATTGATTGATTATTGACAGGGGGTCTTGCTTTGTCACCTCGTCTGGAGTGCACTGGCATGGTCATGACTTATCACAGCCTTGAACTCCTAGGCTCAAAGGATCCTCCCACCTCAGCTTCCTGAGTAGCTGGGACTACTACAGGCAAGAGCCACCACGCCCGGCTCAAAAGATTGATTTTTAGGTAGGAGGTTGCTAAGCAGTCAAGCAAATTTCATTCATTTTGGGCTTCCTGAACACTGGAACCCCTCCCTTTACGACTCAGAAAATAACAACCAACAAAATAAATCATATGTGGAACTAACATCAGACATGTATTTAATAATAAATAATAAAAAAGAAGTTGATGTTGGCTGTAGCTAGAAATCCAGAGATAAGGCCAAGCGCGGTGGCTCACACCTATAGTCCCAGCACTTTGGGAGGCTAAGGTGGGCAGATCGTCTGAGGTCAGGAGTTGGAGACCAGCCTGGCCAACGTGGCAAAACCTTGTCGTTACTAAAAATACAAAAAATAGCCGGGCGTGGTGGTGTACGCCTGTAGTCCCAGCTACTCGGGAGGCTGAGGCAGGAGAATCACTTGAACTCTGGAGGCGGAGGTTGCAGTGAGTCAAGATCTCACCACTGTACTCCAGCCTGGGTGACAGATAGAGATTCTGTATCAAGAAAAAAAAAGAAAGAAAGAAAAGAAATCCAGAGATAAAAGACACTGGATTGAAGACCAAGGAAATGCTTGGCTCTAGCATTATGAATTTCATTCTAAGAGAATCTAAGTCTGGCCACTCGTGGGAGGCTAAATAGTAATTGCTAGTAACGAACTAATCAGCTTGGGAAATGTCTCTAAGCCCCTTCCCAGAGCCAGCTCCTTTTCTCTTCATCTCCTGTTCTTTGTCCAGGAACCTCTTCTGTCTCATCTTTCAGCCATGCACCAAGTTCAGAAAAGAAACTACCATTTCCTAGACTTGTGTCTATATAGTTCAGAACAAAATGAAGTTCAGAACAAAATGAAGTCCAGAACAGAATCAGCTCCATTCTGACCCATAGGGAGGGATTTAAAGAAACAGAGGAAAAAAGGGGAAAAAAAATAAAAAAAAAAAGTGGAGAAGAAAAGAGGAGGGGCAGAGAGAAGGGAAGAAAATGGGGGGAAAGACTATGATGACTATTTTTCCACTTAGTACACTGTCTACTAAGTGTAGAAGGACCAAAGAAAAAAAAGAGTTCTATTTTTAAATGAGCTGCTTCCACATTCTAGGAGGGTTGCCAAGGGATGCAGAAAGGCACTGAAATGGGCTTTATAATGCAGCAGTAGGTTCCCTAGGCCTAATCTAGAAGCAGGAAGTTTAGAAAAGAAGAATAAAAGTACTTTGTGTAATAACCTCAGAGGTGAGCTACACAATTGGACCAGGGAAACCTCTGCAGATTTGTTCCTTTGACGCAGACTTCCTTTTTCAGCTTAACATGAATTTAAACTGTTGTCACTAGGAATTGCTGCTAGTCTTGGGAGACTGGGTATGTTGAGTTTTGTCCAAGAGCTACCCACGGGCCACCAGGAATAGAGTTGCAGAAGAGAGCTGGGGGAAGTGGGCAGGCCTGTCCTGACTGTCACAATGGCACAGGGGCCCAAAATCATGCGTTCAGCTAACATGTAGTGTTTGTTACATGCGAGGTGCTGCTCCCAAGGCTTTATCTTTGTAACCTTGTGAAATAACTATTCCTCCAACCTTGTGAATAAGGAAACAGGTACAGAGAGGTGAAAGGATCTGTCCTAGGTCACTCAAGTGACAAATGGACAAGCCGGGTTGAACCCAAGTAATCTGGACCTTAGACAGCAGGATTTTAAACACTTCGGAGGATGGGAATTGAACGGTCCTTGCTCCTCCTTTCTGCTCTGCCTTGTACACTTCCTTTAATTTCTGGCCTATTAAAGTGCTCATTATAGGTTATTTTGCTTAAGAGACACAACCAAAGTGTAACTATTCATTCAATTTGTTCATTCCAGACATAAGCCCCATTCTTGCTTCCTTGGGTCCTAGAAATCACCCCCTGCCTCACTCCCATAGAATTATTTGCAAAAGTCAGCCTCAGAAGTAGATTGCTTGGGATTATTATGGTTTGAGGACTATCCTGGTAGTTGGGGGAAGGTGGATGGGAGGATGGGAGAAGCCAAGCCCCATGGGTAGAAGGTAGAGAATTGAAGAGGACAGGGAAAGTGGTATTACTGTTAGTGGGGCTGAGGAGGGGTGGGAGGCAGGCTTGGAGGGGGTGCAGCCTTCTCAGCCCCACCTTTCCTCTGAGATGGCAGCACACAACCAGGAGAAGACTTGGCCAGGGGGGTGGCTTACGGTACTGTTTTCATACCTCATTTATTGCCATGTTCTTGACCTCCCGCACAGTGCTTTGGAGTTTATGCTGATTGAATGGTTGAATAAATGAATGAACTGACTTACTAACACATGATCTTTTACAAGTTGTTTTCCTCCCTGTTTTGGCTGCATAGTGAGTTTCCCTTGTTGCCGTTGCATGGAGACACTTCCCTTTTTCTCAAGTTCTTCCCCAGTAACAAAGCATCTAGAGTTGATGTGAAAATATCTGTGTCTTGTAAAAGCCCACACGTCCATTTCGCAGGGCCAGGCGATCTGCTAACATTAATTGCATTCCACCTCCCTTGCTTCTTTCCTACCGACTTCACTAGCAGCTCCTGCCTCAGCATCACAATCCTTGTCACTGAATAACCTTTTTCTTTTTTTTTGAGACAGAGTCTTACTCTGTCGCCCAGGCTGGAGTGCAGTGGCACAATCTCAGCTCACTGCAACCTCTGCCTCCCGGGTTCAAATGATTCTCCTGCCTCAGCCTCCCGAGTAGCTGGGACTACAGGCGCGCACCACCACACCTGGCTAATTTTTGTATTTTTAGTAGAGATGGTGTTTCACCATGTTGGCCAGGCTATTCTTGAACTCCTGACCTCAGGTGATCCATCCACCTCGGTCTCCCAAAGTGCTGGGATTATAGGCGTGAGCCACTGTGCCTGGCTGGCACTGAATAACTTTTGACTTCACTTGATTAGTAAGTTTAAAATTAAAAATAGCCTGCCTGGGCAACCTGGCAAGACCCTGTCTTTAGAAAAAATAAAAAGTTACCTGGGTGTGGTGGTGTGTGCCTGTAATCCCAGCTACTTGGGAGGCTGAGATGGGAGGATTGATTGAGCCTGGGAGGTCGAGGCTGCAGTGGGCCATGATCATGTCACTGCACTGTAGCCTGGGCGACAGAGCAAGACCCTGTTTCAAAAAAAAAAAAAAGATTAAGAAACAGAACATTACTAGAACATGTGCATATTCTATCACGTAGCAATTCTACTCCTAGGTACATACCTAACAGAAATGCAAATGTGCGCGAACCCCAGGGGGCGGAGCCTGCAGTGAGCCGAGATTGCGCCACTGCACTCCAGCCTGGGCGACAGCGAGACTAAGTCTCAAAAAAAAAAAAAAAAGAAAAAAAAAGAAATGCAAATGTGTGTTCACCAAAAGACACCACTCAAGTTCAGTAACTCTTATCATTTTGTCACTTTCACCTTAAATCCTAATTTTTTTTTTTTTTTTTTTTTTGAGACAAAGTCTTGCTCTATCACCCAGGCTGGAGTGCAGTGGTGTGATCTCGGCTCACTAGAACCTCCACCTCCAGGGTTCAAGCAATTCTCCTGCTTCAGTGTCCCAAGTAGCTGGGATTACAGGCATGTGCCACCATGCCCGGCTAATTTTTGTATTTTTAGTAGAGACAGGGTTTCATCATGTTGACAAGGCTGGTTGTGAACTTCTGACTTCACGTGATTCACCCACCTCGGCCTCCCAAAGTGCTGGGATTACAGGCATGAGCCACCACACCCAGCCCCAGCCTAATATATATTTTGGCGGGGCGGGGTGGTGGGGGGTCAGAGTTTTGCTCTTGTTGCTCACGCTGGAGTGCAAAGGTACAATCTCGGCTCACTGCAACCTCCGCCTCCTGGGTTCAAGCAATTCTCCTGACCCGGCCTCCCGAGTAGCTGGGATTACAGGCATGTGCCACCAAACCCAGCTAATTTTGTATTTTTAGTAGAGACGGGGTTTCTCCATGTTGGTCAGGCTGCTTTCGAACTCCTGACCTCAGGTGATCTGCCCGCCTAAGCCTCCCCCAAAGTGCTGGGATTACAGGCATGAGCCAACGCACCCAGCGATATATTTTAATAAAATAAATTAAGCATTGTAATTAAAGTTGAAGCCTCCTTTGACTTTCAATCCCAATCCCATTACTCTCTCCTTAACCCTGCAACCACTCATAAATTGCGTATTTTTATACCTTCACATGAATATACTTATATCCATGAATTCATTGCATTTTTCCTGACCCCCAGTGAGACTGAGGACTTTCTCCTGTTTCCTCTTCTATGAATTTCCTTTTCATATTATTGGCCTATTTTTCCTTTGGATTTTTCCTTGCTTATTAATTTTAGGAGAGATTTTATTTTATCTTATTTTTTTTTGAGATGGAGTCTTGCTCTGTCACCCTGGATGGAGTACAGTGGCGTAATCTTGGCTCACTGCAACTTCTGCCTCCCGGATTCAAGCAGCTCTCCTGCCTTAGCCTCCCTAGTAGCTAGGATTACAGGCATGCATCACCATGCCCGGCTAATTTTTGTATTTTTAGTAGAGACGGGGTTTCTCCATGTTGGTCAGGCTGCTCTCGAACCCCTGACCTCAGATGATCTGCCCGCCTCGGCCTCCCAAAGTGCTGGGATTATAGGCGTGAGCCACTGCACCCAGCCTACAGATGATTTTTATATGTATTTTTATTTTTAAAACACATATAATTGTAAAAATTTAAATTTAAATTAAAAATTGTTTTAAATACAGATAAAAATAACTTTAAATTATTTTTTGTTGAGATGGGGTGGGGAGGTTCTTGCTTTGTTGCCCAGTCGAGTCTTGAACTCCTGGCTTCAAGCAATCCTCCCACTGCAGCCTTTCAAGCAGCTAGGACTGTATAGGTGTGTGTAGATGAGGATCTTTAATCTGTGACTTTTTTCCTCAACGTTACTTGAAAAACGTGACAGTCCTTGAAAATATTCTAGTTACTTTGCAAGGCCTAGGGATGAATATTAAGAATAGGTGCAAATAATTGCTTAAATTTAAATACCAGAGAGAGCCATTTGGGGTGTTCGGTATTTACCAACGCAAAGCTGTCTTTGCAGCTGGGTGCGGTGGCTCACGCCTGTAATCCCAGCACTTTGGGAGGCCGAGGCGGGCGGATCACGAGGTCAGGAGATCGAGACCATCCTGGCTAACACGGTGAAACCCCGTCTCTACTAAAAATACAAAAAATTAGCCGGGCGTGGTGGCGGGCGCCTGTAGTCCCAGCTACTCGGGAGGCTGAGGCAGGAGAATGGCGTGAACCCGGGAGGCGGAGCTTGCAGTGAGCAGAAATCGTGCCACTGCACTCCAGCCTGGGCGACAGAGCAAGATTCCATCTCAAAAAAACAAAAACAAAAACAAAGCAAAGCTCTCTTTGCTTTGTTCTCATAAGACCTACCTTCAAGAGCAATGTACTTTTTGACAATGGCGAGGAGATAGAGGAAATGAGGTCACTAAATTAAAAAATTGGCCAGGTGCTGTGGCTCATGCCTGTAATCCCAGCACTTTGGGAGGCCGAGGAGGGCGAATCACCTGAGGTCAGGAGTTCCAGACCAGCTTGGCCAACAGGGTGAAACCCCGTCTCTACTAAAAATACAAAAATTAGCCAGGCGTGGTGGTACATGTCTGTAGTCCTTGCTACTCGGGAGGCTGAGGCAGGAAAATCACTTGAACCCGGGAGGCGGAGATTGCAGTGAGCTGAGAAAGTGCCATTGCACTCCAGCCTGGGCGACAGAGTGAGACTCTGTCTCAAAGAAATAAAGAAAGAAACAAAAAAGTTGCCATAGCTCCCACTACTCACACTGCTACAATATACAGTATCTGATTTCAGACTTTTCCAACAGAGACCAAAATACACCATCATCCTTAACTGAAATAATTATTTTGAGTTAAGCTTGAATTTCTGAGAGTTTGCACCTAATATATGAAGCGGTGGAGAGCTGTTCAAAGTCTTTGAGGAAGTCTCACTTTAACTTCAGCTAGCTTAATCTGGCAGCCACAGGTGGGATATAAACAGATCTCAGACTTAATCAAAATGTTCGTTTGCTGTTTCTGCACGCCCCCTTCTGGCTGAGTAAGCGCTCATCGCTAAATGATGTCATTTTATTTCTTATTTATTTTAAATTTAATTAATTAATTAATTAATTAATTTATGAGACGGAGTCTCGCTCTTTTGCCCAGGCTGGAGTGCAGTGGCATGATCTTGGCTCACTGCAACCTCCACCTCCTGGATTCAAGCCATTCTGTCACAGCCTCCCAAGTAGCTGGGATGACAGGTCCACGCCACCATGCCCCGCTAATTTTTGTATTCTTAGTAGAGACTGTGTTTCACCATGTTGGCCAGGTGGGTCTCGAACTCCTGACCTCAGGTGATCTGCCCACCTTGGCATCCCAAAGTGCTAGGATTACAGGAGTGAGCCACCACGCCCGGCCAACAAATGAGCCATTTTATTAACTGTAGTGGCTGACAAAGACAGACATTGATGCAGAAATTGCTGTTGCCATGGGAAGGAAAAGTTTATTGTGAAAAAAAAAAGTCTCTTTCTCTAGTGATAAGTGAAAAAAAAAAAAAAAGAAAGAAGAAAAAGAAAGATAAAGGCTGGGCGCTGAGGCTCATGCCTGTAATCCCAGCACTCTGGGAGGCCAAGGCAGTTGGACCACCTGAGTTCAGGAGTTCAAGACCAGCCTGGACAATATGGTGAAACCCTGTCTCTACTAAAAATACAAAAATTAGCCGGGTGTGGTAGTGGGTGCCTGTAATCCCAGCTGCTTGGGAGGCTGAGGCAGGAGAATCACTTGAACCTGGGAGATGGAGGTTGCAGTGAGCCGAGACGCACCAGTGCACTCCAGCCTGGGTGACAGAGCAAGACTCCGTCTCAAAAAAAAAAAAAAAAAAGAGTGTGGAAGTGCTTAACACAGAAAGATAAAATGTGAACTTTCATTAGATTATTTGTCGACATTTGGTGGTAGATAAACCAACAGCTCTTTCCAACTCCCCTGAAATTTTCCCACGGCTTAATTGACAGGGGAATGGGATGTTTTGGTTGGACATTTCTATACAGTCACTTAAAAATCCTCTCCGAAGGTGTTTCTTCCCTTCAAAATCAGAGAAAAGACACATTTAGTGATGAGAATCAAGAGCTAGACAGGGGACACTTGGTGTTTGGAATTCTTCACCAAATCATTTCACTTCCTTTGTTTCCTCAGGGAGGAAGGCAACCACAGCCTCTGCATTTGCTCCCTGACTTGGTTTACAAGGTTAGTCAAATACCCTGTACCACAGAGTGGCTGGGTTAATGATTTATCTAAATGAGGTAAAAGCCATATCTATTGCAACGCTGCGTTTCAGTCTATTTTCCCAAACTGGTTAGCTATTGCACACTAATGATGTAGCTTAATGCTGTGTCACTAGGCTGTTCTAGAACATTTGTGTATATTATGTTCACAGTGCTGAAAGAAGCAACTTTCCTTTTTAATAGTTACAGTCTTTCTGAAAGCCCTGGAAGAAAAAAAAAAGTGACCCTAAGAAACAAGATAGCATTCAGGTAATGTTTAAATCAGACTGTATCTCAGATCAAAGGGCACTTCTTTTTTTTTTAATTGAGATAGAGTTTCCCTCTTGTTGCCCAGGCTGGAGTGCAATGGCACAATCTCAGCTCACTGCAACCTCTGTCTCGCAGGTTCAAGCAATTCTCCTGCCTCAACCTCCCGAGTAGCTGGGATTACAGGCATGCGCCACCCCACCTGGGTAATTTTTTTTTGAGATGGAGTCTCCCTCTTGTTGCTCAGGCTGGAGTGCAATAGTGCAATCTCGGCTCACCGCAACCTCCGCCTCCCAGGTTCAAGCGGTTCTCCTGCCTCAGCCTCCAGAGTAGCTGGGATTACAGGCATGCACCACCCAGCCCGGCTAATTTTTGTATTTTTACTAGAGACGGGGTTTCTCCATGTTGGTGAGGCTGATCTCAAACTCCTGACCTCAGGTGATCTGCCTGCCTCGGCCTCCCCAAGTGCTGGGATTACAGGCATGAGCCACCGCACCCGGCCCAAATTTTGTTTTTTCAGTAGAGACAGGATTTCTCCATGTTGGTCAGGCTGGTCTCAAACTCCCGACCTCAGGTGATCCGCCCACCTCAGCCCCCCAAAGTGCTGGGATTATAGGTGTGAGCCACCACTCTGGGCCAGAATACTATGTTTTGATATCTGGATTCTCAACTTTAAGTTTGTGAAGTTCACCTATGTTGTTTTATGCAGCTGTAGTTCATTCATTCTCATTGATACATTAGCATTCCATCATGTGTATATACCACAATTTATTCATTCTACCATTGAGGGACATCTGGGCAGCTTCCAGCTTTGGTTATTATGGATACTGCTCTTAATATTCTTAAATGCATGTTTTAGGCTGGGCGTGGTGGCTCACGCCTGTAATCCCAGCACTTTGGGAGGCCGAGGCGGGTGGATCACCTGAAGTCAGGAGTTAGAGACCAGGTTGGCCAATATGGCGAAACCCTGTTTCTACTAAAAATACAAAAATTAGCCAGGGGTGGTGGCGGGCACCTGTAATCCTAGCTACTTGGGAGGCTGAGGCAGAATTGCTTGAACCCAGGAGGCGGAGGTTGCAATTAGCCAAGATCGTGCCATTGTGCTCCAGCTTGGGCAACAAGAGGGAAACGCCGTCTCAAAAAAAAAAAAGTGTCCTTTGATAACCATATATACTCATTTCTATTGGGTATGTACACCTGTGTAATATAAATAAAATTACATATACATACACACACACGTGTGTGTGTATGTGTGTGTGTGTGTGTGTGTGTATAGTGTTACTAGATGTGTCCAACCATATATATGAGCATTCTATTTCTAAATTTTTTAAAATTATTATTTAGAGACAGGTCTTGCTCTGTTGCCCAGGCTGGAGGGCAGTGGCACGATCATAGTTCAATGCAGACTTGATCTCTCCTGGGCTCAAGCAATCTTCCTGCATCAGCCTCCCGAGTAGCTGAGACTGCAGACATGCACCACCACACCTGGCTTATTTTTATTTTTTATTTTTCTTGCTATGTTACCCAGGCTGTTCTGGAACTTCTGGCCTCAAACAATCCTCCCATCTCAGCCTCCCAAAGTGCTGGGATTACAGATGTGAACCATCACAACCACCTCATGTGAGCATACTTGTTGCTGTATATCTTTGCCAGTACTTGTTACAGTCAGCTCTCCATATCCATGGGTTCCACATACGTGGATTCATCCAACCAAGGACTGAAAATATTTGCAGGAAAAAAACACAATAAAAAACAACAATAAACAGCAAAATTTTTTTAAAAAGTATCACAACTATTTACATAGCACTTACATTACATTAGGTATTATAAGTAATCTAGAGTGATTTAAAGTATACAGGAGGATGTCATAGGTTATATGCAAATACTACACCACTTTACATCAGGGACATGAGCATCTGCAGATTTTGGTATCCAAGGGAGATCCTGGAACCAATCCTCCATGGATACCAAGGGGCAACTGTATTTTGTGTCTCTTTTATTTTAGCCATTCTGCTGGGTATGAAGTGGTATTGCATTGTAGTTTTAAGAAAGACTTTTATTGAGTATACTATACATACATAAAAGTGCACATATCATAAGTATACAGCTTGATGAATTGTTATGAACTGAACACAACTACGTCATCAGCACCGAGATCCAGAAACAGTACAGTATCACTATTCCCAAATTTCCTTGTGTTCCCTTTTAATCACTACCCTCCCTCCCACAGAGATAACCTCTATGCTGACTTCAAACTAATAGATTAGTTTTGGCTGGTCTTTGTACTTTATGTAAATAAAATCATAAAGAAAGCACTTTTGTATGTCTGATTGTATGAGTGTTCTTTCTGTTTGTTCTACCTCCTCACCATACTTGGTATTTTCCATCTTTTTTTTTTTTTTTTTTTTTTTTTTTTGATCCAGAGTCTCACTCTGTTGCCCAGGCTGGAGTGCAGTGGCATGATCTCAGTGAGCTGCAACCTCTGCCTCCCCGGTCCAAACGATTCTCTCACCTCAGCCTCCCAAGTAGCTGGGATTACAGGCGCCCGCCATCACGCCCGGCTAATTTTTGTATTTTTAGTAGAGACAGGGTTTCGCAATGTCAGCCAGGCTGGTCTCGAACTCTTAACCTTGTGATCTGCCTCCTCAGCCTCCCAAAGCACTGGGATTACAGGCGTGAGCCACCACATCCGGCTGAATTCTAACATTTTTAACAGCATGAAGGTAGCTCTGGATGCTAGGGTGAGTTGCTGAAGTAAATTTTATTTGGTAATTGGTATAACTTCTCCCTCAAATTAAAGTTTTTATTTCTCCAGAAAGTATACATTTTACAAAATTGGGATAAATTTTGTAAATTATTATGTCCTTCTTCATGCTGCCCATATGCTATGTCAGTGACTATTGATAATTTTTCCAATAAGAGGTTCAAAGAGAGAAGAAAATTTTAGATTATATTATTAAATTAATATATCTATTAATTATATTATTAAATTATTTTTATTTATTTATTTATTTGAGACAGAGTCTCGGTCTGTTGCCCAGGCTTGAGTACAGTGGGGCAATCTCGGCTCACCGCAACCTCCGCATCCCAGGTTCAAGTGATTCTCCTGCCTCAGCCTCCCAAGTACCTGGGGTTACAGATGTGCACCACCATGCCCAGCTAATTTTGTATTTTTAGTAGAGACAGAGTTTCACCATGTTGGTCAGGCTGGTCAAGAACTCCTGACCTCAGGTGATTCACCCGCCTTGGCCCCTCAAAGTGCTGGGATTACAGGCATGACTCACTGCTCCTGGCCTAAAATTATTTTTAAACTCTTTAGGTAAATGAGAAGAATTTCTGTTGATTGTTACTGCTACATTATTTGCTGTTCAAGGACTATTTTTAGATGTATGAATATTAACAGCATTTTTTTTTTTTTTTTGAGACAGAGTTTCACTCTTGTTGCCCAGGCTGGAGTGCAATGGCGCGATCTCCGCTCACTGCAACCTCCATCCCCTGGGTTCAAGCAATTCTCCAGCCTCAGCCTCCCAAGTAGGTGGGATTACAGGTGGCCGTCACCATGCTGGGCTAATTTTTTGTACTTTTAGTAGAGATGGGGTTTCACCATGTTGGCCAGGCTGGTCTTGAGCTCTAGACCTCAGGTGATCCACCCGCCTCAGCCTCCCAAAGTGTTGGAATTACAGGCGTGAGCCACTGCGCCCAGCCTTAACAGCATTTTTAAAGGAGTTTAGATAAACATTTTGAAATAGATTAGGAACTACTGCATAATATCATATCCCGTAAAAAATGTGCATGATACAATTCTTTTAGAAACAATGAGACTATATATAGCAAACACTGAATGAAGCTCATACTATTTTATTGTAATTTGACTTCTAAACATTTATCCTAAAGACAATATTTAAAGTAAAGTAAAAAAAAAGCAACAGTATAGTTTTTCCTTACAGCACTGACTATGATATATTTTAAAAAGTGGAAAACAAACTAAGTATCTGACATTAGAATAGCTTAGTAAACTATGGTACATCAACAAAGTAAAATATGAGGAATTAAAATGATAATTAGGGCTGGGCCTAGTGGCTAACACCTATGATCCCAGCACTTCGGGAGGCTGAGGCAGGAGGATCATTTGAGCCCAGAAGTTTTAGGCTGCAGTGAGCTATGATCACGCACTCCAGCCTGCGTGACAGAGTGAGCCTCTCTCTCTAAATACATACACACACACACACACACACACACACACACAATGCTTTGTATTTAAATTGGATAGAATGTATTACTAATAATAGTTATAGCTTTAATGAGTTCGTGCTGGGGACCATAAACTTGTTATCCAATTTCTAACTTAATCCTCCACAATAGCAATGGGGTAGGATTATTATCTCCATTTTCTAAATAAAGAAACTGAGGCTTAAAGAGGCTAATCATATAAGTTCTCACAGCAAATAAATGGCTCAGATGAAAATTTCTTTTTTTTTTTTGAGATGGAGTTTTGCTCTTGTTGCCCAGACTGGAGTGCAATGGCGCAATCTCGGCTCACTGCAACCTCCACCTCCTGGGTTCAAGTGATTCTCCTGCCTCAGCCTCCCGAGTAGCTGGGATCACAGGCATGTGCCACCACACCCGGCTAATTTTGCATTTTTAGTAGAAATGTGGTTTCTCCATGTTGGTCAGGCTGGTCTCGAACTCCCGACCTCAGGTGATCCGTGCGTCTCGGCCTCCCAAAGTGCTGGGATTACAGGCGTGAGCCACCGCGCCCGGCTCAGATGAAAATTTCTGGAGATGCTCTTTGAAAAAGGAGTCTATAGTCAGATACATTTCAGAATGACTTCATTCTAAATTTCATCTCTGGGAGAATCACCATGTATATTAGTGTCACAGGTTCCTTAAGGTGTTGCTTTACCAGCCAGAAACCTCTGTGGTCAGCAGCACCTTCTGCCTGAGTATTGCTTGCACCCACTGGGCTCGTTCTGCCCACTCTGTCCGGCAGGCTGTACTCAGCTCACGCTACCAGCCAGGATCCCATACCTGCTAAACGCAAACCAGGCGCAGAGCTGCGAGGATTGTGTAGGTGAGCAAGCGCGGGGTCCACCCACTGTGCACAGCCAGGCGTGCTGGCTGCTGCAGCAGGGCAAGCAGCTCCAGGTGCCAGCACAGGCCCCGTGCAAGGCTGTGACTGAACCAGATATACTGCACGCAGCTTCTGCTGCAGGCACCCGTACCTGGACAAGGGGAATGCAGTGGCACCTGGAAGCCTGGAGGCAGCAGGAACCGTAGAACCCCAAAGAGGGGGTCGCAGTCCTGGCTCGGGGCGCCCCTAGGTCTGGGCTCCCCAGAAGGCTGCAGCTCTTCTTCTCGTTGCGCAATGTGGCGAGTGTGTGTGTGTGTGTGTGTGTGTGTGTGTGTGTCAGGGGATTCATGTTTCAGCCCTGTTTCTATTACAGGTTTTTTTTGTTTTGAGATGGAGTCTCACTCTGTCACCCAGATAGAGTGCAGTGGCGCAATCTCAGCTCACTGCAACCTCCGCCTCCTGGGTTCAAGCGATTCTCGTGCCTCACCCTCCCAATTAGCTGAGATTACAGGCGCACGCCACCATGCCTGACTAATTTTTGTATTTTTAGTGGAAACAGGGTCTCACCATGTTGGCCAGGCTGGTCTTGAACTCCTGACCTCAAGTGATCCACCCATGTAGGCCTTCCAAAGTGCTGGGATTACAGGAGTGAGTCTCTGCACCCAGCCTGCTACAGCTCTTTTAGTCCTGCCATTCAGTGGGTCCTGAGTTCTTGTCCTGCATCCAGGAAGAACGAGGTATGCAGACAACTGCAGGGTGAGCAAGGTGGAGAGGAGCTTCATTGAGCAGCAGAACAGTTCTCAGGAGACCCAAATTGGGTAGCTCCTGGCCAGGCATGGTGGCTCATGCCTGTTATCCCAGCACTTTGGGAGGCTGAGATGGGAGGATCACTTGAGGCCAGGAATTCAAGACCAAAGTGGGTAGCTCCTTTCCACAGGCAAGTTGTCCTGTCAAGTGTCCAGCTCTCAGTGGAGAGGACACCCACAGTGGGTATCTCCTCTCTGCAGGCAGGTTGTCCAGCAGTCTGTCTGTGTCTGGCTGAGTCCGGGGTTTTTCTTTTTTTGGAGACAGAGTCTTGCTCTGTCGCCCAGGCTGGAGTGCAGTGGCGTGATCTTGGCTCACTGCAAGCTCCGCCTCCCAGGTCCACGCTATTCTCCTGCCTAAGCCTCCCGAGTAGCTGGGACTACAGGCGCCCACCACCACGCCCGGCTAATTTTTTGTATTTTTAGTAGAGACGGGGTTTCACCGTTTTAGCCAGGATGATCTCGATATCCTGACCTTGTGATCCACCCCCCTCGGCCTCCCAAAGTGCTAGGATTACAGGCATGAGCCACCACGCCTGGCCGAGTCTGGGGGTTTCTATGGGCTTCAGAGGGGAGGAAATGCATGCTGATTGGTCCATGGGTGCCCATGGGCAGGCCCCAAAAAAACCCATAAGTTCTCACTCCAGTCAACGGAACTGATAGCATGGCCACCAGGCTTCAGGCCATTCCTGGCTTGAAGGTGGGGCTTCACTGGTACCTGCCTTTTTCTGCCCAGGAGCCTGTCTGCCTCCTGCTGCCATCACTCTGCCATCCATGGTGCCCATGGCACCCAGGCTGTTCATGCCAAAGAGCACCTGCAGGCCCACATCAAGCTGCCTTCGGCCCCCACTCAGCCTCCCTCCCATGCTCATTAGGCGCCCACAGTCTGAAGGGGGCTGAGGCAGCAGGTGTGTCAGTGCTGTCCTGAGCATGTGCACACCTGGCTAGGTTGTGACAGCATCTGGGCTTGGCCTCACCTTTGCTCTGAAGTTGGAGCAGGCACCAGGAGTGGGGAGAGGCCAGGCAGTGGGAGCAGGCACACCCAAGACTGTGGGGGGCAGGGGGCCTTCCTGGTCGCTGAGAGTTCAGGGATACTGGATTCCACATCTGCGACTGGGCAGCTGCAGCTGTGCCCCGGAGGGCAGGGCTCCCACCCTTCCAACAAAAACGGGGCAGGGCTCCCATCTGTTCTTGGTTCCCTAGCTCCAAGCGGCGTGCAGCCCTGTCGGCACCTCCCTTGGTGTCATGGCAGCAGCCACTCCAGACAGGCTACCACTGCCATCATTATTATAGTTACTTAATGTTTTAAGAAGTCTGGCCATTAAGAATGCAGCTTGAGCTGGTTCAACCACAACTTTTCAAAGTGTATTTGCCCACGAAACCATTAATCTGTAGTGGTGAATGTGGTGGTGTCCTCTGTAACCCTGCAGTCCTACTTCCTACTCCCTATCCCTCTCCCTTATCCTGCTGAGCTCTTATCCTGCTCAGCTCATGGAGCACTGAAAAATTCTTGAGAGGGCCACTTCTGAAGAGCACACTCTGTATACCACCTTCTGAACTGCTAATGTGGATTTAAAACCAAGAAACAGGCTGGGCATGGTGGCTCATGCCTGTAACCCCAGCACTTTGGGAGGCAGAGGTCAAGGCAGGCAGATCACTTGAGGTCGGGAGTTCAAGATCAACCTGGCCAACATGGTGAAACCCCATCTCTACTAAAATGCAAAAACTAGCTGGGCTTGGTGGCTCATGCTACTGGGGTGGCTGAGGTGGGAGAATCGCTTGAACCCAGGAGGCAGAGGTTGCAGTGAGCCAAGATCACGCCACTGCACTCCGGCCTGGGTGACAGAGTGAGGCTCCATTTCAAAAAATAAAATAAAATAAAAAATAAAACCAACAAACAGAAATATAAGGCAACTGCTCTACAAACCTCAAGAGCTAAAATATACGAAGAACATGAGGAAGTCAAGCTCTCCTGCATTGTTTCAAACCCATATCTCTTGAATTCTCTTTTAATTTACAATGGTTCCTTCTTCCTATTTTTCATGCCATTTATTTGTCAAATAAACAAGATTTTGTGTGTGTAGACACAAGTTCATTTTTAAAAGTTTTTTATTATGAAAAAAGGTGGCTCACACCTGTAATCTCAGTGCTTTAGAAGGCCAAGGGGAGAGGATTGCTTGAGATCAGGAGTTCCAGACCAGAGTGTGGAGACAGTGAGACCCCCGTCTCTATAAAAGTTTTTTTTTAATTATCTGGGTGTGGTGATGCATGCCTATAGTCCCAGCTACTTGGGAAGCTGAGGTGGGAGGATTGCTTGAGCATAGAAGTCCAAGGCTGCAGTGAGCTATGATCATACCACTGTACTCCAGTCTGGGGATAGAGTGAGACCCTGTTTGTTAAAAAAAAAAAAAAAAAAAGAAAAAAAGGCTTTTTATCTGAAAAAGTCATACATAGACATAAATTGAGAGAATGATGTAATGTGTCCCCATTTACCCACAACCCAGCCTTTTTTTTTTTTTTTTTTTTTAGAGACAGGGTCTCACTCTATTGCTCAGACTGGAGTGCAGTGGCAAAATCACAGCTCATTGCAGCCTGGGCCCACACCCAGCTTTAACAATTATCAACTCATGGTCAATCTACTTTCATTTACATCCCCACCTGTTTCACTTTATCCATACATATTTTTGCATGTCTTGCTATAAGATAAATACCATTTTTTCTAAATATAACACCATATTTTTATCATACTTTAATATTATCTCCAAAATCAGGCACCCATTTTGCTCAATTCAAGAGATGCAGACAAAATCCACAGCTGTTCAGCAGGCTAATTGGTAAACTACACTTTTGTGTCAGAAGTGCTTGTCCCTACTTCTCTCCCAGAAAAAGTAGGAGTATGTTTGCTTCAGGCACCTTCCACCTGCTGAGAGCACCCTTGTTCAGTCTCAGCTTTGGTCTTTGTAATCAAACCGTTCGGCAGGGAAGACTAATGTTGGGGGTGGGAGGAGAGAGAGAGAGAGAGAGGACATTCAGGTAGTGTGGTCCTCCACCACCCTGGGATCCATTCCTAAATGTGTCAGCCTTCCCCATCTCTTACCCTCTTGCTTCTAGTTGTATTTTTGTTTGTTTGTTTGTTTGTTGTTGTTGTTTTGAGACGGAGTCCCACTCTGTCACCCAGGCTGGAGTGCAGTGGCACAATCTCAGCTCACTGCAACCTCCACCCCTAGGTTGAAGCGATTCTTTTGCCTCAGCCTCCAGAGTAGCTGGGATTACAGATGCACACCACCATGTCCAACTAATTTTTTTGTATTTTTAGTAGAGACCTGCCAGGCTGGTCTCAAACTCCTGTCCTCAGGTGATCTGCCCACGTTGGCCTCCCAAAGTGCCGGATTACAGGCATGAGCCACCATGCCCAGCCTACTCGTATGTTTTAAAGTGATTCAAGCATCTTTATTTGGTGTGTGAGCCATTCTGTACTATGATCTAGCCTAGGATAGCATGCCTGGGAGAATGCTTGAAAGTTACCATTGCATCAATTTAATTTCCCATATTCTAGATGAAAATCGAGGCAATCTGATTCCAAAGCCCATTATCTTAAGAACTATGTGATATGGTTTGGTTGTGTCTCCACCCAAATCTCATCTTGAATTCCTACTATTGTGGGAGGAACCCTGTAGGAGGTAATTGAATCATTGGGGCAGGTCTTTCCCGTGCTGTTCTCATGATAGTGAATAAGTCTCATGAGATCTGATGATTATATAAAAAACGGGAGTTTCCCTGAACAAGCTGTCTTCTCTTGTCTGCCACCACGTGAGACATGCCTTTCACCTTTTGCCATGATTGTGAGGGTTCTGCAGCCACGTGGAACTGTAAGTCCAATAAACCTCTTTTTTTGTATGTCTTTATCAGCAGCATGAAAACCAACTAATACAGCAAATTGGTGCCCGCAGAGTGGGGTGCTGCTGAAAAGATACCAAAAATGTGGAAGTGAGTTTGGAACTAGGTAGCAGGAAAAGGTGGGAACAGTTGAGAGGACTCAGAAGAGGACAGGAAAATGTGGGAAAGTTTGGAACTCCCTAGAGACTTGTTGAATGGCTTTGACCAAAATGCTGATAATGATATGAACAATGAAATTTGGGCTGAGGTGGTCTCACACAGAGATGAAGAACTTGTTGGGAACTGGAGTGATATGGTTTGGCTGTGTCCCTATTCATATCTCAACTTGAATTCTATCTCCCAGCATTCCCACGTGTTGTGGGACGGACCCAGGGCGAGGTAATTGAATCATGGGGGCCGGTCTTTCCTGTGCTATTCTTGTGATAGTGAACAAGTCTCACGAGATCTGATGGGTTTATCAGGGTTTCCACTTTTGCTTTATCTTAATTTTCTCTTGCTGCCATGACATAAGAAGTGCCTTTCACCTCCTGCCATGATTCTGAGGCCTCCCCAGCCACATGGAACTGGAAGTCCAATTCAACCTTTTTTTTTTTTTTCCAAGACGAAGTCTTGCTCTGTCGCCCAGGCTGGAGTGCTGTGGCACAATCTCGGCTCACTGCAACCTCTGCCTCCTGGGTTCAAGCAATTCTCCTGCCTCAGCCTCCTGAGTAGCTAGGACTATAGGCACGCATCACCATGCCTGGCTAATTTTTGTATTTTTAGTAGAGATGGGGTTTCACCATGTTGGCCAGGCTGATCTTGAACTCCTGACCTCGTGATCCACCCACCTCGGCCTCCCAAAGTGCTGGGATTACAGGCATGAGCCACCGTGCCAGGCCCCATTAAACCTTTTTTTGTTCCCAGTTTCGCATATGTCTTTTTCAGCAGTGTGAAAACAAACTAATACAATACTTTGGTGCCAGTAGAGTGGGGCATTGCTGAAAAGATACCCAAAAATGTGGAAGTGACTTTGGAATTGGATAAAAGGCAGAGGTTGGAACGGTTTGGAGGGCTCAGAAGAAGACAGGATAATGTGGGAAAGTTTGGAACCTCCTAGAGATTTATTTAATGGCTTTGACAAAAATGCTGATAATGATATGAACAATAAGGTCCAGGCTGAGGTGGTCTCAGATGGAGATGAGGAACTTGTTGGGAAGTGGAGCAAAGGTGACTCTTGTTGTGTTTTAGCAAAGAGACTGGCAGCATTTTGCCCCTGCCCTAGAGATTTGTGGAACTTTAAACTTGAGAGAGATGATTTAATGTATCTGGCGGAAGAAATTTCTAAGCAGCAAAGCATTCAAGAGGTGAAGTGGGTGCTGTTAAAGGCATTCCATTTTACAAGGTAACCAGAGCAAAGAAGTTTGGAAAATTTGCAGCCTGACAATGCAATAGAAAAGAGAATCCCAGCTGGGCGTGGTGGCTCACACCTGTAATCCCAGCATTTTGGGAGGCTAAAGTGAGTGGATCACCTGAAGTCGGGAGGACGAGACCAGCCTGACCAACATGGAGAAATCCCATCTCTACTAAAAATAAAAATTAGCCGGGCATGGTGACACATGCCTGTAATCCCAGTTACTCGGGATGCTGAGGCAGGAGAATCGCTTGAACCTGGGAGGCGGAGATTGCAGTGAGCCGAGATGGCACCATTGTACTCCAGCCTGGGCAACAAGAGTGAAATTCCGTCTCAAAAAAAAAAAAGAAAGGAAAAAGAGAATCCCATTTTCTGAAGAGAAATTCAAGCCTGCTGCAGAAATTTGCCTAAGTATTGAGGTGCCAAATGTTAATCATGAAGACAATGGAGAGAATGTCTCCAAGACCTGTCAGAGACCTTCGTGGCAGCCCCTCTCATCACAGGCCCAGAGGTTTAGGAAGAAAAGATGGTTTTGTGGGCCAGGCCCAGGGTCCCCATGCTGTGTGCAGCCTAGGGACTTGGTGCCCTGCGTCCCAGCCACTCCAGCTGTGACTAAAAGGGGCCAAGGTCCAGTTCAGGCTGTTGCTTCAGAGGGTGGAAGCCCCGAGCCTTGGCTGATTCCATGTGGTGTTGAGGCCGTGGGCACACAGAAGTCAAGAATTGAGGTTTGGGAAGCTCTGCCTAGATTTCAGAGGATGTAAGGAGAACAGCTGGATGCCCACACAGACATTTGCTTCATCATGTTGGGCGGGTCCTCATGGAGAACCTCTGCTAGGGCAGTGCAGAAGGGGAATGTGGGGTTGGAGCCCCCACACAGAGTCCCTACTGGGGCACTAACTAGTGCAGCTGTGAGAAGAGGGTCACCATCCTCCAGACCCCAGAATGGTAGATCTACTGACAGTTTGCACTGTGTGCAAGAGAAGGAAAGGGCACTTTCTATAAATCCAGGTAGGAAGATGAGTGTTAAGACCATACAAGTAGTCACAAGGAACTTGGGGAAAACAAGGCATTCTAAGTGAAGTGCTAGAATGAGATACAACATACATTGAATGGATAGATTAGAATTTTTGTTAAAAGTAGTTTGCTGAAAAATCCTACAAATAATTATGAACTCAGTAACAATTAACACATTTAACAACTAGATTGTAGTTTCTAAATAAAGTTGCTTACTAACAGGAACCAAACTTCTTGGAGAAATGGCTAACTGCAAGTCTGAAATAGGAAACATGCAAGATGAACTCTGGACCATCTTATTCTACTAGAAAGCAAGGAAGCCATCAGGGTCCTGTCAACATGACTTAGAGAAATTTGAAGACATTCTCACTAGTCAGAGTTGGGACATTTTAAGCATCAATAAGAATAATAGCTGTAATTAATGAAAACACATTAAATAGGTGTAAATATTCCATGGAATACTATGCAGCCATAAAAAATGATGAGTTCATGTCCTTTGTAGGGACATGGATGAAACTGGAAATCATCATTCTCAGTAAACTATCGCAGGAACAAAAAACCAAACACCGCATATTCTCACTCATAGGTGGGAATTGAACAATGAGAACGCCTGGACACAGGAAGGGGAACATCACACTCTGGGGACTGTTGTGGGGCGGGGGGAGGGGAGAGGGATAGCATTAGGAGATATACCTAATGCTACATGACGAGTTAATGGGTGCAGCACACCAGCATGGCACATGTATACATATGTAACTAGCCTGCACATTGTGCACATTACCCTAAAACTTAAAGTATAAAAAAAAAAGGTGTAAATATTAAGTCCAAAATTCTACTTTAAAAATCTCATTGGTCATTTTTGGAGAATGCTAGAAAACCAACTCATTATTTTGAAAATTAAATAAAAGGAAGGAATCAAACACTTCTGAAAAGTCGACTATGGGTATGAGAGAAAACTTTGTAGTTTTTTAAATGAAAACTGGAAGGCTGGACCTCATTACTTTGCATCCTTGAACATTAATTAGGATACAGACCATTCTGTCCTATGCTGTTAATAGTTTATTGAATTCTATAAAGTACTAGAATAGGGAAGAATGCTTTTATTGTACTTTTAACAGATTTTTCCTGCAGATTCATCACCTCAGGTAGCCATGCAATAACTGTTAATAGATTATAACAAAGATAGAGAAAGAGGCCTCATTGTAAATAAACAAAGCATTTTAGTCTGTTCTAACAGATTGCAACCTATTAATCATTTGTGTTAGCTTTCCAGGGAAACCTCCATTTAAATATGGATTTATCTGCTTCACAAGTTTCATTAAGGGTCATTATTCTTATATATTTATATTAATAATTGCAGGAGAGAAAAATATTACAGCATTTTTTTTTTTTTTTAGATGGAGTTTTGCTGTTGTTGCCCAGGCTGGAGTGCAATGGTGCCATCTTGGCTCACTGCCACCTCTGCCTCCCGGGTTCAAGTGATTCTCTTGCCTCAGCCTCTCGAGTAGCTGGGATTACAGGCATGCGCCACCACACCCAGCTAATCTTGTATTTTTATTTTTTATTATTTTTATTTATTTACTTAATTTTTTTTTTTTTGAGATGGAGTTTTGCTGTTGTTGCCCAGGCTGGAGTGCAATAGTGCGATCTCGGCTCACCGCAACCTCCGCCTCCCAGGTTCAAGCTATTCTCCTGCCTCAGCCTCCTGAGTAGCTGGGATTACAGGCATGCATCACTACGCCCGGCTAATTTTGTATTTTTAGTAGAGATGGGGTTTCTCCATGTTGGTCAGGCTGGTCTCGAACTCCTGACCTCAGGTGATCCGCCTGCCTCGGCCTCCCAAAGTACTGGGATTACAGGCATGAGCCACCGCACCTGGCTAATTTTGTATTTTTAGTAGAAACGAGGTTTCTCCATGTTGGTCAGGTTGGTCTTGAACACGGGACCTCAGGTGATCCGCCCACCTTGGGCTCCCAAAGTGCTGGGATTACAGGCATGAGCCACCACTCCTAGCAATATACTCTTTATAACCTCACTACAACCACCTCAGATAGGCATTATTATTCACACTTTAAGCATGGAGAAACTGAAGCTCAGGGAAGTTAGGTAACTTGTGCCAGGTCACACAGCAAGTTAAGTACTGGAGCTGGGTTTGGAAACTGAACATTATGTCTCTAGGGCTGAACACTTACCTATTAAGCTATTATCTCAACTGCAAGTTTGATCATAAGACAGAATATTTACTTACTAATTAAGATGTACAAATGGGTAGGTTAGAGATTTTGGCTTTAGTCCTTACTCTGATATTTTAGCCAACTTTCTTCGTGACTCATTTTTTTTTTAACCTGTCAAATGGGAAAATAGCACTTACCTATTGTATGCAACCTATTTTTACCTATCTTTATTATTATGATAATAGATGTTAAAGTACTTTGAAAAGACAAATACTATACAAATGTAAAGTGCTACTACGATTATTTTTCTAAATAACAGAGGGCACTACACCTGTCTTCTGTCTTGGTGGGGTCAAGGTCTAGATTGACATTCTAATTCAACAAACATTTCCTTCTTTCTTTCTTTCTTTCTTCTTTTTTTTTTTTTTTTTTTTTTTTTTTTTTGAGACAGGGTCTCAGTCTGTCACCCAGGCTGGCTGGAATGCAGTGGCGCAATCTCAGCTCACTGCAGCCTCAACAGCCCAGGCTCCAGAGATCTTCCCACCTCAGCTTCCTGAGTAGCTGGGGGTTACAGTAGCTTCCCGAGTAGCACCCGGATAATTTTTTTTTTTTTTGAGACGGAGTCTCGCTCTGGAGGCTCTGTCGCCCTGGCTGGAGTGCAGTGGCATGATCTCTGCTCACTGCAACCTCCACCTCCTAGGTTTAAGCGATTCTCCCTTCTCAGCCTCCTGAGGAGCTGGGACTACAGACGAGTGCCACCACGCCCGGCTAATTTTTGTATTTTTAGTAGAGATGGGGTTTCACCATGTTGGCCAGGCTGGTCTCAAACTCCTGACCCTGTGATCCACCCGCCTCGGCCTCCCACGTGCTGGAATTACAGGCGTGAGCCGCCGCGCCTGGCCGCACCCGGCTAATTTTTTCAATTATTTGTAGAGGCGGTGTTTCGCCATGTTGCTCAGGCTGGTCTCAAACTCCTGGGGTCAAGCTACCTGCCCGCCTCAGCCTCCCAAAGTGCTGGGATTATAGGCGTGAGCCCCCACGCCTGGCCAACAAACACTTAAGTGTCTTCTATGAACCTAGCAAGTGCTTGGCACTGCTTCTGTTGAGTGCACAGCCCCAAGCGGAAGACAAACATTAAATACGCAATTATACAAATATGATAAAGTTTTATATTGTGTCTTGAAGGAAATAAACCCCTTGTTAGGAAAGAGAATGAGAGAGTGGACTTGGAGGAAATGACTTTTTCTCCACTGGGAGAGGGAAGAGTGGAAAACATGGAGAGGGGAGTGCTGTGCATGAGTCATGGTGGGAGAGATACCAGCCCAAGGTTGGGTCACTCAGGGCCTTGGGGGCTCTGTATTGGGCTTTGTACTTTATCCCAAGTGCAACAGAAAATCCTTTTTTTTTTTTTAACTTTTTTTTTTTTCTACTCTTGTTGCCCAAGCGGCAGTGCTGCAGTGGCGCAATCTCGGCTCACTGCAACGTCTGCCTCCTGGGTTCAAGCGATTCCCCTGTCTCCCAAGTAGCTGGGATTGCAGGCGCCCACCACCGCACCCAGCTAATTTTTGTATTTTTAGCAGAGACGGGGTTCACCATGTTGGCCAGGCTGGTCTGGAACCCCTGACCTCAAATGATCCGCCCACCTCGGCCTCCCAAAGTGCTGGGATTACAGACGTGAGCCACCGCGCCCGGCCAGAAAATCCTAAGGGGTTAGGAGCTGAGGCCTAGAATGGTCAAAGAGTTGGAGGTGTTTGCAAAAGTGATTTCATTGATGACCCGTGATGTCTGGGTTGAAAAGGGGAGAGTGAAGAGAGGAGGGGACTGCAGGATGGAGAGAAAGCAGCAGGGCTTGGACTGAAGAGCTTGCTAAGCTGAAAGGACTGTTGCTGCGGGGGTTACTTGAGAGCACGGAAGGAGAGGAGAGCGTGTTTGAATGAGTGAGGAAGGCTGTGAAGTTTCTGGTCCATGTTGTGATCACGGGAGTGGGTGGTGGTAACAGAGCAGAAGGAAGTGTAGCTGGGAATGTGAAGTGAGAAAGCTAAAAGGCCAGAATGGCTTGACAGAACCAGAGAGCAAGTTCCAATTCACGGGAGGCTCAAGCGCCTGGGTTTTGTACAGGGCTGACCCCTGCTGGTAAATTCTGGTAGAAGCCCAGGAAGCCACGCTGCTCGCTTAGGAGAACCTGAGAAGTGTGGTAACAGCGGTCACAGGCAGCAAAGGAAGAGGGCTGTTTTTCCTTAGACATAACATTTTCATTTTTGAAATGTCTCTGCCAGTTTTAGGCTTAGAATGTCCTCACAACTAAAGCATTCTTTGTAAATAATCCCCAACTCATGTTATCAAATGATGAAAATGCAATGTATGAATAATAGGGAGAAAAATTTCTCCGTGAATTGTCTTTTCACTTTCTTAGTAAACATATATGTAATAAAATGCACACATCTCAACTGTAGAGCTAGATGAAACTGTAGAAATGTATAAGCCCATTACGTAACAAATGTAATCATCACCCAGATTAAGTTAGAGCATATTCCAGTAGATCTCCCCAAAACCTCCCTCTTGTCCACTCACTACTTACCCTACTATCTTGACTTCTAACAGCATAGATTAGTTTTGCCTGTTGTTGAAAGTCATATAAATGGAATCAAACTGTATGCATTCTTTTGTATTTTGTTTCTTTTCTTTTTCTTTTTTTTTTTTTTTTTTTTTTTTGAGATGGAGTCTCGCTCTGTCGCCCAGGCTGGAGTGCAGTGGCGCAATCTCAGCTGACTACAACCTGCACCTCCCGGGTTCAAGTGATTCTCCTGCCTCAGCCTCCCAAGTAGCTGGGATTACAGGCGCATGCCACCATGCCCAGCTAATTTTTTGTATTTTTAGTAGAGATGGGGTTTCACCGTGTTAGCCAGGATGGTCCTGATCTCCTGACCTTGTGATCCGCCCGCCTCAGCCTCCCAAAGTGCTGGGATTACAGGCGTGAGCCACTATGCCCTGCCTGTATTTTGTTTCTTTGACTTAACATATGCCTGTGAAATTTACCCACATTGTGGTAGTAGTTCATTCTTTTTTAAAAAATTGCATTAAAAAATATGCTACCATTATTTATCCATTCTTTTTTTTTTTTTTTTTTGAGACGAGGTCTTGCTGTGTCACCCAGGCTGGAGGGCAGTGGTGGGATCTCAGCTCACTGCAACCTCCACCTACCAGCCTCAAGCAATCCTCCCACCTAAGCCTCCCAAGTAGTAGCTGAGACTACAAGTGTGCACCATCACAACTGGCTAATTTTTGTGGGTTTTTTTGGCTAGAGATGGGGTTTTGCCATGTTGCCCAGGCTGGTCTTAAACTTCTGGGCTCAAGCAATTCTCCCAGCTCAGCCTCCCAAAGTGCTAGGGTTACAGATGTGAGCCACTGTGCCAGGCCCACTATTTATCCATTTCTATTACTGATTAAAATTTGGATTGTTTCCAGATTATGACTATTATGCTCCTATGGCCATCCATCCATATGTCTTCTGTTAATTGTATGTGTGTGTATATGTATATATGTATTGTGTATGTATATGTATACACACATACATATGTGTACAGATATGTATGTCTATATACACACATACACACACATGCACACATATACACACACACATATGTTTGGTTAGTTGCCAGGTCACTTTAAGTAGGCAACAGAAAGGACCTCAAGAGAACTCCTTGGAGAATCTGACTTGAGGTCCTTAGAGTTTGTGTAGTACAGAGATGAGTTCTGAAAACATTCTCCAGGCCAAAGTGGCCAGAGGTGGCAGAGTAGAGAGGGCTGTGTTAGATGTGGACTACACGCCCTCTGAGGACAGGGCAAAGTACGGGTGGTTCTTATGGACCAAATGTGGATCCTGGGTCCCTCTTGGATCCTTCCCTAGAAAGACCATGGGATCCCAAAAGAGAGGTGGCCTGAAAGATGACAGGGAGCGGTCAAAATGGCAGTCAGATGAGAGGCATTACCAGGAATCTCTGAGGGACTCAAGGAGGGGAAGCCCTGGGATCTCCATCCCCTAGGGGGTACCTTCATGGGGTACCTGTCAGTAAGATCTTTCTGTCCCTTCCTGTCCCAGAAGAGGAGCTGGAGACAACATAGTGAGGGCCGGGGAAGAGGAGGACAGCCACAGTGGGAAAAGAGGACCAGAAGCTATCCATGACTTCTCCCCGACTGTCGGCTTCCCAGCCTGAAGCAGCTCAGAGCTGGGAGACTGACAGAAGCTCCAAATCAGGTAAGGATGTGGAGTTGTGATTAAGACACTAATCTAACTATTTAATTACTAAAATATCCCTGATAAAATCTTCTGCCCCAAAACTTGCTTCCCCTGCTGAATTCCTCACTTCACCTAATTGCAACTCCATCCCTCCAGTTGCTCAGGTCCGCAGCCATCAAGTGATCCTTCTGTTTTCATTCACATCCCATATTCCATGCATGAGAAAATCCTGCCGTCTCTACTTCAGTATGCTTCATGTTCTGAAATGGGAGAGTGGTCGAGTAAGTTTTTGGTGTTTACTGTATTTTGGATGTCCTGAATTATTCATTGTTGGCCAACATTCAGGAACTAAGCATTAGTACAGCTTGTAGATTTTCTGATTTCCTTATTTATTTATTTATTGAGACAGGAATCTTATTCTGTCACCTAGGCTGCAGTGCAGTGGCATGATCTCAGCTCACTGCAGCTTCAACCTCCTGAGCTCAAGCAATCCTCCTGCCTCAGCCTCCCCAGTAGCCGGGACTACAGGCATGGGCCATCAATGCCTGGTTAATTTTTTGAGGAGATGGGGTTTTGCCGTGTTTGCCCAGGCTGGTGTTGAACTCCTGGACTCAAGTGATCTGCCCACCTCAGCCTCCCAAAGTGTTGGGATTGAGCCACAGGAGTGAGGCACTGTACCCGTCCTCATTTTCTTTAATCTATTGGTTTACTTAAGTTTTTTCCCTTGAATTTGAAAATATTTCCCGATGTTCGTAGGTTTTCTAAGTTTACAAAGAAATGCTCTGTCCCTCTGTAGTACACACATGTGCCACTAAAGGCTAAATCTTCAAAATAAAGAGCCAAACCCAAGGAGGTAACTAATAACTCACTGAAGTGAAGTGATTATGGTTGCTACTAATTCACATCCCACATAATTCAATACAAAGAAATTGTTGGGATTGCATGCATGTGGGCTTCTGGATGGTGACCTGTGCATCTGTTCCTCTTGCCTGCTCAAACATCTTTCTTCCTAGAAGAAGACAGGGTCTAGACATCAGTAAGTTGGCAAAATGGGCCATTCCAACACTTGCTTCCCACAGAAACATCAATTTGAACAACTGTCCATGCATGAAAATACCTTCACAAGCACTAAGGATACCAGGTGAGAGATTACAGCACCCGAATGTAGTGCAGAAATAAGAAAAGACTCCTGTAATCCCAGCACTTTGGGAGGCAGAGGCAGGTGGATCACGAGGTCAGGAGATCGAGACCATCCTGGCTAACATGGTGAAACCCCATCTCTACTAAAAATACAAAAAATTAGCTGGGCATGGTGGTGGGCACCTGTAGTCCCAGCTACTCAGGAGGCTGAGGCAGAAGGATGGCGTGAACCTGGGAGGCAGAGGTTGCAGTGAACCAAGATGGCGCCACTGCACTCCAGCCTGGGCGACAGAGTGAGACTCTGTCTCAAAAAAAAAAAAAAAAGAAAAAAGAAAAAGAAATAAGAAAAGACATATTGAGGAGGGTAGGAAGGACAGTTTTGCATGATCCACATCACCCCTGCCTCAACCTCAGTCAGCATAGTGTGGCCAGGTATACCCTCCACTTAGGGGAAGGAGAGGGAAATAAGCAACAAACTTTGTCTCAGACCTCAACACTTGGGTTGGGTTGTTGGGTGACAGAGTGAGAATTGTCTCTACAAAGTAATAAAAAATTAGTCAAGTGTGGTGGCATGTGCCTGTAGTCCTAGCTACTCTGCAGGCTGAGGCAGGAGAATCGCTTGAGCCCAGAAGGTTACAGTGAGCTATGATGGCACCACTGCACTCTAAAGCCTGGGTGACAGGAAAAAAAAAAAAAAAAGGCAGTTGACTTCAGTCAGGTGTCAGGTCACTCAAACTTTTCATTGTTCTGTGCATGTCCCCAAATGACTGTAAAATTGCTGCAAGTATTGATTTTGGGGTTGCAAATAAATTTTAGCAAATAGGCAAATTCACAATTCCGAATCTACAAATGAAAACAAACTGTTATCTAGGAACAAATTTAACAAAAGAAGTGTAAGACCACAACTCTGAAAACCACAAGACATTGTTCAAAAAAATTAAAGAACATTTAATGGATGGAAAGATATCCCATAGCCATCAATCAGAAGCCTTAATATTGTTAAGAGATCTATCCTCCTCAAATTGATCTATAGTTTTAACTCAATCTCTATTAAAATTCTAGTTTGTTTCTTTGCAGAAATTGACAAACTGATCCTAAAATTCATACAGAGATTCGAGGGACTCAGAATAGCCAAAACAATCTTGAAAATGAATAATAAAATGGGAGGACCCACCTTTCCTGATTTCAAAATGTACTACAAAGCTACAGTAATTAATACAATATGGACTGGAATAAAGATAGATAGAGAGGTCAATTGAATATAATTAGGAGTCCAGAAATAAACTATTACATTTATGGTCAGTTGATTTTTGACATAGGAGCTAAGACAATTCAACAGGGAAAGAATAGTCTTCTCAGCAAATGGTGCTTGGACATCTGGATAGTCACACACGAAAGAATGAGGTTGGACTCTTACAAAAAACAATATACAAAAATTAACTCAAAATGGATCAAAGACCTAAATATAAGAGCTAAACTGTGAAACTATTACGGTTTCTTAAACATGATGTCTAAAGCATGAGCAACAAAAAATAAAATAGATAATGGGACTTTTACCTAGGATATATAACAAACTATTAAAACTTAATAAAAAGACAAGACCAGGCACAGTGGCTCACGCCTGTAATCTCAGCACTTTGGGAGGTCAAGGTGGGAAGATTGCTTGAGTGCAGCCTGTGCAACATAGTGAGACCTCACCTCTACAAAAAATAAAATTAGCTAGGCACAGTGGCATGCACCTGTAGTCCCAGCTACTCGGGAGGCTGAGGTGGGAGAACTGCCTGAGCCTGGGATGTCAAGGCTGTGGTGGGCTGAGATTGCACCATTGCACTCCCGCCTGGGCAACAGAGTGAGACCCTGTCTCAAATAACAAGAATAATAATAATAATAAGACAAATAACCTAATTAAAAATAGGCAAAGACTCTGAATGGACAGTTCTCTCAATAAAACACACAAATGGCTAGAAGACACATGAAAAGATGTTCAATACCATTAGCTATTAGGTAATGTATATCAGGTAAATGTAAATGAAAACCACAATGAGATGCCACTTCACACTTACTAGGATAGCTATAATAAAAAAATAGATAATAACAAGTGTTGACAAGGATGTGGAAAAATTGGAGCCCTTCTACACTGCTGGTGTATAAAGTGTAGCCACTTTGGAAAATCGTCTGGCAGTTCCTGAAAAAGTTATACATGGAGTTATCATGTGATCCAGCAATTCTACTACTAGAGATATATATAAGAGAAATGAGAAATAAAAGCATATGTCCATATGAAAACTTGTACAGCAGCATTATTTATAACAGCAAAAAAGTGGAAATGACCCAAATGTCCATCAACTGATGAATGGATAAATAAAATATGGTATACTCATACAATAGAATATTATTCAGCAATAAAAAGACAGGAAGTACTGATACATACCACAACATGGATGAACTTTAAAAACACTACACTAAGTGAAAGAAGCCAGTCAGAAAAGGAGCCATATAGTATATTATTCCATTTATATAAAATGTCCAAGACAGGGCCAGGAGCAGTGGCTCATGCCTGTAATCCCAGTACTTTGGGAGGCCAAGGCGGGAGGATCACCTGAGGTCAGGAGTTCGAGACCAGCCTGATCGATATGATGAGATGCCATCTCTACTAAAGATACAGAAATTAGCTGGGCGTGGTGGCATTTGCCTATATTCCCAGCTACTCGGGAGGCTAAGATAGGAGAATCGCTTGAACCTGGGAGGCAGAGATTGCAGTGAGCCAAGATCGTACCATTGCAGTCCAGCCCGGGCAACAAGAGCAAAACTCCATCTCAAAAAAAAAAAAAAAAATGTCCAGGACAGGCAAATCTAAAGAGACAGAAAGTATATTAGTAGTTGCCTAGGTCTCAGGGGATGGGGGAGTTAGGGGTGATGGCTAAGGGGTATGTGGTTTCATTTGGGGGTAATAAAATATTCTAAAATAGATTGTGGTGATGGTTGCACAACTCTGTGAACATACTAAAAGTCATCGAATTGTATACTTTAAATGGGTGAGTTGCATGATATGCAAATTATATCTTAATAACTTTTTTTTTTGGTCGGAGTCGTGCTTTGTCACTCGGGCTGAAGTGCAGTGGTGCAATCTCGGCTCACTGCAACCCCCGCCTCCTGGGTTCAAGTGATTCTCCTGCTTCAGCCTCCCGAGCAGCTGGGACTACAGGCACCTGCCACCATGCCCAGCTAATTTTTTTTTTTTTTTTGAGTAAAGATGGGGTTTCACCATGTTGGCCAGGCTAGTCTGGAGCTCTTGACCTCATGTGATCTGCCCACCTTGGCCTCCCAAAATGCTGGGATTACAGGCATGAGCCAATAAAGCTATTTTTAAAAAACAGAAGTAAATGAGTTACAAATTTCCAAAAGGAAATTGATAAAATAATTCAAAATACCAAAGAAAATAGTGCTTGCAGGTAACTTTACCTAAAAGACAATGAGAAGCTTTGAAAAATTATTAGTTAATCCTGTAAGATGTTTGAACAGTGAGAATATTAAAAATATTGATAATGGTATTTTTCTACTTGATCATTTTCTCTCTCTCCTTTTACTCTTACCAAATCACATTTTTATGTCTTTGTATGTCTTATGCTATATTGATTTCAAAATCCTTTTCATTTCAAACAGGATTCCATGAACAAAGGACATAGAAACAAATGAAAATAATTATTTTATTGTATATAATGTCTAAATTCAAATTACTACAAATTGACATAATATAAAAAATAATTCTATTTGCTAAGAAAAAACAAAATAGGGCTTCATCATTTGACTCTACTCTCAGAAAAACCTATAATGTATTAAAAAGTCTAACTTTTATCTCTTATTTTATCTTTGAATTGGTTTCTTAATGGGAATAACAACCCCAGACAGCCAAATGAAGTTAAGGAAACTGTTTTTAAAAATCTATTTGTCTGTGCTGTCTGAGAATTATATATATATATATGTCTTCTTTGATTAGATCTAAATTCTCTAACCAAATTACGTGTTTTTATTTCTGAACTCTCCCTTTATCATTAGCAACTGTCACAATTTCAGAGTTGTTAACAATTTGGTTGTACTTTATGTAAGCCTTTTAACTTTAAGCTTATTTATATCAGTTCCTCTTACTCTAATAACACTTGAGAATTTATGTATGCTATATTTATTTTTTCCTCAATCCCATATATATCACTTTCATGCTTCTTTAAGTGATGTGCTGTAGAAACCAAAACTGATGCTAGAAAAACCTTATTAAGCAAATAATATATTTTACTCTCTCTAAACCTTTTGTAGTTATTTTACATTATCTTCTCAGCTCATCCCAACTGATTAAAATTCCTTCACTGAGGCTTAGGTCTTTGTTATTTTGAGATCAGGGCATTCAAGTATCAGGAACAGCTGTAAAATATTTACGGAAGGAACGGAAAAGAAGGAAAGCAATGACAACATGAGCCTAGAAGGATGGAAAAGCATGTTCTGATTAATGGACACTGAGAAAGTAGTTATTGAAAATGACAGAAAGGCGTGCTCTTGGCACTGTGAAGCCTTTTTTCTCTGCACAAGAACTAAGAGGCTCCAAGCTGAGATATGGGAAACATAACAAAACAAGAAAGCATACCAAAAGAGAGAGAAGAGAATGACAGCAGAAACAAGGAAGATTCGAAACAATGAGCAAAAAGTAACACAGAAGGCTACAAACAGGGAACAGAGGAGCAAAGAATCTGGTAGAGATAGTCCTGAGCAAAAGAAGTTGAACCTAGCCACCTCAGGAGAGAGGGAAAAAGGTAAAAATGGTGGAAAGGTGGCATAGGCCTCAGCCCAGGGAGGGTCAGGGGCTGAATGGGAAGGGAGGGAGTATCAGCAGAAAACACTTTGATATTTTTAGCACTGAGGTTAGGACAACTCCATAGTTTGGGCTGAGGTGGAGAAAAGCAGATGGGGAAAAGGTTCATAGATGGTTGCGATATTACTCATTTCTAATCCTAACATTTCCTTTATTATATGATCCCCACCCCCTTTATTACAGGAGTAATAAATTCAACAAAATTGTAAAGATGGGAAATTGCATGGCGTAAGGGAGGAGAGGGAGTAGATGAATTTAGTTATAATGGAAGGTTCATGTAGGGGAGTGGTGCCAGGGAAGACTAGAAATCCACGGCAGAGGCAGATTGTGAGAGTCCTCAGATGTCAGGGCAAGGAACTGGGCTCCAGCAAGGAAGGAGTAAGGAAGGATTTTCAGCAAGTATGTGAAATGATGAACACAGTGTTTTAGGGAGATAAATTTACCAGCATAAGACATTCAGAATGGAGACGGAGGGAAGCCAGAGGCAAGAAAATTAGTTAGAAAGTTAAGGTGCTTATCGCAGAGAGCAAAGCCCTTAAAAATGTGTACATAAAAAAATTCTGCTTCTGGGAATTTATATCCTAAGGAAATACTTATGTACACAAAGATTTCACTACTAAAGATGCTTATTGCAATGTTGCTATAAAACATTAATAAACATCTATAAAATTTTTCTGAAAACACTTTTAAGAGCAATCTTTAGCAGCTAAATCTTTGCACACATTCTTCATTATTTCTTTTTTTGGGGGGGCTGGGGGGAAAGGAGTTTTGCTCTTGTTGCCCAGGCTGGAGTGCAATGGCACAATTTCGGCTCACTGCAAGCTCCGCCTCCTGGGTTCAAGCAATTCTCCTGCCTCAGTCTCCCAAGTAGCTTGTATTACAGGCATGTGCCACCATGCATGGCTAATTTTTGTATTTTTAGTAGACACAGGGTTTCACCATGTTGGTCAGGCTGGTCTCAAACGCCTGACCTCAGGTGATCCACCCGCCTCGGCCTCCCAAACTGCTGGGATTACATGCGTGAGCCAGTGCGCCCGACCCATTATTTCTTAAAGTTTTATCTATAAAAACTTCCAACTTTGCTAATAAAAATAAATCATTATGATCTTTTGATCCACAATACTAAAATGACTAACAAAAATATAGCTATATAGACACACACACACACACACATGCACACACACACAACAGCATGAACTTCTAAAGACAGAACTAACAATGCATGCTCAAATGTATTGGTATTAAAATTGAGTTGAAACTACAGTCTCCTGTCGATATTGGAGGTTTCTTCCATGATCACCACCTAAATTGCCATGGGAGCAGAGAAGGTAGCATAAGGGAGCAGGGCAAGGAGGGTGAGAAAGCTTCAGAGGGGATGCTCTGGGGAAATTACTTTATTTTTCTTATTTTTATATCTTATCTCTAAACTACACTGTAAATTCAATGAAAGTAGGGACAAAATACCATCTGGATGAGGAATGAAAATGAGGCCAGGCCAGTGGCTCACTCCTGTAATCCCAGCACTTTTGGGAGGCTGAGGATTGTTTGAGCTCAGGAATTTGAGACCAGCCTGGGTTACATAGTGAGACACTGCCTCTACTAAAAATTAAAAAAACAAAAAATTAGCCGGGTATGGTGGCATGTGCCTGTAGTTCCAGCTACTCAGGAGGCTGAGGTGGGAGGATCACTTGAGCCCAGGAGTTTGAGGCTGCAGTGAGCTATGATTATGCCACCGTACACCAGCTGGGAGTGAAGAGCGAGACTCTGTCTCAAAACTCCTGTTTATATTTAGATTACCTAAACATGACTGTTGCAAGGGAGATGGAATTACCCTGATTGAATTAAACCAGAGACATCTCTTGGAGCCAGAGATGGGGATCCATCCATATGCCCCCCAAGTCTTGTGGCTGCTACATTATAAGCAATGAGTGAATAGATGTTGGTAAAATGTATACACATATATATGTATTTTTTGAGACAGAGTCTCGCTCTGTCGCCCAGGCTGGAGTGCGGTGGTGCCATCTCAGCTCACTGCAAGCTCCGCCTCCTGGGTTCATGCCATTCTCCTGCCTCAGCCTCCCGAGTACCTGGGACTACAGGCGCCCACCACCACGCCTGGCTAATTTTTTCCATTTTTAGTAGAGACGGGGTTTCACCATGTTAGCCAGGATGTTCTTGATCTCCTGACCTCATGATCTGCCCACCTCGGCCTCCCAAAGTGCTGGGATTACAGGCGTGGGCCACCACGCCCGGCCAGTAAAATGTATATTTTAAAGATGAAATTGAAGCTTATCATGGCAGAATTCAAATGTCAAGATAAACTGCAACGTCTTGTAATAAAACTTTGCAGACATGATCATGGAACAGCTGACAGTAATTTGAATAATCTTGAAAAATAGATTAAATATTGTTATAGACATTTGTAGACAATATTAAAAGGTGTGGGTGGGGATGGTAAGACATAGATGGGAGATCAACTGTAACAACAAATATATCAAACCAACCCGTTGGACAGTGGTTCTCAACTTCTGAGTATTAGTAAGGCATTTTAAAATACTACAGTTTTTTATAGCATATGTTACTAGATAAAAAGTGTTACTCAAAGTAATACTAAATAAGTCAGCAATAATTATAAGGTAATGGCTACTGCAGGATAAACATGCATAACACTGTTTATAAAGAATTAGTATGTAGTGGACAGCTGTTGGTTTTACTTCTCAGCATCCATTCACCATTTTTCTGGGAAAACAGCATGCCAGAATGCCCTCAGAGAGCCACCCCTCTTCTCTTCTCAATCCTTGTGGTTTGAGGCTCGGGATGCTCCCTAAATCAATAAGCAACTCCCAACCCCTTGGCTACAGATTGGTCCAATGATGAGCATGTGGCCCAAATCTGGACAATAAGAGTGAGGACTAGGAGGAGATAAAGCAAGATGGCCGAAGAGACACCTCCAGCAATTGTCCCCTCACAGGAACACCAAATTGAACAATTATCCACACAAAAAAGCACCATCATAAGAACCAAAAATCAGGTGAGCAATCACAGTACCTGGCTTTAATATTACATTAAGAAAAGATATACCGAAGAAAGTAAGAAAGACAGTCTTGAATCACCTATAACACCCATCTCTCATCCCCCAGCAGCAGCCATATAGTGCAGAGGGAGACTCTGTGCCCTTGGGGGAGGGAGATTGCAGTGATTGTGAGACTTTGTTGGAACTCAGTGCTGTCCTGTCACAGTAGAAAGCTACATGGGGCAGAACCTAGCAGCCACCCATAGAGGAAGCATTTAGGCCAGTCCTAGCCAGAGGAAAATAGTCCAACCCAGCAGTCAGCACCTGAGTTCTGGCAAGGCCCACCACCATCGGCTAAAGTGCTCTGGGGTTCTAAATATAATTGAAAGGAAATCTAGGCCACAAGGACTGCAATTCCTGGGCAAGTCTTGGTGCTGTGCTGGGCTTAGAGCCAGTGGACTTGGGATGCATGTGACATAGTGAGACACCAGCTGGGGCAGCCAATAATGTGCTTGCATCGCCTTTCCCCCAACCTCAGGGAGCACAGCTGGCAGCTCCAGGAGACACTCCTTCCCTCTGCTTGAGGAGAGGGGAGAGTAAAGAGGACTTTGTCTTGCAACTTGGGTACCAGCTCAGACATAGCAGGACAGGGCACCAGGTGGAGTCCTGAGGTCCCCATTCCAGGCCCTATTTCCTAGACAACATTTGTAGACACACCCTTGGCCAGAAGGGAACCCACTACCTTGAAGAGAAGGGCCCATCCCTGGTAGAATTAATCACTTGCTGACTAAACGGTCCTTGGGCCCTGAATAATTAGCAGTGGTAGCCAGACAGTACTTGTCATGAGCCATGGGTGAAACTCAGAGCCATGCTAGCTTCAGGTGTGACCCAACACATTCCTAGCTGTGGTGGCTACAGGGAGAGTCCCCTTCTGCTTGAGGAAAGGAAAGAAAACAGTAAAGGGGACTTTGTCGTGCAGCTTGGGTACCAGCTCAGCCATGGTGGGGTAGAGCAACAAGTGGGCTCTTGGGGTCCCCAGTTCCAGGTGTTGGCCCCTGGACAGCATTTATGGACCTGCCCTGGGCCAGAGGGGAACCCACTGCCCTGATGGGAGAGACTCGGGCCTGGCAGCATTCATCAAAAGCTTATTGAAGACGCCTTGGGACTTGAATGAACATCAGGGGTAGCCAGGCAGTATTTACTGTGGGTTTGAGGCAGTTTTGGCCATAGGGAGAGACTCCCCTGCTTCAGGAAAGGGAAAAGAAGAATGGGAAGGACTTTGTCTTGTGGCTTTGGTGCCAACGCAGCCACAGTAGAATACAGTACCAGATAGATTCCTCAGGTTCCCAACTCTAGGCTTTGGCTCCTGGATGGCATCTCCGGACCCACCTGGGGTTGGGGGGAGCTTGCTGCCCTGAAGGAAAGGACAAGCCTGGCTGGATTTGCCAGCTGCTGATTGTAGAGCCTTTGGTCCTTGAGTGAACATAGGCAGTAGCCAGGCAGTGGTCACTGCAGGCCTTGGGAATGACTCAGTACTGTGCTGACTTCGGGTTTAACCCAGCACAGTCCCAGTGGTGGTGGCCACAGGGGTGCTTATGTCACCCTTCCCCCAGCTCCAGGCAGCTCAGCACAGAGAGAGAGAGAGAGACTCTGTTTAGGGGAAAAAAGGGAAGGGAGCAAGAGTCTCTACCTCGTAATCCAGAGAATTCTCCTGGATCTTACCTAGATCATCAAGGAGGTACTTCTATAGGTCTACAGGATTCACAATGTTACTGGGCTTGGGTGTCCCCTAAAGAAGACATGGCTACAGTGACCAAAGACATAGATCACAACATCCAAGTCTTTTTGAATACCTGAAAAGCCTTCCCAAAAAGGGTGGGTACAAATAAGCCCAGACTGCTTACAATAAACACCTAACTTCAATGCCTAGACACTGACAAATATCCACAAGCATCACAATGATCCAGGAAAACAAGACCTCACCAAATGAACTTACTAAGGCACCAGTGACCAATTCCAGAGAGATAGAGATATGTGACCTTTCAGATAGAGAATTCAAAATGGCTGTTTTGAGGAAGCTCAACAAAATACAAGATAACACAGAGAAGGAATTCAGAATCCTATCAGATAAATTAAACAAAAGATAGAAATAACTTAAAAGAATCAAGCAGAAATTGTGGTGTTGAAAAATGCAATTGACCTAATGAAGGATGCATCAGAGTCTCTCAACAGCAGGATAAATCAAGTAGAACAAATTAGTGAGCTTGAAAAGGTTAAACCAAAAAAGAGTAGGAGTAGCTATACTTGTATTATACAAAGTAGATTTCAAGACAAAAACTATAAAAAGAGACAAAGAAGGTCACTATGTAATAATAAAGGAGTCAGTTCAGCAAGAGGATATAACAATTGTATATATATATATGCACCCAACACTGGAGCACCCAGGTTTATAAAGCAACTATTACAAGAGCTAAAGAGAAAGATATACCCCAATACATTAATAGCTGGAGACTTCAACACTCCACTTTCAGCACTGGACAGATTATCCAGACAGAAAATCAACAAAAAATATTGGATATAATCTGCACTATCAACCAAATGGACCCAATAGATAGGCATAGAACATTTCATCCAACAGCTACAGATTACATATTCTTCTGCTCAGCATATGGATCATTCTCAAGGATAGACTGTATGTTAGGCTACAAAACAAGTCTTAAAGCATTAAAAAAATTGAAAATAATATCAAGTATCTTCTCTGACAACAATGGAATAAAACTAGAAATCAATAACAAGAGGAATTTTGGAAACTATACAAACACATGGAAATTAAATAATATGCTCCTGAATGACCAGTGAGTCAATGAAGAAATTAATAAAGAAATTTAAAAAGTTATTAAAACAAATGAAAATAGAAACACAAGATACCAAAATCTATGGGATACAGCAAAAGCAGTACTAAAAGGAAAGCCTACAGCAATAAGTGCCTACATCAAAAAAGTAGAAAAACTTCAAATAACCTAACAATGCATCTTAAAGAAGTAGAAATGCAAGAGCAAACAAAACCCAAAATTAGTAGATGAAAAGAAATAGTTAACATCAGAGCAGAAATAAATCAAATTGAAATGAGAAAAATACAAAAGATCAATGAAATAAGACCTTGATTTTTTGAAAAGAAAAACAAAACTGACAGACAGTTAATGTGACTAAGAAAGAGAGAAGACCCAAATAAATAAAATCTGAGATAAAAAAGGAGACATTAAGACTGATACCACAGAATTTCAAAGGATCATTAGCGGTTACTATGAGCATCTATATGTCAATAAATTGGAAAATTTAGAAGAAATTGGTAAATTCCTGGACACATACAACCTAGCAAGATTGAACCATGAAGAAATAAAAAATCTGAACAGATGAATAACATGTAATGAGATTAAAGCCATAAAAAAAAGTCTCCCAGCAAAGAAAAGCGCAGGACCCGATGGCTTCACTGCTGAATTTTACTAAATATGTAAAGAAGAACTAGTACCAATCTTATTCAGATTATTCCAGATTCAATCTTATTCAGATTATAGAGGAGGAGGGAATACTTCTGAACTCATTCTACAAGGTTAGTATTACCCTGATACCAAAATCAGACAAAGGTGCCTCAAAAAAATAAAGCTACTGACCCATATTCCTGATAAACATTGATGCAAAAATCCTCAACAAAATACTAGCAAACCAAATTCAACAACGTAACAAAAAGATCATTCATCATGACCAAGTGGGATTTATCCAAGGGATGCAATGATGGTTCAACATATGCAAATCAATCAATGTGATCTACCAACGGAATGAAAGACAAAAGCCATATGATCATTTCAATTAATGCTGAAAAAGCATTCAATAAAATCCAACATCTCTTCATGATAAAACTCTCAAAAAACTTGGTATAGAAGGACCATATATCGACACAATAAAAGCCATATATGATAGACCCACAGCTAGCATCATACTGAATGAGGAAAAACTGAAAGCCTTTCCTGTGAGATCTGGAACATGACAAGGATGCCCACTTTTACCACTGTTATTTAACATAGTACTGGAAGTCCTAGCTAGAGCAATGAGATAGAGAAAGAAATAAAGAACATCCAAATTGGAAAGAAAAAAGTCGAATTATCCTTGTTTGCGAGTGATATAGTCATATATTTGGAAAAACCTAATGACTCCATCAAAAATTATTAGAATTGATAAATTCAGTAAAGTTGCAGGATACAAAATCAAACATACAAAAATCAGTAGCATTTCTATATGCCAACAGTGAACAATCTGAAAAAAAATTTAAAAAGGAATCGCATTTACAATAGCTACAAACAAAATAAAATGACTAGGAATAAACTTAACCAAAGAAGTGAAAGATATCTACAGTGAAAACTATAAAACATTGGTGAAATAAATTCCCAGCCTGGGCAAAATAGTGAGACACTGTCTCTACAAAAGATTTTAAAATTTGGCTGGACATGGTGGTGTACAGCTGTAGTCCTAGTTACTTGGGAGGCTGGGGTGGCAGGATCAGTTGAGCCCAGGAGTTCCAAGTATAAGGCTGCAGTAATCTATGATCATGCCATTGCACTCCAGGCTGGGTGATAGAGCAAGATTCTGTCTCCAAAGAAAAAAAAAAAAAAAAAAGAAAGATATTTAAGAGGACACAAAAAATTGAAAGATATTTCATGTCCATGGATTGGAATAATCAATATTGTTAAAATGTCCATACTGCCCAAAGCAATCTATAGATTCAATGCAATCCCTATCAAAATCCTAATGACATTCTTCATGGAAATTGAAAAAAAAACAAAAAACAAAAAAGAAAAACCTAAAATGTATATGGAACCACAAAAGACCCAGAATAGCCAAAGCCAGCCTGAGCAGAAAGAACAAAACTGGAGGAATCACATTACCTGACTTAAAATTTTTTTAATCACAAAACTAACTTTGTTATATTTTTCCCACTTAGATTTCTACGTTAAGTATCATCACTGTCCCAGTGACTTCTGGTTCTTCTTTTCTTGATGCACACAATGTCCTCAGACTTCTTTGGATTTTCTGCACATCTCTTGACACTCCACGTTACTCTCCACTCAGATTCACTCTCCAAAGTGCTTGCTGCAGACTGGCTTTTAGTCTTTCTTGATCTCTCAAACACATGGAGTCTGAATTTCTTGCTTCTTCTTTCCCTTTCTGACTCTGCATGTGAACCCCTGCACTCTTGTCCCCTCTGTTCTACCTGACTTAAAATTATATTACAGAGCTAGGCATGGTGGCTCATGCCTGTAATCCCAACACTTTGGGAGGCCGAGGCAGGAGGATTGCATAAGCCCAGGAGTTTGAAACCAGCCTTGGCAACATAGCGACACCCTGTCTCAAAAAAATTTTTTAAAATTATATTACAGAACAGTAGTAATCAGAACAGCAAGGCATAAAAACAGACATGTTGACAAATGAAACAGAATAGTGAACCCGGAGATAAATCCATACATCTACAGTTAACTCATTTTCAACAAAGGTGCCAAGAACATATGCAGAAGAATGAAACTAGATACCTATCTCTCACCATATACAAAAATCAAATCAAAATGGATTAGAGCCTTATCTAATCATAATGAGTCATGGGAAAATACTTCTCTTCAAGTAACTTAGAACCTAGAATGATATAGGATGGAGAATTGCTGACATCGTCTTACCACCTCAAAGTAAATCCTGCCTGAAATAAAACCAACACAGTGGAAACGTAGCCATGAGATGGAGAAGAGAGACTGCGTCTTAATAGCATTATTTGAGTCCCTGGTCACACCATGCTTGAGGTCTACTCCTAAACCTTTCAGCCACATGTCAACAAATTCTGTATTTTGATTAAGCCAGTTTAATGTAATTTCATTAAGCCAATAGCTTGTTAGACTCCTTTTACAAACAAATACCATATGATCTCACTTATATGTGAAATCTCAAAAAATTTAACTCAGAAGCAGAGTAGAATAGTGGTTACCAGAGGCTGGGGGAATGAGAGGCAAATTAAGAGAGGTTGGTCAAAGGTTGCAAAATATCAGTTAGGCAAGAGGAATAAGTTCAAGAGATCTATTGCACCATATGGTGACCATGGTTAATAAAATGTATTGTATGCTTGACGATTGCTAAGAGAGTAAATTTTAAGTGCTGTCACCACAAATAAATGATAAATATGTGAGGTAATACATACACTAATTAGCTTGATTGAGCTATTCCACAGTGTATACATATTTCAAAACATCAGGTTGTACACCATAAATATATACAATTATTATTTGTCAATTATAAATAAATAAATGGCACAGAGAGGTTGATTGTAAATGGAAGAAAAAATAAACCATGTAAACAAAAAGTCTAAGAAAGCCCTTCACTTCGCCCTCCAGCTGCTGCAGCTGCAGCCCGACCGCGAGCGTGCCAAGCGGCTTCAGCAGCTAGCGGAGCGGTGGCGGCGGCCCCGCTCAGGAGACCACCAGATTCCCCTCTTCCCGCGGCCTCGCCATGGCGACCCACGGACAGACTTGCGCGCGTCCAATGTGTATTCCTCCATCATATGCTGACCTTGGCAAAGCTGCCAGAGATATTTTCAACAAAGGATTTGGTTTTGGGTTGGTGAAACTGGATGTGAAAACAAAGTCTTGCAGTGGCGTGGAATTTTCAACGTCCGGTTCATCTAATACAGACACTGGTAAAGTTACTGGGACCCTGGAGACCAAATACAAGTGGTGTGAGTATGGTCTGACTTTCACAGAAAAGTGGAACACTGATAACACTCTGGGAACAGAAATCGCAATTGAAGACCAGATTTGTCAAGGTTTGAAACTGACATTTGATACTACCTTCTCACCAAACACAGGAAAGAAAAGTGGTAAAATCAAGTCTTACAAGAGGGAGTGTATAAACCTTGGTTGTGATGTTGACTTTGATTTTGCTGGACCTGCAATCCATGGTTCAGCTGTCTTTGGTTATGAGGGCTGGCTTGCTGGCTACCAGATGACCTTTGACAGTGCCAAATCAAAGCTGACAAGGAATAACTTTGCAGTGGGCTACAGGACTGGGGACTTCCAGCTACACACTAATGTCAATGATGGGACAGAATTTGGAGGATCAATTTATCAGAAAGTTTGTGAAGATCTTGACACTTCAGTAAACCTTGCTTGGACATCAGGTACCAACTGCACTCGTTTTGGCATTGCAGCTAAATATCAGTTGGATCCCACTGCTTCCATTTCTGCAAAAGTCAACAACTCTAGCTTAATTGGAGTAGGCTATACTCAGACTCTGAGGCCTGGTGTGAAGCTTACACTCTCTGCTCTGGTAGACGGGAAGAGCATTAATGCTGGAGGCCACAAGGTTGGGCTCGCCCTGGAGTTGGAGGCTTAATCCAGCTGAAAGAAACCTTTGGGAATGGATATCAGAAGATTTGGCCTTAATATATTTCCATTGTGACCAGCAGCAGGCTTTTTTCCCCCAAGAAGATGATCAAAACAAAGGATGATCTCAACAAGAGCTGTATTTTAAGTATTTAGACAGTTCTTTGTTAGCTGGTTTCTAGTTGAATTGGTTATCTAGTTACCAATGCTGCAGTCCTGCAGTCACCTATACATTATTTAAATGTATTTAACTGTTAAATGCGCTACCCACCAATAATGAAATAGACCTTTATGAAAAAAAAAAGTCTAAGAAAGCTGAAGTTTTTATATTAACATAAGATAAAATAAACCTCAAGACAGGAATACCAGCTGGGTGTGGTCACTCACACTTGTAATCCCAGCACTTTGGGAGGCCGAGGCGGGAGGATCAAGACCAGCCTGGGTAACATAGTGAGACTCAATCTCTACAAAAATAAAAAAAAACTAAAAATAGCCAGGCATGGTGGCACACACCTGTAGTCCCAGCTACTTGGGAGGCTGAGATGGGAGGATCACTTGAGCCTAGGAGCTTGAGGCTGCAGTGAGCTATAACTGTGCCACTGCACTGCAGCCTGGGCAACAGAGGGAGACCCTGTCTTTAAAAAAAAGATAAGATCACCATTGTCAAAATTAATAAAATTGCATACTTTAAATAGATGCAGTATAGTCTTTGCAAATTATTCCTCAATAACATATTTTTAAGGTAAAAGAAAAAATTATTTTAACTTGGGTACTTTACAGTACTATGTTCATCATTAAGTATGATGCTTAAGAAAATTCATGATAATATTTTAAAATGCTTATGTATGTAAATGGAAAAATGAGACACGAAATTATATAATTTCATCTCAATTATGAAAATCAAATCAGAAGAGACATAGAAAAATACTAGAAGAAAATGTTGCCGGGTGCGGTGGCTCATGCCTATAATCCCAGCACTTTGAGAGGCCAAGGCAGGCAGATCACTTGAGGTCAGGAGTTTGAAACCAGCCTGGCCAACGTGGCAAAACCCTGTCTGTACTAAAAATACAAAAATTAGCCGGGTGTGGTCGTGCGCACCTGTAATACCAGCTACTCGGGAGGTTGAGGCAGGAGAATCGCTTGAACCTGGGAGGCGGAAGTTGAAGTAAGCTGAGATCGTGCCACTGCACCCCAGCCTAGGCAACACAGCAAGACCCTGTGTCAAAAAAAAAAAAAAAAAAAAACGAAGAAGAAGAAGAAAAAGAAAAATATTAGAAGAAAATGTATCTAAACTTTAACAGTCGGTAGTAGGTAGGGGGTTATAAAGTCTATTTTTTTCTCTTACTTTTCTGAGCTTCTAAACTCTCCCCATGACATGTTTTCTGTTACTTTTATAATAAAACACCTTACATTTTATTATAAAACTTATTAAACGTATTAAAAATATACCTAGAGAAGAGTAGGATGCACTCCTATATATTTATATCCCAGATTCAATCATCATCGAGATTTTGCCCCATTTGCTGAATCTATCCTTTTTTTCCTGAAGTATTTTAAAGCAAATTCCAGACATCATATCATTTCACCTACAAGTACTTGGTAAGAATCTTTTTTTTTTAATGGATATTTTCTGTCATTACCACAATGCCTTTATAGTACTTACCTAAATTAACAATAATCCCTTGGCATCTTCTAATACCATCTAATCCACATAATCCTACTTTCAAAATTGTCTCTAAATATCTTTTTTTTAGTTGGTTTATTCAAATTCAGGTACAAAAAAGGTCTATATTATTACAATTGGTTGTTTTGTTTCTTAGATTTCTTTCCATTTAGAGAAGATTCCCCCTCCCCGTCGACACACACATGCGCACCTGAGTGCACACACACACATGCACGCACACACATTAATCCTGTCAACGATTTGTTGCAAAAACTGTGTTAACCGTTGTACAGAATATTATGCATTATGGATGTGTGTATTTGCTTCCCTGTGGTATCATTTAACTTATTCCTCTACCCTTTTTATTTCCTCTAAATGGAAGTTACCTCTAAAAATCCAATTTATTCTGGTTCAACATTTTTGGCAGGAATACTTTATAGGTAATGCTCTGAAAACTCTTGTGTTTAAAATAAATATTTATCTCAACATGCCGGAATTAGTCTCAAATCAAGAAGACTAAATTAACCAGAATAAGATTTTAAAAGACTGTTTTAGGTTTAAACATTAAATCGCAAAGTAAAATTGAAGACACCTGGATAAGCATTCGGGAAAGAGACCAGAAAATTTTAACTGAACATGAGTTCAAAATAAGAAAACTGTATGAGCCAGGTGCGGTGGCTCATGCCTGTAATCCCAGCACTTTGGGAGGCCGAGGCAGGCGGATCACGAGGTCAGGAGATCGAGACCATCCTGACTAACAAGGTGAAACCCCACCTCTACTAAAAATACAAAAATTAGCTGGGCTTGGTGGCGGGCGCCTGTAGTCCCAGCTACTCAGGAGGCTGAGGCAGGAGAATGGCGTGAACCCGGGAGGCAGAGCTTGCAGTGAGCCGAGAATGCACCACTGCACTCCAGCCTGGGCAACAGAGTGAGACTCCGTCTCAAAAAAAAAAAAAAAAAAAAAAAAAAGAAAAGAAAACTGTATGATATAATTGGTTAAAGGTAATGCTTCACTGCACTTTTCTAGTATATCCTTTGCAGGTGGTGAAACAGGTTTTTGTTTTTGTTTTTTGGAGAGTCTTGCGTCTTGCTCTATCGCCCAGTGGTGTGGCCTCGCTCACTGCAACTTCTGCCTCCCGGGATCAAACGATTCTCCTGCCTCAGTTTCCTGAGTGGCTGGAATTACAAGCACTTGCCACCATGTCCAGCTTTTTTTTTTTTTTCTTTTCTTTTTGTACTTTTAGTAGAGATGTGGTTTCGTCATGTTGGCCAGGCTGGTCTGGAACTACCAACCTCAAGTGATCTGCCCACCTCAGCCTCCCAAAGTGCTGGGATTACAGGCGTGAGCCTCTACATCCGGCCAATGAAACAGTTTTTTATCCGACTGCTGGAGGCAACCATGTGCTGCAGTGGATAATAATGCAGATGCTGGAGCTGGACATGATAGGTTTGACTAGCTATGTGACCTTTGGCAAGTAAGCTAACTTCTCGGTTTTCTCACCAATCATAGTAATATTACAGTCAGTGCTCAGGAAATATTGACAGCTAGTATTTTTATTACTTCTAGGTCTAAGAAATACTACACTAGAAAAACTTGTATGTGCACAAGTCACATACAAGGATATTCATTGCAGCAAGCTTTATAACAGTAAAAAAAATCGAAATGTTCGTAAGTTGGGGAAGGGATAAATAAAATGTGACATATTAATATAATAGAATCCTATGCAGTATTAGAGGAACTAGTTCTCTATGTATTAGTTTGGATGGATCTCAAAATTGGAATGTTGAGTGAGCAGGCAAGTTTGCAGAATGACACTTTTGGGATGATACTACCTATAGAAAAGACACATACAGCAATCAATAGTATGAATTTTATATAGGAACATATATGCATTTAGTGGATACTTTTCAATTTGGCTTTTTAACTTTTTAATAATTATAAATAAACAGAAATTGCAAAAAATAGTACAGGGAGGTCCCATGTCCCCTTCATTCAGTTTCCCCCAGTGATAATATATTACATAAGCACAGTTCAATATCAAAACTATTAAATTGACATTGATATAATCCACAACCTCAAATTTCATGTTTTATATGCACTCATTTGTGTGTGTACTTCTATGCAATTTTATCATATATGTAACCACCACCACAGTCAAGATACAGAACTGCTTCATCATTGCAAAGATCCCTCATGCTACCTGTTTATAGTCATATCCATCCCACTCCCTGCCTCCCACATCCTAATGCCTGGCAACCACTAATTTGTTCTCCATCTCTATAATTGTGTCACTTCAAGAATGTTATAGAAATGGAAGTATACAGTATGTCAGTATGTAACTTTCTAAGAATGAGTTTTTAAAAAATTTAGCATAATTACTTTGGGATCTATTCAAGTTGTGTGTATCAATAATTTCTTTCTTTTTATTGCTGTATAGTACTCCATGGGATGAGTGTATCACATTTTGTTTAACCATTCATTCATTGAAGGACAAAAACTGGTTGTTTCCAGTTTTTGGTTATTGCAAATAGAACTGTTATGAACATTCATGCATACATTTCCATGTGAATAAATGTTTTCATTTCTCTGGGGTAAATGCCCAATTGTACAGTTGCTGGGTTGTATGGTAAGTGCACATCAGTTGTACAGTTGCTGAGTTGTATGGTAAGTGTTTAGTTTTATAAGAAATGGTATTTTCCACCCTGAGTGTATCGTTTCATAGGCTGACCAGAAATATATGAGAAATACAGTTTCTGTATTTGGTATTTCAATAGCATTTGGCATTATTTTTAAAAATTTTAGTTATTCTAATATTTTAATAGGTATGTAATGGTATATCGTTGTGGTTTTGTTCATTTTTTTGTTTGTTTTGGAGACAGAGTCTTGCTCCATTGTCCAGGCTAGAGTGCACCTTACAGCTCACTGCAGCCTCAATCTCCTGTGCTCAAGTGATCCTCCCACCTCAGCCTCCCGAGAAGCTGGGACTACAGGTGCATACCACCACGTCCAACTAATATTTAATTTTTTTGTAGAGATGAGGTCTCACTATGTTGCCCATGTTGGTTTCAAACTCCTGGGCTCAAATGATCCTCCCACCTCAGCCCCCCAAGTAGCTGGGATCACAGGTGTGAGCCACCATTCCCGGCTAATTTTTTATTTTTTGTAGAGATGGGGTCCTCACTACGTTGTCTGGGCTGGTCTCCAACTCCTGGGCGCAAATGATTTTTCTGCCTTGGCCTCCTGAAGTGCCGGGATTAAAGGTGTGAGCCACCATGCCCGGCCTCATTGTGGTTTTAATTTGCATTTCCATAATGGCTCATGGTGTTGAACCTCTTTTCATGTGCATCTAATGAGTGTTTTTTTAAATGGTCTCTAAGAACTCATCATGACTTAAGGCAATACTACTTCTTGGGAAAGTGAGAGGAAACTGGGAGTGATACTGGGAAGAAAAAGGGACTCATGGTACATCTAAAATGCTCTATATGTTAAAAAGAGAACAAACTTGGCCGGGCGTGGTTGCTCAGGCCTGCAATCCCAGCACTTTGGGAGGCCGAGGCGGGCAGATCACCTGAGGTCAGGAGTTTGAGACCAGCTTGCACAACGTGGTGAAACCCTGTCTCTACTAAGAATACAAAAATTAGTCGGGCGTGGTGGTGGATGCCTATAATCCCAGCTACTCGGGAGGTTGAGGCAGGAGAATATCTTGAACCCGGGAGGCAGAAGTTGCAGTGAGCTGAGATCAAGCCATTGCACTCCAGCCTGGGCAACAAAAGCAAAACTCCATCTCCAAAAAAAAAAAAAAAAAAAAAAAAAACAGAACTGATAAATGTTTGAGGTGATGGATATCCCAATTACCCTGATGTCATCATTATGTATTGCATGTATGCATCAAAATATCATTGTATCCATGAATATGTACAATTATTATGTATCAATTAAAGAAAAAGAAGTAATCCCCCAGGGAGGTTGACAACATAGACCTTAGGCTTCCAAGCCAATGAAAGAGGCAGGATCTGAGCTTAGTTTTACTAGGCTCTATTTTTATTTCCATAAATACACATATTTTTTATTTTAGACTTGTTTGTTAAGCTTCAAGGCCTGAAACAGCTTGTGAAAAAAAGCTCATTCTGTTCCAGGTACACTGCCTTTGGGGGACTTGGCCATGGAATATATTCCTTTTTAATTTTTCATTAGAGATGTAAATTTATCACTGAACACACAAGTCTTCTGTTTGTTCTCTTTCTTTCTTTTTTTTTTTTTTGAGCTAGAGTCTCACTGTGTCGCCCAGGATGGAGTGCAGTGGTGTGAGCTGGGCTCACTGCAACCTCCACCTCCCAGGCTCAAGCGATTCTCGCGCCTCAGCCACCTAAGTAGCTGAGACCACAGGTGTGCACCATTATGCCTAGCTAATCTTTGTATTTTTAATAGAGACAGCGTTTTGCCGTGTTGGCCAGGGTGGTCTCAAGCTCCTGGGCTCAGGTGATCCGCCCACCTCGACCTCCTAAAGTACTGGGATTACAGGTGTGAGCCACCATGCCTGGTCTGTTCTCTTTTCATTTTTTTTTTTTCTTAAACGGTGTCTTGATATATTGCCCAGGCAGGTCTTGAACTCCTGGGCTTAAGCTATCCTCCCACCTCTGCCTCCCTAAGAGCTGGGATTACAGGTATGAGCCACCACACCCAGACTGTTCTCTTTTCAATTGCAAACTATTATATCAGATTTTAATCACAAAATTGAGACTATAGCATATCTTATTTAGGTTAAAGATTTATAAATTCTGAATTTAATCACATTTTACACATCTTATCTAGATAGTCCAAATGATTCTTAAGTTTAAACATTTGCAATTGCTGTGATCATTTACTTTTCTTTTGGTGATGACAGATCATGTGGAGGTCAGAAGTTCACATTTTGATGTTGAATACTGTTGTCAAGCTTTTTTTTTTCCTTAAAATCACATGAAAAGAGAAACTCAAATTTATTTATTTTTAAAACTAGGGGCACTGGACATTTATTGAAAAGTCAGCTACTAGAAGTCAAACTCTGAGAGCAATAAAAATGATACATCATTGTGTAATAGATCCTATAGGCATAAGTTTTATCATCTATGTGTTTTATTGCATATATGTTTATATTTATAGAAGTGATAGACATTTAATTACAGTGTAGACCTATTATACAACTTACAATAAAACTTAAACAACAGGAGCTTCATTGTTCACTTGTTGGACAGCACATTGGGTCAGCAGGCCTCAAGGACAAAAAAATTAAACTTGGAAGCAAAAGCCTAAAAGAATCAACAGTAAGTGCCTGAGTTTTGGTAGCAACATGTATTAAAATGTTGCAAAGGTTTGTAAAAGTGCTGTTGATGAATTTATAGTAGAGTGTCTTCCGTATTTTATCCAGAAGCCCAAGGGAGCTCTAGGCTTAACATTTAATTAAACAGGATACACTATCATCTTGCAATTTATAGTGTGTAAGGTAATAGAGCCTTGACAAAAGGAGAAACAAAAAGCAAAAAATCTACCACTGTTTATTTAGTACTGAGTATTCCATCCACAACCTACCTACCTACAAATACGTATGCATACGCGTGCGCGCGCACACACACACACACATACACACACGCACGTGTTAGAAAGTTAAATGGTTTAACAAGATTTAGAAAGATGAGCATCAGACCCCTGCCTTATTCCCTCTACTCCTAATTTCTTATTCTCTCTACTCCTAATTTCTGCTCCCATAAGGCAAAAACTTTAACTCCTTTAGTTGTTTCTTCTGATATTTAACTCTCTATTTCTAAACATCCTTATTTGACTATTTCTTGATCTTTTTCAGTGTAGACATCTTCTATTAACCATCTACTGTGGGAGATCATTTAATTATCTTAGGATACCTCCCCAATACACATTTCCTTTCCCCTTATCATCCGAACACCAATATATCATATCGGATTAGACCAGTATTCAATATTTACATTCATACTGAGTCATATAGTCCATAAGATGACATTTCCTTGGTATTACAATTGTATTTATTTATTTATTTATTTTTGACACGGAATCTCACTCTGTCACCCAGACTGGAATGCAGTGGTGGGATCTCGGCTCACGGCAAACTCTGCTTCCCGGGTTCAAGCGCTTCTCCTGCCTCAGCCTCCTGAGTAGCTGGGATTACAGGCGCGTGCCACCATGCCCAGCTAATTTTTGTATTTTTAGTAGAGACAGGGTTTCACCATTTTGGCTCGTCTCGAACTCCTGACCTCCAGTGATCTGCCTGCCTCGGCCTCCCAGTGTGCTGGGATTACAGGTGTGAGCCACACGCACGGCCTATAGTTTTAAAATTTTTTCCTAGACTTAATCATTTCATAGACTTAATCATTTTTCCCTTAGTTTTTCTTTTTTTCTTTTCTTTTTTTTGAGATGGAGTTTCACTCTTGTTGCCTGAGCTTGAGTGCAGTGGCGCGATCTCAACTCACTGCAACCTCCGCCTCCCAGGTTCAAGAGATTCTCCTGCCTCAGCCTCCCGAGTAGCTGGGATTATAGGCGTGCATCACCATGCTCAGCTAATTTTTTGGATTTTCTTTTTTAGTAGAAACAAGGTTTCACCATGTTTGCCAGGCTGGTCTTGAACTCCTGATGTCAGGTGATCTGCCTGCCTCGGCCTCCCAAAGTGCTGGGATTATAGGTGTGAGCCACTGTGCCCGGCCCTTAGTTTTTCTTTGTTCTTGCTATCACTAATTCATCACCAAACTACAAGTATATATTTCTCGAAGTTTTAAAATACATCAGAAAATCTATTGTGTGTGTGAGTGAGAGAGAGAGAGAGAGAAAGAGAGAGAGAGGTTGATTTCCTTCCTTGGGATTTTTGTTCCATCAGCATTCATGGAATTCTTGTCTCCCTCCTGTATTGGATCCCTGGCCTCCTAGTTCCTCTGATTTCATATTTCTTGAGTAACTCCCCCACTTCCCTTCAGTAACTATCTGAGGAAGGCAGCATATCTAGAAAATTGTTTCTAGACTCTTGAAAATAATATTTTATTTTTCTCAAATAATTTTTTATCTCTGCTTTCTGCTCTTTCTTTCTAGAAATAATATTCTGATATTGGTCTGATGAGTTTAGGCTGTCATGCCCATAATCCCAGCACATTGGGAGACCGAGGTGGCAGGATTACTTGAGGCCAGGAGTTCAAAACTGCAGTGAGCTCTGATTGAGCCACTGCACTCCAGCCTGGCTGACAGATCAAGACTCTGTCTCTAAAGAAGGAAAGAAAGAAAAGAAAGAAAGAAAATAAATAAATAAATAAAACACTAAAAATAAAACAAAACCAAAAAAGCCCCACTGATTGGAAGCTGTGTGTTGAAATGCTGAGTCTCGCTGACTAGTGGGTTTCACTGTCAGCAGGGGTTTGACTACTTTTGTTAGGGGACCACCAGCTGTCAGTATCTGCTGATATTGTCTCTGAATAGGTGTTTTTTTTTTTTTTTCTTCACCAAAAGAGAAAGATGAATGAGGTAGGGTGGAAGTGGAAAATTGACTACCGGCTTATTGGGAAGGAGATTAGGTTTCTCACCCTTTGGATATAGACTTCTCATTACCTCCCTGTTTCTAATAAGGCTCTCATCCTCAGATATGCTTGTCCCTGAGAATAGACTGCCTTTTTCTTCAACTAACCTGAGAGTAAAACTGCTCTACTCCATTACAGAGGAGTGGGTCATTGGCTGCAAGGGCTGAAGGAGGTTATTTAAGAGTCCAACTGATTTGGACATATTTTCAACCAGGTCCTTTTCGGGATTCTGCTTCATGAACAGGCTTGCTTTTTTTCCCTCCATTTTCACCTCAGGCATTAAGTTTTCAGCCTTCTAAAGTTTTCTTAGTTAATTGTCATTCCTTCATCTGCTCTCCAGTTTATATTTGCTGATCATCTTCTTTTCTCTCTTTTCCATGTCTTTTTGTCTTCTTGTGGGTTTTGTTTTTTTAAAAAACCCAAAACCTTAGCTGTCACTTTGTTGGAATCAAGGAAAGAGTGGAGAAAATGTGTCATGCTTGACCAGATGTCATTATTTCTCAAAGTCTAGTTTTAAAACAAAACCTGCCAAAGGTATGCCACTCTTACTGGACTAGAAGCTAATGTTATTATGGTTTACAAAGCCCTCCATCTACCATTCTTCCCTTTACTTAGTATACTCTAGTCCCACGGGCCTTCTTCTATTCCTTGAATGAACACACTAAACTAATTTTTTTTATTTCACTCTGTCTTTCTTTTCTTCAAAGCAAAGATCACTAGTTGTCCCCCAATATCCATCCTTCCCTCTTTCTTGGAAATAAAACTCCTAATTATTATCTCGGCACATGGCTATCCAGAACAAAGACTACATTTTCCAGCCTCTCTGACAGGTAAATAGGACTAGCGAAGTTCTAGCTAGTGAGATGGAACTAGAAACACTATAAAATATGGAGCTTCCAGAAACAGTCCCTAAAAGGAAGAAGCTTGCACTTCATCATCTCCATGTCCCAAACCCCACCCCTTCCTCTTTCTTACTGGCTGAGATGTAAAAATGATAAGGGTAGCAAAAACAACCATTATATACTATGAAGCAGAAGCTGTATGATGAAGATGGCAAAGCCATAAGGACAGGAGGCCAGATCCCTGTTGCTGTGGAGTGTCATTCGGCCCTAGAATGTTTACCTACCAACTTCATTTAGGTGGCAGAGAAATAAACATCGATGTTCTAAGACACTGTTACCAGGGTCTTCTGTCGCTCACAGCTGAATCTAACAATGATAAAAGGTTCAGGTTGTGTGCTACCTCCTTAGAGCGGTGTTCCCCATTCTAAGTCACTTTTAATTATTTTTCCTTATAGCACTTCTCATTATCTGAATTTATCACATTTTTTAAGTTTGCTTGTTCAATATGTCTCTCCCAACAAGAATGTAAGCTTCATAAAGGCAAAAACCATGCCCAGGTCCTAGAATGGAGCCTGGCATACCGTGGGTGTTCTGTACATATTTGTTGACTAATAACATCTGGTTGGGTCAGAACCCTACTGGTGTTAGGAAGGGAGGGAGATTCTCTCTCTATCTGCATGGAATAGTTCCAGCCTCTCTGTTCAGATACCACACTTGCCTATCAATTTTCTGATTACGAATTCAACTTTCAAGCGTTTTAAAACCAGAAAATGAGGCTTCTGAAGAGATGGCTCACATCTGTTGGTTAATAAAAGGTATGGGCCAGGCGTGGTGGCTCACATCTGTAATCCCAGCACTTTGGGAGGCCGAGGACGGAGGATTGCTTGAACTTAGGAGTTCAAGACCAGCCTGGCCAACATGGTGAAACCCTGTATCTACAACAACAAAAAACAAAACAAAAAAACAAACAAAAATTAGCTGGGCCTTGGTGGTGCCTGCCTGTAGTCCCAGCTACTGGCTGAAGTGGAAGGATTGTCTCAGCCTAGGAGGCAGAGGTTGCAGTGAGCCGAGATTTCACCACTGCACTCCAGCCTGGGTGACAGAGCCAGACTGTCTGAAATAAATAAATAAATAAATAAATAAATGGAATGTCTTCCATTCTAAATTGATAAATTGGGATGATTATGGTTTATAATTGATTAGGATGCATAGTTTTGGAGGTAAGTAGACAAAGCTATGAACAGCAGTTTTACTGTTTATGGAAGTGTGAACTTGACCAGTTACTTAAATTTGCTGAGCTTTAGTTTTCTCATTTGTTTAAAAAAATAAATAAAAAAACACAAACGAACAAACAAAAAAACCGGAGGGGAATAGTAATATCTGCATTTCAGGACCAATGGGAGTATCAAATGAGACAATCCATGTAAGAGATTAAGCAATTTCCTCAAGGAGAGAGCTAAGAAGTAGGGGGTCCAGGTTTTAAATTCAAGTCTTCGATATGATGCTGGATTCTTAGCTCTTAGCCTCTATATTGTGCCACCACTAAAAAGGCCTCTGTGACTGTCCTTGTCAGAGTTGGATCATCACTTCAACTGGCTTAAAGAGAATATTTTTTTCTCTCTAAAAATCTCAGCTTTATTTGGTGAAGCAAGACTCAGCATTTAGGATTTGGAGTTAGTTCAGTCACAAAATCAGAGTATTTGATATGAAAGATAACTTTTGGATTGGAAAAAGTACTGACAAAATCAATCAATCAAGTTCTAGTCCTAACAGCGGAGCAGCGTATCCCTGAATGAAGTGCTTTAACTTTCATCCCCAAATTTCTTTTCCTGAAATAACATTAATAGCTTTATTGAGATACAATCAACATATCATATAATTCACTCATTTGAAGTGTATAATTCAATGGTAAATTTGTGCAACCATCACCACAATCAATTTTAGAACATTTTCATTATCACAAAATGAAATTTCATACCTGTTAGCAGTCACTCCCCATTTCTCTGCCACCTGCTCCCCCACCTCCCACCCAGTTCAAGCAACCACTAGTCTATTTTCTGTCTTTATAGATTTGCCTATTCTGGAAACTTAATATAAAATTGAATCATACAATATGTGGCCTCTTGCAACCAGCTTCTTTCCCTCAGCACATGTTGTTTTGGAGGTTCATCCATGCTGTGGCATGTATCAGTATTTCATTCCCTTTTATGGCCAAAGATAGTCTATTATATGGATATATGAGCACCACATTTTATCCCCGCACCAGGTAATGGACATTTGGGTTGTTTCCACTTTTTGGGTATTATGATTAATGTTGCTATGAATCTTTGTGTGCAAGTTTTCGTATGGACACATGTTTTCATTTCCCTTGGGTATATACCTAGGAGTAAAATTATTGAGTCATATGGTAAATCTATGTTAAACCTTTCGGGGAACTGCCAGACTGCTTTCCAAAGTGGCTGCACCATTTTGCATTTCCACCAGCAATGCATGAGGGTTCCAGTTTCTCCACACCCTCATTAACATTTACTGTCCTTTGGCTGGGCGCGGTGGCTCACGCCTGTAATCCCAGCACTTTGGGAGGCCGAGGCGGGCGGATCACGAGGCCAGGAGATCGAGACCATACTGGCTAACATGGTGAAACTCCGTCTCTACCAAAAATACAAAAAAAGAAATTAGCCAGGCGTGGTGGCGGGCGCCTGTAGTCCCAGCTACTCGGGAGGCTGAGGCAGGAGGATGGCGTGAATCCGGGAGGCGGAGCTTGCAGTGAGCCGACATCGCGCCACTGCACTCCAGCCTGGGCGACAGAGTGAGACTCCGTCTCAAAAAAAAAAAAAAAAAAAAAAAAAACACAAAAAACATTTACTGTCCTTTTGATGATAGCCAACCTAGTGGGTATGAAATGTAATCTTGCTATTTTGATTTGCATTTACCTGATGGCTAATGATTCGTGTACTTATCGGCCATTTTTATATCTTCTTTGGCCAAATGTCTGCTCAAATGGTTTGGCCCATTTTAAAATTTTGGTTCTTTGTTTTTTTTTTTTATTTTTAGAGTTGGGATGTCACTCTGTCACCCAGACTGGAGTACAGCAGTGGTGTGATAATGGCTCATTGCAGCCTCAAACTCCTGGGCTCAAGTGATGCTCCCAACTTAGCCTCCCGAGTAGCTGGGATTATAGATGCCAGCCACTGTGCCTGGCTATTTTGTTTTGTTTTTTGGTTGTTTTGTTCACTGAGTTGTAAAAGTTCTTTGTATATTCTACATACACGTCCCTTATAGGATATATGATTTGCTGATATTTTCTATCTTTCTGTGAGTTGTCTTTTCACTGTCTTGATGGAGTCATTTGTAGTGCACACATTTTAAATTTTGATGAAGTCCAATTTATCTATTTTTTCTTTTGTTGTTGTACCCTTGATGTTATATCTAAAAATCTATTGCCTAATCTGAAGTCATAAACATTTATACCTATCCCTTCTATGTTTATGATTTTAGCTCTTATATTTAGGTCTTTGATCCATTTTGAGTTAGTTTCTGTAGATGATGTGAGGTGAGAGAGAGATAAAAGAATGAGGGGCCAGGCGCAGGGCTCACACCTATAATCCTAGCACTTTGGGAAGCTGAGGTAGGAGGATCCCTTGAGACCAGGAGTTTGAGACCAGCCTGGCCAACATGGTGAAACCCCATCTCTACTACAAATACAAAAATTAGCTGTATGTGGTGGCACACACCTGTAGTCCCAGCTACTTGGAAGGCTGAGGCAGGAAAACTGCTTGAGCCTGGTAGGTGGAGGTTGTAGTCAGCTGAGATCAGGCTGCTCACTCCAGCCTGGCTGACAGAGCGAGACTTTCATTAACAAACAAACAAAAAAACAAACAAGGCTGGGCGTAGTGGCTCATGCCTGTAATCCCAGCACTTTGGGAGACTGAGGTGGGTGGATCACGAGGTCAGGAGATCGAGACCAGCCTAGCTAACATGGTGAAACCCATCTTTACTAAAAATACAAAAAATTAGCTGGGCATGGTAGCACATGCCTGTAATCCTAGCTACTCAGGAGGCTGAGGCAGGAGAATCGCTTGAACCCAGGAGATGGAGATTGCAGTGAGCCGAGATGATGCCACTGCGCTCCAGCCTGGGTAACAGGGCAAGACTCCATCTCAAAAAAAAAAAAAAAAAAAAAAATAAGAAAAAGAATAACGAATATCACAACTAAAATGTCTACTAAAATTATAGTTTATATTGTACACAAGAAGTGCCTAAGAGTTTTTTTTATTTTAAAAAATCATCAACTAGCTTCAAAACTATAATTCTTCTATTTGAAAGCAACTGGAATGGCTAATAAGGTCAAAACCTATAAGTTTTTGGAAATAAAAAGTTATGAGTTAGGCAAACTGCACTTAGTCATGTTACCTGGTCCAATAAGGCAGCAATTATTAATGGCTGCTAAAACTATTAGGTGACAGGTTCAGTGGGAACTCTGTGATAGATCATGTGATAACACCAGAACCCACTGAATAATTTTAACATCACTAAATGTGGGACACCCAGACATCACATTCCTCCAAATGTGATGCAATGAGAAGTACATGCTGCTGCCTATGAATAATCTTGCCAAAATAACTGAACCTAAACCTAATCAAGTTTCTAGATCTAACTACTAGTTTATAAAAAATATGGAGGTTAGAGGAACAAGAACAATACACTATGGGAACAGTCAGCCAAATCCAGAACATGAGAAATCCTACAGGCCAAATGACCCAGGCTTCAGACAAAAAAAAAGGCATAAAAAAAGAGAGGGGCTAGGTGTGGTGGCTCATGCTTGTAATCCCAACATTTTGGGAGGCTGAGTGGGGAGATCACTTGAGGCCAGGAGTTAAGACCAGCCTGGGCAACACAGCAAGACACCATCTCTCCAAAATAATTTTTAAAGATTAGCTGGGTATGGTGGTACATGCCGGTAGTCCTAGTATTCAGGAGGCTGAGGCGGGAGGATTGCTTGAGTCTAGTTCAACGTTACAGTGAGTTATGATCATGCCACTGCACTCCTGCCTAAGCAACAGAGAGAGACCCTGTCTCAGGAAGAGACAGAGAGAGAGAGAAGAAAGTGTTATAAACTAAAATACAAATATCAAGCAAATGCAATTTGTGAATCTTGTTTAGAATATGATTTAAAAAAAACTTTTTTCATTTATCTTGGGTGTATACCTAGGAGTAAAATTACTGAGTCATATGGTAACTCTATATTAAACCTTTTGGGGAACTGCAAGACTGCTTTCCAAAGTGGCCGCACCATTTTGTAAACTAAAATAGACATATCGGCTGGGAGCAGTGGCTCATGCCTATAATCCCAGCACTTTGGGAGGCCAAGGCGGGTGGATCACCTGAGGTCAAGAGCCTGGCCAATGTGGTGAAAACCCATTTCTACTAAAACTACAGAAATTAGCTGAGTGTGGTGGCATGCGCCTGTACTCTCAGCTATTGAGGAGGCTGACGCAGCAGAATTGCTTGAACCTGCGAGGTGGAGATTGTAGTGAGCCGAGATAGCGCCACTGCACTCCAGCCTGGGTGACAGAGCAAGACTCTATCTCAAAAATAAAATAAAATAAGATAAAATAAAATAGACATATCAAACAAATGTAATTTTTGGACATTGTTTAGAACATTTTTGAGACAATTAGGAAAAACTGGATATGGGCTATTAGCCAATAAGAAATTACTGTAAATTTTGTTAGTTATAATAAAGGCATTGTAATTGTTTTATTATCTCTTTTTTTTTTGGAGACAGAGTCTCACTCTGTCACCCAGACTGGAGTGCAGTGGCACCATCTCAGCTCACTACAACATCTGTCTCCTGGTTCAAGCGATTCTCCTGCCTCAGCCTCTGGAGTAGCTAGGATTACAGGCACGTGCCACCACACCAAGCTAATTTTTGTATTTTTAGCAGAGATAGAGTTTCACCATGTTGACCAGGCTGGTCTCGTACTCCTGACCTCAGGTGACCCACCTGCCTTGGCCTCCCAAAGTGCTGGGATTACAGGCATGAGCCATCGCACCTGGCAGGTATTGAAATTGTTTTAAGTGTGTTTATCAGTAGAACTACCATATGATCCAGCAATCCCCACTGCGAGGTATACATCCCTAGAAAGGAATCAGTATATTGGAGAGATATCTGCACTCTCATGTTTACTGCGGCACTATTCACAATAGCCAAGATAGGGAATCAACCTAAGTGTCCATCAATGGATGAATGGATAAAGAAAATGCAGTACACATACACAATCGAGTACTATTCAGCCATAAAGAAGAATGAGATCCTGTCATGTGCAACAACATAGATGGAGCTGGAGGACATTATGCTAAGTGAAATGATCCAGGGACAGAAAGACAAATATTACATATTCTCACTTACATATGGGAGGTAAAATAGTAGATACCATGGAGATAGAGAATAGAATGGTCGTTATCAGAGTCTGGGAAGGGAAACTGGGGAGGGCGAAGACAAAGAGAAATTAGTTAATTGTCAAAAAAATACAGTTAGATAGAAGTTCTAGTATTTGAAAATACAATAGGGAAATTATAGTTGACAATATTTTATCATATATTTCAAAATAGCTAGAAAAGAATAATTGTATTGTTCTCAGGCTGGGCATGGTGGCTCATACCTGTATTCCCAGATCCAAGTGAGATGATAGAATCCCTCCCAAAAAGTCCTTCCTAGGCCAGGTGCAGTGGCTTACACCTGTAATCCTAACACGTTGGGATTGGGAGGGAGGATCCCAATGAGATGAGGATCACTTGAGGCCAGGAGTTGGGGACCAACCTGGTTAACATAGCGAGACCCAATCTCTCTCTCTCTCTCCCTCTCTCTTTCTCTCTCTCTCCCCCTCCCTCTTTCCTTTTTTTTTCTTTTCTTTCTTTCTCTCTCTCTCTTTCTTTCTTGCTCTCCCTCTTTCTTTTTCTTTCCTTTTTTTTTTTTTTTTTTTGAGACAGGGTCTCACTCTGTCACCCAGGCTGGAGTGCTGTGGGGTGATTTCAGCTCACTACAACCTCTGCCTCCCAGGCCAATCAGCTAATTTTTGTATTTTTAATAGAGATGGGGTTTCACCATGTTGGCTAGACTGGTATTGAATTTCTGGCCTCCACTGATCCACCTGCCTTGGCCTCCCCAAGTGCTGGCATTGCAGGCATGAGCCACCGTGCCCAGCCACAATCTCTATTTCTTTTAAATACAATAAAATAAAAAACAATAAAATTATAATAAAAAAGTCATTCCTGAGTAGGATGACTCGGGTTAAGAATGACTTAGGTTTTCATGATAGATCTGGAGTTTCCAAAACTCTGGGTAAACAGAGCTCAGGCTTTGAGGACAGGCACACCTGTGTCTAATCCTGCTTCTGCTACATGATAGGTACATTTGGGCAGGTAACTTAAATTTTTTAAAGCCTTATTGGAGTTACAACATGAAATTTACACATCTCAAAATTTACCTATTACAAGTGTGCAGTTTATTTTTAGTAAATTTTTATGGTTGTGTAACCATTACCAAAATCTAGTTTTAGTATTCCATCAATCCGTAAAGTTGTCCCATGCCCATCTGCAGCCAAACCTGGCTTCCAGTTTCAGCCCCAGCAATCACTAACCTGCTTTCTGTATCTATAATCTTGCTTTTTCTATATTTGTGATTTTCCTATGAAATCACAGTCTTTTTATCTGCTATAGTGTTTTTTTACTTTCATCCATGTTACAGCATGTATTGGTTTATTTTTATCACCAAATATTCTATTGTATGGCTGTACTACATATTGTTTACTCATTCACAAACTGATAAGACATTTGAATAGTTTCCACTTTTTGCCTATTATGAGTAATTCTGCAATGGACATGTAGGTATGAGTCCATGGACATATGTTTTCATTTCTTTTAGGTATATACCTAGGCGTGAAATTGCTGGGTTATATGGCAATTTATGCTTAATTTTTTAAAAAACTGTCAAACTGCTTTCCAAAGTGCCTGTACCATTTTACATTCTCACCAGGAATGTAGGAGTGTTTGTTTCTCCACATTCTTGCCAAACTTGTTTTCCATTTTTTTTTGTTTTATTTTGTTTTGTTTGTTTTTGAGACGGAGTCTCGCTGTCACCCAGGCTGGAGTGCAGTGGCACGATCTCCGCTCACTGCAATCTCTGCCTCCCAGGTTTAAGCGATTCTCCTGCCTGAGCCTCCCAAGTAGCAGGGATTACAGGCACCTGCCACCACGCCCGGCTAATTTTTGTATTTTTTAGTAGAGACGGGGTTTCACCATGTTGGGTCAGGCTGGTCTCAAACTCCTGACCTGAAGTGAGCCACTCGCCTTGGCTTCCCAAAGTGTTGGGATTACAGGTGTGAGCCACCTAGCCCCGCCAAAACTTGTTTTCTATTTTTCTGATTATAGCCATTCTAGTGGGTATTAAGTGTTATCTTATTATGCTTTCAATGTGCATTTCTCTAATGATTAATGATGATGAATATCTTTTTATGTACTTATTTGCCATTCATAAATCTTCTTTGGTAAAATATCTATTCAAATATTTTCTTCTAGTTCATGGCTTTTCTTTTTCTTTTTCTTTTTTTTTTTTTTTTTTGAGATGGAGTTATGCTCTGTTGCCCAGGCTGGAGTGCAGTGGCATGATTTTGGCTCACTGCAACCTTTGCCTCCTGGATTTAAGCAATTCTCCTGCCTCAGCCTCCCAAGTAGCTGGGATTGCAGGTGCCCGCCACCACGCCCAGCTAATTTTTGTATTTAGTAGAGATGGGGTTTCACCATGTTGGCGAGGCTGGTCTCAAACTCCTGACCTCAGGTGATCCACTCGCCTCAGTCTCCCAAAGTGCTGGAATTACAGGCGTGAGCCACTGCGCCCGGCCCTTTTGCTTTATTTTCTACTTTTTTTTTAATTGCTTGTTGCCTAAGACAGACCAAGATTTTTTGTTTTTGTTTTCTTCTTCTTTTTTTTTTTTTTTTTTTTTTAGATAGGGTCTGGCTGTCACCCAGGCTGTAGCGTAGTAGCGCAATCTCAGCTCACTGCAAATTCTGCCTCCTGGGCTCAAACCATCTTCCCACCTCTGCCTCCCAAGTAGCTGGGACTATATGCACAGCTAATTTTTGTATTTTTTGTAGAGATGGGGTTTCACCATCTGGCCTAGGCTGGTCTTGAACTCCTGAGCTCAAGCGATCCACCCACCTTGGTCTCCCAAAGTGCTGGGATTACAGATGTGAGCCATTGTCCCAGTCTAGATTTTTTGTTTCAATACATGAACTAAAAGCTTTAAATTTCTATTATGTCAACTATCAATTTTTTCTTTTATAGATCACGATTTTAGCGTCATATCTAAGCAAACTTTGCTTAACTTAATATCAAAAGATTTTCCTCTTTTTCTTCTGAAATTTATAGTTTTAGCTTTTATATTTAGGTCTATGATCCACTTAAATCAATTTTTATGTGTGATGTGAGGTAAGAATCAAAGTTCTTTTTTTTCCCTCCCACATCATTCATTGAAAAGATTACCCTTTCCCCATGGATTGTTTTAGCACCATTGTTGAAAATCAACTGACCATAATGTAAAGGTTTATTTGTGGACTATTTGATTCCATTGATCGATATATCTGCCTCTATGCCAGTATTACAGTCTTCATTACTGTAGCTTTATAATAAGTTTTGAATTCAGGTAGTGGAAGTTCTCCATCTTTTTCTGTTTCGAAATCCTTTTATTCTGGTTCCTTTTCATTTCATATAAATTTTAGGGCCAAACTTGCCAATTTTTTTTTTTTTTTTTTGAGACAGAGTCTTGCTCTCACCAGGCTGGAGTGCAGTGGCACGATCTCTGTCACTGCAACCTCTGCTTCCCGGGTTCAAGCGATTCTCCTGCCTCAGCTTCCTGAGTGGCTGGGATTACAGGCGCGTGCCAACACGCCCAGCTAATTTTTGTATTTTTAGTAGAGACGGGGTTTTGCCATGTTGGTCAGCCTTGTCTTGAACTCCTGATCTCAGGTGATTTGCCCTCCTTGGCCTCCCCAAGTGCTGGGATTACAGGCGTGAGCCACCGCGCCCGGAATAATGTTCTTTCTTTAAAAATACAAATTAGCAATCCCCTTAATTCCACAAAGAGGAAAAGTAAAAGAACACAGAAATGCTTGAGTTCAATTTGCTGAGACCAATAAAATGCACTTTCAAGAAAACTGCACAGCACTAGCATTGGAGGCCACAAAAATAAGATACGGACTCTATACTCAAGGAATTTATGAACAAATAAATTTTTCTGCTGGCTGAGGTACTTCTCTGACTGTTAAAGCAGGTAAAACGAAGAAATGTTCCTCCGAGACTTCCTACCTATTCTAACCTCTCAAACTTCTAATTGCAACAATGGCAGCTTTATTTTTATCTTAATATTTATGTGTTGAGGGTTCCATATAAGATTAGATTTGAATAAAGCACTGTATGCCTTTAAAAAGGTTTGAAAATCACTGGTCTAATAAAAGAACAGTGAAAACTGACAGGCAGCTATATTATAAAAAGAATACTGGATTGAGGGTTCATGATGACTGTTTTATTCTAGTTGTTGAACATGTACAGCCATGTCGAAGGAAAAGTTCTATTTCTCACCTCTCATAAAGGATGGCATTTTAAAGGTGAATTTTAATGTCATTCATCTAATAAATATTTGTTGCATGCAATAAGCACAATGTTATTCATATATTCATAGTAAAGTAATAGGGAGAAAGGAAGTACGGAATATCCTGAGGATATCAGCTGTCATCAGAGATGTAACAAGCTGGGTCTCAGAGCACAAGTTTGCCAATTGATTAAAAAGGAAAAAAAATGAGGCATCGTAGATAGAATCATAGGTCCAGAAGAACAGAATTAGAAATAGCTACCACTGAATGAACATTTCCTCCATGCATAGACTTTTATCCTCACCACACCTATGGAGATAGAAGTTATTATCCCCATGCAGACAGGGGTATGCCAAAATCACAAAACTCGTGAGTGGCAGCGCCACGTTTGAAACTGGGGTTGTCTGATTTCAAAGCCAAGGCTCTGGGTTCACAGAAGTACATGTACTTAAGAGGTGTGAAGCAACATGGGACTACTGGAAGGAGGCGGTGAGCCACGAGGCTGGAAATGCAGGCACCTGCTCTCGCTCACTTGACCATAGAGCAACTTGGGCAAAGAAGGGGTGGGCTGACATTGGAGTATGGAACAAACGCATGATTTCAAATAAGCATGTGTGTATCCATCCCAGTTCTGTCCGCTGAAAAGGCCTAGAAGCAATAACACACCAAGCCCTGTCGAATGGTGGGGTCCGCCAGGACCTCCAGGCTTGCTCCCCGCCCTACCCGCCAGCTTCTCCGCCACATTCCACTGCCGCAGCAGAACCGGTGTCCTTCACCTGCCTGCGTCTTCTGCAGTTCGTTAAGCAGCGCCCTTAGCTCCTGTGACACTTTAGGGAGAAAGCCGCAGCACCGGCGATGTTGGCCGCCATTAACGCCCGGCAAAGCGCCCGGAACTAGAAGCAGCGAAGAACCCGGGTGGGCAGCGACCGTGACAGCCGAGCCGGAAGCGGAGCTGCGGGAGGGGCCTCGACGCTCCTCCATCTTTTATTGGAGCTCACCGCTGCCAGTCGCGCTGCCTGCCCGTCCCACCCTTTTCGTGCAGGCATTCAGCTAAATGACGGGCGGAGCCCGGCGGCGGCTTCCGGTCGGGGGAAAAAAGTTGGGCCGAAGGAGGGGCCGGGAAGACGCAAGAGGAAGAAGAGAAAACGGCCGGGCGGCGGTGGCTGTAGGTTGTGCGGCTGCAGCGGCTCTTCCCTGGGCGGACGATGGACAGCCAGGGCAGGAAGGTGGTGGTGTGCGACAACGGCACCGGGGTAAGGGCCGCGCGAGGAGGCCTTGGCGGCCACAGACGCCGGCGGGGACGAGCAGCTGGCGCACGGGCCCTCGGCCCCCAGGGCTGCACCTCCGGGCCCTCGGGGCGAAGGGGCGCGGGGCGGTGCCTCCCACCTCCGCGGGCGTGGGAGCGAGCCGGCCGTTCCCTGGTCTCCCTTGAGCCTGCCACCCATTTAGCCTGCCACCCCCTCACCCTTCCGGGTGGGGGCGGCGGGCGAGACCGGCACTGGACATGGAGCCTACTGACCGCCCGGCAGGGACCTGCTCCGCGCTAATGCGGGGGCAATTGGGCTAAAGCGGACGGAAGCGTAAAAGGCTCGGTTTGTGTGTTCCGAGAAGGGCTCTTTTCCCCAGGGCCACCGGTTTGTAAAAAGGAGAAAGACCTAGAGGCCTTCCTCTTCCTGTATAGTTGAAGATACACCAAACGAGAAGCAGGAAGCGGGTTTACTTAAAAAAAAAAAAAAAAAAAGGGAAGTGCTGTCATGGAGTGTGGACCTCAGCCCTTTCGCTGTGTTTGTTGGGCTTTTTATTAGTTTTTTCGAGGGAAGGGGTCCAGATCGGCAGCGCATCGTTCACTTTTTGTTTTACATACTAGTATTTGGCCCAGGAGTAGGCCCACGGAGACCAGCATGTTCCATTGAGTGGTTTTGGGTGACCTAGGATCCCGCAAGACTCAAGTGTTAATTCCACTAGCCTTAGGGGAAGTTAATTAGTGTTGATTATCCCACCCCCAGCCCCCTTTTTTCCCTTCGTTTCAGTATACAGGTAATGTTAGCCTTTAAGATTCAAAAATTGTAAAATCTGACTAAAGCACTGATTTAGAAACTATTTGAAAATTGTTTCTGTAATCCCAGCACTTTGGGAGGCCCAGGCGGGCAGATCACCAGAGGTTAGGAGTTCGAGACCAGCCCAGCCAACGTGGTGAAACCCCGGTCTCTACTAAAAATACAAAAATTAGCCGGCCGTGGTGGTGCTTGCCTGTAATCCCAGCTACTTGGGAGGCTGAGGCAGGAGAATCCCTTGAAGCCAGGAAGCGGAGGTTGCAGTGAGCCGAGATTGCGCCACTGCACTCCAGCCTGGGCGACAAGAGTGAAACTCCGTCTCAATTATAAAAAAAAAAAATTGTTTCATTCAGACCTCCCTCTTGCCAGATTAAAAAAAAATGTATTTTGGGTAGCAAAGTCAGCAAATTAGAAGATGGAAATATTATTTATTCTGGATGACTTCTATAGTGATTTCTAACCATTTTGATGTTGCAACATTTTGTGAGTTTTCTCCCCTCCCTCCCATAAATATGATGTATGAATTAAAGTTCATTTTACTTGAACAAAACACTTTGGAATCTGAATTGTTGAGGGGGAAAAGAGCTGGTATTTACTGCCATAATACTGCCCTTGATTAGATTTGTTACACAATTTTACAAGCAATAATTATGGTAGCTTCATCTGAACTGTGTTAAAAATGGACTAGAGTAAAAAGAGTGTTAACGTACATTGAGGCCAGGCGCGGTGGCTCATGCCTGTAATCCCAGCACTTTGGGAGGTCTAGGCGGGCGGATCACCTGAAGTCAGGAGTTTGAGACCAGGCTGGCCAACATAGTGAAACCCCGTCTCTACTAAAAATACAAAAATTAGCCGGGCATGGTGGTGGGCGTCTGTAATCCCAGCTACTCGGTAGGCTGAGGCAGGAGAATCGCTTGAACCCGGTAGGCGGAGGTTGCAGTGAGCCGAGATCGCACCACTCCAGCCTGGGCGACAGAGCAAGACTCCGTCTCAAAAAAAAAAAAAAAAAAAAAGAAAAACAAAACATATTAATGTGACGGTTTTTAAGAATGTAATATTTTTAAAAAGGCAGATCCACTGCTATGGAAACGTCTAAGATTTTAAGTTGAAAAAGGTTTTAGAATGATTCAGTTTAAGTGTGTGTTCCTTATTAAAGATGTATGTCCACAAACTTGTATCCGCATATGAAAGTTTTGGAGGGATACATAAGAAATGTTCATAATGGTTACCTATGAGACAGAGGATAAGGGAGTGAGGGAAGATGGAGAGGACTTCATGACCTTTCTGAATTATTGGAAAAATGTTCTTTATTTGAACAAAGCAAGTATTATTAAACTATATTTAAACTAAATTAACCATAAACGCATGTTACATGTGCGGCTAAAATTCAGTTAAATGTGCTTTTTAAAAAAGTATTAGCCTGATTTCCACTATAGTTTCAAATTGGCCTCTAAATAAATAAAAAACTTTAAAAATTGAATTTAAAATTTTTTGTTTTGTGATTGTGTCAGATACTCTTTTTAGAAAGTCAAGCCAGTTATATTTTAATGAATTCTTTTAGGGGTTCAAGGTAATGAGCCCTGTATTTGTAGTATATATGAGTTTTTAAATATTAAATTAGAATGGGAATGTTAACCGAAGCTGATTTTTTTTTTTTTTTTTTTTTTTTTGGACACAGGATCTAGCTCTGTTGCCCAGGCTGGAGAGCGATGGCGTGATCTCGGCTCTCTGCAACCTCTGCCTCCTGGGCTCAAGCGGTTCTCCTGCTTCAGCCTCCCGAGTAGCTGGGACTACAGGCTTGTGCCACCACACCCAGTTAATTTTTTTATTTTTGTAGAGACTGGGTCTCCCTATGTTACCCAGGCTGGTCTTGAACTCCTGGGGTTAAAAGATCTGCCCACTGCGGCCTCCTAAAGTGCTAGGATTACAGGCTTGAGCCACTGCACCCTGCTGTCAGAAGCTAATGTTATGTTACTATTCCATTAGTTAGCTAACATTAGAAGGCTGATTTTAGGCTGGGCGTTGTGGCTCATGCCTGTAATCCCAGCACTTTGGGAGGCCGAGGTAGGAGGTTCACTTGAGGTCAGGAGTTTGAGACCAGCATGGCCATCATGGTGAAACCCCGTGTCTACTAAAAATACAAAAATTAGCCGGGTGTGGTTTCTGATGCCTGAAATCCCAGCTACTTGGGAGGCTGAGGCAGGAGAATTACTTGTACCTGGGAGGCAGAGGTTGCAGTGAGCCAAGATCACGCCACTGCACTCCAGCCTGGGCGACAGAGTGAGACTGTCACAAAAAAAAAAAAAAGCTGATTGTAGTATGTTATTGATTAGTCTTGTGTCTAATCCATGTTTTTAAGATTCTTTTCCTTAAGACAAGTGATCAATTCCTGTCATAAATGAAAAAAGTGAGTGTAATTAATTCAAATAAAATTTATCTGTTCTTATGCTTCTAGTTATTTTAAAATTTTATGCAGATTTTCTATGGACATGATTGGTTTCAAATGAAGAAACAGTGCTGTTAAAATACATGAATCATATAACAGGAATGCTGTAATAGTTCTGAGTATGTAGAGGACTAGGAACCGCTTAGATTGTGTATTCTGTTTCTTACCATTTGTAGACATGAATAATCATCTTGATTTTATTTAGATACCTGAAGTTATAATGATTCCTTTATAATTAAATATTAAAGAAGATATTCAGATGTAATTTTGCAAATTTATGGAAATAGTTGTTATCCTAAGGTGTTTTCATTTGCTCCTTACATGCCTTAGGTTTTAAAATTGTAGGCTGGCTGGGTGTGGTTCCTCATGCCTGTATTTCCAGCATTTTGGGAGGCCGAGGTGAGAGGATTTCTTGAGGCCAAGAGTTTGAGACTAGCCTGGGTTAGTATAACAAGACCCCATATCTAGTAAAAATAAAAATAAAATTACAGGCTTTTTAAAAAGTTACGATTCTTTTAACCTCTCTGGCAGACCCAAATTAAATATTCTAGGACAGGAGTGTCCAGTCTTTTGGCTTCCCTGGGCCACATTGGAAGAGGAATTGTCTTGGGCCACACATGAAATACACTAACAATAGCTGATGAACTAAAAAAATCACCAAAAAAATTTCATAATGTTTTAAGAAAGTTTGTGAATTTGTGTTGGGCCTCATGCAGCCCGTGGGCCATGGGTTGGACAAGTTTGCCTGGAAACAAGTTTGTACTTACGATCACATGACCAATGTTGGTCCCGCTTGATTTTCTATCTCCCAGCTTGACCAGTGTCTCAGTAGGGTTGCCCAGAGGAGGAAAACTCATTTGATCCAATAATTTATGTGGATTTTAACCATTCAAACCTCCTTCTGAAATCAAGCCACTTAAAGTGGCCCAGATAGGTGAAAATCTGGAGGTCTGTGAAACTCTAGGTTTAGGTCCTCTTCACGAGCTAGGCCCAGGCCCCTGGTGTTACGTGTCTTGTTACCAGACTAGGGTGATTTCATCAGCATTGAGTTAGATCACCAACAAAATGAAGGTTTCTCCAGTGCGTGCTATGTTGCTGGCACAGTGCTTAATAAGGTCCAGTCGTACAGAGAAGCTTATAGTGCTAGAATAATTGCATTTGCATTTATGTAATTGACATTTGTAGTTGATTGTGGCCTGCTTTATCGGGCTTATGCTACTTTATATGTTGAATTTAGGAGTGTTTGAAACAGAAACAAACCAAAACCAAATTTGGTTTCATCTTGCAAAATGCTTTGGTATAAGTAGAATAAATATTTTGGTGGCCTAAGATCAGAACAGTCACTGTGCAGTTAACTTACTAAAGAACATCAGTACCATGAGATAAAATTAGTAAGGGGAAAATAAATATTAAATAAGCCCAAATGGGGCTTTATAAATCCCAGGTTATTATTTTTTTGAAGAGAAAAAAAAAATGTACTTTTAGAGCAGATGTAGATAGAATTTTTCATTTTTGCTTGAAAGAACATTATACTGTTCATATTCTTACCATTTGATGACTCAGTGGGAAGTAAGGGAACTAGTTTAAACCACACTGCTGTGAAGAGGAAACTATATATGGTAAAATCTATTTCTTAAACACAGCCTTACTGCACACAATGAAAGAACGAAGTCACCAAGTCTTAAAATGATTGACATGGGGGAGGAATTTCAAGGATTAAGATGATACCAATGATACCAAATGATAGTTTAGAAAGGAATGTTTTCTTTGTATTTTATCACATCATGGTTTAGTTTTTTTTTTTTTTTTAGACAGAGTCTTGCTCCGTTGCCCAGGCCAGAGTGCAGTGGCATGATTTTGGCTTACTGCAGCCTCCATCTCCCGGGTTCAAGCAATTCTCCTGCCTCAGCCTCCCCAGTAGCTGGGATCACAGGTGTGCACCACCACGCCAGGCTAATTTTTGTATTTTTAGTAGAGATGTGGTTTCTCCATGTTCGTCAGGCTGGTCTCCAACTCCTGACGTCAGGTGATCTGCCTGCCTCAGCCTCCCAAAGTGCTGGGATTATAGGCGTGAGCACTGCGCCCAGTCTAGATTTTTTTTAATACTGATTATTATTATTATTTGCAGAAGTAATCAGATTGTCAGTTTTATATTATTGAAAAATTGGGGCCAGGCACAGTGGTTGATGCCTATAATCCCAGCACTTTGGGAGGTAAAGGTGGGAGGATTGCTTGAGGCTGGGAGTTCAAGACCATCCTGAGCAACAGCGAGACCCCTGTCTCCACAAAAAATAATATAATTTAAAAATTATAATTTTTATTTTTTCTTTACTGCTTCTTGCAGAGCAGGACTACCCCATAGGCAGTGTGCCCAGAGTAGCCAGTATAATTTTTTTTTTAATTATTTTATTTTATTATTGTTTTTGAGACAGAGTCTCACTCTGTCTCCCAGGCTGGAGTGTATTCATGTTATCTCGGCTCACTGCAACCTCCGCCTCCCAGGTTCAAGTGATTCTTCTGCCCCAGCCTCTCAAGTAGCTGGGATTACAGGCATGCACCACCACGCCCAGCCAATTTTGTACTTTTAGTAGAGATGGGGTTTCACCATATTGGCCAGGCTGGTTTCGAACTCCTGACCTCAAATGATCCTCCTGCCTTGGCCTCCTAAAGTGCTGGGATTACAGGTGTGAGCCCCCACACTCAGCCTTTTTTTTTCCTGACAGGGTCTCACTCTGTTGCCTAGGTGGGAGTGCAGTGGTACAATCATGGCTCAAGGCTCAACGTAGCCTCAACCTCCCTGGGCTCAGGTGATCCTCCCACCTCAGCCTCCCGAGTTTCTGGGGCTACAGGTGTGTGTCACCACGCCTGGCTAATTTTTGTATTTTTTGTAGAAATGGGGTTTTGCTCTGTAGCTTCAGGCTGGTCTCGAACTCCTGGGCCCAAGCAATCCACCCACTTTGGCTTCCTACAGTGCCAAGATTACAGGTGTGAGCCACCATTCCCAGCCAATTATTTTAGTTCTTGTTATTATAACTGTTAATGTTTTCACTTTTGAAGTAATGTGAAATAGTGCAATTTTTGCTATCTTGATGGATGAATATATACCCTGTATGAAAACTGGTGCTGAGTTCTATGGCAACATCTGCTTCCAATAAACTACTGCTCAAGCAGAATAGTTTTATTAATAAGTGATTGATAATCTTTAATTTGAATGAAAAGTCTTTTTTTTTGTTAGGCAGTAATAGTAGGTTTACAGTTGTTTTTATAGTTTCAGGGATTTCAGTTTTTGTCTTCTAACTTGGGAAATGTTTGTTGCTTAAAATATACTCATAAGAATGTTAAGATACGAACTACCCATCTGAACGATTATAATTGGAAGACTTTGAGTGATGTGATTATTTGCCACTTTGCCATGTTGTATGTCCAGTGTGTGTAGCTCTGAAGGAGAGGGGAGACGTGTCAACCTTAGCAGCCTCTTCCCTGCACTAGGATCAGACCTATGCTCCATCCCAGGCTCCTCCTGCCACCTCCAGCTTCTCTTACGATTTCTCACTTAGTAAACTTATTTATTTGCATTCAGCATGCCAAAAATGAACCTTACAAACTGGTAGGTTCTCTTTTCATTCATTCATTCATTCTATAATTTTTTTGAGATAATTTATACGCATATAAGTGAGCATTTTCATCCGGATAAATGGATACTTTTGACTATATCTGTTTATTACTTGGAGGTAGGCATAATAATTTAATATCAAAATAGTATTTAATTCCCATATTTGAGATATTTGTGTAAATTATGACTGACATTAGGCTGGCGATCATGACAGATGTTATACAGAAATGTGGGAACAATAGGGATAATGATGAGAACAGATTCTCTTCCATATCATTTAAGTTTGTATCAAGTAAACTGGATTTTGACTTAAAAGAGAGTTTGTGATTTGGGAGAGAAGAGTGTGTGAGAGGTGTGTGTGTGTGTGTGTGTGCACGTGGTGTGTGTGTTATGTTTTAGTTTGAAAATACTAAAAAATACTAGATGTTATTCTTTTCCTCTGAGGTAGTTTTTCCTCCATGTCTTAGGTCACATTATTTAAGAAGACACTGAGAAAAAATGAACTACTACTCCTGAATTCTGTTCATTTTAAGGGTGGGAAGTGTATTCCAGTTCATCACTATCAACCACTGCCAAGGGGAAATAGCTGTGAGCAAGTGGGTTATCTATTGCATATGCTATCATATCATGCTAACTTCTGCCTTAAAAAGTAATCCAGGCTGGGTGCCGTGGCTCACGCCTGTAATCCCAGCACTTTGAGAGGCTGAGGCGAGTGGATCACGAGGTCAGGAGATTGAGACCATCTTGACCAACTTGGTGAAACCCCTTCTCTACTAAAAATACAAAAATTAGCCAGGTGCAGTGGCGAGCGCCTGTAATCCCATCTACTCAGGAGGCTGAGGCAGGAGAATTGCTTGAACCCAGGAGGCAGAGGTTGCAATGAGCCGAGATCACGCCACTGCACTCCAGCCTGGATGACCGAGTGAGACTCAGTCTCAATAAAATAAAATAAAATAATCCAAAAGAATTGTATTATACTTTTAGAAATGGATAGCTGTACCTGAAAAATGCCCTTACCTTGGTGGCTCAATATAAACTAAGACTAGGTTTGTGGGCTTGTAAGAAGACATCTGAATAATATGTTTTATGTAGTTTCTATTAATAAAATGTAAACATGAGGTGAAAGGATAGGAATTGAGGTGGCATTGGGAGTGTGAACTTTCCTCATTTCAGACGAATTTTTCATAAAAGCTTTAATCTGATTGTCATGACTGTAACATATTTGAAAAAACTCTGTTTTTAAAAGACTAAGTGGGGCCGGGTGCGGTGGCTTATGCCTGTAAGCCCCAGGCTGGTGGATTACATGAGGTCAGGAGTTAGAGACCAGCCTGGCCAACATGGTGAAACCCCGTCTCTACTAAAAATACAAAAATTAGCTGGGCGTGGTGGCAGGCGCCTGTAGTCCCAGCTACTTGGGAGGCTGAGGCAGAATTGCTGGAACCTAGGAGGCAGAGGTTGCAGTGAGCTGCGATGACGTCACTGCACTCCAGCCTGGGTGACAGAGCGAGACTCCATCTCAAAAAAAAAAAAAAAGACAAGTGAAATTCTGGATGGCAGAATGTCCTAGGCTATTTATAATTAAATGTGGTTCATCAGCGTCATCTCCAACAGGGCTGCTGTAGAGATCTTTGAAAATACCAAATTTTTATGTTTTGGAGAGCTACATAAGATCTTGCTAAGTTTTACCGCATTAAACAAAAGAGTTTCTTGTAGATAGTAGCTTTCTTTTGTTGTTGGTTTTTTGTTTTTTTGGGTTTTGTTTTGTTTTGTTTTGTTTTTTTTGAGACAGGTCTCATTCTGTTGCCCAGGCTGGAGTGCAGTGGCGTGATCTCAGCTCACTGCAACCTCCGCCTCCCAGGTTCAAGTGATTCTCATACCTCAGCCTCCCAAGTAACTGGGATTACAGGCATGCACCACCATACCTGGCTAATTTTTGTTGGTTTTAGTAGAGATGGGTTTCCATCATGTTGGTCAGGCTGATCTCAAACTTCTGGCCTCATGTGATTCAAGTGGTGTGCATAGTAGCCTTCTATCAAGAGGTACATTGCTCTTTTCTGTCTACCTTTGTTTTATTACTGTCATGTATCACATTCAGGTACTATTTTTCATCCTTAATTCTAAGAATGTGTGGTGCCTGGAGCCATAGAAAAACAGACTTTTTCTGAATATTAAATATATTTTAAAACAATCATGGTATCATACTGTTAAGTCAACAGCAAAACTTTTAATATTTATTGATCATTTACTGTGTACCTATTATGTGCCAGACGCTGTTCTAGGCAGTTGGAATTCATCAGTAAACACAGTGTAGCTAACATTAAATAAATGCTTGTTAAAGAGGGTGCAGACTATGATTACATTTCCTTTCTTATATAGCTTCCTCCTCCCACCCTGAAATTTTTAATTGCCCTTTCCTTGCAATGTCTGCTCTTACTAGACTATGTATTATTTATTTTTTGTATGTTTTTTGAGACAGGGTCTCACATGATCACGGCAGCCTTAACCTCCCAGGCTCAAGTGATCCTCCCACCTCAGTCTCTGGAATAGCTGGGACTATAGCACATGCCACAATGCCTGGCCAATTTTTAAATTTTTTGTAATTTTTTCCGGGGGGGAATCTTGCCGTGTTGCCCATACTGGTCTCGAGCTTCTGGGCTCAAGTGATCTACCTGCCTAAGCCTCCCAAAGTGCTGGAATTACAGGTGTGAGCCACTGGGCCCAGCGTAAACAGACTATACAAGAATTTGTAACTGCCGGGCACAGTGGCTCATGTCTGTAATCCCAGCAACTCAGGAGGCTGAGACAGGAGGATCATTGGAGGCCAGGAGTTCCAGACCAGCCCGTGCAACATAGTGAGACCCCATCTCTACAAAAAATTTTAAAACTTACGCTAGGCGTGGTGGCTCACTCCTGTAATCCCAGCACTTTGGGAGGCCGAGGCAGGTGGACCACTTGAGGTCAGGAGTTTGAGGACAACATGGTGAAACCCCGTCTCTACTAAAAATAAAAAGAATTACCTGGGCGTGGTGAGGTACACCTGTAGTCCCAGCTACTCAGAAGGCTGAGGCACGAGAATCACTTGAACCCGTGGGCGGGGGCGGTGGAGGCCAAGCTTGCAATGATCTGAGATGGAGCCACTGCACTCCAGCCTGGGCGACAGAGTGAGACTCTGTCTCAAAAAATAATAATGAAAATAAAAACTTATTCGGGCCTGGTGGCACATACCTGTAGTCCCAGCTACTTGGGAGGCTGAGGTGGGAGCATCACTTGAGCCCAGCAGTTAGAGGCCACAGTGAGCTGCAGTTGTGCCACTGCACTCCAGCCTAGGCAACATACAAGACCCCAACTCTAAATTTTAAATATTTTTTAAATTAAAAAAGTATTAAAAGCTCTTGATTCTCTCAAGTTTTACTGTAGTTAAATCCTGTAGAATATCAGCTTCTTATGTATAAAATGGAAGTCTTATCACAATGATATGTTCTCGGAGCAGTACACAGAGAATGAAATTATGTTACCCGGTATTACTAAATATATTTATCTAAATGTAAAAATGTAAATAGGGCCAGGCGCGGTGGCTCACGCCTGTAATCCCAGCACTTTGGGAGGCTGAGGCGGGCAGATCACGAGGTCAGGAGATCGAGACCATCCTGGCTAACACAGTGAAACCCCGTCTCTACTAAAAATACAAAAAATTAGCTGGGTATGGTGGTGGGCGCCTGTAGTCTCAGCTACTCGGGATGCTGAGGCAGGAGAATGGCGTGAACCCGGGAGGTGGAGCTTGCGGTGAGCCGGGATGGCGCCACTGCACTCCACCCTGGGCGACAGAGCGAGACTGTCTAAAAAAAAAAAAAAAAAAAGTAAATAGCTAGCCAGGCGCGGTGACTCAACGCCTGCAATCCCAGCACTTTGGGAGGCCGAGGTGGGCAGAGCAGCTGAGGTCAGGAGTTCGAAACCAGCATGGCCAACATGGTGAAACCCTGTCTCTACTAAAAATGCAAAAATTAGCTGGGCATGGTGGTGGGTGCCTGTAATCCCAGCTACTTGGGAGGCTAAGGCAGGAGAATTGCTTGGACCTGGGAGGCAGAGGTTGCAGTGAGCTGAGATCACGCCACTGCACTCCAGCCTGGGCGACAAGAGTGAAACTCCGTCTCAAAGAAATAAATAGCCAAAAATGCCTAATAAATGTTTCTTTTCATAATACGGTGATATTAGTTTAAATGACACTTGGTTTTCCCATTTTGGAAAATGACATTCTCTAAGCGATTTGCCCAAAATGAATGAAAGTCTGCTTTAGAATTGAAGCTTTAGTTCTGTTCATTTTCTCACATTTCTCTTTCTAAAAATACTTAGCATTTTGCCGGGCATGGTGGCTCACGCCTGTAATCCCAGCACTTTGGGACGCTGAGGCAGGCGGATCACCTGAGGTCGGGAGTTTGAGACCAGCCTGACCAACATGGAGAAACCCCGTCTCTACTAAAAATACAAAATTAGCTGGGCTTAGTGGCGCATGCCTGTAATCCCAGCTACTTGGGAGGCTGAGGCAGGAGAATCACTTGAACCCAGGAGGCGGAGGTTGCAGTGAGCCGAGATTGTGCCATTGCACTTCTGCCTGGGCAAAAAGAGTGAAACTCCGTCTCAAAACAAAAACAAAAAAAACCTTAGCATTTGTTCAGCGAATTTGTCCATCCCACAGATACTTCTGGAGTGAGCACTGTGTGCCAGGAGCTCTGTTAGGTATTGGATTCCAGCACGAACTGCTCAGCTTAGCTCCCTGCTCTTATGAGGCTTTTGGTCTAGTGAGGGAACTTAGGCACTAATTTAGCAGTAAATAAACATGAACCCTGGAAGTAGGCAATGCCGTGAAAGAAGTTAAAAGGAGATGTTGCGATAGATTGAGTGGCTACTTCGGGTGGACTGAAAGCACCAAAAGTTTAAAATGTTATATAAATGCAAAGTGATATTTTTCAGATGCTGTCTTAAAATATAGTAAATATCCTGATGCTAACCCACTTTTATTTTACTGTTTCATTCCAGTTTGTGAAGTGTGGATATGCAGGCTCTAACTTTCCAGAACACATCTTCCCAGCTTTGGTTGGAAGACCTATTATCAGATCAACCACCAAAGTGGGAAACATTGAAATCAAGGTAATATTTTATTTATTGATAAATGATAATCAAGACATGTGAGGTGTTCTTATAAAAGTAGTTTAACAGTTCTTTTAAGTAGTTTTAAAATATGTTGCCATGAAAAGCAAAGGGGAGGGTAGAAGTTCTCATATTTTTAATTTATATCAACACCTGAACAGGGGCACAAAAATTGAAGTTAATTTCATCTGATTTTGTTTATGTATGGCTTGATGCCATTACTCTTTGGAGTAAAATACTTAAGTTTATTACATTAATGTGAAACGCTGTGTTAGTGACTTAAGTCCTATTACATAATATAATTTTTAAAAGAAATCGGCCTGGTATTTTTATGTCTTTCAATTCCATATATTTGTCATTGTATGTGAGTGTCTCTTTGGCACCTTAGACTTTTTCTTTTCATGTTTTTATGGCCTGATCCCTCTACTTTTTTATATAGCCATTTAGGAAAACACAGGGTGTAAATCTCATTGATTCCTCTTTTCATTAATATAACTTATTTCCATAATGTGCAGAAGGAAGCCATTCAAGCCTTTATTTGGCCTTGGATTATGTATCTTACCATAAAGAGGAAGGAAAGTTTTCATTGCCTACTCGCTGTATTTAAGATGAAAGACTACATGAAAAGACGATCGATTTTTCTCCCATATTAAAGGGATCAGAAATCAAGTAGGAGTTACAATATTTGACAAGAAAGAGAACAGTGAGAGGACAGTAGTCACCAGTTGGCTTTAAGTTCTTCAGGTGACTGAAGGATCAAGTTATACAGAATGCCATAGAATTTAGGGTCTTTTTTAGTGAATTATTTGTGAACACGCTAGCATTGTTTGTCCTATCTGGATAGTCTTTAGCAAGCCTTCAGTGTAAGGTTATGAGTCATTTGAAATATGCATTAGGGCGTATCTCTTTGGGACATTTGTTTTATGTAGGAAGGTGGTAATGGGTGGTAGAGATTTGCTATGTAGCCTTCTGCTTTTGGGATAGAGAGTTGAGTTACACAATGAATAAAAATACAAGCTGAAACTTGGGTTCTGTGTTAGTTTTTTTTTTTCAGAGTTAAAGTAGCGAATTTTTCTGGCCTCTCCTGTTAACAAAAAAAATAAAATGGGACACTCAGTGTAAGTTTTTCCTTTTTAAGGAGCTTTTGGAATATTTGTGGGATTCCTTACTTGCTTATTGTGAACTCCTTTCATTCTGAATGAATTCTATCTTAAATGAACTTTGACTGGAAATTAGCTAATAATAGTGATAAGGATAAACTGTTTAATGAAGTTGAAGGCTATACTTTTTATTCAGTGTCAGGTTTTTAAAGAATGGCTTTTTTATATACTGGACAATAAAATTTTTGAGGTATGAAGAAATATCATGTATAGCCATAAATTTATTTTGCAACATAGGCACAAATAACTACACATCTCTTCATGCCCACTTTCTTCGTGTTTAAGGCCAAGTGATAGAAATCAAATTTGTCAGTATGCTAATAAAACATTTTTGCCAAGGAATTCCCTAGCAGCATTTGCTTGTATGGTTTGTCATTCTGTATTCTATTGGCTCAATTCTGTTCACTCTGTGCAATCTTGTAAGCCTATCAAGTTAAATTATTCTTCGAGTAGAAAACAGCAAAAGATACCTGTGTCAAATAAATTTAACTTGAACACTAGAGCTTGGAAAAACAACCCTGAGCTATCTAACACTCTGCCTACTCAGCTAGACCTTTGCTGTTATCATTTATTTTTCTTAATTAAAGTTCTTAAGTTCAGTAATGAATTAAAGAAGCTTACTTTTTGGAATTCCTGTGCTTAGTATTTTGACTTATACTTTTTGTGTCTTGTTAGCTAAAATGTGGTAGACTGAAAAATGGAAATTTAAATCGTTTAATGAGTTAATTTGCATTCAGGAATAACTGTCCATGTTAATTTGGCCCTAATTATTAACTCCATTAAATATAGTAGTACTGCATCTGACCTCAACCTAATTGTCTCTATTGCTTGTATGTTTAAACATTTCAGTGAGGATTTTATTTAGGCCTTTTCTGACTCTTACTTCTACCTTCTCTCTCTTCACCTTTCTTGACCCGTTGAAGTAGAATAACAAAAAGATGGTAAGTGAGGTTACACACATGCTCTGTTTGTTTTCCACTTTTGCTTGATGGGACAGTAGTTGTTGTTTTGTGTCCCTTTAGTATTGGGGAGGGGGGGTTATTTCCATATTTTTATTTTAAGTACTTTGATTTTTAACCTTTTTCATTGCTTCAATTTGATAGCAACTAATTAAGTCCTATACTTTCCTGATTGCGTACAATGGACCAAACAAGAACTAATTACTAACATAGTTTTGAATTGTTTTCCTTGTTTTTCTTGTAGATGAATGTTATAATTAAAATGGAATGTGTTGTGCATAATATTAGAAACCAGATGGCTTTATATAGGATATGTGTGATCCAAAAAATTCAAGTGAAGTTGTTACATTTGAATAAATTCACTTTATTGACCAGTATTAAATTGAACATTGACTGTCATAGCCTGTATATATATTTGCATCTAGTGTGGTATCATATGTGTACTTAATAAACTGAGTAAAATTTTAATATGTAAATAAACCATAGATAGAAAAAGAGAATTCTTTCCATATCATCCTTACTGATGAGCAGATTTCACAACGTTATCTGAGGATAAATAAGAAAAAGGTAAAGCTTTTCTATAAACAACAGATTTCCCCCCCAAACATTGTACAGTGTGTTTTTCTTTATAACTATAAGCTTGCTGGTCTTATCTCAGACATTTAACTCTTCATTGTATTTTTCTGTGATAGTCTAAGTGCTTCTGTAGTAGATACTTTTCAAGTTTGTTTTTAATATTGTTTGTAAGAATCTCTGACAAAAATCAGGCACTTCTAATATATATTTTAACTAGTAATAGTAACTTTGTGAAGTTTTCTTTTGAATAAACAAAAACATTTAAAAGAGGAAATTTATCCTAAATAAAAGATCATAACATTTGTGTTTATATTCTAATGAGATTAAGAAAAGGGTGTGCTTGCTGGGCACGGTGGCTTGTGCCTGTACTCCCAGCACTTTGGGAGGCCCAGGCGGGTGGATCACGAGGTCACGAGTTCAAGACCAGCCTGACGAACATGGTGAAGCCCCATCTCTACTAAAAATAGAAAAATCAGCCAGGTGTGGTGGTGTGTGCCTGTAATTCCAGCTACTCAGGAAGCTGAGGCAGGAGAATCGCTTGAACCCGGGAGGCAGAGGTTGCAGTGAGCCGAGATCACGCCACTGCATTCCAGCCTGGGCAAGAGTGAGACTCCATCTCAAAAAAAAGAAAAGAAAAGGAAAGAGTGCGCTTGTAGAGAACAGTGTAGGCTTATTTTAACAGAAGTTTTTGACCGAGTGAGGTGTTTCATGCCTATAATTCCAGCACTTTGGCAGGACGAGGTGGGAGGATAGCTTGAGCCCAGGAGTTCAAGACCATCCTGGGCAACATGGCAAGACCCTGTCTCTATAGAAAGTTTTTTAAAAAGTAACCAGGCATAGTGATATGTGCCTCCCAAGCAACTTGGGAGGTTAAGGCAGGAGTATTGCTTGAGCCCAGAAGTTTGAGGCTGCAGTGGGTGATGACAGGGCCACTGCACTCCAGCTTGGGTGACAGAGCAAAACCCTGCCTCTATTAGTTAATTGAACAAACAAACAAATGTTTTCAGTGGAATTTTCTTCTAGGGATTTAATTGTGCTTTTGAACTTGAGTTTACTCTGTATTCTAATTTGAGGTGACATTGTTCAAAATGATTCTTGGCAAATGTAATCCCTACTACCCACTTTTCATGAAGTATAAATACCTTTGAAACAGCATCTCAGTTACTGTGATTTTTTTCATTGTTTCAGATAGGTGATGTTCAGTGGCGGGGCAGGTGGTTAAAACCTAAGGTCTGATCTGATCACTTATAACTTGGTTCTGAGTGATGAAGGCAAGTTATATAACACTTAGTAGGATTTTTTTATTAAAATTTTCGATATGAAAATTTTTTAATTGGATAGCTTGTATAGTCAAACTTTGTACTTCTTAAATAAGTTAATACTCCATTTTAAATGTCCTGTTTGTTCTGAGGAAGGTAAGGATACTCAATTCCAAACATTTCTTTCAGTTAATCCTTTATAGTATGTGTGGTCCTAGAAGTAGATACATGAGGCATTTATTTAGAGTTGGCATTGGGTCATGTAAATGTAAGCCCCTATTTGTACATTAAATAAAAAGTAAATTTCTGTTGAAATCAGATCAGACTTATTTCAAATTGGTTGAAATAATACTGATTATATTATCTAATTATCTAATCTGTTATCTTGTACAACACACAAAAAAGACGTAAAGTTAGTAACAAAAATGGTATATATAATTACAGGTATAGATTTCCCCCCTAACATTTTATTAAGCAGTATTAAGAAAATGTAGCAATATTGAAATGATTTTACAATGAAACTTGTATATCCATCACCTGGATTCTGACATTAATATATATCATACTGATTTATTACATATCTGTTCATCTGTTCATTCATCAGTGCATCTTGTTTTTTGATGGATTTCAAAGTAAGTTGCAGATACCAGTATACTTCTCCCTGAATACTTCAACATGTGCATGTTATTAACTAGAATTCACAAATACAGATTTTTAGTTTTGCATATTCCTCATAGAAGAATCTAAACGGTTGGGTGTGGTGATTCATGCCTATAATCCTAGCACTTTGGGAGGCTGAGGTGGGCGGATCCCTTGAGCCCAGGAGTTCAAGACCAGCCTGGGCAACATGGTGAAACCCTGTCTCTACTAAAAATACAAGAATTAGCTGGGCATGTAGCCTGTAGTCCCAGCTACTTGGGAGGCTAAGGTGGGAGGATCACCTGAGCCTGGGGAGGTTGAGGCTGTGGTAAGCAATAATGGCACCACTGCACTCCAGCTTGGGTGACAGAGTGAGACCCCATCTCAAAAAAAAAAAAAAAAAAGAGTGTAAACATTTAATATTTCAGATATTTGAGTAATAAGTTAGTAAGTTATGGTAAATGAACTTCATAAGAAATTGCAACAAATTTTTACTGAGCATTTCTAGCATCTGTTTTTAACTTTGTTATACTTTTTGATGCTTTTAGTGGATTTTCCAGAGATCTGTTTGGTTTTTTGTTAGAGTCCTCACCTTGGTTTCATCTCTGATATTTTCTTTTTCTTTTTTTTTTAATTTAAAACTCATATATTTTTAAGCCTTTGTTTTAAAACATCTCATGTTGGCCAGGTGTGGTGGCTCATGCCTGTAATCCCAACACTTTGGGAGGCCGAGATGGGTGAATTACTTGAGGTCAGGAGTTTGAGACCAGCTTGGCCAACATGGTGAAACCCCATCTCTACTAAAAATACAAAAATTAGCCAGGCGTGGTGGCAGGTGCCTGTAATCCCAGCTACTCAGGAGGCTGAGGCAGGAGAATCGCTTGAACCTGGGAGGCAGAGGTTGTAGTGAGCTGAGATCATGCCACTGCGCTCTAGCCTGGGCAGTAGAGCGAGACTCAGTCTCAAAAAAATAATCTCGTGTTAATTTTGCTGCTGCTTTTTTTTGTCTCTCCATAATTAAAACTTAACGTATTGTAGCAAATATCTACTTCTGATACTAGTTTTTTTAATTGAATTTATCAACATATGTAGAAATTAGTATTATTTAACCTCTTGACTAGCTGTTCTCTAAAAATAAGTCTAAATGCTAGGACATCCTTACTTATTATATATAGAAAATGTGACTTTCAAATGTGGGTCATCTTAAGTATGCTCTCATTGGAGACAAGACTTGTGAGTATTATGCTTCATGTGTGATGGTGTAGTTTTCCAGTATACTTTAAGATTGAAAATGTTGCTCAGGAGACAATTTTAAAGGATGGGTTATTTGCCTATATCTTAATTTTTTATAACTCTACAAATTCTCATTCACCTTGGTGAGGCATATGTAGAAACAGTTTAAATTCTTATTCAGGCATATGTAGATAGAAGTTTGTGCTATTTATTAGTTGGTGTATGTATGCATTATTATAGAGTAATAAAGAATCATTTTATTTTTTGCTTCTTTCATTATGCTTTATAGTACTTACATTTATCATTTTGATATTTAGTGCAAAGAAATGTGCTGCATGCATTGAGCATTTTTCTACAAGTTTTTTTCCCCCTGATGTGCTATTTCACATATCACAGGCCTTATTTTTTGAACAATTGAGCAAAAGAAACAGATGAAACCTCATACAAAACCCTCCAAAATATGAAAATGTGGGGTTTATTTGTGCTAATGCTCTTCTTTTGGAAACATTTGTGTTAAAGGTAAGGTCAATTTATTGATTTAAACCACATTGTATGTAAAAATGTATTATCCATGATTAAACTTTCTAAGACATTGTTCTTGATAGAAAAGATTTTCTAACTTGTGGAATAAAAAGATTTATTTTGCAAGTGTCAGAAATATTAAAATTAATTATTCCCAAGTTTTCTTAAATATTATGCAAAACTTTGATCTACAGCTTTGACATAATTTTCTAGGATCTTATGGTTGGTGATGAGGCAAGTGAATTACGATCAATGTTAGAAGTTAACTACCCTATGGAAAATGGCATAGTACGAAATTGGGATGACATGAAACACCTGTGGGACTACACATTTGGACCAGAGAAACTTAATATAGATACCAGAAATTGTAAAATCTTACTCACAGAACCTCCTATGAACCCAACCAAAAACAGAGAGAAGATTGTAGAGGTGAGTTTTTATGCAGGATATGCATATGTGTATTTCTGTGATATTATGTTAAATCAAAAATTTTCTTACTGTTGCTATGGATAAAGAGAATAAAAATAATTGTTTTCCTTCAGATCTTATTAAGTATCTACTATATGCTAGTCATTATTCTAAGTAGGAAAGTAGGATAGATCAGTAAACAAAAAATCCTACTGCCATGGAGTGTATATATTCTAACAGGGAAAAACAGACCAAAAAAATTAAGTTTTTAATTTAGTGAGTTAATTAAGTTAATTAAGTTTTTATGGAGGAGCCAGCAGAAGGAGACTGAAAAGGCTAATACAATAAGCAGTTACAGAGTTAATTAAATGGTTTGTTAGAAGGTGAGTGATCCAGTTGACCCATGAGCAATGCAGGGGTTAGGGGCACCAACCCTCCCTACTCACGTGCAAACTTAACTACCACCCAAAATACTTAACTTCTAATAGCCTACTGTTGACCAGAAGCCTTACTGATAACATAATATGTATTATATACTATATTCTTAACAATAAAGTAAGCTAGAGGAAATACTGTTAAGAAAATCATGGCCGGGCGCGGTGGCTCACGCCTGTAATCTCAGCACTTTGGGAGGCGGAGGCGGGCAGATCACAAGGTCAGGAGATCGAGACCATCCTGGCTAACACAGTGAAACTCCGTCTCTACTAAAAATACAAAAAATTAGCCGGGCGTGGTGGCGGGTGCCTGTAGTCCCAGCTACTCAGGAGGCTGAGGCAGGAGAATGACGTGAACCCTTGAGGCAGAGCTTGCAGTGAGTGGAGATCGTGCCACTGCACTCCAGCCTGGGCGACAGAGCGAGACTCCGTCTCAAAAAAAAATAAAAAATCATAAGAGAAAATACATTTACTATACCTTAAGTGGATGTAGATCATCATAAAGATCTTCATCGTCATTGTCTTCACACCGACGAAGAAGAGGAGGGGTTGGTCTTGCTGTCTCGGGTGGCAGAGACAGAAGAGGTGCAAGGGGAGGCAGGAAAGATTTATTGACAAAAATCGTGTATAAGTGGACCTGTGTGGTTCAAACTTGTTGTTATTCATGGATCAGCTGTAGATGCTAAAGGCAAAATAAATCAGGTTAACGGGGAGTGGGAGGTTGTAATTGTACATAGGTTGTGAGAAGGTGATGTTTAAACAGACAGGGTAAGTGAGTTAGCCAGGGTATATAGGAGAATGGTATTCCAGATAAAGGGAGTAGCCAGTGTAAAGGTCTTAAGTTAGGAACAAGCTTGGTATATTAAAGAATAAGCAAGGAAGCCAGTGTGGTTGAGGAGAGAGCAACAGAAGATGAGGTCGAGTAAGTAATATTGGTGCCTTGTAGGCTCTAATTAGGAATTGGGCGGCTGGAAGTGGTGGTTCAGGCCTGTAATCCCAGCACTTCTGGGAGGCCGAGGTGGGCGGATCACGAGGTCAAGAGTTCGAGACCAGCCTGACCAACATAGTGAAACGCCATCTCTACTAAAAATACAAAAATTAACTGGGCATAGTGGTGCGTGCCTGTAATCCCAGCTACTTGGGAGGCTGGGGCAGGAGAATCGCTTGAACCCAGGAGGCAGATGCTGCAGTGAGCCGAGATTACACCACTGCATTCCAGCCTGGGCGACAGGGTGAGACTCAGTCTCAAAAAGAAAAAAAGGGAATTGGGCTTTTACTGTGGGTGAAATATGGGGCTGTTACAGGAAAAGGAGATGCTCAGATTTAGATTTCTCTTGTGTTGTGAGTATCCCACAAGGAGGCAAAGATAGAAGAGTTGGAGACTTTTTCAGTCATTTAAGCAAAAGATAATGATGGTTAGGATTGAAGTAGTAGTAGTAGAGATAGTGAGAAATTACCAGATTATAGGTCTGTTTTGAAGGTAGGGCTATAAATGATACGGTTCAACAAAGAAGAGGGTAGACAGTGGTGAAAAGGCCAAGGACCAGAGAGATAGGAGGAGCCAGCAGAAGGAGATTGAAAACGTTATTGAGGCCGGGCTAGGTGGCTCCCAGCACTTTGGGAGGCCAAGGCGGGTGGATCACTTGAGACTAGGAATTTGAGACCAGCCTGGCCAACATGGCAAAACTCCGTCTCTACTAAAAACACAAAATTAGCTGGGCATAGTGGTGCACGCCTGTAATCCCAGCTACGCAGGAGGCTGAGGCAGGAGAATTGCTTGAACCCAGGAGGTGGAGGTTGCAGTGAGCTGAGATCACCCCACTGCACTCCAACCTGAGCGACAGAGCGAGACTCTGTCTCAAAAAGAAAAAAGAAAAAGAAAAAAAAAGTTAATGAAATAATGAAATAAGCAGTTACAGAGGAAAGAGAGAGCAAGAGAGCTATGATCCTCATAGTTTAAATAAGTAATTTTTCAAGGTTCTTTTATTTTTGTATATATGAAGTAGAAATTTAATAACTTCTGTAGCTTTCCAGTTACTGTTTAATGTACATATTTTGTTTACGAATATGTTTAAATGTTGATGGAAATTTTTGAAAGGGTTTAGAAGAAAATGTTGTTAGTATTTTTAAAGCCTGTATTAAAACTCAGTTTTTGTATTAAGTGTTTTGAAAATCTAAGATCATGGTTTTAAAGAATCCATATGATTTCTTATGGCTTATATTTTAATATTCTTATTTGTTTATGACTACAAATATGTCTATGACTGATAGTGTCCTACCTTAATCTCATTAACATGCTTTCACATTGGTATGTGCATATATATGATCATTCTTCCATTTTCATCCCTGTGGAGGTGGAATAAAGGATGATGGAATAAAATACTATTCAGACTATCTAATTGCTTAATTGATGAGTATGTGTTTCAGAGTTGTAGAATTTAAATTCTGTGTAATTTTCATTGTGGTCAGTTGTAAAATTTCTAAATATTTAGATATTCAGAGTGATAGGCAACCCTACCAGTCAAGGGGTGCTCAGTCAAGATCACCAAAAAAAAAATCATGCAGGATGTTCCCAGCTGACCTGGGCTACAGAGAATGAACATGTGTGTGACCAGTGAGGGCAAAAAGGAAAGAACTCCTCCTTCCAGGGTAGTTCATTTGGAGGTTGTAATTACAGTCTTGATTCAAGTAGGGACTGGGCTCAGCAGCTAAGCCATTTCTGTATCTTCCAGCAATCAGGAATTAACCATTGATTTTTGTCTTTGCCGTGGCATTTTACTGGGTTTTTTATTTTTTCTTTCTTTCTTTCTTTTAATTTTTAAGCTGCTCAGGGTAGACAGAGCTACACTCTTGGCCCAGATTGAGGGAGGGGGTACGAGGCTCTGTAAAGCAATTTCTATATTTTGTCTTCGAATTAAAAGATATTTCCCGGCCGGGTGCGGTGGCTCACGCCTGTAATCCCAGCACTTTGGGAGGCCGAGGCAGGCGGATCATGAGGTCAGGAGATGGAGACCATCCTGGCTAACACGGTGAAACCCTGTCTCTACTAAAAATACTAAAAATTAGCCGGGTGTGGTGGTGTACGCCTGTAGTCCCAGCTACTCGGGAGGCTGAGGCAGGAGAATGGCGTGAACCAGGGAGGTGGAGGTTGCAGTGAGCTGAGATGGCACCACTGCACTCCAGCCTGGGCGACAGAGCAAGACTCCGTCTCAAAAAAAGAAAAAAAAAAGATATTTCCCTGGCTGGATGTGGTGGCTGACACCTGTAATCCCAGCACTTTGGGAGGCCGAGGTGGGTGGATCATGAGGTCAGGAGTTCGAGACTAGCCTGGCCAACATAGTGAAACCCTGTCTGTACTAAAAATACAAAAATTAGCCAGGCATGGTGGTGCATGCCTGTAGTCCCAGCTACTCAGGAGGCTGAGGCAGGAGAATCAGTTGAACCCTGGAGGTGGAGGTTGCAGTGAGCCAAGATTGCGCCACTGCACTCCAGCTTGGGCAACAGAGTGAGACTTCATCTCAAAAAAAAAAAAAAAAAAAAAGAATTTCCCTTAAGGGATATCAATTAAGAAAGTCTTGTTCAATACAGAGAGCTTTCTTTCACACTAATTAGTCATTAACTAATACACTAAGAAATCTTTGCTTTGTCACGCTTATGAAATGCTTGGGGACTTAGAAATCTGTCTTCAGATTTGGAGCTCTGTGGCAGCAGGACTTCAATAAGAAATAAGAGGAGCTGATGAAAATGGAAGACTATTTCAGGTCCATTTGATTCTATTTTGGGCAATTAATTCACTCTGTGACCATGAGGAAAACATTTATTTATTATGTAATTTTCTAAATACCAGTTTTTTTCTTTCTGTCTGCATTTACAGGTAATGTTTGAAACTTACCAGTTTTCCGGTGTATATGTAGCCATCCAGGCAGTTCTGACTTTGTACGCTCAAGGTAGGTTAAGCTTAACTGTTAGAAAAAACACTTCATCAAACATTTATTATGTATGTTTTATGTCAGAGAATTTGGTTTCTCAATAAGTTATAAGCCCCAGAAAACTACATTATTTATATACCACACTTTGAAATATTTTCAGTTTTTAAAATTTGTGAAATAAGATTTTATATACATTTTTATTTGCTAAATATGTATTTAAGGTAAAAAAAAAAGGCTTAAAGACTTATTTTTTAAAAAATAGGATATTCTCTCTTTTAAGCTATTTAAATTTTTTTTGAGACAGATTTTCGCTTTTGTTGCCCAGGCCGGAGTGCAATAGTGCAATCTTGGCTTACCACAACCTCCACCTCCTGGGTTCAAGTGATTTTCCTGCCTCAGCCTCCCAAGTATTTGGGATTACAGGCATGTGCCACCACACCTGGCTAATTTTGTATTTTTAGTAGAGATGGGGTTTCTCCATATTGGTCAGGCTGGTCTCAAACTCCTGACCTCAGGTAGTCCGCCCGCCTCAGCCTCCTGAAGTGCTGGGATTACAGGCATGAGTCACCGTGCCTGGCATAGCTATTTTAATTTTTTATGCATGGAATTTGTCCCCAGAATTGGCTTGAGTTAAAAAAAATACGCAGAGATTCAAAAAGGTAGCATAAAATCATGCCTGTCAAATATATAGTAGATTAAAAAGGAGAAGGTAAACATTTGGGAGTGCATTTCTAACTTTTGAGGTGGGTTTAATGGAGGGGACTACTTATATATTCTCTTGATATTGCCATTAGCAACTGCCTCCCTCTTTATTGGAAATAAAATATTGGCCACGTTGGGAGAGCTCTTTTTTTTTTTTATGGTCTTATAAATTCAACAGGAACTTACTGAGAATGTCTGGGCCTGTCAGATATGTGCCAAGGAGTCTTTTAGGCACTTCAGGGGATAATCCAGTGGGAAAAGAGTGTGGCACTGGAAATGGGTCAAGTGTGTTTGGAGAAAGGCCAGTATGTGTGTGACCTGATGGAAGTGGTAGAAAATAAGGTGAGGTGGGTAGGGAGGGCTCTTTGGGAAATAAAATGTAAATTCTTGCATTAGTCAGTGTTCCTGGGAGTATTTTTGAATTGATGATGGTGTGAATTCCTCCTTTTTTTTTTCTTTTTTGCAATGGAAATCCTCTTCTTTTTAAAAGAGTACAACATTCAAGGGCTGTATATGAGTTTTATGAGGCTTATTGCATCAAGGAATTATATCCACTTAAAAAGGAGGTAGTTTTAGGCCGGGTGTGGTGGCTCACGCCTGTAATCCCAGCACTTTGGGAGGCCGAGGTGGGTGGATCACGAGGTCAGGAGATCGAGACCATCCTGACTAACACTGTGAAACCCCGTCTCTACTAAAAAAAAAATACAAAAAATTAGCTGGGCATGGTGGCATGTGCCTGTAATCCCAGCTACTTGGGAGGCTGAGGCGGGAGAATCGCTTGAACCCAGGAGGCAGAGGTTGCAGTGAGCTGAGATTGTGCCATTGCACTCCAGCCTGGGCGACAGAGTGAGACTCTGTCTCAAAAAAAATATGTAAATAAAAATAAATAAAAAAAGTTTTTTTGACCAGGTATGGTGGCTCATGGCTGTAATCCCAGCACTTTGAGAAGCCAAGGTGGTCAAATTGCTGTATCTCCAGAGTTTGAGACCAGCCTAGGCAACATAGTGAGATCCCTATCTCTATAAAAAGTAAAATTAGCTGGGTGTGGTTGCACATGCCTATAATCCCAGCCACTTGAGAGGCTGAGGTGAGATGATCACTTGAGCCCAGGAGGTTGAGGAAACAGGGGAAACAAAGCAGCTTCTTTGCTGTTCTTTTATTATGAGGTTTAACTGACATTGCCTTTTATTATAAGTTCCAGTGAATAATCAAAGTGATGCTTTGGCTAGCCATGTTTAATTTTTCTTAGATTTCTAGCTGTCTAGTATCAATAGGCATTTTTCCAGAACACACAGTATATGTTATTTGTAGTATATTCAAAACTATCTAAGTTGAAAAAAATAAAGAATTGTACAGAGCTTTAAGAACGTGTTCTGCTGGGTGTGGTGGCTCACGCCTGTAACCCCAGCAGTTTGAGAGGCCAAGGCAGACAGATCACTTGAGGCCAGGAGTTCGAGACCAGCTTGGGCAACATGGCGAAACTCTGTCTCTACAAAAAAATTACAAAAATTAGCCAGGCATGGTGGTGCATGCCTGTAGTCCCAGCTGCTCAGGAGGCTAAGGTGGGAGGTATGACTTGAACCCAGGAAATGAAGATTGCAGTGAGCCTAGATTGAGCCACTGTACTCCTCCAGCCTGGGTGACAGAGCCAGACCCTGTCTCAAAAAAAAAAAGGAAAAAAAAGTCCTGTTTTTCAGTCCTCAGTCTCAGGGTCTGTTTCTTCTCATCTCCTTGGACAGCACATAATAGTAGACTAAAAGTCTTAAAAGAGAACACTCGCTTTAATACTTATGCATTAGAAACAAACTGCAAAATAACTAAATAATAAATTCTGGCTTCTAGTTGGTTACGTTTCTGTTTTGGCTTCCCTACTGTATTTGGAACTCGCTGGCTTTGGTTTTCCTGATTTGACTTTTTATTTAAATCCCCCTGGCTTTTATGCAGGTTTATTGACTGGTGTAGTGGTAGACTCTGGAGATGGTGTGACTCACATTTGCCCAGTATATGAAGGCTTTTCTCTCCCTCATCTTACCAGGAGACTGGATATTGCTGGGAGGGATATAACTAGATATCTTATCAAGGTAAGTGAAAGGAAAATATCATGGAAATTAAATTTTGTAATTTGTTTACCACCTTAACACAGAATTGAATCTATCGTTTTAGGATTCCAGCAAATCTGTACCACTAGAGAAATTATCCAATTACCTCCCTTATTTATATAAAAATTCATATAAGATTTATACACATGAAGAAAAAAGAAGATACATTAAAAACAAGGAAAAAAGTGTACACACATGATCTCTGTATACTAATGAGAGTACATTATATCATTACATAATTATATTTGTTATTCCTGAGGAGTGAGTAGACAGATATTTCAAGGATAGAAGAGACCCCTAATTTGAAACTTTCTTGGACAGCTCAGGCAGCCTTTTCTGCCATAAAACCTTTCTTTGAGCAGGTATGTTTTAAGCCATGATCTTGGTTGGGTTGTCTGCTCTTGTCCTTTCCTACAAAATACAGTGATAGCAAATTAATGATATTTGAGGAAAACAGCCCAAATACGCCAGACTTTAATATTTAGTAGTTTTCATGGAATAGATGCAGTTTTTAATATTTACTATTTTAGTTTATTTCTGAATATAACTAGTTATAATTTTCTTTAAAACATTACTGGAGAAAGTACATAAGGTGTCTACTTGCTAACATATATCATTTTTAATATTAAAATAAAATTTAGAAAATTGTTTATACCACAATTCTATAATCAGTCTATCCTCTCCAGGACAGTGGTTCTCACCAGGGGACAGTGCTGTCCTCTGGGGGATATTAGCAATTTCTGGACACATTTTTGGTTGTCTGAGCTGGGCAGGAATGCTACTGAACATTCTATAATGAATAGGGCTGGCTGCACAACAAACAATGTATAGTCTGTCAGTGGTGCTGCTATTAAGAAACCCTGTCTCTGCATTAAATTGGGTTGCACTGTCTTTACCTTGACATTGGGTTCCTTCAGTCTCATTTAAAGTAATCCTCCTCATGAGGGGAGATTAAATTAATGAGAATTATAATACTCTCATTTTAGGCCAAAATTCAAAGCGTAACTAACAGAATTTCTGGGGTTGTCTTTAGAACACAGACTCAAATATTAGAGGATTTTTTTTTTATTTGTAAAGTCTAGTAATTTTTTTTCTCTCAGTGGGTTTTTAAAAAAATAGTAGTATTTTCTAGCATTTAAGAAATGTAACAATGGAGATTATACCTTTGAGTATCCCAATAATTCCCTTATCATTCGTTAAACAAATGCTATTGTCCTTCTAATATGTGCCAGACACAGTACTAGAAGCTAAAGATAAAACTTTTAAAGACTTGGGGGCATTTCATAAATATGGCATTAATTGTGTGAGCAAACTGCAGGCTACAGGAGTCCAGTACTAAAATAATATTTATTCATTAATATACTTTTGATTGTTTATCAAAACTATCAAAACATTAGTACTCATGCAGTGCTTTTCAAAAACTGACTTTTCTAGTCATTTTACTGACTTACTTATGAATTGTTAATTCTTTTACCCTCTCTGAAACTGAAATATAAATCCTTTTATGGCGGATAAAATCCTGCTTCTGAAATAGTAGGAGCTGAGGATCCACTGCCCATTCTGTTTGTTATTGATGTGACATATTTAATGAGCATTACTAGCTTTTGCAGAGTAGAACTCATTCAGATGTATTATGAACTTATTGCTATTGTTTTGTACCAGCTACTTCTGTTGCGAGGATACGCCTTCAACCACTCTGCTGATTTTGAAACGGTTCGCATGATTAAAGAAAAACTGTGTTACGTGGGATATAATATTGAGCAAGAGCAGAAACTGGCCTTAGAAACCACAGTATTAGTTGAATCTTATACAGTAAGTGTTTCCAGTGTATAATATATATGTGTTTTAAAGTGGACAGCCATGATTATTGGTGTCAGCTTAAGGAGGTTTTCTTAGAATCAGTATTTTTGTCTTGGGTTGTTGTAATATGTATATGTGTGACTTTTAATGTCTCTTTCTACATTAAGTTTCTATTTAATTATTTTAGGGCACCATATAATGCAAATTAAGGCAAGAATCATAAATTACTCTCTATACTAGGATATAATTAGATGCGAGATGTTATTTTGAGATTCTAGTATTTGGCATAGCATTTCTCAATGTATGTTTTACAGAACTTTATTTCCCTGAGATGCTAATAAGCATTTCACAAAAATTAAAAAGGATTACATTGTCAGATGAGTTTGAGAAAGAGTTGATTTCACTTCACTGTAGAACTCAGAGCCTTTGGTATGCTAATATGGGCACAATTAATATAGTATGCGTGTTTTTCAGACTTATGCTCTAGGACTTTTCAGAATTTCATGGGATTAGTGATCTAAGAAACATACTTTGGAAATGGTCATTCTAGAGCATTGCTTTACTAATTCAGTAGGTGGCAGCCTTTCCTGACTTAATATTCTTTAATGAGGTGTTAAATGTTAACTTGAAATTGTAACTAATGAGATTTAGTACCTGGTTATAGTTTATAACACCAGAGGAGTTGATCCTACTTGAATTTTTAATGAATTACCATCTTAAGCCTATTAAATTTGTCTGAGTATAAAGTACTTCCAGGTCTCATCTTTGATCTAGTTATTACTAAAATGAAACAGTAATAGGCAATGAAGGCAAGTATTTTAAAACCATATGATGCATACTAGCTCTACATATTCACAAATATATGCAAAATAGTCATTTTTAAAGTAATTATAAAAAATTTGTTGTTGGCCGGGCGCGGTGGCTCACGCCTGTAATCCCAGCACTTTGGGAGGCCGAGGCAGGCGGATCACCTGAAGTCAGGAGTTGGAGAACAGCCTGGCCAACATGGTGAAACCCGTCTTTACTGAAAATACAAAAAATTAGCTGGGCAAGGTGGTGGGCACCTGTAGTCCCAGCTATTCAGGAGGCTGAGGCAGGAGAATTGCTTCAACCCAGGAGGCAGAGGTTGCAGTGAGCTGAGATCGTGCCACTGCACTCCAGCCTGGGTGACAGAGCAAGACTCCATGTCGGTAAAAAAAAAAAAAAAAAAAAAGTTAAGATAGTGATCCAAATATTCAGTAAACCCCCATTTAAAATTTTTTTAAATTTATTTTTTATTATACTTTAAGTTCTGGGATACATGTGCAGAAAATGCAGGTTTGTTACATAGGTACACATGTGCCATGGTGGTTTGCTGCACCCATCAACCTGTCATCTGCATTAGATATTTCTCCTAATGCTATACCTCCCTCCCCTTGCCGCCCCCCACCCAACAGGCCCCATGTGTGTTGTTCCCCTCCCTGTGCCCATATGTTCTCATTGTCAGCTCCCACTTATGAATGAGAACATTTGGTGTTTGGTTTTCTGTTCCTGTGTTAATTTGCTGAGAATGATGGTTTCCAGCTTCACCCATGCCCCTGTAAAGGACATGAACTCATTCATTTTTTTATGGCTGCATAGTATTCCATGGTGTATATGTGCCACATTTTCTTTATCCAGTCTAACGTTGATGGGCATTTGGGTTGGTTCCAAGTCTTTGCTATTGTGAATAGTGCTGCAGTAAACATATGTGTGCATGTGTCTTTATAGTAGCATGATTTATAATCCTTTGGGTATATACCCAGTAATGGGATCGCTGGGTCAAATGGTATTTCTAGTTCTAGATCCTTGAGGAATCACCACATTGTCTTCCACAATGGTTGAACTAATTTACACTCCCACCAACAGTGTAAAAGCGTTCCTATTTCTCCATATCCTCTCCAGCATCTGTTGTTTCCTGACTTTTTAAGGATCGCCATTCTAACTGGCATGAGATTTTGTGGTTTTGATTTGTATTTCTCTAATGACCAGCGATGATGAGCTTTTTTTCTTATGTTTATTGGCCACATAAATGTCTTCTTTTGAAAAGTGTCTGTTCGTATCCTTTGCCCACTTTTTCATGGGGTTATTTGTCTTTTTCTGGTAAATTTGTTTAAGTTCCTTGTAGATTCTGGTTATTAAGGCTTTGTCAGATGGATAGATTGCAAAAATTTTTTCCCATTCTGTAGGTTGCCTGTTCACTCTGATGATAGTTTCTTTTGCTATGCAAGAAGCTCTTTAGTTTAATTAGAACCCATTTGTCAATTTTGGCTTTTGTTGCAATTGCTTTTGGTGTTTTAGTCATGAAGTCTTTGCCCATGCCTATGTCCTGAATGGTATTGGCTAGGTTTTCTTCTAGGAGTAAACCCATTTTGTAACTTAATCATCTCCAGATTTGCTCTGGAGATTCCTTCCTGAAGTCTTCTTGACAGTTTCTCTAGTTGTCTGATTTTCCATCTACCTGACTATTTTGGAAGAAAGTGGCTGGCACAGGGCAAAAGATAAGCAAACTAGGAATGTAAAACATGTTTTATTTCTTCCTTCTCTCTTTTCTCAAAGAATTTGAGGTAGGCTACAAAAATATATACAAATAGGCTGGGTGTAGTGGCTCACACCGGTAATCCCAGCACTTTGGGAGGCTGAGATACGAGGATCACTTGAGGCCAGGAGTTCATGGCCAGCCTGGGCAATATAATGAGACCCTGTCTCTACAAAAAAAATACAAAAATTTGCCAGGCGTAGTGGCACGTGCCTGTAGTCCTAGCTAGTTGAGAGGTTGAGGTGGGAAGATTGCTTGAGCCCAGGAGTTCAAGGCTCAAGTTTTGAGGCAGAGAGCTAGGATTGCACCACTGCACTCCAGCCTGGGTGAAGGAGCGAGACCCTGTCTCAAAAACAAAACAAAATCCATATATATATTTGATATATATATGCACACACACACATATACACAAGTATAAAGTAATAAGCTGATGAATAAGTGAGGAGGGACATGGGTGGACAAATACAGAACAGGATAAGATTTGGTGCAAAGAAATGGGATGCCTGCAGTTTTAACAGTTCATTAAGGTGATTAGAAAACTTGACCCCATGCTGGCCAGCAGCCAGAGAATGGAGAGAAGCCACACTATCAGGCTTCAAGTGCTTAAGGCAGGAGGTTTTGCTAATAAGATCTGCTGTGTGAAGTTTTTCCAGATATTTTGGGTGATTTCATGTGAACCCACCTGAAGGTGGAGGTGGTTTTTTTAAGGGTATAAGTTTTGGTAACCTTTTTTTTTTCTTTCTGTTTTGAGACAGGGTTTCCTCACTCTGTTGCTCAGGCTGCAGTGCAGTGGCATGATCTCGGCTCACTTCAGTCTCAATCTCCCAGGGTTAGGTGATCCTCCCACCTCAGCCTCCTAGGTAGCTGGGACCAAAGCTGGAATCTAAACAATCATTGTAATTGGCCAGGCGCGGTGGCTCTTCCCCATAATCCCAGCAATTTGGGAGGCCAAGATGGGAGGATCATTTGAGCCCAGGAGTTCAAGACCAGTCTGAGTAACAAAGCAAGACCCCCGTCTCTACAAAAAATAAAATTAGCCAGCCATAGTAGTGTGCATCTGTAGTGCCAGCTACTTGGGAGGCTGAGGTGGGAGAATCCCTTGAATCTGGGAGATTGAGGCTGCAGTGAGCCATGATCACACCACTGCCCTCTAGCCTGGACAACAGATGAAGACCCTATCTCAAAAAAAATATATATGTATTGTAGGGCCAGGCATGGTGGCTCATGCCTGTAATCCCAGCACTTTTGGGAGGCCAAGCCAGGCAGATCACTTGAGGCCAGGAGCTCGAGACCAGCCCAGCCAACATGCAGAAACTCTGTCTCTACTAAAAATACAAAAATTAGCCAGGCGTGGTGGCACATGCCTGTAATCTCAGCTACTTGGGGGGCTGAGGTATGAGAATCATTTGAACCCAGTAGGCAGAGGTTGCACTGAGCCACGATCAAGCCACTACACTCCAGCCTGGGCAACAGAGCGAGACTCTGTCTCAAAAAAAAATTAAATTATAAATGTACTGTTAGACTTGTTAATGTAAAATTAATTCTGGTATCTCATGGAAATGTGTCAAATGCTAGCATACATGGGCGTGCTTATTACTTAGGACAATCCAGTGAATTGTGAGGTGTTATGAGAGGAAGTTTCTACTTAACACTTCTCATTTAATTAAATATGAACATGATGTGTGACTGACAAGATTTTTTTGTACAAAGTCATAATATGATACCTGATTTGTTTAAATCTTATTTGCTTAAATTGAAATTATATTTATCAGTTACTTAAAATGTATTAGGACCTAGTAGGATACAACAGAATTGCCTAATAAAAATAGTCTAGACCAGTGTTCTGTAAACTTTTTTGATCATAAGACATTTTTTGGATTAAATGATTTGATAGAAGTGGTACACATGTTATAAAGTATTTTGGCAAAATAATAGTTTCACAGAGTAATTATTTGATGAAATAAAATTATTTAAAATGTTTAATGTGGCTAGGCGCAGTGGTTCATGCTTGTAATCCCAACACTTTGGGAGGTTGAGGCGAGCAGATCACCTGAGGCCAGGAGTTCAAGACCGCCTGGTCAACATGATGAAACCCCGTCTTTACTAAAAATACAAAAATATGCTGGCGTGGTGGCACATGCCTGTAATCCGAGCTACTCAGGAGGCTGAGGCAGGAGAATTGCTTGAACCTAGGAGACAGAGGTTGCAGTGAGCCGAGATCGTGCCATTGCACTCCAGCCTGGGCGACAAGAGAAACTCTGTCTCAATCAATCAGTCAATCAGTGTTTTAACATGTCTGTTCTACATAGCAGAAATATCCATAAAATCACAAATATGTTAAAATTATAAAACTGTAGTAACACATACCAGCAATAATCAAAATACAATGGTTGGTCAGTGATGCTTGTTTCTGCTTTGCTGCAAACATCATGCACTCATGCATCAGTGATTTCTCCAAGAAATTCCTGATATTTGGGGGCGTGGCATACCTTTTTTTTTTTTTTTTTTGAGATGGAGTCTCGCTCTATTGCCCCTGCTGGAGTGCAGTGGCGTGATCTTGGCTCACTGCAAGCTCTGCCTCCCGGGTTCACGCCATTCTCCTGCCTCAGCCTCCCCGAGTAGCTGGGACTATAGGCGCCCGCCACCACACCCGGCTAATTTTTTGTATTTTTAGTAGAGACAGGGTTTCATTGTGTTAGTCAGGATGGTCTCAATCTCCTGACCTTGTGATCCGCCCAGCTCAGCCTCCCAAAGTGCTGGGATTACAGACGTGAGCCACCACGCCCAGCCTGGCATAACATTTTTAAAAGCAAAACAGAATGTGATAAGAGCAGTTACCTAAATCTATTTAATTTACCTTTTTTTCCCCAAATATATTTTAGGAAAAATTGTTGTTGGTAATGATTTTGGTTACAGAACAGATGTATTTATAAGTACTAGTGTTCCGGAGAACACTGGGAAATTTTAATCTTTTGCTGATTAGTACCTGATTATTCTTGGTTTCTAGCTCCCAGATGGACGTATCATCAAAGTTGGGGGAGAGAGATTTGAAGCACCAGAAGCTTTATTTCAGCCTCACTTGATCAATGTTGAAGGAGTTGGTGTTGCTGAATTGCTTTTTAACACAATTCAGGCAGCTGACATTGATACCAGGTACATTAGAAGTGGTGATTTCAAAGTTATTTATCAGAAAAATCATAAAAATAGTTTTAAAGTTATTTATCAGAAATAGATGGAATTAAATAGAATGACTAAGTTTATAAACTTACTTGAAATAATTTCAGACTTACGGAAAGGTTGCAAGAAAAATGCAGAAAACTTATCTGTATCCTTTATCTGGATTTACCATTTTACTAATTCTAATGTTCTTCATGTTTGCTTTTTCATTCTGTTTTTTCTGAACCGTTTGAGGGTAGATTAAATGCATCAGTTCTTTACTAGTTGGTGTTTCCTAAGGATAAAGATACTCTCTTACATAGTCATGCTGATTTCAGATCCTTTGGAGATACACCCAGTAGTGGAATTGCTGGATCATATGGTAGTTCTATTTTTAACTTTCCGAGGAACCTCCATACTGTTTTCTGTAATAGCTGTACTAATTCACACTCCCACCAGCAGTGTACAAGGGTTTCCTTTTCTCCACATCCTCGCCAGTATTCGTTACCTTTCCTCTTTTTGATAATAGCCATTCCAACAGATGTGAAGTGATATCTCATTGTGGTTTAATTTGCATTTATTTCCCTGATGATTAGGGATGCTTAGCATTTTTTCCATTTGTATGTCTTTTGAGAAATGTCTATTCAGGTCCTTTGCCCATTTATTAATTGGGTTATTTGCTTTCTTGCTATTGAGTCATTTGAGATTTGAGTTCCTTACATATTTTGGATATTAACCACTTATCAGATGTCTGATTTGCAAATATATTCTCACATTCTATAGGTTATATCTTCACTTTGTTGATTAATTCCTTTGCTGTGCAGAAACTTCTTTTGTTGTTGTTTGTTTTTTGAGACGGAATGTCACTCTCTCACCCAGGCTGAAGTGTAGTGGTGCAATCTTGGCTCACTGCAACCTCTGCCTCCCGTTTTCAAGCGATTCTCCTGCCTCAGCCTCCCAAGTAGCTGAGATTACAGGCATGTACCACCATGCCCAGAATTTTTTTTTTTTTTTTTGTATTTTTTAGTAGAGATGGGGTTTTGCCGTATTGACCAGGCTGGTCTCGAACTCCTGGCCTCAAGTGATCCACCCCACCTCAGCCTACCAAAGTGCTGAGAGAAACTTCTTAGTTTGATGTAAATGCATGTATATTTTTGTTAGATATTGCCAAATTTCCCTCTCTGGCAATTGTATCGTTTATCCTTTTCCACCGATCTGATGAGTGAGAAATTATTTCAGTGTAATTTTACTTTTTATTTCTGTCATTAAGAGTGAAGTCAAACCAGGGGTGGTGGCTTCTGGCTGTAATCGCAGCACTTTGGAGGCTGAGGTGGGAGGTTTGCTTAAGCCTAGGAGTTTAAGACCAGCCTGGGCAACATATGGAGATCCTGTCTTTACATAAATTTTTTTCAAAAAGATTAGCCAGGTATGGTGGTGGTGTACTCCTGTAGTCCTAGCTACTCAGAAGGCTGAAGTGGGAGGATTGCTTGAGCTTGAGAGGTAGAGGCTGCAGTGAGCCATGATTGTGTCACTGCACTCCAGCCTGGGTGACAGAGTGAGACCCTGTCTCTCCCCACCGCCACAAAAGAAAGTTCCTAAAAAAAAAACATATATATATATATAAAACATATTTTTATATGTTTAAGGGACTTGTTTGTTTGTTTGAGATAGAGTCTCGCTCTGTCGCCAGGCTGGAGTGCAGTGGTGCAGTCTCGGCTCACTGCAACCTGGGTGGAGTGATTCTCCTGCCTCAGCCTCCCAAGTAGCTGGAATTGCAGACGTGAGCCACCACGCCCAGCCTTAAGGGACATTTTAAATTTTTTTTTTTGGCAAATTGTTAATGGCTTTTTGTAGATTTTGGAGTTTTGGGTTTTTTTTTTTTTCAGTTTTGAAAAGTTTTCTTTTAGCTTTCTGATATCTTTCACAGATACTCTCTCTGTTTGCCATTTGTCTATTGCTCTTAGTGTTTTGGCCATGCAAAAGTTTGTTTTTATTTAGTCATATAAAAAGATTTATAGTCTTATTACATCTAGAGCTTGAGTCATAGTTAGAAATCCCTTCTCTACACTCAGGTTATAGAGGAATTCACCCAGAAGCATTTTGTACAGCAAGCATTTATTTGTGTAACCCTGAGTTAAATAGCCACCTAATTAATTTTGATGGGATGGCTTTGGAGCCAGGATAGTAATAGAAATTAATAAAAATAGCAATTGACTCATAACAAGCTATAAACCTGGTAGAAGATGATCAGAAATCGAATCTAGCCTTCATAATTATGGTAAATTCTCATGATAGGGATTAGGGAGATGATTTTGTTCTTTGATGTTCATTCACAGCAAAATTGTATTTAAAAGTACATGCCAGCTGGGCGCGGTGGCTCACGCCTGTAATCCCAGCACTTTGGGAGGCTGAGGCCGGTGAATCACGAGGCCGGCGAATCACGAGGTCAGGAGTTCAAGACCAGTCTGGCCAAAATGGTGAAACCCCGTCTCTACTAAAAATACAAAAAATTAGCTGGGTGTGGTGACGGGTGCCTGTAATCCCAGCTACTCGGGAGGCTGAGGCAGGAGAATGGCGTGAACCTGGGAGGCGGAGGTTGCAGTGAGCCGAGATCGCACCACTGCTCTCCAGCCTGGGTGACAGAGTGAGACTCTGTATTAAAAAATAAAAAAAGAAAAGTACATGCCTGTTGCTGATTAGAGCTTCGACGTACCTAAAGTGCGGAGTCAGATTCAGTACCTTCTCCACAGAGTTTGCATTGCAAAGTGGAACAACTCAAATTTTGTTTTGTGTGTTCTGCATGTTGAAAATGTACATGTAAATGCTTGTGAGTACTTATCACATGAATCTGTATTTCAACTGCTTAGTTTATGCGACATTCACTGGGCTTGCTATGGCAATTAAATACAAAAGCAATGCTTTGTTAGAGTTGCAGTAGCTTTAGCCATTGAGAACCTGGAAGCCAGGTTGAAAAAGGCCAAAATGGGTGCAAATCAGCTCCCAAACTTTACTGTGAGAATTATTCCTCAGACCCTCGCTCAGATTCTGTTACTTTTACTACATATGCAGTCTTTTTAGATTGGATTTTCTGATCTCATAGATATCAGAATAGAGGGTACTGCTGTCAGTAGATAGCAGGGTACTGTATCAGAAAAGAGGGTACTGCTATAAGAAGCATACACATCAGTCTAGCCAAAAATAACAGCAGACAGCCTCTAAGCAAAGGAACAAAAAAGAAAACTACAAAAGATAAATGAAAAATTAAAAAGCAGGAATTCTGGATTAAAGTAGAATAGGGCTAATTATAGTAAACAACCACATCTTAGTGGCTTTAGGGAAGCATGTGATAAAATAGTTTGTAATGTAAATCTTGGTCATTATTAGAAGTCTCAGTTATATTCACAAAAAAGTGTATTATATACTTTTAGAAGTATTTTATTTTCATCAAAATTATGAAAAGATTTTATATGTAAAGAGGGGTCGTTACTTCACAGTAGTAATAACAGCAAATATTCAGCCCTGTGATTTACATGTGGAATTTTATTTAATTCTCCCAGCAACCCCGAGGCTGACATAAGTAACAGTAACCCTGAGATACCATTTTCCTAACCTAAAACTCCAAATGAATAACCATTGTGCCTTTCTAGATCTGAATTCTACAAACACATTGTGCTTTCTGGAGGGTCTACTATGTATCCTGGCCTGCCATCACGGTTGGAACGAGAACTTAAACAGCTTTACTTAGAACGAGTTTTGAAGGGTGATGTGGAAAAACTTTCTGTAAGTATTAGTAAATCAACTATTACTAACATTCTTTTAAAAGGCTATACAGTAGTTTGTGAATCTTGACAACCACCAGAGGGAGCAAGACGTCTTCCAAAACAAATTCCTACTGCAGTCAAGTGCATCCTGGAAATGATAGCAAGAAGGAAATAGTTCAAGATAAGCTCTGGTCACCTCTATAGAGTTGGTGGATGGAGGCAGTGAGGTCAGGGCCAAAAGTTCTGGTTCATCTGTAACAACCAGCACGGACTCTGAGGCACCTGTATATGCATGAGAAGAACCTGCTGTACTATAGGGAAATAAATGCCCCACTTGAGTTTTGTTCTTTTTTTAAACTTATTTTTTGGATATGCAATCAGCCTTCAGCACTTCTCTTGGGCTATCTCATATTTCTGACTTTATTTGTTGCATATGTTGTCTTCTCAGTCAGATTGAAAAACATCATGTCTCAAAATTTTTTGCATTCCGGTGACTGTCATAACTCTTGAAACAGACTTTAATTGGTTGTTGTTGGTATGTACAGTAGAAAGAAATTTTTAAACTAGAAATAGTTGATGTTTCTTTGGCATAGGTTTTTGTGTTTTTTCCACCAGACTCTGGACTATGTGAAGTATACAGTATGTGCTGTATACTTAACCAAGAGTTATCTAATCCTGAGTTAATCTCTGAGCTTTGTCTCACTGACTTTGATCAACTGTTTTAGATAATGAGATTATGTATTACAGAGTACTGTATGTTACATCTTTCATATATGACTCATTGTTGAAATTAAATTGAGTATGGGCTCACATACATTAAACAGATTAACAGACTGGAAAGGAGCCATACTGTCTAAGTACTTCACTTATTTTTCTGATTTTATTGAGTTTTACATATAATTTATAATTAATCTCAGGTGATCATTTATTCAGCAAACATTTCTTGAACTCCTGGGTGCCAGACATAGGTCTAGGTGCCGGGGACAAACAAAACAATGAAAACAGAATCCCTGCTTTTAGTCTAAATAATGTATTAGTGGTAATAAGTGATATGAAGAAAAGTAAGGTGAAGAGCTGGAAAATGTTAGTGGTTGGGGAGGTAGTGTGCTCCTTCATAAACTGTGATCAGGAAAGGCCTTTTGGATGAAGTGACTTTTGATCAGAGACCTAAGTTGAGCGTGAGAGGAGTGAGCCTTGTGACTGTCTGGGGGAAGAATCTTCCAGGCAGGAAAAATGCAAAAGCCCCAGGTTGGTGGGAGTGTGCCAGTGTGGCTGGAGCAGAGTGAGCAAGGGAGGGGGGCAGGTGGGATATGAGGTCAGAAGGGTAGCAGGAGGGCAGGTCTTGTTCAGCCATGGTAAAGGGTTTGGCTTGACTCCTGGTGAAATGGAAAGTCTTGGGTGTGGGGGCGGTTTAAGCAGAGAAATGATAGGATCTGATGTATATTTTTAAAGGATCATTAAGTCTGGTGTGGTGAATAGACTCTTGGGGGAAGAGGGAACAAAGGTGGGCATAGAGAGACCAGTTAGGAGGCACTGAGAGGAGGGGAGGGATGGTAGAGTTTTAGAATAGAGGAGGAGGTTGAAATGGTTGTTTTGGAGAATGGAAGCGAGAATAGAGAAATGTAATAGGATTGCCATGCAGCAGGAAGGGCTCAGTTGAGGTTAGTGATACATTATAGCAAGATGTTTTGTTTCTTTCCTATCTTGTTCAGCTGCTTGACAGCAGGTGCAATTTGTCTGTAGGAATCTGTAGATGAGTTCAGCAAGGAGGGAGTGGTAGATGGAATGATCTGATAGAATGAGTTTCAGTGGGGCTATGGAGTTTTAGGGATGAGCGAGATAGAAGCAGCAATGAAGAGCAATAACTCATATTACCAAACCTCCAGGGTTAAGGTAGTGTGTGAGAGAGAAACAGTAAAGCAGTTGAGGTATTTACAGAAGCAGTGTCTTCAGGGGCTAGCTAAGTTTCCCTTAGAGTAGAGGTGGTCATCTATAGCCCTTATGCCAAAACTGGTTTGTTTGTTTTTTTTAAGTTTTATTGGAACACAGCCAAGCCCATTTGTTTACATAATGTTACCTGTTGTCACATATTGTCTGTGGGCACCTTCTAGCTACATGTGGGGTTGGGTACTTGTCACGCCTACAAAGCCTCAAGTATCTGGCCCTTCACAAAAAAAGTTTGCTGACCCCTATGTAAGAGCAAGAAAGTAAAAGGAACAATTAAAACAGTCTCAGAATTGGTAAATAAACTGATGTTTTTCTTTATCTTGGATTGTTAGAACCCTTACAGTTCATTTATGTGACATAAATATACAAATGATTTAGAATGACATAGTTACATTGGGTCTTTTTTGCAGATCGTGATACTGTAAATGAAAAACTTGCTATGTCATTTTAAGGTTTCTCTTTCAGGTGTTGACCAACCATAAAGATAAGGATGTGTCCTTCCTAGACACTTAATAGTAGCTACAGAGTATAAAACTTTTCCCAATTGCCTTTAATTTTGGTTACTGTGTTCATTTTCTCATAACATCCTGATGATTTGTTTTGACCATATTTGGCCTTGTTTATTTTAAGAACATTTCATTTGATTTTGAGACAATAGAAAGTAAGCTTTGCTTAAAAGAAAAGAACTTCAGTTTTACTCTATTGCCCTGGACTAGAATCATAACAGTATGAGACCTTGAAGAAGTCATGCAAGTCCTCTTTTTTTTTTTTTTTTTTTTTTTTTTTTGAGATTGAGTCTCTGGGCTCACTGCAAGCTCCACCTCCCAGGTTTACGTCATTCTCCTGCCTCAGCCTCCCGAGTAGCTGGGACTACAGGCACCCACTACCATGCCCGGCTAATTTTTTTGTATTTTTAGTAGAGACGGGGTTTCACTGTGTTAGCCAGGATGGTCTCGATCTCCTGACCTCGTGATCCGCCCGCCTTGGCCTCCCAAAGTGCTGGGATTACACTTGAGCCACCACACCCAGCCATGCAAGTCCTCTTATCCAGACTTTGCTTGACAGCAAAGTGACTTTCCCAAGTGGTCATCTGCCATTGGATGGGAAATTTGCTCTAATTATGTCTTGGATGTTTGGTCTCTCAGTAGGGTGTTAAGTCATGTAATTTACTGATCAAATTAGGACACTCAAGAATGGAAAGGGTGGTATTAATAATGATGGGACACCACGTGTAAATCAGGACTGTTCCAAGCATGCTGGGATGGATGTGTGGTCTCCTAAACATGAGCTTTGGGCAAATTACTAAATGTTTCTGTACCTCAGGTACCAAATATTACGTTCTACTTATATTACAGGACTGTTGCAAGTTTGAGGGAGAGCATATATTTAAAAAGCCATTTTCATAAAGCAGAAAGCACTGTGCACATGTACCATTTCATTATCCTTTCTTTCTCCTTTAGAAATTTAAGATCCGCATTGAAGACCCACCCCGCAGAAAGCACATGGTATTCCTGGGTGGTGCAGTTCTAGCGGATATCATGAAAGACAAAGACAACTTTTGGATGACCCGACAAGAGTACCAAGAAAAGGGTGTCCGTGTGCTAGAGAAACTTGGTGTGACTGTTCGATAAACTCCAAAGCTTGTTCCCGTCATACCCGTAATGCTTTCTTTTTTCCTTTATTGCCAATCTTTGAACTCATTCAACTCCAGGACATGGAAGAGGCCTCTCTCTGCCCTTTGACTGGAAAGGTCAAGTTTTATTCTGGTGTCTTGGGGAAGCTTTGTTAAATTTTTGTTAATGTGGGTAAATCTGAGTTTAATTCAACTGCTTCCCTACATAGACTAGAGGGCTAAGGATTCTGTCTGCTGCTTTGTTTCTTCTAAGTAGGCATTTAGATCATTCCTATAGGCTTCCTATTTTCACTTTACTGCTCTAATGCTGCTAGTCGTAGTCTTTAGCACACTAGGTGGTATGCCTTTATTAGCATAAAACAAAAAAAACTTTAACAGGAGCTTTTACATATTACTGGGATGGGGGGTGGTTCGGGATGGGTGGGCAGCTGCTGAACCCTTTAGGGCATTTCCTCTGTAATGTGGCGCTTTCAACTGTACTGCTGCAGCTTTAAGTACCTTAAAGCTTCTCCTGTGAACTTCTTAGGGAAATGTTAGGTTCAGAACTAAAGTGTTTTGGGTGGGTTTTGTTGCGGGGGGGAGGGTAACAATGGGTGGTCTTCTGATTTTTATTTTTGAGGTTTTGTCAACTGGAGTACGTAGAGGAACTTTATTTACAGTACTTTGATTTGGCAGGTTTTCTTCTACTTGTGCTCTGCCTGGAGCTGTTTCCATATGATATAAAAAGCAAGTGTAGTATTCCATTACTATGTGGCTTAGGGATTTATTTGTTTTTTAAAATCAACCATGTTAGCTGGGATTAGACTCCCTACAGTCCTTCAATGGAAAAGTAACATTTAAAAATCCTTTGGGTAATTCGAATTACAGATTTAAAAGAGCTTAAGATCTGGTGTTTTGTTAATGCTTCTGTTTATTCCAGAAGCATTAAGGTAACCCATTGCCAAGTATCATTCTTGCAAATTATTCTTTTATATAACTGACCAGTGCTTAATAAAACAAGCAGGTACTTACAAATAATTACTGGCAGTAGGTTATAATTGGTGGTTTAAAAATAACATTGGAATACAGGACTTGTTGCCAATTGGGTAATTTTCATTAGTTGTTTTGTTTGTTTTGATTTGAAACCTGGAAATACAGTAAAATTTGACTGTTTAAAATGTTGGCCAAAAAAATCAAGATTTAATTTTTTTATTTGTACTGAAAAACTAATCATAACTGTTAATTCTCAGCCATCTTTGAAGCTTGAAAGAAGAGTCTTTGGTATTTTGTAAACGTTAGCAGACTTTCCTGCCAGTGTCAGAAAATCCTATTTATGAATCCTGTCGGTATTCCTTGGTATCTGAAAAAAATACCAAATAGTACCATACATGAGTTATTTCTAAGTTTGAAAAATAAAAAGAAATTGCATCACACTAATTACAAAATACAAGTTCTGGAAAAAATATTTTTCTTCATTTTAAAACTTTTTTTTAACTAATAATAGCTTTGAAAGAAGAGGCTTAATTTGGGGGTGGTAACTAAAATCAAAAGAAATGATTGACTTGAGGGTCTCTGTTTGGTAAGAATACATCATTAGCTTAAATAAGCAGCAGAAGGTTAGTTTTAATTATGTAGCTTCTGTTAATATTAAGTGTTTTTTGTCTGTTTTACCTCAATTTGAACAGATAAGTTTGCCTGCATGCTGGACATGCCTCAGAACCCTGAATAGCCCGTACTAGATCTTGGGAACATGGATCTTAGAGTCACTTTGGAATAAGTTCTTATATAAATACCCCCAGCCTTTTGAGAACGGGGCTTGTTAAAGGACGCGTATGTAGGGCCCGTACCTACTGGCAGTTGGGTTCAGGGAAATGGGATTGACTTGGCCTTCAGGCTCCTTTGGTCATAATTTTAAAATATGGGAGTAGAAAACAACAAAGAATGGAATGGACTCTTAAAACAATGAAAGAGCATTTATCGTTTGTCCCTTGAATGTAGAATTTGTTTTTGATTTCATAATTCTGCTGGTAAATGTGACAGTTAAAATGGTGCATTATGTATATATATTATAATTTAGAAATACCATTTTATAATTTTACTATTCCAGGGTGACATAATGCATTTAAATTTGGGATTTGGGTGGAGTATTATGTTTAACTGGAGTTGTCAAGTATGAGTCCCTCAGGAAAAAAAAAAAATTCTGTTTTAAAAAGCAATCTGATTCTTAGCTCTTGAAACTATTGCTACTTAAATTTCCAATAATTAAAAATTTAAAATTTTTAAATTAGAATTGCCAATACTTCTACATTTGAGAAGGGTTTTTTTAGAAATACATTTAGTAAAGTCCCCAAGACATTAGTCTTACATTTAAACTTTTTTCTTTAAAACATGGTTTTGGTGGTTAACTTTTACACAGTTCTGAGTACTGTTAATATCTGGAAAGTATCTTGAGATATCAGTGGAAAGCTAAACAGTCTAAATTAACATGAAATACTTCATTTTGATTGAGAAAATAAAATCAGATTTTTTCAAAGTCAATTTGAATTTTGTCATTTCTTTCTAATAGTTATTTCTTGTTTCATTTTCTTGTTAATGCAAGATGAATTGACAGTTTATGCTAGTTGTTAGGTCAAGTTCATGTCAGTGTTCTATTATTGACAAAACAACTCATTATTTCTGGTATGATTTTATAAATACATAAGAAAATAGAATAGCGATTTATAGCTACATCAGAGGCTGTTTTCTTCCAACAAACTGTTTTGTCTCCCAAAAGATTTAAGGTGGCTTTCACAGAATTAGAAATGCTAAAGAGACCTGTATGTAACATGCCCCCTTTCAAGGACATATTAGCTCATCTGCAGACTTTTAGGCATATTATTTTTAACAAATAAAAGAAGGATGAAAATACATTTAACTGACCTTTTCTTGTTTTATACTAGCCTTGAGGATGAGGGCTGGAGAGTAGAGAGAGTATTTTTGCCTTTCCTTCTTCGTGGACTTGTATGTGCAAACCTCATTGCCCGCTTCAGGGCCGGAGTCCCAGACAGCGAACGTAAGGGTTGTCTCTGGTGTTTTATCTAGTTTCTTCTGAGTTGCGGAAGAAGAATATGATAACAGCTATCTCCATATGTAATGGAGGAAGAAAATACCAGGCACTGCATAGTGCCTTTGATGGAATGAATGTCTCTCAGTGCACTTCATTTTTTTCCTCCACCCACAAACTTTGACCATTATACAATTGAGTGAGTTTATTAACTGTATTAATTTTAGAACCATCAAAGAGGGTAGCCAACTAAAGTGAACCAGAAACTCGAGGATTAATCTAAACTCGATTTTTTCTTTCTTTTGAGACGGAGTTTCACTCTTGTTGCCCAGCTGGAGTGCAATGGAGCGATCTTGGCTCACCGCAGCCTCCACCTCCCGGGTTCAAGCGATTCTCCTGCCTCAGCCTCCCAAGTAACTGGGATTACAGGCATGCGCCACCACGCCCGGCTAATTTTGTATTTTTAGTAGAGAGGGTTTCTCCATGTTGGTCAGGCTGGTCTCGAACTCCCGACCTCAGATGATCCACCCGCCTCAGCCTCCCAAAGTGCTAGGATTACAGGCGTGAGCCACCGCGGCCGGCTAAGCTCAATATTTAACATGCTCTCTAACCTTGGACTAATTGGCCAACTACACACAATACTGGGATACTTTTTTCCTCTGGCTCAAAAATCTCTGACCTCTTTGAAGATTGAAAAATGCTACATCAGAGGTAAGTGGAGGAGGTAAGGGGACGTACCTGGGAAAGCATGTTTGCATGTGTGAATAACTAAAAGGCTAAAATTAGTGACTTTAACCATTATATTGAAAGTAACTTTTAGTCATAGAATAGAAATAAACTTGATTTAGAGGAGGTGAAAATAGGCAGCTATTACAAAAATTTCAAGTGATGTTCACATTAATATAACATTTTAAAAACATTCTAAAGCATCTTTCTTTGTATTGTTTAACATCTGAAATTAGGAAGAAAGAAGCTATTGAACCATAGTTACTTTTGTTTAAATTATCTAGACTGGCAGTGACAAAAAGTCTTGTTGCCTATTATAAGTGTCTCAGTTTGCGTTATCTGCAGATGTAAAATATCTGAGTAGGGGGAATTCAAATGATTTATCTCTTCCTTTTGGCAGAATGGAGTTCCTGTCTCTTTCATATCTACCCCCTCAACTCCTCCCACCCACCAGAGGAAAAAAGGAAAGACTGGAAAAGACTTGGCATATAATTTTCCATGAAACATTTGACGTAGGAATAGAAGAATTAGAGAATGTTGAGTAGATTTTCATGGACCAGTTGAAAGGTTTGGGTTTGGCAAGTGCAGAAAGCAATCACAAAGGTATTACAGAGTGATTCTTATGCCCAGGGTAGCCTTTAAGAACTGTACCCTTTGCCATTCACAGCAAGTGGAGCTTTTGCCTGATGAATGCTTTAAAAAATCGGTAAAAAGAAAACTCCAGTGAGTAAAATATTTGTTCTTCCTTAAATATGGGTTTGAAAAAGGGCCTCAACTCTCAAGGATAAGGATTTTTAAAATTATACTTTTTGTGCATAAAAGTGTAATTACGACCGGGCACGGTGGCTCAGGCCTGTAATCTCACCACTTTGGGAGGCTGAGGGGGGCCAGTAACCTGAGGTCGGAGTTCGAGACCAGCCTGACCGACATGCAGAAACCCCGTCTCTATTAAAAAATACAAGATTAGCCAGGTGTGGTGGCACAAGTCCGTAATCCCAGCTACTTGGGAAGCTGAGGCAGGAGAATCGCTTGAACCCGGGAGGCAGAGGTTGTGGTGAGCCGAAATTGTGCCATTGCACTGCAGCCTGGGCAACAAGAGTGAAACTCCATCTCAAAAAACAGAAAATGTAATCATAAAAATGTGAATGCAAATGCATTAATATCAAAGGAGGTTTTAAGAAATTAGGGAAATTCTAAAAGTCTGCCACAATATTAATTGGATCATTTTAAATGAGTATGTTTATGTGAGTGCCTTGATGTTCTGTAGGGGTTGAGATTTTTTTCGAGGTGTCTGTGCACAAGAAAATTAAGCGATCTATTTTACTTTAGAAAACCAAATCTTGCTGGGCATTGTGTAATCCCAACAATTTGGGAGGTCGAGGCAGGCGGATCACTTGAGGTCAGGAGTTTGAGACCAGCCTGGCCAACATAGCAAAACCTGTCTCCACTAAAAATACAAAAAATTAGGTGTGGTGGCGCATACCTGTAATCCCAGCTACTCAGGAGGCTGAGGCAGGAGAATTGCTTAAACCCAGGAGACAGAGGCTGCAGTGAGCCAACATCATGCCACTGCACTCCAGCCTGGGCAACAGAGCGAGACTCCATCTCAATAATAATAATATATAAAAATCTAAGGGTTTCCTGAGTTGTTAATTCTTATATTTTCATATTTTCTTATGTTTACATGTATATATTCTTATATTTTTATATTTTGTGACAACTTAGTGTTTGAAGAGTAAGAAATTTGGGCCTAAATGAGGCTCAGTTGTTAAATTGATAATACACATTTGACCCCTTTATTGGAAACCTACAATTTACCTCCAGATGTGTTTTTTTTTTCCCTGCTAACTTAGATCTACATTTGAAAGCTTCTGGCATTAATTAATTTTTATTTAAGAGCTATTAGGAAGGAGTGGAACCTAAACTATGGTGACAATTTAAAGGACCTTGATTCAAAGAATCAATTAAGGAGGCTGTCCTCTTTGTTTTGCTTTTACTTAGTAGTTTAGGTGGAATTCAAGCAGATAATATTCAACCTCTAAGTTCCCTGCTTACACAACTTGGAATTCTAAAGGAGTCTCTAAAATGAAAACATCCCACAGGAAGTGATGTAGCTAAAGTATGATTATCTGTATTTTTAAAACAAATTACTTGTCCTTCAAATGTCTTTTTCAGTATGGGGTCAGAATCACATGTTCCTTTTGTTAAAAATGCAGGCTCTTAGGCGGGGCGCGGTGGCTCACGCCTGTAATCCCAGCACTTTGGGAGGCCAAGGCAGTGGGGGATCACCTGAGGTCAGGAGTTCGAGACCAGCCTGATCAACACGACAAAACCCTGTCTCTACTAAAAGTACAAACCGGGCATGGTGGCGGTCGCCTGTAATTCCAACTATTCCTACTCAGGAGGCTGAGGCAGGAGAATGGCTTGAACCCAGGAGGTGGAGGTTACAGTGAGCTGGGATCAGCCACTGCACTCCAGCCTGGGTGACAGAGCGAGACTCCATCTTAAAAAAAAAAAAAAAAAAAAAAAAGCAGGCTTCCTTGAGCCCCACTCTGGACCACCGAATGGAGCCTGAGGGTTTGCTTGTTTTCCAACTCTTCCCCCACAACTCTCATACTCCTGTTTTAGGGGCTAAGAGGACAGTCAGGCTTCAAAGTATGAACCACTCTCCTGGGCCCACACCTGCAATGCCCTTCTTTCCTCCTCTTCCTGGGGAAAACTAGGGCTTTTAGCAGATGGGTTCAGAAGTGACACAGGAAGCAGCCCTGGGAAGCCGGAACCACTTAGAGACCATCTTTTGCCAGTGTGCTGACCTCTGCTCCACCTCCCCCAAATGGATCTTCAGTTCAAATGGATGATAAACACCTTTTCATTAAAAAGGCCAGTTCTGGGATGGTTAAAGCACCATCAGTCATTTACACATCCATTTGTATTAAAAGGAAATCCAGAGACTCACACTGACGCCTAGGGGAGATTAGCAGCTCTTTGTGATGTAAGTGAAAGGAAGGTCTGTAACTTTGGCCTAAGGAGTGCATTGGAGAAAATTGGTAGGTTCCTGAGGAAATTCAGTTTTTAGAGCAAGCTCACTTTTTAGGGCAAGCTCACCTTGGTAGATGAGAGTTGAGTGCTGGAAGTGGTAAAATAACCAAAGCAAACTGCTCATTTCAACATTCCTTTCTCCTCGCTTCCGACTTGCAGTGTTCCAGCTTCCTGAACTCAAGCTAGTACAGCTAATGCTACAAGTTTAGCTGCTTGATACATGAAAGTGATTTATAATCAGGCCAAGAAACCAACCTACCAGATGTAGCTTTACTTTTAGAGAGCATGTATGTATTTCAAGTTCTATGCAACTGACAAATGAACTTTTGGATGCAACTTGTTCAAAAGTGGAAGTATTGAATTGTTTATGGTGACCAACAGTCCACACATTAATGACTGCTATAATTATGTTTCTTATGATATCAAAACTGACATGGTCCCCTAATACAGAATGCAGTTCATAATGTGGATTTGGGGAGTGCCAGTGTTCACCATTTGTGTTTTTGAAACACAAGGTATAGGTGGTGTGAGGAAAACTATCTTCTGACTTTAAGCTACTATTTTTTAAATGGTATGACAACTTTATGTTGATTTCTTTTGGTTAATCCGACCAGTCTTAGTGTTGCATGAAAATGATCTTCATCATTTCCATTTCATAGCAACTCTTTTATGCCTTAAACATTTTTTTTCTGTTCATACCATTCAAAAGAAGCTAAGATTTGTGGTGTGAGCCAACACAAATCCTCCCTCAGGTGCTTTAATAACAGTAAGACAGGCTTCCTTGAATATCCTAAATGAAAGCTTTGTTTTGTTGCACTTTTGAACAAATACGTGAAGAGAATGATTTATGTAATGAAATTCCATGTTTTAAGAGTCTAAAGAGGATTGGATTTATGGTTCTTCCACCCCCATCCCCACCATTGAAACTAGAAAACTTGTGACTTTGGCCCAGATCGCAAAAACCTTTGCTGCTCCCAAGTTCCCTGAACTGTTAGGATAAAATAGAATACTAAAGAGTACCTTAAACTCAGAAGGCATGATTTGCTAACTGTCAACCTAAACCAAATGGCAGCTCACACCACTAGCTGATTTTATTCAGAAGATAGGGCTAAAGGAGAAACTTTTCCCACTAAATTTCAGTACAGTTACTACTTTCAAGAATACACCCTGTTTTCTTCAGGCTCTGAGCTTGTCTGCTGAAATAATTAGCTGTGAGGCAGACAGGGAAAGAATTGCATCTGCAAAAAGCAGGAAGACAAGGTCAAGAGAAGAGGAGGCAGCTTGACTCACAGCTGCCCACCCTGCAGAGGAGCAGAGCTTGCCAAGAATATCCACATTGATTTATGGAGAAAAAATCAGGAAACCATTCACCCCAGATAGCTTGGATTTGTGACAATATCAGTGTAAACGATTTCCATTTAGACTGTGAATTCCGAGTCTCCGTAGGTGCTCCATTTTTTCCCACCTTCGCCCCTTCTCCGAGCATTTCTAGCAACACTCGGGCCAGTGATTCTCAAACTTTGGGGTGCCTGAGACTCTCTTGAGCTAGTGACAATGCAGATACCTGGCTCCACTTCCAGAAATTGAGGTGACACTCTTAGGAAGGGGTCTTTTGCACTTAGAAAAATGTGAATCAGAAACCAGGGAAATTTTGTAAGAATTAAGCTACAGACTAAATGATATTAATAAAAAATCTTGGTATGTTTGTACAGAAGGTTTCACTTAATTAGGAGTTTCCTAAGAGAATGAAGGCAAAGGCTTTTCCGCCTGGGGACTCTTGAGACTCTTCGGGCTTACTCTCCAGGGTGCCACTGTATACCTTGAGAAAACTGCTGGCTTGCTTCATTCTTGTGCCTAATCTTGCTCACAAAGGAACATGCTACCAGTCTCATCTGCTTCCAAAGGGCTTTGTTTCAAATCCCTTTTGGAAAAGGGGTGCATTTTTCTGCCTTGGTTTACTGCCTTTTGGAGAACAAGAATGCATCTCAAACGTGTTTATTGAACTTTTAAAGTTCCTTGACTTTCTGCGGGCAGAGCCAACCATGGTCTTCAGACCCTACGTTAATTAAGAGAGCTAAAAAGGAAGCAATGAGAACAACAGCGAGGACACGACAAAGCTGTAAGGTCACCATTTATGAGTGTCTGTGAAGTGCCAGGCACTGTACCTTAAGCATTTGCCAGCATTCTCACTTAATGCAAGTAGGAATTATCACCACTTTGTAGATGAGGAGACTGAGACTTAAGAGGTAAAGTAACAAGAACAAAGACTCAGAGCTAAGAAGCTGTAGAGCCAGAGTGGGGCTCAAGCATCTTCCTGACTATACAACCGTTGCTTTTCCAACACCCATTGATGGCTCTGTGTGGTGGTCATTGAGCCCTGTCCTATTTCAAAGCCTTGATCAGTTTAGGAGGCTGTCTTGACCCTGCGCCTCATCACAGGCCTTGGGAAAAGCACTTGTCCTTTGTGTGCCTTAATTTAACTCAGTGAGTCAAGTGCCCCAAGCCTGGAGTGGTTGGCGTCCCAAGTGCCATTTGAAAAGTGCTTTGATATGAAGTGCCCACAAGGGCTTGCTCTTCTGTTGATAGCAAACCATTTCCATGAAGAAACTTAAGTGGAAGCTCTGGGAGTGAACGAGTGAAAGGAGTGTTGGCTACAGGCATTTGGATCCAGAGGAGCTTGTCCCACTTTTAGGAGTGATCAGTTGAGGCTTTTTTCCCCTTGGTAGGTTTAATTTTTGACCAGCAGGTGTACACTGTGGTCCAAGGCCCCGGATTTGGCTCAGAGCTTCATAAATGAGTCAGTGGAGTTTATAAACTCTCCACTTGCAAGAGGAAGGCAAGAAATGGAAAGAATGACAGTTACTAAGGTTAGCAGTGGCCCCTGGAATCCAAGTGGCCCTTGAGAAGAACACTTGGGGAGGGGAAGCATTTGAATCACCTACATCTGCTAAGAACTTGTCCTGTGTTTTGGGAACGTTCTGAGAATGGCGACTACATGAGCTAGCTCTCAGACCAGCTGTCTTCAGAGGGGACCACCTAATGGGAGGCCGACCGTAGAGGCTAAAACATGCAAGTTACCGCCTGGGAGACGGTAACAACGCTTCCATGCAGAACAGCTGTGTGTTACTTTAAAAGCAGCTAATTTCACTATCTGAATTCAAGGATGTTTCCCAGATCTCCATGCTGTGAATAGCAGTGTTGTTTGAGATGGCCATTATTGCTTACATCCTCCTCGAGCCAGGAGCAGAGGGAGGAGCCTGGATCTGGGTCTCCTGTCCCACTGCAGCAAGAGGACATGATTAGTGGTTAGCCTATCTCTAAAAGCCCTGGGGAGCTGAGTGTAGGAAGGAAGGAAGGAAGTTGTGTAGGATAAACAAAACAAAGCAAAACCCCAAAAAGCCACAAGAAAGTACTTCAGATGTGCAAGAATCTGTAATTCACATACTCATGGGATAGTTGAGGGTTAGGACCTGGATTAAATGTTTTCACATGGAATGGGAATACCAAGAACAAAGCAACTGAAGAGTGGGGCGACTGGCTTGGTTTTAAAGAGTCCTGGAAACAGAGTCCTCTTATTGTTTCTGGATGTTTAGACACATCAAGGCCGACATATAAATTGTTTTAAAATAGTATCTGTTCTCAGTCTCACATGCAAAAAAAAAAAAAAAGGAAAAATATATCTAGCAAGTTTTACCATAAGATCATTGCTAATTTGCCTTTAGTTTCCCATGACAAGATTCAACAGTTTGATAATCTCGTGGAAAATAATTCACTTTTTAAGAAAATGTGGTTTAAAAGAAGTGAATATACTGATAACTATGAAAGCCTCTCTTGAGTAAGGCAGTATTTTAGAGTAACTGGACTGGTTGCTGCATGGCAACCTTCACAATTCAACGAGTTTTTTGTTCGTTCGTTTGTTTGTATTTTGAGACAAAGTCTCGGTCTGTAGCCCAGGCTGGAGTGCAGTGATGTGATCTCAGCTCACTGCAACCTCCGCCTCCTGGGTTCAAGCGATTCTCCTGCCTCAGCCTCCCGAGTAGCTGGGATTACAGGCACGCACCACTGCGCCTTTTTTTTGTATTTTTGCTAACTTTTTTTTTGTATTTTTAGTAGAGACGGGGTTTCACCATGTTGGCCAGGCTCGTGTTGAACTCCTGACCTCAGTAATCTGCCTGCCTCAGCCTCCCAAAGTGCTAGGATTACAGGCGTAAGCCACCGCGCCTGGCACAATTCAATGTTTTTAAAATAAAAAAGATTTGTCAGGGCTTCCCAAACCTCAAAGATGGGTTTTCTCAGTATCTTAATGGTCATTTAGACGGAACCAAACAAATACCTTTAAAAAGTAGGAGTGGCGGGCATTTTAGTAGGCTGCTAAATATCTCAATATCAAATGCACCAAGGATTACTAAGCCAAATTGTATGCCGTAGTTGGAAGTGTTAGCCTTGTGCAGCTGTTCTTGTGAAGGGCTTGGGGGCCAGCTCCTGTGGGAGCCAAGGATTTTTTTTTGCAGGTTTTGTCATGTATATGTGTTAAATTAGTTTGGAGAAGATCTGTCAGGTTTAACTTGGTGATGATTTTTTAAAAAATCAGTTCATGGCCGGGCGCGGTGTCTCACACCTGTAATCCCAGCACTTTGGGAGGCCGAGGCGGGCTGATCACGAGGTCAGGAGATCGAGACCATCCTGGCTAACACAGTGAAACCCCGTCTCTACTAAAAGATACACAAAAATAGCCGGGCATAGTGGCGGGCGCCTGTAGTCCTAGCTACTCGGGAGGCTGAGGCAGGAGAATGGCGTGAACCCGAGAGGTAGAGCTTGCAGTGAGCCGGGATTGCGCCACTGCACTCCAGCCTAGGTGACAGAGCGAGACTCCGTCTCAAAAAAAAAAAAAAATATCAGTTCATGACAATGTTACAGTTTGCGCAAAATAAGCACATTTGTAATTTCGTATGTATTAAATTGACTTCCTAGGAGACAAATCTTTTTTCCTCACTGGATAACATTATTTTATCTTGTGTTAGTTACAATCATTTGACCATAAAGCTTACCTGTAAGGGGGCTCTGTTGTTTAAAGATTTCAAGTTGCACTTCCTAAGTCAAACGGTGATGGGGTAAAGCAACTTCCCAAGGCGTTCCGTTCTCAAGTTAGAGAACTGGAAAGGCACTGGAGTACGGTTCCCTCCTTCCCTTTTTAAAGTAGCCCTCGACTGGGTGCAGTGGCTCACGCCTGTAATCCCAGCACTTTGGGAGGCCGAGGCGGGCAGATCACCCGAGGTCCGGAGTTTGAGACCAGCCTGACCAACATGGAGAAACCCCATCTCTACTAAAAATACAAAGTTAGCCGGGCTTGGTGGCAGATGCCTGTAATCCCAGCTACTCGGGAGGCTGAGTCAGGAGAATTGCTTGAACCCAGGAGGCGGAGGTTGCAGTGAGCCGAGATTTGCACCATTGCACTCCAGCCTGGGCAACAAGAGCGAAAGTCCGTCTCAAAATAAAATAAAATAAAATAAATTTAGAAAGCAGCCCTCGACTCATGCCCGTGGCTCATGCCTGTAATCCCAGCACTTTGGGATGCCGAGTTGTGTGGATCTTTTGAGCTCAGGAGTTCGAGACCAGCCTGGGCGAGACAGCGAAACCCCATCTTTACAAAAAATACAAAAATTCAGCAGGCATTGTACTGTGCGCCTGTACTCTGAGCTACTTGGGACGCTGTGGTGGGAGAATGGCTTGAGTCGTGGGGGTGGAGGTTGCCGTGAGCCGAGATTCTGCCACTGCAGTCCAGTCCAGGCATCAGAGCCAGATTCTGTTTCAAAAAAATAATAAAGTAGCCCTCAAAAGTGACATTTAAAATTACTTGTATTTGGCCGGCCAGGTGTGGTGTCTCATGCCTGTAATCCCAGCACTTTGGGAGGCCGAGGTGGGCGGATCACCTGAGGTCAGGAGTTCGAGACCAGCCTGGCCAACATGATGAAACCCTGTCTCTACTAAAAATACAAAAAATTAGCCGGGTGTGGTGGTGCACGCCTGTAGTCCCAGCTACTTGGGAGGCTGAGGAAGGGGAATCACTTGAACCCAGGAGGTGGAGGTTGTAGTGAGCTGAGGTTGCACCACTGCACTCCAGCCTGGGCAACAAGAGCAAAACTCTGTCTCAGAAAAAAAAAAAAAAAATTACTTGTATTTGCATGAAAATCACTGAGTTTCAAATCTGAAGTGTTCTTCAGAGTTCTAACGTGTAAGAACACAGAGTACTATGATATTTCCCCAAGAGTATTCTGTGAGTCCCAGCTAAATGCCCTATATCCCAAGTGTGCTTTGTGGTTTAAAGAGTTAGAGAAATGCTGCAGAAACCTTCCCTGCAGCATACTAAAGTCTCAGAGATGTCCTGCAGGGAGAAAACCCAGCCGACTTTATTCAGCAAGGGATCTCTTTCTGTTTCTCTCTCTCTCTCTCCCCCTTTCTCTGTCTCTGTGTGTGTGTCTTTCCTTTCTCTCTCTCTCCCCCTCCTTCACTCCGTCCATATCCCTCCCTCTCCCTCTCTGTCCCTCTTTCCCTTTTCCTTTCTCTTTCTTCCCCCACTCTTCCTCCCTCCCTCTCCCTCTCCACTTTTTTACCTCCCCTCCCCCTCCCCCTCCTCTCTCTCTTCCCCTCTTCCTCACACCCTCCCTCTGTGGCCCACCGCCTATTAGCACTATGCAAAGCACATTCTGGGAAATCTGGGTCCTAGCCAGTAGGACAGCTGTAGTAGCTATGGTGAAATTTCACATTTCTGGGCCCTGCCTGTTTCCTCCTTTGTCAACAGCAGGTTTCCAGGTGCTAGGAATTGTCATCACTCACACTCCCTTCCTCAAGGGTTTGCTTTAGAACTAAGATTCAAGGATTATCGATGTTTTTAATATAAGAATAAGCTGTAGAATGCCAAACAACAGCAGATAGGAGGAGAGAGAAGACTAAAACTATAACTGACAAATACATTAGACTAATGAATGCAAAGAAAACCTAGAAACTGGGAGGTTATTAGTGGACATTGGTCATGACTTGTGGCCACCAACCATGGTTTGAATTCTCTTCCCATGATTAGGGATTTTTCTACATTACAAATCTTGCTTCCCTGAGGCAGAAGTCCACAACTCACCCTTCTAGCTTTTCTTGTAGCAAAGATCTGCCCGTTAGACACTCCCACTCCAGAAGCAGCTACCCAGAGGAATTGTTTCCTAGCCAGGGGTCACCACAGGCCTGGGGTTTTGAAGCAGAGCTGGGCAAGGCACTTGGTATTCAGTGCCCAGTGTCAGGGGTGTGAGTGGCAGAGACGATGTCCAGGAGGGGAGGTGGTAGGAGTCACTGCTGAAGGCCCACAGCATGGTTGGGCCTTGGTCATGACTGGGTGTCCTCCAGCTGGACTCTGCGGCAACCTGGAGATTCTGTGAACTCCTACATATTCTTTACTAGTTTATTTCTGCTTAAATCATCCAGGGCAGGGTAGGGTTTGTTGCTTGCAGCTAAGACCCTGACTAATATAGGTAAATCCTGACAATATCTGGCTGGGATGCAATTCTGTCTTAAGGAAGCCAGTGCTTGGCAATGAAAGACACTGGATAGTTCCAAAACATTTAGTTCAGCAATATAGAGTGTGTTTCTTCTCTCACATGTCCAAGGTAAGAGCTCTATGTGCCATATGTAGCAGGAGCTCAATATTTATCAAATTAAAGTCAGCTTTCTCAAAAGAGAGGTGCCATCTATTTGTTCAGTCCCTTCATCCAGTGGAATGAGATTCTGACTTAAGATTTCCATGGGAGCAGAAGGTGAAAAGAGCAGACAGTGTGCTCAGCTATATCCTGCCGAGTTTGCTTTTGCACCCCATGAATACGGTAAGATTAATGAAATCCCAAATAAACTTCCAGGAAAGATGAAAGAATTTATAAATGGTAATGATGTAAAGTAAATTCACACTAGGGTTTTCCCCTTTCTTAGAGGAGCTGAGGGTGGGGTGAGGAGGGGGCTGGTAAAGGATCAGGATTTTATTTGTGTCTTCGCTGCAATAAAGCAGAAATGTTAGACACCAAGAAAGCCACTCTGAAAAGTATTTTCCTTGATCTCAGGAGAATGTGGAATTATTTAATAAATCAACAAGTCCAAGATCAAGGTGCCAGAAAAATAAAAAAGTATATTGCAGGGAAAAGCCCAAAAAAATTAAAAAATGATTAAATAGGCGGGCGCCGTGGCTCAAACCTGTAATCCCAGCATTTTGGGAGGCCGAAGCAGGTGGGTCACTTGAGTCCAGGAGTTCGAGACCAGCCTGGACAACATGGTGAAACCCCATCTATACTGAAAATACAAAAATTAGCTGGGTGTGGTGTGCATCTGTAATCCCAGCTACTAGGGAGGCTGAGGCATGAGAATCACTTGAACCTGGGAGGTGGAGGCTGCAGTGAGCCGAGATCACGACACTGCACTCCAGCCAGAGTGACATAGACTGAGTAAAAAAAAAAAATTAATTAAAAATTAAATAATCAACAAATATTTTAAATCCATTACCTGATATGGGCTTAGCTATTTGAGGGTTGCTGTAAAAAATATTGAAGCAGCCAGGCGCGGTGGCTCACGCCTGTAATCCCAGCACTTTGGGAGGTCGAGGCAGGTTGATCACAAGGTCAGGAGATCGAGACCATCCTGGCTAACACGGTGAAACCCCATCTCTACTAAAGATACAAAAATTAGCCAGGTGTGGTGGCGGGCACCTGTAGGCCCAGCTACTCAGGAGGCTGAGACAGGAGAATGGCGTGAACCCACGAGGCAGAGGTTGCAGTGAGCCGAGATCGCGCCACTGCACTCCAGCCTGGGCAACAGAGCGAGACTCCGTCTCAAAAAAAAAAAAAAAATTGAAACAATATTTAGTTTTTTCTGAACCATTTGAGAGTAGCTTGAGACATCATGCCCTGTTACCTTTTAATACCTCAGTGTATATTTCCTAAGAACAAGGATATTCACTTACATAACCACAGTTACCAAATTCGGCAAATTTAACATGGATGCAATTTTTTTATGTTCTACACTCCATATTCCACTTTTGTCAATCGTCCCATTAGGGCCTCAAAGCAGTTTCCCTATCCTTTGCAGAATCAAATCCGGCATCACATACATTTAGGTATATTCCTTTTGTTTTTGTCACTCTGGAACAGTTCCTCAGCCTTTCTTTGTCTTTTATGACAGTGAAATGTTTGAAGAAGAGATGCCAACTATTTCATAGCACAATTTGGGTTCCTCTGATGTTTTCTTGTGATTAGGCTCAGGTTAGGTAGCTCTGGCCACAAAACTGGATGGTGATGTTGAGCAATGTCCATCTGTTAATGCTCATTTTAGTCACCTGGTCAATGTGTGGTCACGTTTCTTCATTGCCGAGTTACCATATTTTCGTCCTTGCAATTCATAAGCAAGCTGTGGGGTGATAAACTCTTGTTTTTTTGTTTGTTTGTTTGTATGTTTTTTGAGATGGAGTCTCGCCCTGTCACTCAGGCTGGAGTGTAGTGGCACCATCTCAGCTCCCTGCAACTTCTGCCTCCCTGGTTCAAGCGATTCTCCTGCCTCAGCCTCCTAAATAGCTGAGATTACAGGTGTGCACAACCACGCCCAGCTAATTTTTGTATTTTTAGTAGAGACGGAGTTTCACCATGTTGGCCAGGCTGGTCTCAAACTCCTGACCTCAGGCAATCCACCTGCCTTGGCCTCCCAAAGCGATGGGATTACAGGTGTGAGCCACCGTGCCCAGCCATATACTCTTGTCTTTTAAGGGAATGGGACATACCATATTAATGGAGGCTACAGAGGACTGTAGTGAGAACCAGCTCAAACAGTCCTCACTCAGCCATTCTCTAGCTGTGCGACCTGGACGAATTCTCTAACTTCTCAGAGCCACCGTTCCTTTTCTGTGAAATGGGATAATAATAATATTTCCTCCCAGTGTTGGAAATATAAGTAAACATGTAAGATACTTGACTCACAGGAGACATTCTACAATGTGAGTGTGCTTCTCATTCTCCTTTGCTTTTTTTTTTTTTTTTTTTGAGATGGAGTCTCACTCTGTTGCCCAGGCTGGAGTGCAGTGGCGTGATCTCGGCTCACTGCAACTTCTGCCTCCTCAGTTTAAGCGATTCTCCTGAGTAGCTGGGGTTACAGGCACCTGTCACCATGCCTGGCTAATTTTGATATTTTTAGTAGAGATGGAATTTCACCATGTTGGCCAGGCTGGTCTCTAACCTCAAGCGATACACCTGCCTTGGCCTCCCAAAGTGCTGGGATTACAGGTGTGAGCCACCGATCTGGGCCTTCTCCTCTGCTTTTTAAAGTTACTTTAACTTTGTGCTTTTTAAAAATAGAGATGGGATCTTGCTATATTGCCCAGGCTGGAGTGCAGTGGCTAGTCACAGGTGCCATCATAGCTCACTGCAGCCCTGAATTCCTGGCCTCAGGCAATCCTCCTGCCTCAGCCTCTCAAGTTGTTGGGACTCAGGTAACACCACTGCACCCCAACTTTGTACTTTTAAAGTTACTTTAAACTCCAAAATTGAGGACAGTGGTTTGTTGATCTCTTACTATTGTTTCTAGTGCCATGAAGGGACATCAAAGATAAGCGAATCATACAATGTAACCTATGGCAGGAGGCATGAGAAACAAGATATGCAACAGAGGGCCTCTTTGGAAATGGCAGGAGCAGGGGCTGGAGGCAGCAACAAAAGTGTCATCTTGAAAGGCGTCTTCATGTGCAGCTTGAGAGTCAGCTGTGAGGAAAATAGCCAAGGAGACACAGACTATGAGACTGCCCGTGCCCTAGAGCTCTTTGCAAAATCAAGGTCTCAGGGCTTCACCCCATCCCCTGACCAAAAGCAAGGGATGTGAGGCAGAATCTGCCTTGCTGCCGATTCACTGTGTGTCCCTGGGAAAACCACCAATCTTCTCTAAGTCTCCATTTTCTCATCTGTAAAATGAGGGGTTTTGACCAGATCTGTAGTTCTCCATCTGGGCTGTGCATTAGAATCATTAGGGAAATTTTTTGAAACATTCTAATTCCTGGACCCATCCCCAGACCACTTGAATCAGAACACAGGTATCAGAATTTTTCAAAAATTCCCCCAGAGGATTCTGATCTTAACCAAATGTGAGAACCACAGACCTAAATAATCTTAAATAACCTTGCTAGATTTAAGTTTCTATGAATCCATGAATGGAATATTCTGAGGAACTGAGTTTTCTGATGAACTTAGAATTCACCACCAGAAATTCCTTTTTGTTTCTATTCCTATTTTTGAAAACTCTTCTAAAGTGAAAAAGTTTAAATAATCTTGAAGGTCCTTCCTACCTTAAAGTTTCTATGACTACATGAGAAGGATATTCAGAGGAGCTAAGTTTTCTGATGAATTTAGTATTTACTAATTTGCCACCAAAAATTCCTTTTCATTTTTATTTCTATTTTTGAAATCTTTCCTAATGTGTAAAATTCCAACCTCCTGTCTAGGGAAGCAGGGACAATAAATTCATAACATGGGGGCCACCACATGCTCTCTTCCCTTGACAGGGCAGACATTACTAATTGATGAAGACACTGACCTCCAACTTGCCATAAAAATCCATCTCACCTCTAGGCAGCCATGACCAATCAGTCAAAGCTGACACTGGAAATGAAACCGATTTGCCATTTTGGGTTTGGTAAATTTAGCTCAGTATTTCTTTCATAATGGGGTATCTTTCAGGGCCTCAAAGGCAAGATTCCAAACAACCCTTCCTCCACTCCATCCTCTCCAAATACACCGGGCTGTAGGACAGGTGGTATGGGGACTGTGCTGAATGTATACTGAGTTCAGATAAACTTTGGGTATAAATAAAATTTTTATAAAATATGTTTTGCTACCATTTACATCTTTTCCTTAAATTTAATCCAAAGAAGCCAGTTCTGGGGAAGCAATATGGCAAGTAGAGTAGGAGCGTGGGTTCAAATCCTGATTCTGCCGCTCACTATTTGGCCCATTTTGGACAACTTCCCTAAATTCTCCTCTCTGTCTTCTCGCCTCAGTCTTCTCATCTATAAAATGGGGGCTAATAATAGTATCTACCTCATAGGGTTATTGTGAGATTTGAATGAAATAATAGACCCAACACCCAGGGTCTGACACGCAGGGAACTCAACAAACCTTACCTATTTTGCTTGCTAATACCATACATTGAGGACTTCATTAAGTGATTTATGGCAAATCAAAATTGCATAGAAGTTAGAAGTAGTAGAAATAATAGTAGAGGAGATAATAGAAATACCTATATTGTGCCCCATTTGCCATCCCTTGGGAGGGAACGAGTCTGCATCCGCTCAAAGAGTCTGTGTCCACCCAAAGTGAGCGCCTTGGCAATGTGGTCTTGGGGGGCAGCCTCCACATCTGGGGTGTGGTCACGTAAGCTTGAAGCACTTAGCAAGAGCTGTGGTGGCCCAAAGGGGGTGTTTTGAAAATTGGCAGGTGTGCTTTTTTTGTTGACTCTGCCGTTGGCATTTGGGGATGGGGAGGAAGCTAGATGTCCTGCAATGTGTCGGAGAGTCCCAGACAACAAAGAACTCTCATGCCCCACATGACTTTCAGATGTTCCCCTAGCCTAAACTCACTACAAATGTAAATCATCAATAATTAGAACACAATGATCCTGAAAATAACTTGAAAGGAGTTACTTGAAAAGCCCAGTAATTTAGAAGACCATTCCATAGAGAGAAACTTTTTTTTTTTGAGATGGACTCTCATTCTGTCGCCCAGGCTGGAGTGCAGTGGCGTGATCCCAGCTCATTTCAACCTCTGCCTCCCAGGTTCAAACGATTCTCCTGCCTCAGCCTCCCTAGTAGCTGGGATTACATACAGGCCTGCACCACCACACCCAGCTAATTTTATATTTTTAGTAGAGACGAGGTTTCACCATGTTGGCCAGGCTGGTCTCGAACTCCTGACCTCAAGTGATCCACCCCCTTCAGCCTCCCAAAGAGCTGGGATTACAGGCGCGGGCCGCTGCGCCTGGCCTATAGAGAGAAACTTAAATGGAAGAAACGTCTTGCCCCGAAATGATTAATTTACTCATACTGTGCTGGTTGCTTGCTCTATGTATTGAGCATTTCTGATTATAAATTTTACTGAAAAGAATTTCAGTACAGTAGGGAGTTTACTGTACAATGAAACCAACTGAAAATAAGAAACAGATTTGAGATTTATTTAAACAAATCTTGAGCCAAATATAAAAGAGCAGACTCATGAAATGCAAGGATGTCATAGGTTTTTTTTTTTTTTTTTTTTGTCTTTTTTTGAGGCAAGGTTTCACTCCGTCACTGAGGGCAGTGGCTGGAGTGCAGTGGCACGATCTCAGCTCACTGCAACCTCCACCTCCTGGGCTCAAGCAATTCTCCTGCCTCAGTCTCCTGAGTAGCTGGGATTAACAGGTTCATGCCACTGTGCCCGGTTAATTTTTTTTTTGTTTGTTTGTTTTTTTTGTGGAAATGGGGCTTTGCCATGTTAGCCAGGCTGGTCTCAAACTCCTGAGCTGTGGTGATGCGCCCACCTTGGACTCTCCCAAAGTGCTTGGATTGCAGGTGTGAACCACGGCGCCTGGCCTGAGATGTTTTGACACAGGCGTGCAATGTGAAATAAGCACATCATAGAGAATGGGGTATCCATCCCTTCAAGCATTCATCCTTTGAGTTACAAACAATCCAGTTACACTCTTTAAGTTATTTTAAAATGTACAATTAATTTATTATTGACTGTGGGCTGGGCACGGTGGCTCACGCCTATAATCCCAGCATTTTGGGAGGCCGAGGTGGGTGGATCACTTGAGGTCAGGAGTTCGAGACCCGCCTGGCCAACACGGTAAAACCCTGTCTCTACTAAAAATACAAAAAATCACCTGGGTGTGGTGGTGGACGCCTGTAGTCGCAGCTACTAGGGAGGCTGAGGCAGGAGAATCACTTGAACGCTTGAGTCCGGGAGGCAGAGGTTGCAGTGAGCCGAGATTGCATCACTGCACTCTAGCCTGGGCAACAGAGCGAGACTCTGTCTCAAAAAAGAAAAGAAAAAAGAATTACTATTGACTATGATGTGGCCTCTTTCAAATCCATCCTCACTGTCCTTTGTTTCTCACAGGATGCAGCCCCCAAGTTCATTTTAAGTGCTAGAGACTCTCTCCAAAACATACCCTTATCCCAGGTCATAAAATCGAGGAACCACAGTGATGCTGTATTTTGTAAATAAGCCCCAGATCATTCATGACTTTGAGTCTGTAGCTTGTTTTAGTATATTACAGATTGAGTATCCCTTTTCTGAAATGCCTGGGATGAGAAATGTTTCAGAGTTTCTGAATTTTGGGATATTAGCATGTATATAATAAGATATTTTGGGGAATGCGACCCAAGTCTAAACACGAAATGCATTTATGTTTCACATACACCTTATATAGATAGGCTGAAGGTAATTTTATATAATATTTTACATAATTTTGTCCATGAAAAACAACATTTTGACTGTGTTTTGACTGTGACCCATCACATGAGGTCAGGTGTGGAATTTCCCATGGTGGCATCATGTCAGCACTCAAAAAGATTCAGATTTTGGAGCATTTTGGGTTTTGGATTTTCAGACTAGGGATGCTCAACCTGTATCTCTATTTTAAATAACGTTATTTTATTCTTTCTTTTATATACAGATAAGTGTTCTCTATTATTACTTAGCCTAACACTAATTTTTATTTTTTATTCTAATGTCCATTCATACCTCTGCTTTTTTTTTTTTTTTTTTTTTGAGACAGAGTCTCACTCTGTCGCCCAGGCTGGAGTGTAGTGGCGTGATCTCGGCTCACTGCAACCTCTGCCTCCCGGATTCAAGCCTCCCAAAGTGCTGGGATTACAGGCGTGAGCCACCACGCCCGGTATGTTCTTTTATTTTTTTGTTCTTCTTATGAAAATAGCTTCTGATCTTCTTATTTCCCTTAAATCCAAACCCATTCATTATCAGTAGGTGCAGGCATCTGGTGGCTTCAGTGTGTCCTGCTGTGCAGCCACACCTGAGCATTTATATTTTAAAGTACATGTTATTTTATTACACATTTTTAAAAATCTATCCTTTATGTTAAAGAAGTGATTCTCAGCTGGGGGTATTTTGTCCCACCTTGCCCTGGGACATTCACTTTTCGTTGCCAGAACTGGGGGTGAGGTGCTTCTTGAATCTAGTGGGGAGAGGCCTGGGATGCTGCTGAACATCCCACAATGCACAGGACAGCCCCCTCACAAGAGTAAAGTGGCCCAAAATGTCAATAGTGTTGAGGTTGAGAAACCCTGTGTTAGAGTTAGGGTATTACAACTAATTTTAAAAATGTGTGGCCCGGCACAGTGGCTCACCCCTGTAATCCTAGCACTTTGGGAGGCTGAGGCAGGCGGATCACGTGAGGTTGGGAGTTTGAGACCAGCCTGACCAACATGGAGAAACACCATCTCTACTAAAAATACAAAATTAGCTGGGCATGGTGGCACATGCCTGTAATCCCAGCTACTCAGGAGGCTGAGGCAATAGAATTGCTTGAACCCAGGAGGCGGAAGTTCCGGTGAGCCGAGATCGCCCCACTGCACTCCAGTCTGGGCAGCAAGATTGAAACTCCGTCTCAAAAAAAAAAAAAAATGTGTTTAGAGAGGTTATGTAATCCATGAATTTCATCTGGGATGTTAAAGGGAGTTTACAAAATATTTATTATAAAAAGTTATAAACCACTGGCATAAATCAAAATAAGAGGAAGTAGTCTGGGTAGACTTTGGATTCCTCACTTTCACCACAGCCCTTGAACTCATGTAAAGAGAAAATAACTTTGGAAAAGTGTTCTGTCCTTTCATCTCACATGAAAGCCAGAGGTCAAATGTGAAACTCCAGTGTTTCTGAACCGCAGAGCGTCCATCTTTCCAGCTGTGTTTCTCCAATGTCTTCCACCAAGCGGCCTCATTTCAGGTAATATTTGCTCTCTCCTCCCAGTCTGATGATGACTGTTTAGGGAATACCCAAGAGAGTCTAAATTGCTCACAGGATTTGGTAGAAACCACTCCCGTTTCAGTCACCAGCCGGCCCTGGGTCTTTATCACAATTGCTATCCTAGAGGAACACAGCTGCACGAAGGCACCAAGGGCTTCCTCCTTATGCCACAAATATCCTAAGAAGAATGTCTCAGAATTATTTCAAGGTGTGGCACTTAGTGCGGCCAGCATGTGGGAGAAGTGAGTTTGTATACTGTACCACTGAACACATGCCTTCTCAAGATGCATGAGGAGGCCTTCATTATAAGTGGCGTTAAACAAATGGAATGGAAAATTCCAGAGGTTGCAAAACAAAATAGGGGTGAGCAGAGATACTGTCTTCTGATGCAGTATTTAGACCCAAGTTCCGCCATTTATCATGCTGTGTGGCTTTGGGCAGAACCTTATCCTCTCTGTGCCTAGATGGATGTCCTGTTCCGTGAAAAGGGGATCGTGAGGTATGAAGTGACTAGCAGGTGTCAGCACACAAGTTGTGCTGCTAGTTTCTTTGGGTTAATAAATCCACTTGAGGCTGTACTGTATCTCAGCAGGATGGGCCCCGCCCATGTCAGACCTGGAGCTTGCTTTCCATGAGTTACATTTATGGCAGCTCGGTTAGCACTGGGAAAGGATCCCAGGCCTTAAGCCAGCCATGTACTTTGAGCTACCGGAGGCTACTCAATTAGGGACTGGCTTTGGACCTTCAAACCAACTTAAGAGATGGTAATTATTAGCACTTGCTATGTGCAGGTTGTCCATGCATCATCTCATTTTATTCTCATGAGATTCCAAAATAGAGTGCCACTGTCCTGCTAACGCTTGAGGAAAGTGGGGCCCAGAGCAGCGAAGCCACTGCCCAGGCTCACAGCGGCGAGAAGCGAAGGAGCCAGGGCGGGACTGAGCCCAGGCACGGTCCTGACCCGCTGCCTCTGAACCTGGTCAGGGCTTCATCCCTTCCTGCTGGAGAAATCGCTGCCAAAGCCTGCTCACACAGCCCCTGGGCGGCGGAGGCGAGGTGAAGCCAGTCAGCCTTTCTCCGAGACTTCCAACTCACCGGGCCTGGAGCTCGTCCCCTTCTCAGCCCAGCGCTGAGCCCCCAAGACTTGGCTCCCGGCTACCACATCTGCTTGGAGAAGAAATGGGTGTGGCCCAAAGAGCAGATTTATGTTGTCCTCAGCGCCTTGGGCTCCATCCCAGCTGCACAGAATTGGATGGATGACAAGGATAAATGTGTTTGGCTCCGGGCTCAGTCACTGAGGATTTATTTAGCACCTGCAATAATAAAAAAATCACAATGCTGCAGCGCTCCAGGCACCACATGGGCATGCGGGGGAAACGGGAGTCTGTAGGGGGGAAGACACTCACCTGCCTGCTCTCTAGCTGCTTGCAATCTGGCTGTGGGAGAGAGATGAATCCCGCGGCATCTCAGAGGAGGAGGGAGGTGGGATGTATTTGAGATGAGGAGCCTGAGAGGTTAAGTACTTTGTTTGAGGTTACACAGCTAATGAGGAACCAAACGAGAGCTGCCGATTTATTGACACTTATCATGAGTTTTCGTTGTTGCAAACATACGTGAAAAAATAAAATTTAAAAGCACAGCTAAGCAACGCAGGAGAAAAAAATCACCCCAAATCCCACCACCCAGAGTTAGCCACCAACACCCTCACCTCCATGCGTTTTCTTTCCTTGTGCAGATATGCATGGACATGTCTACAGTGTGTATGCCCTTAGTTTACGAAGCTGGATACTGCACAGTATACCGCTCAGGAAACTGCTTATCTCCTTTCAGATGCAGATCAGCTATTTTTTTTCTTTTTTAGAGACAGGGTCCTTGCTATAGTGCCCAGGCTGGTTTTGAACTCCTAGGCTGAAGCAGTGCTCCCACCTCAGCCTCCCAAAGTGTGGGATTACAGGCAGTAGCCACCAGCCCACCCTGCATCAGCTATTTAAATGGCTCCCAGCTGCGGCTGTGGAGTTCAGCAGGGGCTGCTGTCAGGCAGGGAGAAGGGGGAGTTTCCAGGATAATTCTCTCTCCTAGAGGCAGCGCTGGGCTCCTGGAAGGAGGAGAACCTCCAAACCAGGCCTCAGGAGGCAGGTGGGAGGATAGGCGGGCGGCAAGCGACATCCAGAAGGAAAAGCTGGGCCTGGTGAGACAAGTGTTGGGGGGCTGAAGAAAAGAGAGACTGAAGGGAGCCATTTCAGGTCTGGGGGGGGCCAGGGGGTAGCAGAATGTAGAAAAGGGTATGCTTTGGGGTTCCTCTAAAAGATGGGAGGAGCTGGCAAGCCCTGGCCTTAAGGAAAGGAAAAGTCCCATCTCTGGGTTCTTTAGCTAACAAAAGCCACTGACCCCTGTAGCTTCCCCATGCCTGTTCAGAAGGTGCTTCAGCCAGTAAAAAGGCAAAAAAGCAGCGTTTTCCCAAATGTGTCCCTGGAAAGACAAATCCCATAAAAGGATTCACCAGAAAAAAGGCTTAAAAAAAAGTTTGAGAAATGAGATGTACAGTCATTTCATCTCAGAGAATCGCAACACACAGAAACTTACCTGCAGCCCTGAGAAGTAAGAGATCCGCAGAACCTGGGTTTCCCAAGTTTATTTTCTCGGGTAGCTCTCACTGCCTAAGGAATTTCCCTTGTGCTCCCGCCCAGTGATGTTGGAGAAGACACCGCAGAGCCACTGGGCTGGGCATCTCCCTCAACAAGGCAGCCTCCTTAAGATCACAGGAAAGCCCCAGGCCTCACGGCAGGTTTACACCCTGTGTGCCCCGGCAGCCCTGTGAAAGGGCAGAAGTCAGTGATCCCAAGGTCTCTTCCAGCTCCAGCACTCTATCCTGTTTCTGCAGCTCATGCCCAATCAAATCTCACTTCAGGGGAATATCCATGGAGTGTGGTGGCCTGGGGCAGTTGTATTTGCTGGATAAATTCACTTATTTAATTCAACAAATATTTCTTGAATCCTTACTATGTGCCAGATACTGTTCTAGGCATTGGGGATTCCAAAGTCAGTAAAATAAAATCTGGGGGAAACAGACTACAGACAAATGTAATAACTATATCATGTATATGTCAGCTAAGGACTTTGGAGAGAAATAAAGTATGGTAAACAAAAAGTGTGGGGTGGCAAGGCTGAGAGAGGGATACTCTGTTAGATAAAGTGATCCGGGAAGGCTTTTCTAAAGAGGTGACTTGTGAGCAGAGACTAGCAGGAAGTGAGGGATAAAGCCATGCGGAGATCCCAGGGCTGAGCGTTCAGGCAGAAGAAACAGCAAGGGCAAACATTCTGAGGCAGGAACAAGGAGGCACACGAGGGGAACATTGTGGCTCAAGGGAATAAAAGAGGGGGAGCGTGTTAGGAGATGAGGTCAGAGAGTGAGTGGGGGCCAGATCTCCTAGGACTGGAAGGCCAAGATAAGAACTTCGGATATTTATTCAGAGATGAGAAGCCAGTGGAGGGGTTGAGGAGGGGCATAATGTGAGGTACAAGGAAGAATTTCTGCTTTCTAATAGGGATAAACAGTTTTCTAAATAGGGAGAGCCTACCCTCTGCCTTGGAACTTATGAAAAGAAGTTGAATTTTCATTTGATGGTTGAAGATCTTGCAAGGCCTTGGTACTGGTCATCCATCGTTGTACAGACACTTACTCAGTACTCCAAGCTCCCACCTGCCATGGTGGCAAGGAATTTGATCTCAGTCATATTTCAAGAGGCAGGTCTTCTTTTCACCCATGGCTACACGTGAGTCCAGCAACTTACAGGTGCCTGGGAAGGGAAGGGTCTCTGGTCTCCAGTCCATCATGGATAATGCAACTTTATGTTCATGGTCCAAGTCCATTGGTCTTTTCAAAGGCAAGCAGCTCTATCCTCCATAACCAACAGGGCTTCCAAGATCCTTCCCTTGGGTCCAGGACCATAGCTCTAAGAACTCAGTCTCCTGGTATCTACTCACCACCCACTGGCAGTCGGGCATTGGTGGATGCTGCATGCATGAGTAAGGCACCGTCACCTTTCCTCAAGCCTCTTATAATCTTTGGTCCAACAGACAAGTACACCAGCGTTTATGGTTGGGGAGGCTGGGCTCTGCTGGGGCAGTGGGATAGAACATAGTGCTGTTTTCCCTATGAGAAATAAGCCAAAGTAGGATACACAACTCCATGTCTTAAGTGTTTTTATTATTTATTTATTTATTTATTATTATTATTATTATTTTTTTATTTTATTTTTTTTTGAGACAGAGTCTCGCTCTGTTCCCAGGCTGGAGTGCAGTGGTGCGATCTCGGCTCACTGCAAGCTCCGCCTCCCAGGTTTACGCCATTCTCCTGACTCAGCCTCCCAAGTAGCTGGGACTACAGGCGCCCGCCACCACGCCCAGCTAATTTTGTTTTTGTATTTTTAGTACTGATGGGGTTTCACCGTGTTAGCCAGGATGGTCTTGATCTCCTGATCTTGTGATCCACCCACCTCAGCCTCCCAAAATGCTGGGATTACAGGCGTGAGCCACTGCGCCCGGTCCTATTTTTTATTTTTTGAGATGGAATCTCACTCTGTCATCTCGGCTTACTGCAACCTCCATTTCCCAGGCTCAAGTGGTCCTCCTGCCTCAGCCTCTCAAGTAGCTGGGACTACAGACATGTGCTACCATGCCTGGCTAATTTTTTTTGTATTTTTGGTAGACACGGGGTTTCACCATATTGCTCAGGCTGGTCTCGAACCCCTGACCTCAAGTGATTCGCCTTCCTTAGCCTCCCAAAGTGCTGGGATTACAGGTGTCAGCCACCGTACCCGGCCTTAAGATTTTTTTAGAAAGATAACTTGAAACTCTGGGTGATGGGAATCAGGCAGGGGCAGGTTCCGACTGAGCCCTGAAACCTCACCTGGACCCTCCACTCCGCCTGGGAGGAAGACCCAGGTCACCTTAGTCAGGAAGCAGGAATGCCGCAATGACCTGCCGCAGTGGAGATTTGTCCTCTTCTGTGTACAACATTTTTCAGTAAAGGGTACGGTGTCAGCTGGCAGCATTGCTGCAGCACTAATGAAGTTTAGGAAGTGCTTAGCTGAAAAGGGCATGGGTGGGGTAATTGAATTGGTGTCAGACACATAATGGCTTTGAGAGTCTTTTCTCCCTCATTTGATAAGAAGAGCCCTTTCCCTCACATCCTCCGTAAAAGCTCAAGGAGAAAAGGATGTTCACCCAGCTATACATCAATCCTGTCTATTGACTACGAGTTTTGGGAAATCATATGGAGAAGCATACTTTTTACGAAGGCTTTGGGGACTGTTAATAGCAGGCTGGGCAAAGCACAGGAAGAGGCTACGAATGAGTGTTTTCCACAGGACGCTGCCAGGTGATAAAATATTAAAACCATTACCAACACTCCCACTTCAAGGAATGGTCTTAATGATTCTGTCAGATATCTGGGTCCTGTGGTCAAATGGACAGTGAGCTTTTTGGGCCTCATCAAAAAATAGCTTACTGGGTGCCAGGTCCTGTGCTAAACGCTTACACGTTGTCTCCTTTCATCTTCACAACAACCCAAGAGGGAGGAGCTATTGTTATCCCCATTTCACATATGCAAAAACTGAGGCTTGCCCAAAACCACACAGTTCTGATGTGGCAAAGCTTGGCTTGAAATCTAAGATTGGGATTCCAAAGCCAATGCTTTCCTTCTTTACTTCCCTGATTAAAAAACGTAAAGGTGGCCTGGCGCGGTGGCTCATGCCTGTAACCCCAACACTTTGGGATGCGGAGGCAGGCGGATCACCTGTGGTCAGGAGATCAAGACCAGCCTGGCCAACATGGTGAAACCCTGTCTCTACTAAAAATACAAAAAAATTAGCTGGCCATGGTGGCGGGTGCCTATAATCCCAGCTACTTGGGAGGCTGAGGCAGGAGGATCGCTTGAACCCAGGAGGTGGAGTTTGAAGTGAGCTGAGACCATGCCATTACACTCCAGTCTGGGCAACAAGAAAGAAACTCCATCTCAAATAAATAAGTAAATAAATAAATAAATAACCTAAAGGAAAACAGACTACATCCATATACGGTTAAAAAGAAAAGTACAAGAGCTTACAATAAAAATTAACTCTCTGTCCCACCAGACCCAAGTCCAGAGGCAACTACCGTTACTGCTTCCTTGTTTACCTTCCGACTACAGAGAATACACACACAGATGTGTACACGATTGTGTCTACGTGTATATATATAAAATGGGTGTGCACTATCCACACTGTCTGCACCTTGCTTTTGGCACTTAACATTTCTCGGAAGACTTTAGCAAAACCTAACAAAGACAGCTGCCTGATTTTAATATGGCTGAATAATGGTTCGTCGTATAGATATAGAGGCGCTTAACCAGTCTGCTCCTTAGGGACATTTAGGATGTCTACATTTTTGCCATCAGCAATAATGCCGCAATGCGCATCTTCAGGGAAATGCCCCTGCACACGTGTGTGAGCAACGCTGTGCTTTTAATAACAAGAGCAAGATGATATCCCAGGACAGGTGGGTTCACTGTCCAGGTCACTAGCTCAGAGATTGCACTTGTAGCATCGCAAAGGCATTGAGGGTGGCACCAAGAAGGCCATGCAGGCCCTCGGCTTTGGGATATTCCATACGAACGACCCTCCAGGTTTGACAGATACAGACCTGGGCACCCCAGGGACATTTCTGAATGTAAACAAGAATATGGATAGCAGGGCTTCCTCTTTCCAGCCGCCATTTCATCACAGCACCCTTAGGGCAGCCAGGAACTGTAAAGGTTGTCTGTGAAGACTGCTGCCTGGGCAGATGGGGACCTTCATGCCTAGATCACCAAAGGAGGCATGGATCAAAGTCCAGAGAGTTGAAGTAGCTTGCCCAAGGTCACATAGAAGGTGGGGAGGACCTTGGCTCTAGCAGGCCTGCTCAACAGAGGTTTGTCTCGTCTCTGGTTGTTACTAAGGCTCAAGAAGATCTTGATGCCCTCTCTAGGCCCAGGGGAGTGGGTACAGTACCAATGAGTGATGCCTCCCCTGCTGGTAGCAGGCAGTGGTTAGTGTCCTTGTCACGATTTCTTTTTCTTTTTCTTTCTTTTTTTTTTTTTTTTTTAAGACGGAGTCTCACTCTGTCGCCCAGGCTGGAGTGCAGCGGCGCAATCTCAGCTCACTGCAAGCTCCGCTTCCCGGGTTCACGCCATTCTCCTGCCTCAGCCTCCTGAGTAGCTGGGACTACAGGCGCCCGCCACCGCGCCTGGCTAATTTTTTTTTTTTTTTTTTTGTATTTTTATTAGAGACGAGGTTTCACCGTGGTCTCAATCTCCTGACCTCGTGATCCGCCCGCCTTGGCCTCCCAAAGTGCTGGGATTACAGGCGTGAGCCACTGCGCCCAGCTTCTTTTTCTTTTTTTGAGAAGGAGTTTTTGTCTGTCGCCCAAGCTGGAGTGCAGTGGCATGATCTCAGCTCACCGCCACCTCCACCTCTTGGGTTCAAGCGATTCTCCTGCCTCAGCTTCTTGAGTAGCTGGGATTACAGGCGTCTGCCACCATGCCTGGCTAATTTTTGTATTTTTAGTAGAGATGGGGTTTCACCATGTTGGCCAGGCTGGTCTCAAACTCCTAACCTCAAATGGTCTGCCTGCCTTGGCCTCCCAAAGTGCTGGGATTACAGGCGTGAGCCACTGTAACCGGCCTCGTCACTATTTTATAAATTCCCACTATTTTTTTTATTAGTCAGGATAGTATATGGTGGTAACAAACAAACCTGAAATTGTACTGGCCTATTACCAAATTTATTTTTCACTTACTCATTCACCCCCGACTCAGGGAACTCCCCTGTCAGCTGTCCTCCCTATGGTGACTCAGTGACCCAATCTGCTTTCATCTTGTGGCTTGCCACCTCAATGTGTGGCCTCTAGAACTGCCCCGGGGGAGGGGCACATCGCTGGGACAGGGTATGGAGGATGCAGGCAGATCACACACTGACCCTCAAGTGTCTCACCCCGGTCACTTACAGCCCACTGGCCAGAATTATTCACGTGGCCACGCCTAACTGCAAGGGACTTGGAATGGCAGGGAGGGGTCTCCTGGATAGTCTTGAGCAGTATGTGTCTCTGCCAAGCTCCTAGGCTGGTGGGGCTGGCAAATACGGGCTGCTTTAAGCAGGGGAATGACCACAGGTCTGTGGGGAGGTTGTTAACAGTAGATTTGGGGACCAATATTAGCTTTTAGGTGCTACCCAATTGCTAATTCATCTGCAGGGGTCACTTATTTTTCCTAACCATCTTACTGTAGAATAAAACACACATACACAGAAAACCTCACAAAACAAATGTAGAGTTTAAGCTGAGTAAATAAATGCCTCCGAAGGCAAGAAGGAATTAATCGTTTTAGTTTTTGGACTCAGTGCTGTATTTTGCCATAGCATTTCTAACATAGCTTTGGAAAAGTGAAGTTTTGAATTTCAGAGGTATAATATTCCACTTTTAAACAGAGGGCTGTCTAACCTCGACAGCGAACTTGCAATCTGCCTGTGACCAAGGAGTGAGGAAGTCCTCCCCTCTCACAGTAAATGTTAGGTTGGAAGGTGGGGTTCCTGGGGCCGGCCAGCCAGTGGCCTGGGAAGCAGCTGAGAGCCTCTCCCCATTTTCCCTAACTGTGGACTTGGTTTCTGGATCATCCTGCTTCTTAGGCCCTGGTGCTTCAAGAGAAAGTTGAATTGGCCCCGAGAGGCCACCACACCCACCGTGTGGTCCCTCCTCCAGGCCAAGCTGCAGCCTGGAGGTCAGCCTGACCCTCGGGGACTCCCAGCTCTGGGCAGAAGCCTCATCGTCCCTGCCAAGGTATGTGTCAGCCTCAAGGCAGCACACAATGTTTTGGTAACTTGCAGAGGCTGAATCCTAGAAAGACCGCGTGTTCCTGGCCGCTGGACGCTGGCCTTGGTGATGCTCGCCCCCGTCCCGGAAGCCCGATGCACCTGCTGGGAGTCAGCACCGGGCCGGGCCTTCCAGCCAGCTCTGCCAGCACATATTTCTAGGCTCAAGTCAGACTTGGGAAAGCATGGCCCTCTCCTGGCTCCACATCCTGCTCCCCCTGCACCCATGGAGCAGCTGACCCAGTTTTTGGTAGAAAAATGAAAATCTTTACCAGTCAGATGAGAGGAGAGGAAGCAAATGCCACGCTGCCCTAATTTAGCCCAGACACAACCCTCCTTCTGAGGAAGGGATGAGGAGCTTGGGCCTTCTCACTCTCTCTTTTCAGAGCATTTGGAACAAACTCCCAAAATACCAGAGGCTGAGTGCAAACCTCCTTTGCTGTCATCAAGAGGGAGGATGAATCATGCAAAACACGCAATTTCTATCATCCCAAAATACTGCACATATACTTACATTTAGTGTCATTTTACATGTGCGAGGTATTTTTTTAAAAAATTCTTTTCTCTTTCACTCCTTTTTTTTTTTTTTGCTAAACCAAAAACACCAGCTGTAAAACCCACTGCTTCCTTCCCCGCCAAGTCTGCAGTGGCAGGAGGCGGCGGCAGCAGACAGCAGGGCCCCCTGTGCTCTGAGTCAGGCCTCCCTCTCAGTGGCTCCCTGCCTGCAAAACAAACTTAAAAGCTGGTGAATGGGACGTAGGGGCCCGCAAGCATGCAGGGAGGCCTAAAATATTTGCAGAGGCACACACTGTTCGCAGAATGAAAGGCCACTATGTAAATATCTGGGCCCCGGGTGAGGCGAGGCATTCTGAAAGTGGCTTTTCTGTTAGTCGCATCAAGCCAGCGAGGAAGCAAAGGCATTCATTCAAAAACATCACGCAGGAGCCACACCACAACTTCCTGGCCCCAGAGGGTAGACTCGAAAGGGACCACAGCCCTGAGGCCTGAGTTTCAACCTTTCTCCTTCGCTGCACGTTTCACAGGATGGTTCTGTGACAGCCGACAATGTCAGCTTTTAGGGATAGGCAGACAGGATTGATTTTCTCTCCTTTGGCAGGGAAAAGGCTTTTTTGGAAGACACTCAAAAGGCAACCATAGTTACTGATGGAGCATGGCAAGCATGAGACAGAGGCAGCTATTACCCAGGCTCGACAAAAGAGGAAAAAACGTGGGATGGATTTTGCAACAAGCCCCAAATGTTGATTCCAAGGACCCGAGGATGAGTGTAGAAGCGGAGCAGGCACACCTGACACCCCTCGCGGCATCCCCTTCAGATTCCCGGGAAGTCTCACAGAGACATGAAACCTGGCATCAGCTCCCTGACCAAGATGAGACCATGAACCAGTCAGAATGTTCACGAATCACATTGTCCTGGGGATGCATTTAGAACATTCTTGGATTTCACACCATTCATGTTGCCCCCTCTGAGCCAGAATGGGGCAGACAGCCCCAGGAAGGAAGGAAGGAAATAGTTTTGTTTCACTCAATCTCTGTCAGTGGATAGCCTTCCACTTGGGCAGGAATTATCGTCTAGGTCAGACAGAACCCAGTTTCATCTTCTCTATCCTCCTCTCTCCAAAGCAACAAAGACTGCAATTTCCAGCATACAACAAAGAGAGGGAGAGAGAGAGAGAGAGAGAGAGAGAGAGAGAGAGAGAGAGAGAGAGCGAGCACTAGCTGAAGACACACATCATCTTTTTCAGGTGTTTAATTGCTAGAGGAAGTATCTTCAACAGTGGTAGAAAGGGGAGGGTGCTAAGAGTGGCCGCTCAAAGAAGCGATGTAAACTACATTTGATTCTCTGGTTTAATCAGAGATTTTAAGAGCTGAGCAGAAGATCCAACTGTAGGCTGGCTCAGAAATACCCCAGATAATGCTCACCAGGCATGAACATCTGAGCTAGACGGGCATAGATCCACAAGCGGAAGCTGCCAGCACCCAACTGGGAGGCTTAGGACAAGGCATTTGCCTTGTCTGATGGCCAAGGTCAAGCCTGGATAGAGGGCTCTCCATGCAATGGAAAAAATACCAACAAGGGGCCAGAGAAAAGAGAGTAGAGCCTGAAGGGGAGAAAACTGCCCTCAAGGGCCAGAGGTAGCAGGTCTCTCTGAACATTACTACTCTACAAGAAACAGAGGCTCATCTTAGATGACTGCAATTTAGGGTCCTCTGAATGACACAAGAAGATATGGCTTCAACGGAACTGGCCTAAGAAGGAAGGGGAATGACAAAACAGTCTAAGACGAGATACAAAGGGAGCTGTCTAAAATAAGAAGGCAATACAAAGTAACCAAAAATAGAAGACCAGAGTCAAAGCTGCAGTTGAAGGGAATGAGAGCAGAATTGACTACAAAACAGCCTGTTAACCAAGAGAGGAAGAGGCCACACACTTTGTTCTCAGGATCTCTGTACACTCTTAAAAATTACTAAGGAGGCCGGGCACAGTGGCTCACGCCTATAATCCCAGTACTTTGGGAGGCCAAGGTGGGAGAGTTGCTTGAGCCCAGGAGTTTGAGGTTAGTGTGCTACGATTGCACCACTACACTCCAGTTGGGGAGACAGAGGGAGACCTTGCTTCAAAAAAAGAGAAAGAAATAACTACATTTGCCAAATAAAAAATATTTTAGAGAACAGAAATACTGGCTTATATTTTGAAAACCTTTAATTAATAGAAGACAGCTGGATTCTCATATCTGCTTCTGAGTTCAATCTGTTGTAATGTGTTGTTTTGATTGAAGTATATGAAGAAAACCTGACCTTAGACAGATATGTTGTTGGAAAAGGGAAGAGAGTTTAATAGTCTTTTGAGAGATCCTTGTAGGTAGTCTTCTTTGATACTCTGCCAAAACTCATAGGTAATAATTTCTTAAAGGTTAGTCGTGGGAGGTTGGGTGCAGTGGCTCATGCCTGTAATCCCAGCACTTTGGGAGGCCGAGGCAAGCAGATAACCTAGGGTCGGAAGTTCAAGACCAGCCTGGCCAACATGGCAAAACCCCTTGTCTACTAAAAATACAAAAATTAGCTGGGTGTGGTGGCAGGTGCCTGTAATCCCAGCTACTCGGGAGTCTGAGGCATGAGAATAGCTTGAATCCAGAAGGTGGAAGCTGCAGTGAGCTGAGATCGCACCACTGCACTCCAGCCTGGGTGACAAGAGCGAAACTCCGTCTCCAGGAAAAAGAAAGGTTAGTTGTGGAATCTAAAACCACATCACTTGGTTACATCAAAATTCATTATGGGGGCTGGGCGCAGTGGCTCACGCCTATAATCCCAGCACTTTGGGAGGCCAAGGCAGGAGGATCACTTCAGGTCAGGAGTTCGAGACCAGCCTGGGCAACATGGGGGAAACTCTGTTTCTACTAAAAACACAAAGATTAGCCAGGCATGGTGGTGTGTGCCTATAGTCCCAGCTACTTGGGATGCTCAGGCACGAGAGTCGCTTGAACCCGGGAGTCAGAGGCTGCAGTGACCCAAGATCACACCACTGCATTCCACAGCCTGGGCGGCAGAGTGACACTATCTCAAAAAAACAAAACAAAGCAAAACAAAACAAAACAAACAAAAAATACTAAAACAAAAACCCAACGTTCATTATGGGCCTTTCACTCTGAATGGATCTTTTACCCATGCGTGATTTTTTAACAGCAATACATTGGTCATTTGGAAGATATTGACTCTATTGCAGATCTGAAAGTTGACACATATCATTTTCATTATACAATATATATTTTAAAATCACATATCCTTTGCTCTTGTCTCCTAGGCTGGAGTGCAATGGCACGATCTTGGCTCACTGTAACCTCCGCTTCCTGGGTTCAAGCGATTCTCCTGCCTCAGCCTCCCGAGTAGCTGGGATTACAGGCACCCGCCACCACACCTGACTAACTTTTGTACTTTTAGTAGAGACGGGGTTTTGCCATGTTGGCCAGGCTGGTCTCGAACTCCTGACTTCGTGATCCGCCCACCTTGGCCTCCCAAAGTGCTGGGATTATAGGTGTGAGGCACTGTGCCTGGCCAAAATTGCATTTCTTAATATCACCACCAATTTCATGGAAAAAAAAAAAAGTCTATTGGGAAATTGTCAAGCCAACAGTAGCAGATACATATTTCACAAAATTCCAATTTTTGCTTGAAAGCTCAGATTTTGTCACTGACAACAAAACTGTCTGTTGTCTCTTTGAAGTAATAGGCTCATTTTGCTCATTTTTTTTGAGAAAGTGTATGCCAAATACCCCTTCCTGAATAACCATACAACATAACCATAATGACAGTCTGTCACTCTTTCAAGTAAAAGTGGTGTCCCATGACAAAAGCAGCTACTTCAGCTTGCAACTCAAAACAGTTGCACAAAAGCTTTACTTCAAGACAACAATACTTAACTGTGCAACAGAAGTGCTTTACATATATATTCCATTTTGTCACACAAAATATTAAGAAGATGTGAACTCAAGGGTCAATATGTATTAAAAGTAATCATATTTATTGCTTCATCAAGTACATTCTTTTTTTTTTTTTGAGACAGAGTTTTGCTCTTGTTGCCCAGGCTGGAGTGCAGTGGCGCAATCTCAGCTCACTGCAACCTCCACCTCCCAGGTTCAAGCAATTCTCCTGCCTCAGCCTCCGGAGTAGCTGGGATTACAGGTGTGCACCACCATGCCCAGCTAATTTTGTATTTTTAGTAGAGATGGGGTTTCTCCACGTTGGTCAGGCTGGTCTCGAACTCCCAACCTCAGGCGATTCGCCCGCCTCGGCCTCCCAAAGTGTGGGGATTACAGGTGTGAGCCACTGCCCCAGGCCTGCTTCATCGAGTACATTCTTAAGTGAAACTGGCATTTTTTTCTAAGAACATGCAATGATTAGACTAGCACAATTTGGTAGTCCGCTTTGACTAGCGCTAAGTTTTACCCTTCATTGTTTCTGCACCATCAATGTAAATGTCAACACAGTGGAAAAATCAAACACCGTCTTATTAAGATGATTTTAACCTCAGGGATTCTCAGGTGTCTCTCTGCAGACCACTCTTTGAAAAAGAGTACTATAGCAAAAAAAAAAAAAAAAAAAAAAAAGAAAAAAAAAGGAAAAAAATCATTTTAAAGAGGACAAAGTTAAGAGTGTAATTTAATAAAAGGGCAAGATGCAAATGATGAGCAAATACAATAGATATGGAAGACTGGAGAGTCAATCTATGAATTACGTAACCCAAAGGAAGAAACTTGAACTGTAAGGAGCAGGAGCAATCATTGAAGGCCAGGCATGGTGGCTCACGTCTGTAATCCCAGCACTTTGAGAGGCCAAGGTAGGAGGATCGCTTGAGCCGAGGAGTTTGAGACCAGCCTGGGCAACATAGTGCAACCCTGTCTCTACAAAAATAATTTTTAAAAACATTAAAAAAAGAAGAAGTCATCAAAGACATACAAGAAAAAAAATTCTGAGTTAAAAATCTGATTCTGTATATGAAAGGGCTCACTGAGCTTCAGGGAAAATTAATGCCATACACAAGCCAAAGGGTTTAATGACGAGATCCAGGTTTAAAAAACCATTACTGATGAACAAAAATTGGTCAACACTCACACAGGTCTTCTTCACAACAGTAAATGCCAAGAAACAAAGGTCATCTACATAGGACGTTCAGAGGGAAATGTTGGCCAAGGATTCTGTACTCCACCAAGTCACTGGGTGTGTGTGCATGCAACAAGAAGACATTCTGGGTTATGCAAAACTCAGAAAATAAAAATCACTTTTGTATTCTTCCTGGGTACAAAATCCTCTTGCCCTTCCAGTCAACTCATATTCATTGAGAAGATTAAAAATGCTGAGTTCACTGCTGACTTTGGTCATTAATGGGAATGCCTTACACCCTTAAGAGGAGAGAACACTCAAGGAATTTACTCTGAATTCATTGGAGAACTCAAGGAAATGGATGAGACATATATCCATTTAACCGAATGGTTGGACTGTTATCTTACCTTTTTCTAACTGGATAAAAAAGTTTTTTTCACATGAAACTGTTAAGAAGGATAAGGTAAATCTGTATGTATTCACATGCAAAGATGTCCAGGATATATTTTTAATTAAAACAAAAGAAACAGGTTTCAGAGCAATAAATATAGGTAGAATACATGACCCTATTTTAGTTCCCCTCCAAAGGGAAAACACACATGTCTACACGCACACAAATATACACACACATACATCTGTGTATAAATGCATAGAAAAAAGTCCGGAAGGACACAGAGTGGTTACATTTTGTGTGACAGAGGAATGTCAGGAGTTGAATTGTGTCCCCCTCTCTACTCCCCAATAAAATTCAAATGTTGGAATTCTAACCTCCAAAACCTCATAATGTGACTATTTGGAGATAACATATCTATTTGGAGATAATCAAGTTAAAATCAGGTCATCAGAGTGGGCCCTAATCCAGTATGACTGCTATCCTTCTAAGAAGGGGACATTTGGACACAGAGACATGCACAGAGGGAAGACTATGAGAACAGGCCTGGAAAAGATGGAGAAGATGTGCAACCCAAGGAGAGAGGCCTGGAGCACATCCTGCCCTGGTAGCCCTGCAACACCCTACTTTGGACTTCCAGCCTCCAGACTGCGGGACCACAAATTTCTATTGTTTAAGCCACCCAGTTTGTGGTATTTTGTTATGGCAGCCCCGGCAAAACAACAAGGAGACTCTTATTTTTATATTATATGACATTTTATTTATTTATTTATTTAGAGACAGAGTCTTGCGCTGTTGCCCAGGCTGGAGTGCAGTGGCTTGATCTCAGCTCACTGCAGCCTTTGCCTCCCAAGTTCAAGCATTTCTTGTGCCTCAGCTTCCTGAGTAGTTGCGATTACAGGCATGCGCCACCACGCCTGGCTAATTTTTGTATTTTTAGTAGAGATGGGGTTTCACCATGTTGGCCAGGCTGGTCTTGAACTCCTGACCTCAAGTGATCCACCCTCTTCGGCCTCCCAAAGTGTTGGGATTACAGGTGTGAGCCACTCCACCTGGCCTGTATGACATTTTAATAACTACATATGTTACTTCTATAATCACAACCCCTTCTCAAAAAAAAAAAAAAAAAAGACATAATGAGGGGGAAAGGGTACCAGGTATGATTATCACATAATAACTGTCTTTTTCCTCCTTTATAAATATATATGCTTTCCCTGACCCCAACAGTGCCCTTTAGGAGCTCAGCTTGCCACCACGGCACCAATAGCACCAGTGGCTGCTCCAGCTGAGGAGATGGGGCAGGCCCTGATTTGCACAGTTACAACTGGTATCTGGTTCTACAAGATGTTAACAGGGTCATTGCCCTTCATTCCATGCACCTAGTTCAGTTCTAAACAAAGGAAGAGCGGTTTTTCTAACCATCTCACCCCACGAATCGGAAAGACCAACGGGCTTCCAGTGAGGACGCCCGCATTGGCGGGCACTTTCACAAGCCTCCTCCCCACACCCCCCGCCCCCCCCATTCACACAGATGGCCCTGTGATTGCCTGCTCCAATGCCACAATACATAACCAACAAAACCCAGCCTGTGAGTCCTGTAAAATAGAGCTCCTCTAACAATACTTTTTCCCCTGGGAAGTGTCCTGATTTTCTGGGGGGTGTCCACCATTCAGGGAAGTGGGTAGTGGACCAGCATCAGGGCAGCAGCAGGGAGGAAGGGCAGAGGCGTGACTTGCAGGAGGCGACCCCAAAGGCCAGAGAAGCGGGGTGGGAGGTTCAGGCAGGCAGTACTCTGGAGACAGTGCTCTGACCCAGGGCAAGTGCCACTGAGCAGGACCCTGCCCTCTCGGCAAAACCGCTCCCACAGAGGCCACCGACTTTTTACCAGTTGGATGCATTGGCTCCCAGAAACCCAGCCAGCTTAGTGCACTTCTGCAGCCGTCCTTGGAGCTGTGAACATACCTGGAGGGGTCAGCAAGAAACTGAAATCAAATTCAGATCAAATAGAAGTTAAGAAATAGAAATCTCAACACACAGGATGTAGATCTAAATACTCACAAAATATTGATAATGCGCTTCAGCCTTCTGTGCCTTGAAAGAGGTTGTTCTCTCGAGTTCCTGATGTTTCCTCAGGGCCTCAGAATAAAAAAGGGACTGAGAAAGGAACTAGCATTTTTGGGGCACCTGCTGCGTATCCCACTGTAACTAAAGCATATCATTTAACCTTCACGCCAGCTGAGGGTAGGTATTATCCCACTTGTTAAATCTGAGAAAACTCAGAAAGGTGAAGTCACTTGCCCAAGAACTAATGGCTAGTAATGGCAGAAAGGCTGTCCAGTGACCTTTATGGAGTTAGGTGTAGTCGGTCCTCTGTATCCATGTTTTCTGCATCTGTGGATTCAACCAACCTCACATCGAAAATATATTCATTTAGGCTGGGCATGGTGGTTCACACCTGTAATCCCAACACTTTGGGAGGCCAAGGTGGGTGGATCAGCTGAGGTCAGGAGTTTGAGACCAGCCTGACTGACCAACATGGTGAAACCCTGTCTCTACTAAAAATACAAAATTAGCCGGGTGTGGTGGCGGGTGCCTGTAATTACAGCTACTCAGGAGGCTGGGGCAGGAGAATCACTAGAACCCGGGAGGCGAAGGGTGCAGTAAGCCAAGATCATAACACTGCACTCCAGCCTGGGCAACAAGAGCGAAACTCAGTCTCAAAAAAAAAAAAAAATCATTAAAGTGTTTTAATAGAGGTTAAGAAAAAACAAAACAAAGAAAGGGCCAGGCATGGTGGTTCATGACTGTAATCCTAGCACTTTGGGAGGCTGAGGTGGGAGGATCTCTTGAGCCCAGGAGGTCAGGACCAGCCTGGGCAACAGTGAGACCTCCATCTCTATGAAAAAAATTTAAAAACAGTTAGCTGGGCATGGTGATGTGCACCTGTAGTCCTAGCTACTCGAGGGGATAAGGTGGGAGAATCACTTGAGTCCAGGAGGTCAAGGCTACGGTGAGCCATGACTGTGCCACTGCATTCTAGCAAGGGTGACAGAGTGAGACCCTGTCTCAAAAAAAAAAAAAAAAAAAAAAGGATATAAGAGGGAGGATGTGGGATGTGTATAGGTTATATGCAAATATATCAGGGACTTGAGCATCTGTGGATTTTCTATCTGCAGGGGGTCCTGGAACCAATCCCCCATGGATACTGAGGGTTACTGTTGTTTCTTTACATGTGTGCTTCCTCACTTGTAAGGTGGAAAAGAATCCTGCATTCCGCAGAAAGTTAAACATGACGTTGGTGGTATGCCCAGTTCCGGCCTAGCACATAGGACACCAAAGACAAACTATACCTGAGGCAGCCTGAGGGCGCCCCAGAGAACCAGACGGACAGGATAAGGCTCTTGACTGTCGCCCACTTGTCAAGGCCACCAGCAGGGAAGGAAGGAACAGAGGCATCAGAGTGAGGCCTGGTAAGGACCTGGGCTCTGCAGTTGGCTAGCCCAGCTCAGCCTGGTTCAGTCCTTGCCTCCTGGGACCGCAGTTTACCTGTTACTCACCCTTTCTAAGCTTCAGTTGCTCAACTGTGACACAGGGATGACAGGAGGGCCCTGTCTTGCAGGGAGCATGAGGGCAAGTGAGCTCGTAGGACTCTTTCCCCACTCCTCCAAGTCCTCCTCTCCCTTCCTAACTTCCAACATCTCTCCATGCTTCTCACCTTTGCCAGTGGCTTGCGAAAATCACCCCCTTTAGGAAGAGTTAAAACTGAAACGTTAACACTAAGACGCAAGGCCCCTCCTATATATCTCCTTTTAAGGGCCCTACTCCTTTCTCTAGAGAAATTTTTCTCTGTGACCCTCAGAAGACCTCATACTTTATTTCCTCCTGGGGATTGTCACTGTAGCTCTGGAGCATCCAAAGTGTCAATTTGGAAAGGAAAGTGGGCCAAAGAGAGCTGCTCGGAGGAGACCAAGCATCTTGCAGTGTTAACAATTGTTTTCTGCGAGAAATTGTCCTCCAAACTACACACACACACACACACACACACACACACACACACACACACACACATATCCCTGAGGTTCAGCAGGGATCAGTGGAAAACAACTTAGAGGAAGTACAGCTGTTCCCTCTGAGGAGCGCTCGTTGGGGAAGCCAGGCCTAGGAAGAGGGGGTGTTCCTGGGCGGTGGCCTGCAGCCTTCCTTTCACTGAGGCATCCGAGCCCAAGGAGCTGCAGTCTCCCCTTGGGAATATGACATAACCATAGGAGGAAAGGGCCTTGAAAAAACAGACCGGTGTCCACATGTCCTTCGGCACAGGAAGCCCTGTCCCATCCTGTATGCGGGAACTCCAAGATCTGCCAACGCTCTAGCATCACCTCGTCTCCTGCCAGACAAATACCCCAAAGCCAGCGATCTGATAGGATGTGTTTATATTTACACGGTACATTTTAAAGCAATGGCTACATTGGTCATACATATTAGAAACCATAAAAAAAAGTTAAGAACTAAAATGTACATCATACACTTGTATATATATTTTTTACACAGAGGTAAAAAGGCTTATTATAAAAAAATCAATACAACAGGGTTTTTAGTATACAGGTAAAGAATGAATTATGCTTCAGGCACTTTAATTTGTTAATGTGAGCAAATAGCTTGGGGGGTCGGGGAGGCTTCTGGACAGAAAATCTTTTGGTTAATGTTTTGTTACCACAGATACAAAAATAAAATCTGAATAATTTCTCTCAAATGATTGACGTCAGTATGGCAAAGCTGACTGGGAAAATACTACACACTGTTCAGCTGCAGTGTGGCAATTAGAGACGTATTTACATAAATGTCCCCATGGCTGTCTTTGTGCCCTTAACCGATGCCTTCACAAACCAAAAAGTATACGTGGAGTAAGATCTGCTAGCGTAACTCTTAAAAGGGTGGAAAAGGACAAGGGGTGAAAGAAGAGAGAAACAGGTAACAACTAAATAGAGGTGACAAACAAAAAACAGCTGGGATATGTGCGTTCTTATTGAAATAAATAGGGGCACTTGAACTGAGGTCTAAGGAAACGAACATTAGTGTTGTGCTTTGTAGAGAAGAGACCCTAGAGAAAGACCCCAAGGAAGTGCCTCCGGGTCGGGGGAAGGTGGTCTCTCGACAGCACTGGAGGCTGGCTGAAGGTTTTCTAGATGTTCTCCAGGCATGGATGAGGTTCTCTTTTCTTCCATCAATCCAGATGGACAGCTCTCTGCTCCTTTTCCAAACTGGAAAGCCTAAACCAGTTACTCCAATGAATGAAGACGTCTACTAACTGACTCATAAGCACACTGGGTATTTACACCGGTAATCTACTAAAGAAAATCGATGAGCTTGTGGACGAGCTGGAAACAGCCCCATGAAGGTGAGCACAGCTAGCACTTTCCCAATATGATTGGCAGACTGGAAAAAAGTCCCTTTCCTTGAAGACTGGTGTCCTGTGTGCAATAAAGAAGGAGTGGGGAAAGGGAGTGGGGAGCAGGCCATGTCTTCTGCTGGCCGCTACCACAGAAAGATCGTGGCGGGAAGAACAGCCGGCGTCCGCAAGCCTGTCCCCGGTGGTCTCCACGAGGTTCTGATTGTACTATGCTAGGTATAGGTAACCACTCTTCACTTTTCTTCTTTCTTCAATAAGAAGATTTGGCTAATCCTTGCAACGTATTAGAAAAATACTCTTTTCCAGCTAATTAGAAGCCTCCTCCGTGGCAAGGCGACAGGCAGAACCAGTTGGCTGACCTAACCACCTGTGCACCCAAAGTGGCGAGTCTGGGTTTGGAGTTGCAGGAGAAAGACACTTAGGCATTGGAAGGGTTTTTACATATGGCCTTGTTTTTTCCCCAAGTATAAATGAGGAATTTGGTGATGTGAAATTGAGTCCAAAATGAAACGAAAACATAAACCCATGAAGAAAATGCAACCCACCACTCTTCAAATTTATGACATTTAAAAATCCCCTCTCCCCATTAATATAAAATAGCCAGGGGTTGGGGGGAAGAAGCTCCCTATGGTTTTATTCACCATAACCTTAGTGTTTCTCAACTGGAACTTGTTCGTGGGAACACTGATTTGTGTTTGAGGAAACTATTTGGTTTGCAAAACAACAAGCAAAATTTCTTACTTCACTAGTATCCTATTCTAATATTGCTAAATTTTTAGAAGTGGTGGCAACACAATTTAAAAAATGTTCTACTTTAGGGGTAATGGGGAGGCTCATAGAAACCTGAAATCCCCATTCTAGCCCTGGTCCAAGAGGATGCAATGCAGTTGAAGGAATTTTCCTGATTCTCACAAGTTAATCTGAAGTTAAGGCTCAATTCTCAGTCTATTACGGGTGAATGTTTTGCATCAGTGAATCATTTCAACAGATTTTGGGGGGGCAGAAAATGATGATGGGCTAAAGATAGAAACTGCAGCTTACATGGGAAATTTGGCTTTAGAAAAGTTAAAGCGATATTGTTTTGTGGTACAAGTTTGTTAACTAGCTCACCTCCTATACATAATAACTGACTGCAGGCTGAGATACTTCTGTCGGGTTTCATCATTCTCACATCCCATTTCCGCTGAACCAGATGCTTGCTAGCGACAGGCAAGGTGAACCAAGAGAAAGAGAGTCTTCGACGCTCTTGGAAAAATCAACTACAAAACCCACCGAAAATCAGCAGTTCCAATTGCAGACTCCTTTGAACTGGAAGAGGCGGGGGAGGAGGAAACAGGAAATCAACACATGGATGAGACAGTTAGCTTGGTTACAGATTGTTAATAGTACAGGAGTCTGTGGCGAAGGTTCCTTCCTCAGAACACTGTGCGAGCGTGTGTGTATGGATGTGGCTGCTGCAGTGTGGGCGGCAGGGGGAGTGGAGAGTCTACCCGGCAGCGTCCCTGGCTGGAATGGTGCCTCGAGGTACCAGGGAGCTGGGAGGCCGCTTGCCCTCCTCGCTCCTTGGAGTGGAAGGGAGCGGGGGAGAAGATGAGAGTATGTAAGAGACGAGTTCCCCTGTGGCTGCGGATGGAGGGAGAAGGGAGGGAAACTGAGTCACGCGGCCGCTTTGTGCTTCCCGCCACAGCACCTGCACATCACTCCGCAGTGGTAGCAGGCCCGAAGGGGCAGGTAACAGCACATACAGGGGGCCAGGAAAGACAAGGCAATAAGAGCCATCCACCGGAGGCAAAACTTCTCGTCGCTAGTATCGCACGAGCAAGGGTCTGTATAGTCTCCCTCGGGGTCCGACATACAGTGATAGAGCATGCTGTCCGCGCACCACATGCAGCTCACCCGGCGGATGCAAGTTCTCACGGAGTCGGGCGCGTCCTGGCAGTGGCCCCGGCGGTTCTCCTCGTGGTTGAACATGTCCCTGCAGTACACGCACCGCGAGCGCTCTCCGTCCTCCTTCCGCCGCCGCGACTTGCCCCGGGAGGGCTGCGTCTTGATCACGCTGCCCCCGCGGCCTTTGGGGTCCTCGCCTAGGCCAAAGTCTGAGGAGTCCACGTAGGGGTAGTTGTAGTCATGCTTGGGGACCTCGCCCTTGGCGAAGCGCACGTAGGAGGAGTCCGCGTCCTCCGAGGGGTCCGGGTACTTGCCCCTGACGGGTGCGTGCCGGTAATCCTCGTACCCCGTCATCCAGATCTTCTCCCGGGGGTTGATGCGCACGATCTCCTCGTCGTCGTCCGGGAAGCTCACCTGGCGGTAGGGCCTTGGCATCGGCTGTCCCGTAGGAGAGGAGACATTATTTTACAGCAGCGGCCAAAAAACAAACAAACAAAAAAACACCCCACCTTCTCCCTCCCTAGCCGTCCAAAATGCACCTTTCTCGATAACTCCATCACGATGCTCCGTGAAGAAACAGACCCTTCCTGAAATTACTGAATATCCTGTCGCCCAGTCAGAGATGTATTTCAAATAGAGTCTCAATCCATTAATGGGCCAGGAAATCAATTTCGTGGGTTGAGACCGGCAGTATTTTCCCTTTCTGGTGACGCACTGCCATACAGGCAGGGGAGTGTGCACATGGCAAGGGCACAGTGTGATGCGTTCTCAGGAGCATGGCACACTCAGATCAAGAGGCAGAACAGGACCTGTGCCCCAGAGTATCTTCCGCCTCCCTCAGGGATCTCCTAGCCCCAGTGTGAGGGCTACACTCACTTCTAAAGGCCTGCATTAGTTTTGCCTATTTTTGTATGGTATGTTCTCTTTTGTAAGGCTGGCTTTTTAAAAATTGAAATAGAATAAGGACACTGGAGTGCAATACATGTGAGAAGGTAAGTCCTGTTTTACGAAACTTCATTATCCATATGTGCACAATATGTCCACAAAGGATCACAATAGGAGATGCATTTCTCCCTGTGGGTGTCTCCTTCAAGAGACAGGGGACACTAGGAAACAGTAGCTCACCATGTCATCTGGTGAGATGCGGACAGGAGAAGGATAGAGTGAAGGCTCCGGAAACTGAAGTTTCACTCCTGCCAGGATCTCACAAATAGTGAGTGGCCAGACCAAGAGCCACACCCTCTAGAAACCTGCAAATCTAAGCTGCATTCTCCCTCAGGGTGGAAGAGGCTTTTCTCTGCAGTTAGTCCTGCTACAGGCTGCAACCCTGCCTTGTCCAGAGCAGCAGACACTGAATAAATATTTATTAATTACATGCATATAACCCTGGCTCACCCAGGGCCTCTCAGTGGAGGCAGAGAACTGAGACTTCTTGCTTTCGAAGTCCTTTGGGCATGAAGGTTTTTCAGGGGTTGAGGAACGTGGCTCTGGAGTGACTCACTGCAGTCAAATGCTGACATTTTCTAGCTAGTACCTAAGACTCAGGTTCCATTTCTGTCGAACTGCATAGGACTGTTTTGAGAATGAAGAGAAACAATCTACAGAGGGTGTCAGCTCACAGCCTTGCTCACAGGATGCACTTGATAACTCTCGCCATCACAGTCATTATCATATTGTTACGGACTTGATCATGCGCTTATTAGATTTACCCATCACTTCCTACCAGAGGGCAGGGCCATGTCCCACACATTTTACCTTAATTCCTGTCAAATTCTTGGTATCAGAGTTGCCTAGATTTTTGAAAATCATGATTTCAGAAGGATTTCAAAACAAATCTCGGAAACTGACACGGGCTTTACTAATTCTTTATTTTGGACAGTAAGGAAAGTAAAAAAGTTAATTTCCATCTACTGCTAGCATAATGTGATATTTATTTATTTATTTATTTTTTGAGATGGAGTCTTGCTCTGTTGCGATGACGCAATGGCGCAATCTTGGCTCACTGCAAGCTCCACCTCCTGGGTTCACGCCATTGTCCTGCTTCAGCCTCCCGAGTAGCTGGGACTACAGGCGCCCGCCACCACACCCAGCTAATTTTTTGTATTTTTAGTAGACACGGGGTTTCACCGTGTTAACCAGGATGGTCTCAATCTCCTGACCTTGTGATCCACCTGCCTCGGCCTCCCAAAGGGCTGGGATTACAGGCATGAGCCACTGCACCTGGCCAATAATGTGATTTTTAAATAGGACATTTTAATCCCAAAATATTAGGAAGCACAATCTAAAATAATTTTTTTAAAAAGAGTCAAATAAATCTAGTTTTATGTTTAAAAACAAAACAAAACAACTCACTGCCCTTTTTTCTCATTTCAAAGCAGCCTAGTGGCCACAGCACCCCACACAGGCACCAGTCCATGCCCCATGATTTGGGAACTTGCTCTGCAAAGCAGCCACTTGGTAAATATTTGTTGAACTACCGAATTCTGAGCTCCAGCTACATCCGCCTGAGCAAGACTGGGCCTGTAGCCTGTAAGGCTGGGGGCTCGAGCCAAGTGTGCAGCATTCCTTAGTCCTGATTGTGGCTCTGGGCTTCCACACAAAGCTGGGAGGCCCTTTGGACAGAGGAATGCAGGACGCAGTGTAGCCCCCTGGGTGAGAACAGGCTTGGATTTGAATCTCGTTCCATCAGATACTCCACCTCTCTAAGCCTCAGCTTCCTCATCGATAACCTGGGGAGGCTGAAGACTTGCCTTGTGGGGCAGTTTCTGAGGATTAAACCACATAAAGCATATAAAGGGTCTGGCAAGGTGTCTGGCACACAGAAAACACTGGATGAGGCTGAGGTGCCACCACCAATGCCACTTTCAATATGAAGTGGGGGTAAAGGCAGGAGCAGGAGAGGCCTGTGGTCATGGAATTTGGCTGAATAGGAGGGGAAAGAGGCCATTCCAGAATCAGAGGCACCACCCTGATGCCCTCAGAGGAACAGGGCTGCTGCTCACCTGATCGAGGTGATAGTGGTCTGTGGGGTATGAGTCGTGGAGGTGGCCCAGGGTATAAATCCTCCGGTGCTCACAGGATGTGGGAGAGGAGATTGTCCGAGTAGGTTGCTCTCTCTTCTGAGAGGAATTAGAAGAACTGTCTGTAGCTGTCTGTGTAGAGGGAGGTAACCAAGAGTCAATTTAAAAACAACAACAAAAACCCCACGCAGCAAACCCTGACATGCACTATTCAAATACTAGCTATTCCCTGGTTGTGGCAATTTGCTGCTCTTCCCAAAATCTTGAGTTTGTCTTGGCTACAACAGGAGGACCCCTGAATGGCCAGATTGTCTAAACACAATGTGGCTGGTTCAACAGGCAGAGAAGCCCAGCCACCAGACCCTGGAAAGGTAGGTTTTTCTTAAATGCGGGAATAGTGACTGGGTGCGGGGGGAAAGGCTGGATATACCAGGCTCCCCAAAGGTTTGTGTTCTAGTTTGATCAAGAATGGTTACCCTGGCCAGGCGCGGGGGCTCATGCCTGTAATCCCAGCACTTTGGGAGGCCAAGGCGGGCGGATCACCTGAGGTAAGGAGTTCAAGAGCAGCCTGGCCAATATGGCAAAACCCTGTCTCTACTAAAAATACAAAAATTAGGCAGGCATGGTGGCAGGTGCCTATAATCCCAGCTACTCGGGAGGCTGAAGCAGGAGAATTGTTTGAACCCGGGAAGCGGAGGCTGCAGTGAGCCAAGACTGAGCCACTGTACTCCAGCCTGGGTGACAGAGCAAGACTCCATCTCAAACAACAACAACAACAACAACAACAACAACAACAACAACAACAACAAAAACAAAACATAAATAAAAGAATGGTTATCCCATCTGTGGCCCTGGTTGTGAGGTGTTATGGCAAGCAGGGAAGACGCACACAGGCAAAAATGAAACCCACGTGTTTATATGGAGGGGGGAAATCTCCACCTGGGAGAGTCTCAGAGGTAAGGATACCGCTGGCTGGCGTATCTTGAGTACTGGATTTCCAAGAATAAATTTTGTATCTTTGGGGTTGGGAGCAAGACTTGGAGGTCACTTTAAACTGGAAGTGAGATGGATGACTGCATAGAAAAACAGAGGCCACCTCTGTGAAGGGGGAGTACAGAGCTGTTTTGCCCAGTAGAGATGTCAAGTTAAGACTGGAGTCTCCGTAACCATGTCTTTGGAAGGTGATTAGCTATCAGTGCGCACTGTACAAGCAGATCCCACAGGCACCCAGTATGCCACCTGATATGGTTTGGCTGTGTCCCCAACCAAAACTCATCATGAATTTGTGGGAGGGACCTGCTGGGAGGTAAGTGAATCATTGGGGCAAGTCTTTCCCGTGCTGTCCTCGGGATAGTGAATAAGTCTCAGATCTGATGGTTTTAAAAAGAGGTGTTCCCCTGCACAAGCTCTTTTTTTGCCTGCCACCATCCGCGTAAGATGTGACTTGCTCCTTCTTGCCTTCCGCCATGATTGTGAGGCCTCCCCAGCCATGCGGAACTGTAAGTCCAATTAAATCTCTTTCTTTTGAAAATTGCCCGGTCTCCGGTATGTCTTTATCAGCAGCGAGAAAATAGACTAATACTCCCACCTGAGACACAACGGAGCAGGCCAGGCGACCCCAGGTGGTGGTCATACTCCACAACCCTCTGGGCCCAGGGGCTATCCAGGGGCCTTGTTAGATGCAGCTGGCAACCATCTTTAAAACCAGGACCCCCAGAATCCCTACCCTTCCTTCTGCTTGCTTAGAGTGACATATCTCTCCACCCTCTACCATTCCCCAACTAAACAGATGAAAAGAAAAGGCTTTTTCTGATCTCTAGATGCTCTCTTTCTTGCAAATCTACAGGAACTTTCCTTTGGCTACTGTTTCTTACTTGTATATTCCCCTCATCTCATTTGCTTATATATATATTTTTAAATGTATTTATTTATGTATTTGGGACAGGATTTTGCTTTGTCACCCAAGCTGGAGTGCCGTGGCATGAACACAGCTCAAGTGATCCCCCTGCTTCAGCCTCCTGAGTAGCCGGGACAATAGGTGTGCACCACCACCCCTGGCTAATTTTTGTATTTTTTGTAGAGACGGGGGTCTTGCCAAGTTGCCCAGGCTGGTCTTGAACTCCTGGGCTCAAGTGATCCTCCTGCTTTGGCCTCCCAATATGCTGGGATTACTGCCATGAGCCACCATACCCTGACTTATCTATCACTTTACATGTTTTTGTTAGCTATCATAAATCATTTTAGGGACAAGGGCAAAACAAATAGACTTACAAAAGTTCTTTTTATCCTCCTCTCATTTATAAAGTAGTACATACTTAGAAAAAAAGCACTACAAGAATTTAGGAAAAACACACCCATATTTCCATTATGCAACATAAGCATTGTTAGTTTTTACACCTTGGTCCACATGTGCAGCATCCCTCTGGAGACCCAACCCTCCTGGATGTTTCTCTACTTGGGTTTGGTCTATGCCATGCATGGCTGATGCCTGCTTCTGATCCCCCAAGCCATGGTGACTAATTTCAATATGAACACACGGTGCTCTCCGAAGCAATATAGAGAGACTTTTGACAGAGCGGTCAGAAAAGCAGCTGTCTCCATTTCTGTAATCAAGATCTAAGGGTCCTATAAGCCTTGAATCCTGGCACGGGTGTGGGGAAAGGACTTGTCTGAGGATGGGAGCAAGAGAAGCCACCCTTAGTCCCTTTGAGCTGCTGGATCCAGCCAAGCCTGAATCCTGACCACTCGAGGATGTCCCAATGATGACACCAATTCTCTTTTGTGACTTAAGCCAGAATACACTGGGTTTGTCACTTGGGTGCACTTTCCCTTCACTATGGATTCCTTCCAAAGCAGTCCCACAGGCACCACACTCCTGGCTTCTCTCTACCCCTTACTCCTCCCCAGGTTCCCTCCTCTTCCTCACAAACAACTCTTCTTGGTGTCATATGTGTGAGTGCTTATGGTGTGCCAGGCCCTGAGCTACTTGTGGACACGGTTCCTCAGCATGGCCAGCAGGTCACAGGTAAAACACTATCTCCATGTCACACACTGGCACTAAGGGACTCTGAGAGATGGTGAATCCAGGCCATGGCAGCACAGTCACTGGCAGAGCTGGGACTGAAATGCAGCCTCCCTGACCACAAAGCCCAGGGAGATTTCTAATAGGCCCCACACACTGCTGCCTCTCACAGCCAGGTAAGTCCACTTCCAGCTCCTATGCTAAGAGGTATTTTGTTGAGATTAACACAAAACACAACTTCTCCAAGTCACAAGGTACACCCTGCTGTATACAAACCCAGGAGATGAGGAGATGATGTCTCACAGTACAAAGGTTACTACAGATCTCAATAAATACCTCTCAAATGAGTAATCAGGGCCTTTCAGTGTGATTCAAATCTCAAGAGTTAAATTCTTATCCAACAGCCACGTTACAGTCATCTATTAGGTTAGAAGTTAGCCTTGTGTTGAACATTGTAATAAGCTCTCAGTACTTAGTTCTCAGAAGCCCATTTAACACACCACGGTCACCACTGTGTTAGTCATCTGTTCACCCTAACTCAGCCTATTTTCTGTGACCCACTTTTGGGTTAACAATGTGTAGAAAGTCCTTCTGAGAAATGAGGCACATCCGGCTTTTCCTAGGACTCATTAGTCGATCAGAAATGCTACCTTCCGATATTCCCATCCCACCTCCCCAGCCCTCTCTCCCTGCACAGTCCAGTGCAAAGCTCCCCAGACATTTGTCAGAGGATGTGAGACTGAGAAAGGCCTTATCTGATGACGAATTTCTACAGTGAAGCAAGAAGGCCAGAAGACCTCGAGAGGCATGTCCACAGTCTACTGCCTCCTGAGGGCAGAGCTGAGGTTGCGTCCTAGCCGAGCCTGCAGTCTTCCAGGCCCAGCTGTTCAGGGTTGTCTGAACTCCCAGAAGATTCCATTGGAAGCCAAGGCTATTTCAGATGGATACTAACAGATGATTCTTACAAAGCAGCTAGTGTGACCTACAAACAAAAGGAATGTACTACCAGGGCATCTCCAAGAAAGGCAAAGGGGAAAAAAAATCTCCTTTTACCCTCATGCACCTCTGAACTGGCTCTCCTATAACTCTGCCCTGGTTTCCGTGGGCTGCAGAAAAGCAGCCCACCTGAGGTATGCACATACCTAATACACAAGCAAGATTCTTAAACATCTCTCTGTTATTTCTGTGCACAAGCTACTGACACCTACCAACCTACCAATCTGAAAGCTGTCACCTTCAATGAAAAAGTTGGCAATCACATGCTCCCAACTGTATCTACACTCCCCTTGCTCTCCAGTGGGGGTCTAAGAACTGTTAGGGCTTTGAAGAACAAAAGCAGAGGTCCCCTGTGACTACTCTGTGCTCGGGGACTTCAGGCTCCTAGAAGGCATGACTGCAGCATCCTGAGAGAGCAGGTCAGAGTGGGCGTTTAATGTCTCCTGCTGTGGACACTGAGGCTGGCATTGCCATCTGGCCCCAGCTGACACTGGGAGGTCTTGTGCACTATGATGCAGGGAGCACAGCCCTTGCCACCTGCAAATGTACCCTCTAAAAACACTCTTGCCTTTGGGTTTGACTCTGACTCAATGTCAATGCCTGTTGCTAAAAAGATGTCCAGCTGGGTGCAGCTGCTCATGCCTGTAATCCCAGCGCTTTGGGAGGCTGAGGTAGGAGGATCGCTTGAAGTCAAGAGTTCGAGACCAGCCTGGGCAACAAATCAAGACCCTGTCTAAAAAAAAAAAAAAAAAAAAAAAAAAGATGTCCAATTAAGAAGTGTGCAACCTAATATGAGGCACTGAACAACAGAAACGAGGGGAGTATTACAATGCTAAAAACAACAGGGTCTCAGCTCAGGCAGATTAGATTTGAATCATTCTCTGCTAATTATAAGATGATTTTGGTCAAGTTAATCTCTAACTCCAGTGTTTACATCTGTAAAATTGGGCCAAAATCTTCCTTGGGGTTATGGCAAAAATAAAATGGGATTTAAAATTTCTATTTTGCTATACATTTTTTTGAGACAGAGCCTTGATCTGTCACCCAGGCTGGAGTGCAGCGGCGGAATCTCAGCTCACTGCAACCTCCGCCTCCTGGGTTCAAGCGATTCTCATGCCTCAGCCTCCCGAGTGGCTGGGATTACAAGCACGTGCCAACACGTTTGGCTAATTTTTTGATTTTTTTAGTAGAGATGGGGTTTCACCAGGTTGCCCAGGCTGGTCTCCAACTCCTGAGCTCAGGCAATCTGCCCACCTTGTCCTCCTAAAGTGCCAGGATTACAGGGATGAGCTACCACGCCTGGCCTAAAAATTTCTATTTTAAACTGTGACTGCTGGTATATGAAAGTTACTGATTCTGTATGTTGATCCTGTATCTGGTTGTTTTGCTTAGCTCCCTTATGAAACTAGATTTTTCTAAGTAAATCATTTTGCTCACAAAAGATAGTTTGGTCTCCTTTCCTCTCTCTCTCTCTCTCTCTCTCTCTCTCTCTCTCTCTCTCTATATATATATATATATATATATATTTTTTTTTTTTTTTTTGAGACGGAGTCTTGCTCCGTTGCCCAGGCTGGAGTGCAGTGGCACGATCTCGGCTCACTGTAAGCTCTGCCTCCTAGGTTCACGCCGTTCTCCTGCCTCAGCCTCCCAAGTAGCTGGGACTATAGGCACTTGCCACCACACCCGGCTAATACTTCGTATTTTTAGTAGAGATGGGGTTTCACCTTGTTAGCCAGGATGGTCTCAATCTCCTGACCTCGTTATCCACCTGCCTTGGCCTCCCAAAGTGCTGGGATTACAGGCGTGAGCCACCGTGCCCGGCCTCCTTTCCAATATTTATACCATCTTCTTCTTACCTCATTGCATCTTTTGCCAGGGCTTCCAACATGACATGGAAAAACAGAGGGGACAGTGTCCTGCTTGTCTTGAACCTGACTTTGATAGAATTACTTCTAATGAATTTCTATTAGATATAATATTTCTAGGTAATTGGAGTGATTATAAAGTTCCAAAAGTTTCCTTCTATTCTAGATTGCTAAGGATTTTCACCAGATATTAGATGTTATTAGATGATTTTTCTGTCTACTGAGATGATTACAAAATCTTTCACCTTTATTTTATTAATATGTGAATTAAACAGCTTTTCCAACATAAACCTTCTTTGCATTCCTCAGATACATTCTACCGGTCTTTCACTAAATATGCCTTACTAATATGTGATGTGATTTATTTATTTATTTTTTGAGACAGAGTCTCGCTCTGTCGCCCAGGCTGGAGTGCAGTGGCACAATTTTGGCTCACCGCAACCTCCGCCTCCTGGGTTCAAGCGATTCTTATGCCTCAGCCTCCTGAGTAGCTGGACCACAGGCACGTGCCACCACACCTGGCTAATTTTTTATATTTTTAGTAGAGACAGGGTTTCGCCATGTTGGCCAGGCTGGTCTCCAACTCCTGACCTCAGGTGATCCGCCCACCTCAGCCTCCCAAAGTGCTGGGATTACAGGCATGAGCCACTGCACCTGGCCCACTGTCAAATTTTTCTATGGTAACTATAAAAAAACCACATACTTTGAGTAGCAAATAACAAGCTCTGTGTGACCTGGTTTCTAAAGCCCTCTAACAGGGCAGTGAGCTGAGACAAGCCTTTGATGAGGAAGAACCCAGAAAGGAGAGAGTAAGAAAAGAGAAGGGAAGGGGGTGAAAGCAGGTGTCAGAGGGTACAGAAATGAAAGTGGGCACTGCCAACATTTAAAAAAACAAGAAACAGGGACAGGGCTGGCCTGTCCAAATCCTCTATGGTAGTAAAAAAAAAAAAATCCATCCCTGGCCAGGCGCGGTGACTCACGCCTGTAATCTCAGCACTTTGGGAGGCTGAGGCGGGCAGATCACGAGGTCAGGAGATCGAGACCATTCTGGCTAACACGGTGAGACCCCGTCTCTACTAAAAATACAAAAAATTAGCTGGGCGTGGTGGCAGGAACCTGTAGTCCCAGCTACTCGGGAGGCTGAGGCAGGAGAATGGCGTGAACGTGGGAGGAAGAGGTTGCAGTGAGCCGAGATCGCGCCACTGCACTCCAGCCTGGGCGACAGAGCAAGACTCCGTCTCAAAAAAATCCATCCCTTCCCAGAAGGGTTTCTGGGTTTGGGTTGGGTGCTTTGCGGGATGTGGGCTCAGACACAGAAAGTGACCATGTTGTTGGGGGAGATGCCACGTGGCACGGGAAGAGGCAAGGCCAGGTGAGCAGTCCTCAAGCACCAGGCCTCAGAGCACTGGTCAGAGTCAGGCAGCTTCCCAGAGGGGTGTGTCTGAGATGGGTCATAGCATTCTAGATGGGTAGACCAGAGGAAGAAAAGGGGGCTCAAGTTTATCAGTGAACATCTGATCAACATCTCCAAAAAAAGAGCAGGCTTCCAGTTGCCAGATTCTATAGACACAGGCTGTACTTATTTTGAGAATTCAGATATTTCCCATAACTCTAGAGTTTGATGACAAATGAGAGCAACTCCATGGAGCTTCAAAACTTGAGACAGAATTTTAAAAAATAATAATGGACCTTAATGTTATGATGGCTTGACAATCAATCAAAATCTGAGTGCAAAAGACACTGGGCTGAAACTGCCTGGGCTAATGGACTGGCAGTTTCCCCAAGGTCAATGCTGTCTGGTTTGGGTGGGAATCAGCCTGAATGGAGAAACGAGACTAACAGGGCAACACCTCAGGTTAAACCTGAGCCAGCTCCCTCCTGCTGTATGAGCCTTTTTTGTACAATATGATCTCTTGTTCTTGGAAGCTTGGCTACTCTTCCCTCTCTTATGGAGGGACCTTGAGTTTACTGGGAAATTCATAAAGAAGCAAGTGCAGCAGCTCACACGCCCTGGGTCCAAGAATGAACCTTCTTCATGTAGAAGGCCACCTCTCTGACCAAGGGAAGCTCAAGGAGGGAGGGAAGGAACCACCAGGCCAGACGAGCTGAGGAGACAGGTTGCTTAAATTGTCCATTCTGGGATGGAATCCTGGCTGCTGACCCAGGACTTTTTGGGGGCACTTTCTGTGTCTTCAGGACGAGCCGGACAGATTTCAACGTTCACATTTCGCAGGTCTTTTCAGTACTATGCGCATCCCTTCAAGTCCTCTAGGTTTTCCTGCTAAACCTTTGCTTTCTAAAAGAGGGTAGGGGCAGAGGACAAGGAGGCAACAGTTGGCAAAAAGTGCTATGGGAAAGAAAAGGTGTGCCTGGGCTGTTTTCTCAAGGACACTTGGAATTATTATCAAGGGGCACCTGGTTCACAGCCTTCTCAAGTAGGATGCTCCCATCCAGTACATGGGTGAGACTATTAGAGGGCTGGCAATGTGTAATTTCTTCCTTCTTCTTAGGGAGGGAGATAAAAGGGACAAACCCCTCCTCTCAAGAGGCAAGGAAACAAGTACAGCCACTTCATCATCCTCATGTTCCCAGGAACACAAGGGCTGACTGCAGAAATCACAATGTGCAAAGAGCCAAGCCCTCTCTGACCAGCCCATTTGGGAGATCAGTGGGCCTACGTGTTTTGAATAGGGCCATAGAAAACAATGTTAAAGAAACTGCTTAAGGAGCTAGACCACATCATTCAGGAATCATGTAGCACTGCTAAGCAAAAATAGCACTATACAGGGAGATTCGAAAACCTCAATTTCAGGCCAGGCCAGATATCTTGGACAAGTTGTTTAACTTTTGGGGGCCTCAGTTTTCTCATGTGTAAAATGAGGGAGTTGAACTAGATGATTTCCAAGGTCTGTTTGAGCCCTAACAATTTCATGTGCAATGCCTCTCACCTGCTCCTAAGAACATTACAGGTTAGAGGAGTTGGACTAAGCCCGTTGCTTAGTTGATTCAAGAACCACAGGATTAGGACAGGTGCAGTGGCTCATGCCTGTAATCCCAGCACTTTGGGAGGCCAAGGGGTATGGATCACCTGAGGTCAGGAGTTGGAGACCAGCCTGGTCAACATGGTGAAACCCCATCTTTGTAAAATACAAAGTATTTTGTATACAAAATAGAAAATATCTTTGTAAAAATACAAAAATTATCTGGGTGTGGTGGCAGGTGCCTGTAATCCCAGCTACTCAGGAGGCTGAGGCAGGAGAATCACTTGAACCCGGGAGGCGGAGGTTACATTGAGCTGATATTGTGCCACTGCACTCCAGCCTAGGTGACAGAGCAAGACTGTCTCAAAAAAAAAAAAAAGTTACAGGATTAATTTTGATTGATTAAGTAGAATTTCTGCCTTGTCTGCAGATGCTGCTGCTATTTTGAATTTTTAAAGGTAGCTAACTAGTAGTTATGGACTACATTTGCATTATTTTTGCTGCAATCTACCACCAAAATATATCTCAATAGCTGATGTAACTAAGGCAATATTCTTCCTTTTGCAAGGGATTCTCATTTTATATATAAGTATTTACAACTCCCCCCACCCCGTATATAATATTCGTTCCTTTCTTAACCTCAGCCTGAGAGTGTCTCAGAAGGCTACTGGCTCAGACTGGATGAGTTGCAAGATTTTCCCCGCAATGTCTACTAAGGCTGAGAAACCTATGATCAGTCCTTTCTCCTTTGGCAAACAGGAAGTCGTCTGCCATTTTGTCAACAGGTCTTTGGGAACAGGTAGCTCCGGCTCATCTGTCCTGAGGGCCTACGTTGGTTCCAGGTGTCCTCTTTCAAAGAGACAGCAGATCAGGAAGTAGGCCAGACCTGTATTCTTTCACAATCCCAGCTAGCAGGCAGTTTGAGGCAGCTGCTGGTGGGGCTTTGGGGGAGAGATGACTCTGACTCTGTCCTAGACTCTAGGACATTATCCTCTCTCTAGGACCTAGAGGATTCTTTCATTGTGAAATTAACAACAACAAAAACCAACCAACCAACCAACCAACCAAGAAAAAGAAATAGGGTCTCACTATAGCTCTGGCTGGTCTCAAACTCCTGGGCTCAAGTGATCTTCCCGCCTCGGCCTCCCAAAGTGTTGGGATTAAAGGCGTGAGCCACCAGTCCAGGTCAACAAAAACAATTTTGTGAAAAATTTTTGTTTCTTAAAAAAACAATTTTTTTTTTGAGTTAGGGTCTTGCTCTATTGCCCAGGCTGGAGTACAGTGGTACAATCACAGCTCACTGCAGCCTTGACCTCTCAGGCTCAAGAGATCCTCCCACCTCAGCCTCCCAAGTAGCTGGGACCACAGGAGCACATCACCATGCCTGGCTAATTTTTTTGAAAAAATTTTATGTAGAGACAGGACAGGGTCTCTGTATGTTGCCCAGGCTGGTCTCAAACTCCTGGCCTCAAGCAATCCTCCTGCCTCACTTGGCCTCCCGAAGTGCTGGGATTACAGTTGTGAGCCACCATGCACGGCCTCTAAATTTTAAAGTTAGATGATATGTTGATATGAAAGAAAAGGACTCTGATAAACCCACAGTTTAGCTTCACTGGAGGGACTGAGGGGATGGGAGCAGGAAGGCTGGGTTTCAAGTAACCTTGAATAAATACTCTGTATGAATTAATAAAATGGAAATAAAAGTTTCTCACTGTCCACAGCTTAAAAAGATGAGATGATATATATGTAAATAAAGCAAGACACAAGTGGCAGGGGTTGCAAAATGCCTTGGGGCTTCCTGAAACTGAGAGCATTCCAAAGCTTTTATTTAGATCCTTAGACATTTAATTAATTTAGCCACTATAGGTATTACATGTCGATAAAAAGATCCTCCTCTTACAGCGTAATGTGAGCTTGAGAGTTATTGTCATTTAGAAGATAAAGGAGTCCCCACCCATCTTCTGAGACCTTCTTCTGACACCCCACCCTGTGTTGGGTCTCAATCAGCAGTAGTTATGGGATGCACTGCTCCCTGGGGTCAACCAAAACGTGGAGGGCTGCCCTCCCAAAACATCTTTGCTTTTCTTTTCTTTCTTTCTTTTTTTTTTTTTTTTTTTTTTTTTTTTGAGACGGAGTCTCGCTCTGTCGCCCAGGCTGGAGTGCAATGGTGCGGTCTCGGCTCACTGCAACCTCCGCCTTCCAGGTTCAAGCGATTCTCCTGCCTCAGCCTCCGGAGTAGCTGGGATTACAGGGGCCCGCCATCATGCCTGGCTAATTTTTGTATTTTTAGTAGAGATGGGGTTTCACCATGTTGGCCAGGCTGGTCTTGAATTGCTGACCTCGTGATCCGCCCACCTTGGCCTCCCAAAGTGCTGGGATTACAGGCATGAACCGCTGTGCCCGGCCCATTTTTGCTTTTCTTACCCACCATAAATCAGTTTCACTAAACTTTGTAGAAGTAATTTATATTTTCAAACTATTTTCTCTTTTACTTGTCACCCCTTCCCTCCTCTGCCCCAATCCCTTAATGCTAAAGATAATGACACCAGAAAATATTTTTGATCAACTGATCTTCTAAAATGAGACTGGGGCTTTCAAGTAGGGACAGGGGAACCTCAGACCTCCAGCAAAGAGATGGCTGAGGTCTTAAGCCAATGTACCAGTTTAAATGCACATCGTTTAGGCAGCTTTTCTGCAATAAAAGGAATCTGGTATACTGACCATGTAAAATGTACTGAAACTTAGTTGGATAACGATTTCCTTTTCTTAAGCTTCTCTGAAAGGCAGCAAGCAGTTTACGGGCTTGCATTCTGGGACAGCAGAGTGTGGAACTGAGGACAAGTCACTTCATCTCGCTGAGCTGTGGTGGCTTTATGTGCAAAAATGGAAGTGTCGATCTGTACTCACAGGGTAGCTGTGAGGACCAAATGCAGTCACGTATCCAGGAGTCCAGTGCAAAATGCCAGGGACAGTAATGGTTCCACATCACTGTCCCTTTCCTTCCCCTCCCCTTGGGCCAGTGAATGGAGACTCAAAAGAAATATGTTCATCCCAAGAAGGTTTTGAGTCCAAAGCACAGCTAACTAAAAGGAGAATCCAGTTTAGAATGGAGGCCTCTCTTCAGACTCCAAACACAGGGATCACATGCCACCTCACCTTTAAGAAAACACTTAGAAAGCCAGTCAATGAACTCCATTCATTACAACACTGGTAGATCTGCCCTCAGCTTTAATGTTTGCTGGGGATAGAGTAGGTAGAAAAAAACTCTTCAAGAAAAGGAAGATGTTGTATTCTGTGCCCTTTTACTTCTGCAAATGAAACCTTGATAAGTACAAAATTCAACAAATTCATTTTTCCACTTAAGAATGAAAAGAAACTCAACTTGCAAATACCCAAAAGCCCATCTAGGACAAAACCAACATTGTCTTGGTGCTTTGGTTTTAACTATGTGCTCTATCCATGCCTTAGACAACACCTGAGGTGGATGGGAGGGGGCTGGGATGTCATTAGACACAACTGCGCTGAGTTCCAAGTTCTAAATATCTGTCTTACCAGTAAGTTTTAGAACACAACCCCACTCTGGGAAGCTGTGGACCACATGTGAGCTAAAGCAGTGCTCATGTCCCTGGCTCTAGGTTCCAGACATTTCATTATCTCAGGACAGAAAATCTAATGACAGGGAGCTCATAAATGAAGGGGGACCTGGTTTGTAAGCCCTGATGGAGTGTGTTCCTAAGAGTCAATGGCCTAATTACTGGGCTTTTCTAGGGAAAGGAGGTACTATTGTTAATAGGTCCTTGTTTGTAAACAAATGGAATGAAGGCAATTGATCGCAGACACCAGGGTCTATACAGAATACAAGAAATTAAGTGGTGCTCTTTCTGCAGTGAGTCTGCAAGTGCCCGGAAGCAGCAGGGCTGCTCCTAAACTTTCTTCCAGGCATTTGGTGTTAGCCTAGAGTAGCACATGGATCCCCCGTGGATTAAAGGACAAAACCAGGAGGGATTCTGGCTTCCATCATCCCTTTCCCTCTCACCCTCTTCTGATTCTATAAATCACTTCTGGCAGGTAGCTGGGAAGCAGCTGCGAATGACAGGTTTGCTCTGGAGCACAGGAAGCCACCTTTTAACCCGCCTGCTGTTGTTTGTCTCTCAAAACGTGACAAAGGAACAGATGTAAGCAACATGCCAACTGTTGAGAGGATCTGCTCGGAGCACTATAGGAAGTCTGTTGGGAGCTATATCACACCAGCCAATCCAAGGAAGGACAACTGAGTTCATTTCCTGAAACCCCCTCTGCACACTCAGTTCAAGTCAGGTTGGGTCGGCAATGATCAGGCTATGCACCACGCAAACCCCTGCTTCCACCTTTGCCCCTGTGGCTCCCAGTTCTCAAAGCCCCTTCTTGAACCCCGTTCAAATGCAACTGAGAGGTTCAGTCCAGCCTCACCCCCAGCGAGGACTTTTTTGATCCCATGCCCCTCCCTCATCTCTCAACCAGACTACTTTTCACAGTCTGTAAGCCTCTCATGGGTCAGTCTCATTTCTGCAAACCATCTTGTGATCTCTTTGAGGGTTGGAGCCATGGCTCACATACCTTTGTATTCCCAAGGTAATGGTTTTTCAAATCACCAGTTGCAAACCATGAGTACAATGGGAGACAAGTTTAATGGGTTGCACCCAATATATTAAAATATAAAATAAAAACCAGCTTACAAAAGACACTCCTGGGACAACTGGGGAACTATGAAGTGGATATTAGATGACATTATGAAATTCTTATTAATTTTCTAAGGGATCGTAATGGTGGTGTGTTTACACAGGAAAATGCCTTATTTCTTTTAAAAATTATTTTTATTAGACTTTTTTTTTGGAGCAGTTTTAGTTTCACAGCAAAACCGAGTGGAAAGTAGAGATTTCCCCTGTCCCCACACATGCAAAGTCCCCCATTATCAACATCCCCACCACGGTGGTACATTTGTGACAATCGATGAAGTACACTGACACATCACTATCACCCAAAGGCTACGGTTTACATTAGGATTCAGGTGTTATACATGCTACAGGTTTGGACAAATGCATAATGACATGCATCTGCCATTACGGTGACATACAGAGTAGTGTCACTGCCCTTAAATTCCTTTGTGAACCTCAGGGGACACATGCTAAAGTACGAGAGGTGACTTACTTTCAAATGGATCAACAACAAAAATATCTGTGTGTGTATAAGCTCACACGCTTGCACAGATCAAGCAAATGTGCCCAAATGTTACAACAGCTGAATGTTAGGTGTACGGTATGCAGGCATTCACTGTACTATTCTTTACATTTTTCTGTGTGCTTGAAAAGTTTTATAATAAAAAATGGAAGAAAATGAAACAGAAAAAAAATCAGAATGCAGAGGATGAAATATGATTTGCTTTAGGTTTCTATTGACATATGTGTCCTGGGTCACAACATACATATATTTCTTATTGTGGGTCAAGGCCCAGAATTTGAAAATGCTGTCCAGGCTGGGCGTGGTGGCTAAAGCCTATAAACCTATAATCCCAGCACTTTGAGAAGCTGAAGTTGGAGGACTGCTTGAGCCCAGGAGTTCAAAACCAGCCTAGGCAATACAGCGAAACCCCATCTTTGAAAATAAATAAATAAATAAAAAGGAAAGAAAGAAAATGCTGTCCCGCGTAACTTGCTGCTCTAAGCACACAGCAGGCAGGCAATGAACTATTTGTTAATTAACTTCTAGAAGCACAGGATTTAACTGAAGCAGCAAGCTGAGAAATCATTTTGTTTCCAGTTACATCCCATTAACTCAAGCTGTGTCAAAACAGCTAAAAACCCTTTCCTGCGTTAGCACACTTGGGCCTAACCTTAAGTCAGCCTGCAGGCCTTTCTTATCAGATGTTTAATTACTCATCAGGAAAGATACTGCTGGCTTTCCCCCCTGATGCCAGGGAGGGAAGCGTGTTCACAGAAGACTCCAAATAGGGCAAGCGATTGTCCTGGCTTGCCTGGGATTGAGGTGTTTCCCAGGACTAGGGACATTTTGTGCTAAAACCAGGACAGACTTGGGCAAACCAGGGCAGCTGGTCATCCTAAATCTGAGCAAAGACTTTAAGACAACCTTGGACAGACCTGGGAGAGCTGACACTGCTGTGCTGTGTGGCAGATGTGCAGTGTTGCTCACTGCAGCGTGAGCAACAGGGACAAACCCAGCCTGAGAAAAATTGTAGTAAGACAGAGATCGCTCTGATGCCATCCAAACAGCAACAGCAAACACTGCATTGCAAAGTGTGCCTCATGCCCTTAAACAAAACCTTTCTCTGATTATTCAACAACTAATCTGGAAAGCAAAGGACAAAGGAAACTTACTGTAAAAACGTCATCATCGCCAAGCTCAGCTTCATTATGGATGGTGGAAGATGACGTTGTTGAACCTAAAAAGACAAAAATGTAATAAAAAGTGTTTCCCAAGAGGATACATCAAATCCAACCGTTTAAAAAAGTATATTTTAATAAAACCACATTCCATTCTTTTTGCATGTGAATTACCAACAGAAACAAGTTACCTGGGAATTGAGTGCTTTTAATTTACTCTTCTTTAATTGATTCTTGCCAGGATGCTCCCTAAATTAACTTTGCCTGCTGTTGTTCCCAATTAATCTCTCAAACTTCTGCACTCGCTGCTAGAGAATAAGCACACAGAAAGGCACTGTGGAGGAGGTGAGGGGAGAGGCTGCCCACTCCTCTGAGGGACATGCATCGAGCCCAGCCTCTGTAGTGACCTTGAGGTCCCAGCCGTGTAGTGGGAAAAGCACTGGACGGGGAACCCCTAAGTGAGACCTGCCACAATCTACTGTGTAAACTGGATTTAGCTCCTCTGGTCTTTTCACCTACCAATGAAGGCATTTTAGCTCAATAGCTTGTATGGTTGTGTCCAGTTCTGAATTCAGATGTTGTATTTCTAAATCCCAAATTGTGGGCTCCCTTCTAAGGGGACACCTGTGCAAGGGGGTTTCCTCTTGCAATACCAAGGCATCAGTGAGTTTGCTTTGTTTTTCCAAGTCAAAATTACAGCTCTTGTTAGAAAACCCTCCTTATTCCATCATGGAACCAATTGGATTTTAGAGTTCAATGTAATTACTTGTTCACCTTTTTCTTCATTCTGGTATGCGAATCAGGTACAACTGCCCTACTTCCCCCCACCACCCTGAATAGCAGACAATAATGCATGGATCAACTTAATTGGCCAAAAGAAAGACATATTTAAAATTGCATCAGTGACAGATATACCAAAAGGGAAATTTATTCTCTATCTTTTCCTTTTCTTGGTTAGATCTTTTAAAATATGCATTTAGAAAATATTTTGCTGGCCAGACGCAGTGGCTCACGCCTGCAATCCGAGCACTTTGGGAGGCTGAGGCCGGCAGATCACGAGGTCAGGAGTTCAAGACCAGCCTGGCCAACATAGTGAAACCCTGTCTCTACTAAAAATACAAAAATTAGCTGGGTGTGATGGCGGGCGCCTGTAATCCTAGCTACTGGGGAGGCTGAGGCATGAGAATCGCTTGAACCTGGGAGACGGAGGTTGCAGTGAGCCGAGATGGCACCACTGCACTCCAGCCTGGGCTGGAGACTCCATCTCAAAAAAAAAAAAAAAAGAAAAAGAAAATATTTTGCTATTACATGAAATTGAAATGAAAACAATTGCTCAGAAAGGATGAGAAATACTTAAATTTCCAACGAGAGACTGCAGGAGAAAAAACAACAGTCCCATAGTATGTTCTGTGCAACTCCTACTGGTCTTTCGGGAGCTGTCTCTACTCTGAATTACTCCAATCAACCAATGTTCTAGGAAAACTGGTGGAAAAAAAAGCTAGATAGTATGTATATAGAGAAAAAAATTACAAGTAGGAGAATGAAATGTTGTGCAATTAAGTACATGGACACAATGCGAACGTCTATCAATAATATAGGAGCTGTTTTTTCTCTAAACATGAAAAAGCTGTGTTTAATAACATTTTAAATATTTGCCACTTATGTCAGAACTATGATTTGAACACTGGTTTTTATTATCTCTTTTTGGCTATCTCATACTTGTTTATGGATTCATGTTCTAGCTAGTCTTGTCTTACTACTGATTATAATGTTAAGTAATTTGTCTTTTAAGACTTGCTTTTTTTCCTCTTCCCCCAAATCCACAATGAAGAAAATGACTTCAGAACACTTTTATTTCTTAAGCAAATGAAACATACATCCTTTTGTGATTAATTTCCCCAAGATCTGAATTTGGTATTAACATGCCTTGCTTGATATTTCTTTCTTCACAGGGCCCTGTCTATGGCTTCTTTAACCCTCTGATTTGATACCTGGATGTGCTGCAGTGGAGAATTTTTGTGTTTGCATCTGTGGACTCTAGTCAAGCCCACCATGAGAACTGACTGCCCAAGGGCCCTCCAGGCCACGATCAGATGTAACACAATGCCTACTACTCACTTACCCATAGACCAAGGCCTAAACCGAACCAGGGCTCCAGAGGTCACAGATCCCTTTCCTTTTCAGTGGCAGCTGTACACCCTGGGCCTCTGATTACAGGAGGACAGTGGGTAGGCCAGGAGCCTTCTGGGCCCGCCAGAATCCATTCTCTACTTCTGAGCCAAGACAGACCAGACCAAAGCCATTTCAATAGTCAGGACAAGGTGAAAGCAGTCAAAAATACATGCACATGGAAATCCAGAACCTGCCTGTTTTTTCACAGCAGAGTCTAAAAATCAATTGGGATTACTCCTTACTCTGAAACCCATCTCCTTTTCCCTGAATTGTCACTTTAATTACTCTCCTTGGAAATTCCAAAAGTTTTGGCATCTACTGACCTGGTCCCAAACCCTCCCGCAAATAAACCACAAATAAATGATGGCAGACTATTGGAATTAAAAATAATTTGGAACATTTCCATAGTCCCACTAAGAATGCAGCGACAAGTTCAATACCTTCTATAAGGTCTTCGATTGCTTTCCTTACTCCCCTGTCAAAGGCTCGGGCATCAGCAGGGCTTTGGAAAGTAAGTCCAAACTTCCTATTATCGACCTTCCAGTGATGAAACGTTGGATTGGCTTTGGTGTAGACCAAGTCCTTTCTTACATAGCATTCCAATACCACCTGAAGGATGGAAACACACAGGCTGGTTACTAGTGGAACAGCCATGATGATGTCTGGTTACAGAAGTCTAATTAGGAACCATCACTGGTGGCAACTACCAAAACCCCTCTAACCCCTGCCTTCACATATCTGTGAGTCTCTCCAATGGGAAAGGAGGCTTTGCTTGGCTGCTGACCATCCGATCTTCGCTGCTCCCCACTGTCCTGGTTGTACCCCTTCACTACACTCTCTTCATCACGGTTATTCCTCTTCCTCCTGGCTGCAGGGCACTAAGTTGATGCTCAGGTCTTGGGTCTTGGCTGTATTTCAGATTACTGCTTTTATGTTGGGGTTTTTATATTGATGGTCATCTAGCTTCCCTCCCCCGAGGCTCCAAATTCCAAAAGTTGAAAAATTAACTTTACTCTAAAATTTCTCCTCTCCCAACTTCTGGCAATACCAATCCCTCTCCACTCTTTTTCTCTGGCTCATCATCTCTGTGGTCATCTTTGCCTCCTCTGCCTATCTCCTGTATTATTAATCACCAGGTCCATTTCATTTTTCCTTCAACAGCTTTTATATCAACCCCATTTCAGTTGCTGCCACCCTGATCTGGGTCTCTATTAACTTTATGTTTGGATTAATAGAACAATATTCAAGTTTCTAGCAATTTAATCTCAGAACTGGCTTTTACTGAGTTGTAATGAGTAGATTGATCTTTTTATCTCTAAGATGGAAAGAACACCAATGTTATCAATGAGAACAAGAACATGCTCTGAAAACACTGAATAAATGAGAAACCTAATTCACATTCATTGTCCAGTATATCTTCCCTGTCAAGTTTTATATGTACTCCAATTCTCCTTCTTGTCATCTTCACAATTTAGTACCTGATTTCAAACTATTCTTTAACAGTTTCATGTGTATTAGTCTTGTTCCCCTAACTAGACTACAAAAAGTCAAGATTATAAAATAACCCCGTCTAGCACAGTTGATAGAGATACTAGAATTTATTTAATATTATAGAAAAGAAACATTGCAATAATTTGAACGTAAACTTCATTCTTTATTCATTAAAAAACTCAGACTACTTACAATATTTATTCCTATGGCTTCATTACAAACACCATAATGATTTTGCTAAGTTTTAATAGCCCAATCTTGTTCTGGCAAAGATCTGCATTTACCGCAATGTGATCTTATTAATTTAGACTAAATGAAGGACAAGAGTAAAGACCTGCCTAAATTAGTATACAGATAAATTAGAGAATATCTTTAAATAAGTATAAATTCTAAGAATAGATCAAAGCAAAAAGAAGGAGGCCAGTACAGTGGCTCATGCCTGTAATCCCAGCACTTTTGGGGGCTGAGGCAAGAGGATCACTTGAGCCCAGGAGTTTGAGACCAGCCTGGGCAACATGGCAGGACCCTGTCTCTAACTAAAATACAAAAATTAGCTGGGTGTGGTGGCACACATCTGTAGTCCCAGCTACTCAGGAGATTGAGGTGGGAGGAACGCTTGAGCCTGGGAGGCTGAGGCTGCAGTGAGCTGAGAAGGTGCACCACTACACTCCAGCCCAGGTGACAGAGTGAGACTCTGTCTCAACAAAAGGAAAAAACAAACGAGAAATAAATTAAGGGTTGTCTAATGAATGTTCCCTAACTTAATAAAAAAATGAGAATAATATTCAAATTGGTATATCAAATAGTAGTCCCAAGCAGTTAACTTTATTACATTGTATTGAGATCGGACAACAGTTCCCTCCCATAATTCTATTTATGATTAAATTGCTTATTATAGCCATTTCCCCCTAAGAATAGCACAATGATTAAATGTCAGCCCAGCCCCATTCCACATTGGGGAAATCCAAATAATCAAGAATTTAACAAATGTTATCTATTTTAGAATTTAATAGTCTCAATTCAAAGTCTCAAAATAAACTTTTTGTATTCTAAAAACAAAGACTCCTAGTTTCTCCATATTTTGGGGGTGAAAAAATTAGTCTTTGGTTGATATTTTCCAACTTTGAAATTATTCCAAAGGTACATTTTCTTAGAAAAGTTTAAGTAAAATGGCCGGGCGCGGTGGCTCACGCCTGTAATACCAGCCCTTTGGGAGGCCGAGGCGGGCGGATCATGAGGTCAGGAGATCGAGACCATCGTGGCTAACACGGTGAAACCTCATCTCTACTAAAAATACAAAAAATTAGCCGGGCATGGTGGCGGGCACCTGTAGTCCCAGCTACTAGGGAGGCTGAGGCAGGAGAATAGCGTGAACCCGGGAGGCGGAGCTTGCAGTGGGCCGAGATCGTGCCACTGCAGTCCAGCCTGGGCGAAAGAGCAAGACTCTGTCTCAAAAAAAAAATAAAGTTTGAGTAAAATAAGTTCAGCCACCTAAATTAAGTGAGGGGGGAAATCAGATACCATCTCTTTATGTCCTCTAAAGCAAAATAGTATCATATGTATCTAAGTTTAAAGACAAAAATGAAAAGGTTTTAGATGCTTTAATCTTCCCAACAGATATAAACTCTCTGGTGAAGTTTTGGCACGCACACAATTAGACACTAACTTAAAACTTGAGAAAGGCTTTAAAAAATACCCGTTTAAATAAGATGCATACGGAGAAAAAAAGTGATTATGTTCTTGTTCGAGACTTGAAAAAAAAAACTACACAAGAAATACATGTTGTGGGAGATTTAAGTATTAGCTGAAGACATGAGGACTCCATTCCTACTCATCTCTCCCCTCCACCGTCAACATCCCTCTCTGTCGAGTTCCCCACTGTCAGTAGAGCGGGCACAATCCCAGTTTCCATTTTGTGGCTTCTTTACATATACACAGGTAAGTTTCTGTGTAAGGGCAACTGTGTTTAAATGTAGCCACACCTATAAGTTGTTTTTAACTTGCTTTTTATTTTCCTTAAAAATATGTCATAGAGATACAGGAAGGTAAAATAATTGTTTAATTCATCTGTATGGATGTATTAGATTTATTCAACCATTCTCCATACTAACGGACATTTATGTCAGTAAGAATTGGTCACCTTGAAGGCAATGCTGCAATTTACATCCTTATCTATATTTGAAGTATAAATTAGAATTCTAGACAGCTTCCTGGTACTTAAAGACTTTTCTAATGAGTCAGTGGCAATATTAAAAAATGTAGTTTTTTTGATATTAATGAGTCAGTGGCGATATTAAGAAATGTAGTTTTTTTATATTAATGAGTTAGTGGCAATACTAAGAAATGTAGTTTTTTGATATTATAGAATAAAATGTATCAACATTTGGAAGATCTGCTTAACTCAGTGGAGCACTATTTTTCAGGTGACCAGTGCATGATGTTACAAAATCAGGGATGAGTAAGAGATCTATTGAAAGTGAAAGAGTCCCTCTCCCTCTCCCGTCTCCCTCTCCCGTCTCCCGTCTCCCTCTCCCTCTCCCGTCTCCCTCTCCCTCTCCCGTCTCCCTCTCCCTCTCCCGTCTCCCTCTCCCGTCTCCCTCTCCCTCTCCCGTCTCCCTCTCCCTCTCCCGTCTCCCTCTCCCTCTCCCGTCTCCCTCTCCCTCTCCTTTCCACGGTCTCCCTCTCATGCCGGGCCAAAGCTGGACTGTACTGCTGCCATCTCGGCTCGCTGCAGCCTCCCTGCCTGATTCTCCTGCCTCAGCCTGCCGAGTGCCTGCGATTGCAGGCGCGCGCCGCCACGCCTGACTGGTTTTTGTGTTTTTTTGGTGGGGACGGGGTTTCGCTGTGTTGGCCGGACTGGTCTCCAGCTCCTAGCCGCGAGTGATCCGCCAGCCTCGGCCTCCCGAGGTGCCGGGATTGCAGACGGAGTCTCATTCACTCAGTGCTCAATGGTGCCCAGGCTGGAGTGCAGTGGCGTGATCTCGGCTCGCTACGGCCTCCACCTCCCAGCCGCCTGCCTTGGCCCCCCAAAGTGCGGAGATTGCAGCCTCTGCCCGGCCGCCACCCCGTCTGGGAAGTGAGGAGCGTCTCTGCCTGGCTGCCCATCGTCTGGGATGTGAGGAGCCCCTCTGCCTGGCTGCCCAGTCTGGAAAGTGAGGAGCGTCTCTGCCCGGCCGCCATCCCACCTGGGAAGTGAGGAGCGCCTCCTCCCGGCCGCCATCCCATCTAGGAAGTGAGGAGCGTCTCTGCCCGGCAGCCCATCGTCTGAGATGTGGGGAGCGCCTCTGCCCCGCCGCCCCGTCCGGGAGGTGAGGGGCGCCTCTGCCCGGCGGCCCCTACTGGGAAGTGAGGAGCCCCTCTGGCCGGCCAGCCGCCCCGTCCGGGAGGGAGGTGGGGGGCTCAGCCCCCCGCCGGGCCAGCCGCTCCGTCCGGGAGGGAGGTTGGGCGGGGGGTCAGCGCCCCCTCCCGGCCAGCCGCCCGGTCCAGGAGCTGAGGGGCGCCTCTGCCCGGCCGCCCCTACTGGGAGGTGGGGAGCCCCTCTGCCCAGCCACCACCCCGTCTGGGAGGTGTGCCCAACAGCTCATTGAGAATGGGCCATGATGACGATGGCGGTTTTCTGGAATGGAAGGGGGGGCAGGGTGGGGAAAGGATTGAGAAATCGGATGGTTGCCGTGTCTGTGTAGAAAGAAGTAGACATGGGCGACTTTTCATTTTGTTTTGTACCAAGAAAAATTCTTCTGCCTTGGGATCCTGTTGATCTATGACCTTACCCCCAACCCTGTGCTCTCTGAAACATGTGCTGTGTCCACTCAGGGTTAAATGGATTAAGGGCGGTGCAAGATGTGCTTTGTTAAACAGATGCTTGAAGGCAGCATGCTCGTTAAGAGTCATCACCACTCCCTAATCTCAAGTACCCAGGGACACAAACACTCTGCCTAGGAAAACCAGAGACCTTTGTTCACTTGTTTGTCTGCTGACCTTCCCTCCACTAGTGTCCTATGACCCTGCCAAATCCCCCTCTGTGAGAAACACCCAAGAATGATCAATAAAAAATAAAATAAAATTAAAAAAAAATCCTAAAAAAAAAAAAAAGAAAGTGAAAGATAAACCAGTGGGTGGTAATGTAACAGAGTATGAAAGGTCCATTGATAGATTTCAGATTCCACATGGTTGAGTTTTAGTGTAGTATCAAAGAAGAATATCTACAATTGTCTGAAAAGGCTATTAAAATATTTCTCCCCTTACTAACTCCCCTTCTCTGTGAGTAGCTGTATTTTCTTTATATACTTCAACCAAAATAATATATTACAGATTAAAAGCAGGAGCAGATACCAGAATCCAGCTATTTTCTGGTAAGCCAGATATTAATGAGATCTTCAAAAACATAAAGCCATGCCACTCTTCTCATAATTACTTTTGTTCTGGAAAAGTTATACAGTTATTTGCCATAAAATGTCATTTATATTAACAATACTGTTTAATTAAAAGTTTTAAATTTTTTCCATTTTAATTTCTAATATGGCAAGTTATAAATAGCTGTAACTCACCAAACCAAAAGCTCTCTGAGGTCCTGAATAAAATTTTGGAGTGTAAAGGGATCCTGAGACCAAAAAAGTTTAAGAACTGTTACTGTCCATAAATCTCTGTGTGTTTAAGTCTTTTTCTAAAGGATAGTGTTCTAGATGTGAACTGCTAGGTAAAAAGATATGCACATTTAAAATTAAAATCCTGCCAAATTGCTTTTCAAAGAGCTTTGCCAGCTCAAATTCCCACCAAATGTTATGTGAGAATGCTCGCTGACCTACACATGGGCAATGACTGGAATGATCAAACTCTTAGATTTTGTGATTAGTCTCCATAAAGAGGTTTCTCATAAGATTTGTTTCAGGAGTAAACTCCTCTAATCCATCTAAAAATGAGATTCAACTCAGAAAATTTTAATTTAAATATAATTTCTCAGGCTTGACTGTCCCCAGCTTACCAAAAAATTACCTGACTACTCGTGAATGGTTGTCTGGAACAGAGACTTTTCCCACAGAAACAATGGTAGTTAACAGCCCTCAATATGTAACGAAACAAACTCCCACAATGTGCTGAATTCTAGATGTGCACTACATTGTAAAAACTGACAACACTGTTTCTATCTGAAAGAGCACTTCATGCCCTAGTTGGAATACTGGGAACTCTGATACAATCCATCCAATATATCCTAAAAATAATCTTCATCTTTTCTTTGCCATTCCACCTTTTAGAGGGGGGTTCCTCAATAACTCACCACATTTGCAGAGCTCCCATGTGGGCGCATGGTCTCCAGTGGGCACTAGCATTGCATTAGAGAAGCTTGAGAGGCCAAAGGAAGAGTTATCATATCTCTAAGGAGAGAGAAAGGGGCGGGGTGGTGGGGGGGAGGGCAGTGAGAGAGAGAGAGGAAGGGAGACTGGGTACGGGCGTGTGTGTGTGTGTGTGTGTGTGTGCATGTGCATGAGTGTGCTGGGTATGGGTGTGAGGGGAGGGGTTAAGTACCACTCAGTACAGAAATCCAGAATTTCCTGGAGTGTGAAACAGGCAAGGTGAGGGATGGAGAGACAGAGAAGTACAGCAGGACATATGGGTGTGTGACTTAGGTACTAGTGAATATAAAAGCCCACAAGTGTGGAGTCAAGGAATGTAAAGGGGACAGGAAAAGGGGTGGGGAAATGGAGAAACATGATGGGGGAGGGGATGAGGCACACTTTTAGGATAGTGCAATCTGTGTACACTAGCAACAAACAACAGCAGTTGGTCCACGACTCAGCGGGGGCGGACAGAGGACTGGACTGCCCTAATATTATGCCAAGTTAGTGTGAAGGGACAGGCTTTGATTTTGCAAAGAAATGAGCTCAAACGCAGGCTCTGCTGGTGACACTGCCCACCCCATGCCAAGGACGTGGCTCACTTCTTAGAGCATTGAGTTTCCCCACTACAATGTGGAAATAGTAGTATCTTCCTCCTTCAAAATGTTGCAGGAATTTAACTGAGGTTATTTACTTAAAGGACCTGGAACAAATGGTAAAAGTTTACTATGCACTAGTAATGTCTTACCAGTGACTAGATTAGATAAGCTAAAGGGCCACTTTAGGTTGAAGTATTCTATGACAAACCATAGAAATACCAGGAAAAAGTAGCTCTAAAAACATAAGCCTTCAGACAAGATAATCTGGTAAAACACAGAATAACCCTAAAAACAAAAAGACCAAAGAAGTGGAAAAAAATTTCTATATATATAAAAATAAGAACTAAAAGGGCAAGCAACAGATTATAAAAATATACTTGCAGCAAATATGACAGATGGAGATTCATATCTTTATTATGCAAGAGGGCATACACATGAAGGAGAAAAATAAGGCCCTGATAAGTAAATATACAAAGGACATCAACAGATAATTAATTCACAGTTATAACTGTTTAACAAACAGAAAAACATTTTATTAATTAGCAAGCAATAAGATTTTATATGTATATTTTATATACATATATTATGTATGTATATTTTATATACGTATATTATGTATGTATATTTTGTATACGTATATTATGTATGTATATTTTGTATACGTATATTATGTATGTATATTTTGTATACGTATATTATGTATGTATATTTTGTATACGTATATTATGTATGTATATTTTGTATACGTATATTATGTATGTATATTTTGTATACGTATATTATATGTATGTATATTTTGTATATGTATATATGTATGTATATTTTGTATACGTATATTATATGTATGTATATTTTGTATATATATTATATATGTATGAATATTTTGTATACGTATATTATATATGTATGTATATTTTATATCCCTCAATGTGTTAAAGGAAATTCTAATACTGGTAGCAGCTCCTTGCACATGTATCAAAAGTCATAAAAATATGACCTCCTAAATTATTCCAAAACTATAATAAACGTGGAAAATTCACATAGGTGTATTCCTAACACTGAGGTGAGGGGAAGAACCTTAATATTTGACACTAAGGAGGTGGTCAAATAATGAAACATCAAACTGATATCAGCAACATGGAAAATTTCATATGAGAATGTTAGGGCAATGTTGTTTCATGATAGTCTTGAAAGAGAATGTTTAAGGCAAAATAAATAAGATACACAACTGTTTAAAAATATGGCTGGGCACAGTGGCATGTGTCTGTAGTCCCAGCTACTCTGGAGGATGAGGTGGGAGGACCATTTGAAGCCCAGGAGTTGGAGGCCAGCCTGGGCAACAAAGTGAGATCCTGCCTTTTTAAAAAAAAGTACAAAGTGGGAAAATTACATCAAAGGGCTAAGGGTGGTTGTTCAGTTTTGGGGTCAGAGTGACAAGAGAATCAAATACTGGTTCCAGGCCCCCAAAACAGGCCACTAAGAACAAGGAATCTTTCTGAATCATAATTTCTTCAATTACAATTATACAGGCTGCTGTAAGGATACAATGAGAGATCTAACCGAAGGGCTGGATTATACTTAGTACATGGTAAATGCTAGATAAATGGTAGTCATTTTACTTTTTATTGGTAATATAGTTACATTGCTTTTTATTGCAAAAATATTATAAACAAGAATGTTTTCATTATTTGACTATTATATAGGGTATTTCCTGAACAAATACTTCTTAAAATTAGCTGTCTTCTCCCTTTAAATTTTCAGAAATGAAATCAAATGTGAAAATAACATTTCTGTTAACCCACATGTAACATTTACAAATTGTTCTGTCTTATCTATTTTCTAAATTTTTTTAAACTATAAGAAGTGCTTGCAAAAGAAGGTTAAATTTGTACACTTAACACATAAAACCCAACAGATGCTGCTGTAAAGGGTCTCAGATGTAACACTGACATATTCTTGTGGTGTCTTTGCATTTTCTCTGTGGGATCCTGCACAATCCTGCACATTCTGAATCATCTGTTGGCTTCTGAGTATACACTCCATGATCAAATACAGATAGAAGTAGTGTTCTTCCATGTTTAGGGCCATGAATTTAAAACAGATTTTGGACATTCAATTTTCCTTCCTATCATAGATTCCTTCATAACATAGAACTGAACATTTGAGTTCCTCCATAAGACCATATATTATGAAGTGTCAATCCCCCACCCTTGGGAGGTGATGATTACTTTCCAAAGTATTTATCTATAAGCATGGATAATAATTTATAGAAGTATGGGCCAGGCACGGTGGCTCATGCCTGTAATCCCAGCATTTTGGGAGGCCGAGGTGGGTGGATCACCTGAGGTCAGGAGTTCGAGACCAACCTAGCCAATATGGTGAAACTCTGTCTCTACTAAAGATACAAAAACTAGCTGGGTGTAGTGGCGCGCACCTGTAGTCCCAGCTACTCAGCAGGAGAATTGCTTGAACCTGGGAGGTGGAGGTTGCAGGGAGCCAATATCATGCCACTGCACTCCAGCCTAGGTGACAGAGCGAGACTCCGTCTCAAAAAAAAAAAAAAAAAAAAAAAACCCAAAAAAACCCACAAAGTATGATACCACTACTTCTTGTTACTTTCTTTTTCCAAGCATGTTTTATTCATTAGGGCATGAAATAAAAGCTAGATAAACATTTATTTATAAGTAGCCTAATGTCAGATGACATCTTGCCTTTCTGTTTTACCTGCCACCATCCAAACCTCAATGGCATGCTCCATGAATAAACTCTACATTTTTAAAACACTGACTTCACAGCTCAGTACAATGTGATTCATAATAATAAAAGAGTACACTTTTGTTTTGAATACCTTTTTACAATGATAGACATCTTAATCAAAGATGCAAATAAAACAGCCAAATATACTTCTAAGCATCTCGGATAAAGCGTGTGGTCAAAAGAGACTTTGCTGGAAAGGACAGTCACGTTTTACAATTTGGCACCAGCTCCGGGGTTCTAACTTTTGAAGCTTTTGCAAGAGTTTGAAGTCAGAGAAAGAAAGAAAAAAATACGTTAAGGAAAGAGGACTATGATTTAACGTAAAGAAAGCAGTTGTTACTAATTTAACCCACGAGTTGTATGTCTGCCATTACCAGTTTGTCTTTCTGTCGTTCACCATGGATGAGAAAGCCGCTTCGTCCATTGCCTTCGGGGTGCATGACCTTACAGACCCCGACGCGACTGATCCCGCCTCCTTCCTGTGGGAACCATCCCCCGCTGGAGTCATCTCTGGTCATAACCACAGCCTTGACACGCACAATATAGCTGTCACTAAAACGACAAGAAGAAGAAGCACAGGGCATGACAATGGTCTGGTAGTTGCAGAACACGTTTCAAAATGCAAGATGACCACCAGCCAGCACTTTTTTTGTTTTATCGAAAGAAATCTATGCTTGGCGGCAACCTTAAAAAGTGGTCCATCTCAACTTTTAGGGAAAAAACAAAACACTTAAACTCAATATAAAAGTACATTTTAAAAAAGATAAGTAATTAAAAATTACTTGTGATCGAAAGATGTATACAGGCACAATATTCTCCAGTTTCTAGGTGTAAGTACTGATAAATGAATTGATTTCTGTAATTCAGTATCTTTAGGTTGGAAAGACACACACCTATTTTGGTTTTTAGTTGTTGTTTTTTTTTTTTTTTTTTTTTGAGACGGAGTTTCGCTCTTGTTGCCCAGGCTGGAGTGTAATGGCGCGATGTCGGCTCACTGCAACCTCCGCCTCCCGGGTTCAAGCGATTCTGATTCAGCCTCCCAAGTAGCTGGGATTATAGGCACCTGCCACCATGCCTGGCTAGTTTTTTGTATTTTTAGTAGAGATGGGGTTTCACCATGTTGGCACGCTGGTCTGGAACTCCTGACATCAGGTGATTTACCCATGTTGGCATCCCAAAGCACTGGGATTACAGGCGGGAGCCACCACGCCCAGACTACAAACCTATTAAGACGGTATTATGGTTTCAACCCTTTAAAATGAGTTGAAAATGAATGACCAAGTTTTAACATTTTATAAAGCCAAGAATCTCATTTAGCATAAAATAGGATAATCTACTTGCAAATCATAAATTCACCATGAAATCACGTATCTAGGTAGGAAAATATTTCAATTCCAATAACCCTTTACATATTTGTAGACTTCTGTTTATGATTTTATTTCTTCCAGTCTAAAACCTCAATTTCACAATAAGTTCTTCTGCACATTTGCCAAAAATCCTTTTTCTCCCCCAGAGACCAATTCTAGCTTCTTTTCATTCTTCATCACTTTTGGGGGAAATTTATTTGGATTTTTGGCAAGGCCATTACATTCTCACTTGCTGTTTTCTTTCTTTGGATAGAATTCATTTTTACTCATTCAAACATATATTTGCGTGTTGTATATGCCAGGCGTTATAACAGATTCTCAGGAAACAAAGTTGCAGAGTAACAAAGAACCCCCATTATTCCCTGGGCCTCAGGGAAGACGCCCTCACCCTGGGCACTCAGAACCTGGTCCCCACAATTGGCCAGAGACGTGGAGGCAGTCCCTGTGCCCCACAGCCCTGCTCACCTCACTCACCGCTAAAGGCAAAGCCACCAGATTTTCTATGACCCCCTATGGCTCACCCTCCACTGCCACCCAACTGATCTCCCTTGGCCCCCCCAACCCAAGATCTACCATTCCCTTTACTTCCTCATCCCCTTCTCTGATCATTCCTTTCATTTTTTTTTTCATTGCGGTAAAATATGAATGGCATAAAATTTCCCGCTTTAACCATTTTTAAGTATACAAGTTCAGTGGCATTAATTACACCCACACTGTTGGGCAACCATCACCCCTTTCTACCTCTAGAACTTTTCGTCATTCCAAACTGAAACTCTGTACCTATGAAAAACACTAACTCCCCCTTCTCCACTTCCTCGACCCCTCAGCCCCTGGCACCCACCATTCTACTGTCTTGTCTCTATGAATCTGATACTCTAGGTACCTCATATAAGTTCCTTTCCCTTTCCTAACCTAAATTAAAATGCACTCTTGGCTGGGCCTCTGTGGCCCATTCTCCCAGGGCTGCTTTCTATCTCCCCACTGCACCCTGCTGGGCCTAGATGTGGGTATGGTGCTTGCCACTGCTGCAGACTATTCAGCCTCCCTCCAGTGCTTCTGAAGCTCACACCCTGACCCCTCTCACAACCCTTCTTCAGTCTTCTACAGACCTCACTTCCCTTCATTCCTTGAAGACTTCAGCAACCAGGCTCACTGACTCTCCATCTCTCCACCATGATCCCTGGCCCGATTCTTGATAATTTCATTATTGACATGGAGGATTCCTCCAATTCCCTGGCCTCTCAGTGTCTGGGCCTGTTTCCTTCCAATGCCCTTGTCTTACAACCAACTTTAGCCATTCATGCCCAGGTCAACCGTGAATCTCGTCATTACCAATATCTGCACCACCTCCATAACTCAATTGTAAGCATCCTGCTCTCCGACCACCTCGTAAGTTTGCAGCTCTCTCCCTCCAGACTCCAATAATTCTTTACCCTGTTGGGGCCAACAATCTATTGTTCTGACCACTTTTGCCCTCCCCCAAACCCCATGTCCTCAACTGATTCTCTACTCCTCCCCTTGCTTGTTGCCATTGCCTGGCATGACCCCAGTGGAGTTAAATCCTACCATCTACCTACTCTGTAACCCCACCCAGGCTGCTGAACATAGTGAGAGGGAAAAACCCCACTCTACTATGCTCATAGGACTAGTTTTAAAGCCATAAACACTACTCTCAAGTGAATCCTTAAGTGCCACCTGGCATCCTGCTACATTTCCCTGATCTGTCCCCCAAAGACAACTTCACATGGCCTCCTACCCCCTCACTCTCAGATGATGGATGAAGTTGCTTTAGTTTCACTGAGAAAATAGACAAAATCACAGGAGACCTTTCGCCTGTGCCCACCACCATGCCTACGCTTTGTACCAGCACTCTCTCCGCCCTTCCTCCTGTAACTGTGGTTAAGCCATCCATGATTCAAGCTAGGGCCAACTTCCTCCACTTAAAAACCTTCTACATACCAACAGTGCCCAAATTCACATTTCCATCCAGGTCTCTTCTGTGAGATTCAGGCCAGTAGAACCAAGGGCCTATGTGAGGTCTCTACATAGGCATCGAATACGTATCACAATCAACATGTTTCAGGTTGAACTCTCTTGGTTCCTGACACCTCCTCATCCTTCTAGTTCTCTCTTCAAAATATATCCAGGATCCACTTTTTCCACTTCTACTGACACTGACCTGATCCAGCTGCCATCACCTTCCATTGAGATTGCTGCAGTAGCCTTCTAACTGGCATCCTTGCTTCCACGTTTGCCCAACTTAACCCAGAAAATAGAAAGGTAAGTCAGATCATTCTACTGAAACAAACCCTCCAGTGGTATCGCCAAGCAGAAGTCAAAATCTGGACCTTACCCTATTACTCTCCTTGCTCATTCCACTTTGGTCCCACTGGCCTCCATATTAAGCATCCTTCTACCTCAGGGCCTTTGCACTTGCTGTTTCTTCTGTTCAAATCCTACTCCTCACATACCAACTGAGTTCATTCTCTTATTTCACTTAAGTCTCTGTCCAAGGTTATTTCAGAGAGGACTTCCCTGCCCACTCTATATAAAGCAGCATAGCACCCTCCACCCCTCTTAAATCTTCTCCCCTCTGCTTTGGCTTTCTATATGCTACTAAATCAATGCTTGCTCAATAAAATATCTGCTTGCCTACCAGAATATGAATTCCACAGGAGCAGAAACTTTGCCTTTTTTGTTCACTGCTATATCCCTAGAGCCTAGAATGGTGTCTTATATGTAACAGGTTGCGGAATGAATGGGGTTAAATTCACAATATAAACAGGTTTAAAAAAAATTATCTATAGCAGGCTGGAAGCGGTGGCTCATGCCTGTAATCCCAGCACTTTGGGAGGCTGAAGTGGGCGGATAACCTGAGGTCAGGAGTTCAAGACCAGCCTGGCCAACATGGTGAAACCCCGTCTCCATTAAAAGTACAAAAAATTAGCTGGGCTTGATGGTGGGCGCCTGTAATCCCAGTTACTCGGGAGGATGAGGCAGGAGAATAGCTTGAACCCCAGAGGCAGAGCTGAGATCGCGCCACTGCACTCCACCCTGGGCAACAAGAGCAAAACTCCGTCTAAAAAAAAAAAAAATCTATGGCTAACAGAATTCCTATAAAAACATATAGTGTTCAATACTTATTTACTTATGAACCACAATTACTAAATTGGGATCACAGTACTTTCTATTCCTAAAAATTGAAAAATCATGTAGAAGTACATATAAAAGTCATAGGACATACATGTACATATATGACTAATCCAACTATTTCAGGATTCAACATGCATATTCCCTTAGATTAAGAACCTTCTGGGCTGGGCGCAGTGGCTCACGCCTGTAATCCCAGCACTTCGGGAGGCTGAGGCGGCCGGATCATGAGGTCAAGAAATTAAGGCCATTCTGGCCAACATGGTGAAACCCCGTCTCTACTAAAAGTACAAAAATTAGCTGGGCGTGGCGGTGCTTTCGCCTGTAATCCCAGCTACTCAGGAGGCTGAGGCAGGAGAATTGCTTGAACCCAGGAGGTGGAGGTTGCAGTGAGCAGAGAATGCAGTGAGCAGAGATCAGCCTGGCGACACAGCAAGACTCTGTCTCAAAAAAAAAAAAAAAAAAAAAAGAATCTTCTGTAACATTTATTTAGATTAACTGCATACAACTTTGGAGAATATCCTTTCCCCCACTCCAACCCCATTTATTTAAAAACAAACAAACAAACAAAAAAACCTAAGGGTCCTACGACTTTTAATTCTCTAGTGTGCAACACAGCTTTCTCAAATCTTCTATAAGTATACTATGGGTTCATCTCAACAGGAGATGGCTAAGGTGAAGAATTGAAACTCTGTGCACCTCTTGTTAAAACATGCTTTCACTTTTTTTGTGTTGCAGTTATGTGCTGTTCTGTTTCTTTGAGGGGATTAAGTAAACATGAAAAAGAGAAGTTTGCATTACTTATGTTAGTGCCATAAACTTATTTCCAAAAAGTACCCATTTGTTAGAGAATTTAAAAATACCATACCCTTCTGTGTCCAGACTACAAGGCTGTTAACTCTGGCCTTTGCTTGCACTCTGAGGCCTCCTCCTTCCTGCCTCGATGCCTCCTATCAAGTGCCTTCTCCAGGGTATAGACTTCTCTGTGATGGGATTGGGGGAAGGGGAGGCTCAGGGGCAGAAGCCCCCTTTGTCTCCTCCGGCAACAGCCCCGACAGCCAGCATTAACTGAGGCATCTGGCTATTTAAAACAAGGCAGGGGGATAAAGTGCTGGACTAAAAGCTGCAAAGGATGTCTGGATAATCCAGCTGCATGGCTGCGTGCCAACTGCTTCCTATCCATGGTGTATTTACGTTACTCAGGCACTTCACCCCACCCAGCACAGAAATGACAATGAACTCCACTACCAAAAAGGTATAAAGGAGGAAAACTCTCTTCCCACCTTCCCTCCCCCTCTTTCTGGAAAGAATTAAACAACATCTGTTTAAAACAGATGCAGGGTTTGTTAGTGGTGGGGGGATGGGGCAGGAAGGGCAAGGGCAGATTAGTTTTAAAAATTTGCACAAGGAAACTGCTGCTGGTATGCCTTAGAAAAAAATGTCAAAACATGCTATCTTTGTCAAAAATAACAACATTTTAAAAGAATGCTTCTGAAATTAACAACTGCTGTAATGGTGTGGATCTAGTGAAGCTCCAGCCAAGGGTCCAAACCCCAACTGAATGGAGCCCGAGTGTCTGAACTTGAGCTGAACAGCCCCAACAATGTTATTACAAATGGTGTTGGACGACCAGCCCTCAATACCATATTCTTTAGTTGTGTTATGAGCAAAACTGGCTGGACTGAGGATCTCCCATTTAAATGTGGCTTCTTTAAGGAAAAAGCCTTGTGTTCCCAACATGTGGACTTTTTGTAAAAACAGGGCTTCCTGTCCCGGGATCACGCAATATGCAAAAGAGGCAGGTGACATTGTAAGTCAGGATAGGAAGGCAGAGAAAAAAATCTTTCAAAACTGGATTAGCATCTCCACAGGAAAGTTTTAGACCTCAGCCTTTATGTTCTAAGTGTTCTCCAGTTTCAAAGCAGGCCCCGTCTGGGCCACGTTACAGACATAAACCAAGGAAGTGTAGGAGATGACGGCGAGGCAGCACTGGGTCTCACAAAGAATGTGTGCTCTAGGGCCAGGCGGCCCTGAAGTCCCCAGCCCTCTCAGGAGCTGAAGAAACCTCTTTTTAAGCTTCAGTTTCCTCCTTTGCAAAATGAATAGGGGATCTACCCTGCTGGCTGAAAGTAGTGTTACAGGTCGTGTCAGATCCAGAAGTTTGGTAAGTTGTAACCATCATCATTTTTGCTGAAAGGCTACCTCAGTGACAAAAACAGGTCCTTGAAACACCAGCTTCCCTGGCCACTGAGGAGTGGGTTTCGACTGCCTGCCCTTTCCAGCTATCAGAGAGTGGAGGGGCAGGGAAGCTGTCAGGCTCTTGACAGTAGGAGGAAATTTGACATGGACCTCCAGCAATTGTCAAGAGAAGTCAGGTTTATAAAGACCAGGTTTAGTCGTCCACTGCAGGCATACCTGTAGAAGAAAATAATGCTGTCCGCCATCTGTGAACTGGCCCTCTGCTCCTGCCCCTCCCCATTTCTTTCAGGGATGGAGACTGGGACTTTTACCTCCCCCATAAATACTTCCTACAGCCAGCCCTTATCTGATTACACGGCTCCTTTATCTCTCCATTATGCTCAACATTAGATTCACTTCCTCCCAGCCTCTTCTCCACTTCACCAGACCTTGAGAGGGATTAGCCAAGATCCCAGCCTCTCCAGCCCAACTCCCAGACGCCAGCTGAGCCAAATATAACACCAACTTCTTGCAGGGAGCCAGGCACACTCACTTTATTTTAATCACATCCCCCGCCCCCGGTCTTCCTTGTGCTTATAGATTTATAAAGGCTCTTTGATTTCATCGAATTATATGTTTAAAATATTATATATGTGTGTATGAAGTATATGTGAATATAAAATACATATGACTAGTGATCTTTTTAAAAAGAATCAACAAAATGCTTCAGTAGAATCAAATGTGTTGAGAAGCTGAGGGTACTGGTCATACTTTCTATTTGTTAAGTCGGGTGGTGGTTTTGTGGGTGTTCGTCTTAAGTATCAACTACTCAAGAATTTTTTAAAAGCGGACTGCCCTGGTTTTGGAAGTTTATATATTCTGAACTTTATGGGCAAGGAAAGTTAACATAACGTAATTTTATGCATGGTGGTAACATGATTTTCTGCTCTGTACAAGCCCCTGAAGGTAGAACACTTGCTCTACACGCTATAATGTCCCAGAAAATAAGGCCTTTGTGTTAACCACCAAAATATGTACTGTTTGTGTGGTTAGGGTAGGCCATTACAGAAAACAGTGTTAACGAAAGCTCATAAATGCCCACAGTAGAAAGACTCGATCGCAAAGATGCCAGATCTGGCAGTAGCCAATTCTGGCAAAGGCCATCAGCTCTTCTCTCAAACATGGATGAGCAGGCACTGTGAGGCAGAGAAGAGATTTTCTGATCATTAAACGTTTGTTTCATAAAGAGAACCAGTTTGCATGATGTAAGATGTACAGAAGGTGAAAAGTGGGCTAAGATCACTTAACAACAGGCTTCTCCACAGTTATTTAACATCAGTGAAATCAGCCAACAAATACACTCAATGGAGAGTACTAGTAAAAGAACCCGTGTACTTAAACAGGGACTAACACTTTCCTGTGAGCTCACAGTGCCAGGGCACTATGCTCTATGTTTATCAAGAGGAGAAAACAGGCTCTTCCGTCCAGTCTTCACTGTGTCCCTGCTTTTCTGAGGTGCTGTAGCTAATCTTGCTCGTGCAGAGTAACCCCTACCCTTAGAGGACTACAACATAGCTTTGGTTTTTTGTTGTTTTGTTTTTGAGACGGAGTTTCACCCTTGTCATCCAGGCTGGAGTGCAGTGGCGCGATCTCAGCTCACTGCAACCTCTGCCTCCCAGATTTGAGCAATTCTCCTGCCTCAGCCTCTCGAGTAGCTGGGATTACAGGCGTGCTCCAACACGCCCAGCTAATTTTTGTATTTTTAGTTGAGACGGGGTTTCAGCATGTTGACCAGGCTGGTCTCAAACTCCTGGCCTCAAATGATCCACCTGCCTCAGCATCCCAAAGTGCTGGGATTACAGGCGTGAGCCACCAGGCCCAGCCAGCTTTGATTTTTAAAAATATGTTATCTTCATTATCAATTTATGTATTTTTTAAATGGTATGGAATGAGTTTTAGGAATAGAACCCTTATACAAAACACGGTACCTAAAAGGTGTGTGTAGGAGGTGGCGGTGGTAGTCTTTGCTTTACAATGACTGGGGATATGACCTTCATCCAGGAACCAATTAAGCTAAAAGCCAGGGGTCCTGCTTATGTGCAGGAGCCTCAGAGGGGGTATAAATAGGTTTTCCTTCACTCTGTTGGGCTCAGAATCTATGAGTAAAGCCAGTAAGTACTGCTGTCCTGCAAGGTCACTAGCGCCCTCTGTGTCCAAGTTCTACCCTCTCCCAAAGAGGGAGGTAAGGGGCATGTCCCTCCTCATGCCTTGGATAAGCCGAGCATCTTTGTTGTTCATGCTACCTAGCTACACTGAAGCATATAAATAAACCTCTCACCCACACACTATTTTCCAGTGCACATATTAAAAGAGGCCGTTTCCTCCATTATCATGGAAGACACTGGTCAGCATATAAATGATTATTAAACTTAATAATTTATCAATCATTCTTCAGAACCAGTATTAACAAGTCAAAGTTTGCTAGACTTGGACCTCTAGTATTTTAGTTTTCCTATTGAAATTTTAATACAGAAATACTCCTTTAAAAATAAGCTGTGAATCCCTATTTTTATAAGTGAGCAATTTTGGTTCGAAATATATGCCCATACCTTGTTTAACATACAGTGCTGATTTAGCATTCTATGTGCCTCTATACTTTCCTTTAAACCTCAGTTTAAAGGAAAATATTATAGATTTAATATTTAGATAATATAGATTTAACTTATCACTGATGTTAAATCCTAATTTAAATATAAATATTTCCCCATCGCTGAGTGCTACCTTACACCTCCAGGTCACTAGAGCCAGAGCAGCATGTATACTGCACATTCTGGCACATTATCTTGCACCTGCCTTGCAGACATCCTTGGGAGTGGAATGGATGCTCTGCCCAGCTGTCCTTAGTCAAGGGTACAAGGCAGTGTGCCATGCACCAGTCTGGCCTCCTTTCTTTCCTGCTGTGTCCTGTGACCCACAAGGGCCAAAAAAAAGGAAATGAAGCAAAGACACAAAGGAACAAAGATCAGAGCTGGAAGTTAAACACGTAAGCTTTACAGAGGCTTAGGAGCCTTTGAGGAAGTAGTTGGGAAAATACCGGCAGGCAATTAGGGATCCTCTGACATCCCCCGAGCCTGGGAGCCCTGAGTGACAGTTCTGGTAAGCTTGAAAAACCTACTGTGGCAGATGGAAGTTGGAGCTTCTAGTGCCCCCATCATCTTCTCAGAGAAAGCCCCAATTTTAGCGGCAAATCTATATGGACTGTAAATAGAAGGTGGTGATACCCACGGCATTAGCAATGCCCAGGCACACTGGAAGTTACCTCATAAAATGCTGGTTTTCTGGTTTCCATTTCAGCAAGGTTGACAAAGTTACATTAGACTCACTGCATTGTACTGTGTTTAAACGCAATTTTAAATTTCACCTCTAAGTGTTTATCTCCTGTAGCTTGAACACGTATAAATCCTGCACAGGAAAAGAGTGATTTGGCTAGATTCTATCTACAGTGCTCTCATGAAAAAAAAAAAAATCTTAATAGAAACTTTTTGATTTTATCAATACTTATTTAATCTATCAAAAATGTCTTAAGGATACCACTATATTTGTTGGTTTTTTTTTTTAAATCTTTTCAGCATTTTAATTCAGTACTCAAATTTATAAACCACAAGAATACTAAATATATACAAGATGACAGACCACGTGTAATTGGGACACAATAAAGGTTAAGGTTGTTCAACCTAAAACCCTAACATGGGGCAGTTTTAAACATGGGCAACGAAGTGTTCGCTGAAGTAAATCTTAGCTTCAGCACACAGGCAGCCAATTTTAGAAGTAATGTCTAAGACAGATTTTTAAAAAATGGCTCCTGGGCAATTTTCTCTTGTCAATATGTTCTTCTTGTGCAAGTACCTCTTGAGGTGAGTAATGCACCTGGCCCAGGAGAAGGAAAGCCCAGCAGAGGGCTGAGGTCAGGCCTGGGGGGACTGGCAGGACAGGCATGGTAGTTTAGTAATTAGATTATAATCAGCGAAGAATGGAACAACTTTTTCTTGAAGTTTGAAAACTCTTTGCTCTAATCCTTACTAATAGCAGAAATCCTAATTTTCTCATCCTGGGGGACCAGGGAACTGGAGACTCCTGGGCATATGCCTCTTAAATCCTTGGTGGGTTTCCTAGTCAACCAGTTAGGGGCCTCTGTATCAGTCACGTATCTGTGCAGCAGATAAATCACCTTAAAGAAGGCTCTACAATTAATTTAGGAAATTATGGGAAGATTTTACTGTGAAAGATTGTTGACATTCAAGGCATGTGTCAGAGGTAGTTCTGAGTTTTTTTCAAAAACCACGAAAACACGAATGGCTCTGACATGAGTAAACTACTTTAAAAAATAAAATTTATGGCCAAGTGTGGTTGCTCATGTTTGTAATCCTAGCACTTTGGGGGGACGAGGCAGGTGGATCACCCAAGGTCAGGAGTTTGAGACTAGCCTGGCTAACATGGAGAAAGCTCGTCTCCATCAAAAATACAAAAAAGTAGCCGGGCATGGTGGTGGACACCTGTAAACCCAGCTACTCAGGAGGCTGAGGTTCAAGAATCGCTTGAACCTAGGGGGCAGAGGTTGCAGTGAGGGAGTACTGGGAGTTGAGAGGCCAAAGTCTGAATCTAGGTTTATGATTTTGCTTTTATTGTCTGTCTGCTTTACTGAGTTGAGCCTGAACTTCTGGAGTTCATAATTAATCAAGATCAAAAGATTACCATCTTAAAGCAAACAAAATAACCCATCCCGAAGAAACGTTTCTTCTACTTTTTATTCCAGAAGCAGTAATTTTCTGACTTTCCCTCTGTTTTACACACCCTTCCAAAAATGGTATTTGTGATCCACATTTAAACCCCAAAGGCCAGCTAATGGAAATGTCAGATTACTAAACAAAATTAACTCTCACCACATTAAAGTGTACATGTAATAGAAAAATTGGTACTTCAAAAAACAAATGGCAAAGAGGAGTTGTTTAAAGTTAATAATCTCCAATTTAGGGCTTTAAATTGCAGCCCTTGAACTCCTATGCCTGACTTTCTCAGAATATTTTTGCTTTCTTTCACATTATTGGAGAAAACAAAGGAAGGGAGTATGTAATAACCCACCCGTTGAAATGTCTAGGAAGAAATGCCATGATATTTGCAACCTACTTTGAAATGCATTTAAAAAAACATGGAATCATGGATGGAGATAGATGGATAGATATGTGTATGATAAAACAATAATAGCAAAATGCTAATTGCAGACTTGAGGTGGTAGGCATATGGATGTTGAGCATACACTTCTTTCAACTTTTCTGAACACCTGAAAATCATAAATATTGGGAGAGTGAGAGATTTGTAGTGTTATGGTTGATTTCTAAATGGAAATCAACACTAAATCTACAAGATGCTGATAATGGTACTAAACAGAATCTGATTACTTTTCTTTCTGCTATTTAGAGTGCAGTTCCCCAGTTCCCTCTTTTTTTTTTTTTTTTTTTTTTGTGTGTGTGTACCTGCTATCTACCACCTGCCCTCTACCCCAAAGAAAACCTAATAAGAAGGTCAGGAAATGACTCTACCAAACTATGTTAATACCAAATTCTAAACCTACAAAATCCTTTACAAGCCAGCCCTTAATAAGACCTGTTCTCTGGCCGGGCGCGGTGGTTCATGCCTGTTATCCCAGCATTTTGGGAGGTTGAAGTGGGCAGATCACCTGAGGTCAGGAGTTCCAGACCAACCTGGCCAACATGGTGAAACCCCGTCTCTACTAAAAAAATACAAAAATTAGCTGGGTGTGATGGCGGGCACCTGTAATCCCAGCTACTTGGGAGGCTGAGGCAGGAGAATCGCTTGAACCCGAGAAGCGGAGTTAGAAGTGAGCTAAGATCACGCTACTGCACTCCAGCCTGGGCAACAGAATGAGTCTCTGTCTCAAAACACAAAACAAAACAAAAAACCTGCTCTCAAACAAAAGAAGGTGATAATTTAACCTATAGAGGAGGGAGGAAAATCAGCAGATCATGCTAGCAATAAGCTGACAGGATTTTTAAGAGCCTGTTTATATTCCCACAGGTCCACTAGAAATGGATGCCCTCTCAGATGGCAAGAATTACTAATGCATTTAGTTCCTTTTTTTCTAGGATTCTGCCACCTCCCTCATTAGAGATGGAGAGCTAAACACACAGATAAACAAACAACACACAGTCAAGGCACCTGTTCTCCCTGAAGCATGCTGGACGGCTTCACTTCCCTCCTGGAGAGTGGTATAGAGGTCAGCCCGAAGGCAGAGTTCAGGTCTTCACATTAGTTCCACCTCTTAAGCTATTCATACAAAGAACTGTGGAAACCGTCTATGCTAGACTCCTCTCTCACGTGGAAAAATTAAAATCCAGACTGCAGAAGGGACTTGTTCAAGGTCACTGACATTAGGGACAGATAAAGGACTAAGATCAGTCTCTGTGACAACCCCCGATCACACTTTTGAAAGGACCTCGTGTGGTGGCAGAAGTGCGCATATTCAAGTTAGGTGCTCTGGAGGATAAGTTATTCCTTATCTTGGTCCCTTGAAATTTACTGGATAGGCAACTGATTGTGAAAGGAATTCTAAGGAGAAATGAAGAGGTAACACTGGCAACACAGCTACATGAAAAAATCACAGAGCTAGAGGGTGATCCTACTCATCCTGCTGAAGTTTCACACCAATAGAGGTAATTCCTTTTTGGATCTGTTGTAATGAGTGCCGTAAGTCAGGACAGGTGACCTAACCTGACCTAACCTCCATTACACATCTTCTCACAACCGGGTGAGGCACCCCAAACTCTTATTACTGAGCTTCAGTTTCCTTATGTGTAAAATGAGGGGTAGAGACCACAAATGACTTTTGAGACCCTTTCAACTTTGATCCCTTTTCATGCTTTGTGTTTTAAAAAAATGGCCTTAAAGTCCTGTAGTTGTGGCAGAGGGCTTAGCAAACTTAAGCCACTAAAATACCCTACAAAAGCAGATCAGAAAACTTTCAGCAGTAAAATGCAACTGAGAGTATACTTTGAGTAGAGAAAAAACTTGAAACCACAAAGACCTGAAACCATGACAGACTAACAGATATGTTCTCTCAGTGCCAGTGTTATGACACAATTATGAAGTTTCCAGGAGTGAAACTGGTTTATCCAAGTATTTTGAAAAAGCAAGAAAATGATGAAAATTGAGTTTTAATAAGTTTAATAAGATCCTCTGGGGGAAAATAAAAGGTACAACCTGGTCATCTAGCTGGGTTTACGCATCCACAAATGTGAGATTCTCTTTAGCCACATGGAAGAAAAACCCCATGACATATTTATGGAACAAATGCAGGCCAAGAAGAGAAGAGAGATCTACCCTTTTTCTCCCAAACAGTTGATTCTATCTGCCTTATCAGTTGACTCAACATGAACTCCCCAGCCCCAATCTTTACTACATTCAGAGTGAAAAGGAGAAAATGTTAGGAAAAGGTAACAAAGCAATTATTTAGCTTAAAAATAGGGAAAGACATTTCTTATAGACCTCTGCTAAAGCAGCTCAGTGCACATCAAGTTGCAACTTAGGTTTAAGTTGCTTCAATGTGACAAATAATTTCTGGTCCAAACGTAAGTCAGTTGTTTGAAATTGGAATGTATCTTCCCTACAGAAAAAACATAAAATGGTGGGCAACTGGGTTCCCAATCCAGCCCACGAAAGCCCAATCAACGTGGAAAAATATTCCCAAATGTTTCAACTGCTTACTGACAGTCTCCTTGACAAGAAGCCTCTTTCCCCACTGCCAGAAAGGCCAGTTCCTCTCAGCTCTTGCTGGGTTTTGGCCAAGGGCTTTCCTATCTGGGGGTGGGGTGAGGGAGAAAAGGTAAGGAGGAGGAATTCTTCTTAAACTTCTGATTTAGGCTTCATTTTGGGGATCCTCAGAATGTGGCACCACTGAATCTTGAATGGCTCTAAAAGGATCCGTACTGATGTTATTTTACAAATCCCAACTTAAGTGTTACTGGGGAAATTCTTTCCTTTTAGGGTCACAATGACTGTTGGTGAGCAATTAAGTCAAGTGTCAGGCTCATAGGATATAGTCATGATGCAATGGATTCTTGACTAGTTGACTACACAGAGGGACAGGATTTGTCCTACAAGCGCAATTTCCTTCCGAGTTATAACAAGACAGAGCCATCCACTCAGTACACATATTTCCCATGTTACTTTCCTGACATAAAAGAACTAGGCAGCAAGGATAATGTAAAGGCCAACTAGCTACCAAGCTTCCTCAGTTTTAACACGTTAGTCTTAAAATATTTTTTCATTTATAAGGGAGTAGTGTAGTTTGAAGTACTTGATTCAGAAAGAACTCCAGGAAATACTAGAGCTATCTCCACCTCCCAAAGCCAACTAGCTTGTGGAGGCACTAGAAGGCATTTTTTTTCAAGACTCATGATTTTCACAGATAACTGAAACCCTGCGTGGCTAAGCTGCTGAAGTTGGGCTTTCCTGGCCATCACCAACATGTTTGCAGCAGGGAGCCCAACCAAGCTTTAAGTCATGCAGTCTGTGGTGGTTAAAGACCACTGCTGGCTGGGCGCAGTGACTCACGCTTGTAATCCCAGCACTGTGGGAGGCTGAGGCGGGTGGATCATGAGGTCAGGAGATCCAGACCATCCTGCCTAACACGGTGAAGCCCCGTCTCTACCAAAAATGCAAAAAATTGGGCCAGGTGCGGTGGCTCATGCCTGTAATCCCAGCACTTTGGGAGGCCAAGGAGGGTGGATTACCTGAGGTCAGGAGTTTAAGACCAGCCTGGCAAACATGGTGAAACTCCGTCTCTACTAAAAGTACAAAACTCAGCCTGGTGTGGTTCTGTGTGCCTGTAGTCCCAGCTACTCGGGAGCCTGGGGCAGGAGAATCGCTAGAACCCCGGAGGCGGAGGTTGCAGTGAGCCAAGGTCGCGTCACTGCACTCCAACCTGGGCGACAGAGCGAGACTCCATCTCAAAAAAAAAAAAAACAAAAAAAAACAAAAAAAAAACAAAAAAAAAAAAAACAAAGACCAAAAGACCACTGCTCAAGACAGGACAACCAAGTGGCTACTGCCAACTTCTTCCACCAGAGAGCTTTACTGACAGGTGGAAGGGCCCTCGACTTAATGTTGGTCAAAAGGAACAACTCTCTGCTCATTTCACTCACTGGTGTGCTTCAGCCACTTCTCAGGACTAACTTCACACAGTTTCATTCTCCAGGAAAGTCACAGTCACTGAAAGCATCCTGGATATGCCATCCCCTGAAAACTGCCGCACACCCAGCAGTGAGTTGCTGGCATATATGGAAGCTCTTGTGTTAACTTTTTCTTGTGTGTTCGCATATAGCGAATTAACCTTAACACCTGTGGTCCATACATACAATGGAATTATTCCGCCTTAACAAAGAAGGAAACATTGTCATATGCTATAACATGGATGAATCTTGAGGATATTGTGCTAAGTGAAACGTCAGTCACAAAAAGAAATACTGCATGATTTGTTCCGCTTACACCAGCTATCTAAATGTGACTAGTCAAAGTCCTAGAAACAAAAAGGAGAACAGTGGTTGCCAGAGGCGGGGGGCTGGGGAGGGGAGTGAGTTGTTTAATTGGGAAAGAGTTTCAGTTTTGGATGATGAAAACGTTCTAGAGATCTATTATACAAACTTGGATATAGTTAACACTACTGTACTGTTCACTTACAAATGGTTAAGATGATATACGCTATGTTATGTGTTTTTTACCACAATAAAAAAAGATAAACTGTGAAACAAAGAGAGGCTACTTGAAATAGGTAAAGAACCCCAAATTTAGAAATGTTGGGTTTAGCTTAGGAGCATTTCTGCAGTCCTTAAGAAGTAAACATTCACTTTGGGAGGCCAAAGCAGGAGGATTGCTTAAGCCCAGGAGTTTGAGACCAGCCTGTGCAACAATGTGGGACCTCATCTCTATTTTTATTAAAAAATTCTTTTAAAAGAAAAAAGGAGTAAACATTAACACTATTTAAAAAGTTAACTTTCCCCTAATTACAAAAGTAACATATGTCCCCATTATGCAAACTACATACATCACAACCCTCCCTTAAAAAGCATTCTTCTATACTATGAGGAGCAATTAATAAATATGCAAGACCTTCTCAAGAAAACTATAAAAGGAAGATCTTATGCTTCAAATGTAAGTGTAAATGTTGGCTTTGCTTTGTTCCTTGGGGTACCAGGTGAATCATATATAAGAAAAACACAAACATTTCCTTTGGTACTGGTTTTACTGAGACAAAAATGGCTTTTCTTACAAAATCATTTCAAAGAAGAACAGAAGAAAGTTAAACAAAATAGATTTTCCCTGAATTGTTAGCTCTGACAAATTCCTCTAATCCTTAGGCAGTTCTACTTTAATAGAAAGAACACTTACAATGTCTACAACACCAGCAACAGAATACACCAAAATATTTTTCATGATTAGTCCCTTTTCATCTCTTGTATTCTAACCTCAGTTGTAAAGATTAAACACACAGATTATTAAACACACACACATAATCACAAGAATTTCCTGACAGTTCCATTTCTTCTACATGGGGGTTAAGCGATGTTTTTTAATATTACTCAAAGCAGGGAAAAAGGGGCTGTTTTATTTTTCTTTGGAACAGGTTCCAGCCAGATTTTGCACATTGCAGTTCTCTGGCGACGTGATGAGAACACATGCCCACCCACAGACACTAATTTTGCTCTTCACCCCTCCCAAGCAGCCTTTATGACACATGCTGTCTGTGCTTCATTTAATGGAATTCAAGAGGCCCAGTCAAACAGCAGAGCCCCACAGGGCCAGGGCAACAACAGGCAACCCATCTCCTCCACTGGATGGGTACAGGGAACATGTGTTTAAAAGAAAACAACAACAACAAAAAAAGCCAAATCTAGCTTGGACATCTCCAATCTGAAGAATCTTTACAAATGAATGAATGAAGTCATCTCTTCGATTGAAATCAAGAAAGAGATAGTAATCTTGCTGTAGTTCTTATACACTGAACTCTATGAAGATGATGCAGCTAACTGTCTGAGCTGCTCTCAGATGTGCAGCAAAGAAGGTATCACTCTCATCCCAAGCCAAAAGCTCTAAGAGGGCTGAAGTGCCAGCCTGCTTCTGCAGCACTTGCTTTCTCTATGGTCATCATCTGTTTTTTTTTGTTTTTGTTTTTTTTGAGATGGAGTCTCACTCTGTCGCCCAGGCTGGAGTGCAGTGGCGCGATCTGGGCTCACTGCAAGCTCCGCCTCCCGGGTTCACGCCATTCTCCTGCCTCAGCCTCCCCAGTAGCTGCAACTACAGGCGCCCGACACCACGCCCAGCTAATTGTTTTGTATTTTTAGTAGAGATGGGATTTCACTGTGTTAGCCAGGATGGTCTCGATCTCCTGACCTGGTGATCCACCCACCTCAGCCTCCCAAAGTGTTGGGATTACAGGCGTAAGCCACTGCGCCCGGCCGTCACCTGTTATGAAGAAACCTTGGCAAATAAGAATCCAACTGGGTTGGGAGGCCAAGGTGGGTGGATAACCTGAGGTCAGGGGTTCGAGACCAGCCTGGCCATCATGGTGAAACTCCATCTCTACCAAAAATACAAAATTAGCCAGGCGTGGTGGTGCATGTCTGTAATCCTAGCTACTTGGGAGGCTGAGGCAGGAGAATCGCTTGAACCAGGGAGGTGAAGGTTGCAGTGAGCCAAGATCATGCCATTGCACTCCAGCCTGGGCAACAAGAGTGAAACTCCATTTCAAAAAAAAAAAGAAAAGAAAAGAAAAGAAAAAAACGGCTGGGCACGGTGGCTCATGCCTGTAAACCCAGCACTTTGGGAGGCCGAGGCGGGCGAGCAGGCCAGCCTGCTTCTGCAGCACTTGCTTTCTCTATGGTCATCATGTTTTGTTTTTTTTTTTTTTTTTTTTTTTTGAAAGGTTTGAGACCAGTCTGACCAAAGTGGAGAAAACCTGTCTCTACTAAAAATATAAAATTAGCTGGGTGTGGTGGCACATGCCTGTAATCCCAGCTACTCGGAGGCTGAGGCAGGAGAATCACTTGAACTTGGGAGGCGTAGGTTGCAGTGAGCCGAGATTGTGCCATTGCACTCCACCCTGGGCAATAAGAGCAAAACTCCGTCTCAAAAAAAAAAAAAAAAAAAAAAATTCCAACTGGGAATGCGCACGGTTTCCACAACTATGCCACATATAGCTCAAGACAATCCAGGTGCAGTTGACGCAACAAGCTGTCAGCAAACATGTACCCGGAAGAATGTTCAGGGTTCACAGAAGTCCATGCTGGTTTGATAAGAGGGTGATCATTCATCCCATTTGTACATTTAGGAGTTTATGTCGTTAGAAGGCTGATCCACGCTTGTCTCTGGCTTTTCTGAGCTACACAGGAATGTTGCTATTTCTAGATAATGATATAAGATTTACCTACAAGTGTTATTAATCCCACCCAGTATGGCAGAATGACCATAAACTCCAGATGTGGGGAGGACAATATCACAGCAGACAGTGAGCAATGGACAGCAGGCGATAGACAGGCCAAGCCTCCTGAGGCAGTGATCATCATGACCACACATCCATAAACCACACATCCGGACAGCAAGGACAGACTGCAGACTCTGTAACAAACAGGTCTCCCTCCAAATACAAATAAGGATGTTTAAATGTTGGTAGGTGATCTATACTAATTTTACATAAACCTGTTTTTATAAAATGTTTATTGAATTCGTAATAGCTTTGAGTCTTTAGAATATAATTTTAGTAAGTGCTAAAAATCTGCAAGCCAGCAAAGATTGGGAAAAATTGTTCCACTAAAATATCTTGGACACTCTTAACCTTTCAGGATTCAAATGCTCTCCCTGACTCTCACTCTCCCCAAGAAAAAGGAAAAACAAAAATCTTTTTTCCAAGGTTATGTCACTCTACTTGGCTCAGAAGACATGGCCACCAAAACTATCAAATGGATTTTTGAGTAGAGCAGTTCTTTCTTGATTTCCATCCAAGCAGAGTTAGGTTTTGAAGAACCAAAAAGGAATAGCTCAAAGCTGCTTATACACAATAGCAATGAGTGGCTCTGGATTGTAGACTCCAGTAAATCTATGAATAAAAGAAAACCCAGGGAGGAATTTATCTCCAATAACAATGAATCCCCACTAGGGCGGGAATTAAGAGAAGAACCGGACTGGGCTCAGATTTGAAACACTTTTAAATGTAACACTCCCCAGCACATTGCTCTGAACATAGGCAGCGTCTCACTCAATATCTATTGATTGCTTCCAAGTTGAATGATATGAGACCTTTGGAACTGGCCATGGCTCTGTATTCCTTTTCCCTCAAAAGGGAAAGAAGGCATCTAAAAACCACGTGGTTCCTTTGGACTGATGGCTCACAGTGCTTAACAGCAAAGGGGCCTCTGAGGCGTGGCAGCCACAACCCTAGGAGTGATTATCATTGTCCAATTTCAATGGTCAGTATACCCTCTGTGTACTGTAACCAAAGCTAACAGAATATGGTGCTCTGGAAAGAATGTGGACAGGACCTGAGCGAGTCCCAACTATACAAATCACAGAAAAACAAGACACAGAAAGTGTCACTAAATCAAGAACTTTAAAATAAATGTTTTTTTTATCCCTGACTATAATCATTTACCATAGGCCTCAAGGAAAAAAAAAATGCTACCATGAAACCTAATGTTTCCGTGAAAGCACAGGAAATTAGTTATTCTGTCTTTAAAATAAAACAAAATTAATGTATATTTTTCTAATGAATTTGATAAAGTGAACCCTAAGTTGAGTGTGGCATTCACCAAAACTATAAGAAAAAACCCCGTTTACTATAAGATGGCAAAATATGGGTCTTAGTTCAAGCTAACACTTTTAAAGTAGCCTTTCTTTCACAACTTAAAAAAATGTTGTTAATAAAAAATGGCCCTCACTTTGAATCTGAAGTATTTTTTAATGTCACCAAGTGCTATTATTAAATGTGTACTATATATGCATGTATACACACATAAAAATAAGCACTACAGATGTGGGCATGAAAATTCTTAGCAAAACCCCCACATATTTCAAATACTGTTCTTCTTCATTATTGTCCTCTACCATAATTAGCACGTTACAGCATAACAGGTGGCTTTCATTTATAGAATGCAAAATTAATGAAATTTAGAGATGGTCTTGTCTCCAAAAACAAATTGGCCATTCTATAAAAAGTACACCCCTTAATCTACAAAACAAACAGAAACAAACTCCCTTCATGCTGGTTTTCCAAATTATAGGAATTTCTGAATGTAGTTAAGTAAATTGAATGCATTTACTGACAGCTTAAAATTCATACACTTCAAGGAAAACAAGTCATTATTATGGATTTTATAAGAAAGGGGAAGAGAAACAAAGATTGCCGATTTTTCCAGCTTGGTAACCCCAGATCTGTTTAATGCTCTCTGAGTGATAACAGGATTTACTGCTATACACTGGGCTGCTCCACAAATGCTAAATCTTAGGCAAATTTGTGGGCAGTTGTGTTATAGGTCCTGACCTAGCCATTCTGGACAGACAGACCAGGAAAGCATAAATAGTACTGCTATAAACTAACTATAGCATCTGTCCCTAACAAGCAAGACTCACAAAGTATTTTTTTAAAATATGAGGAGACACTGAATAGACTGTCAACACACATAGGAATGTTTAATACACTCAAATAAATAAGATATGTGCTTTAACTAGTCAGACATTGTTTAAATTTAGTGGGTGAAGAAAGAGAGAGGGTCAGACAGGCAGACACAGCCTCCCAATTATGCAGAATGATCCTTCAGATCATGTGAACGCTATAATTAAATGTTGCTACCAAATCCCCACTACCCTTTCTCCCACCTAGAAAAAGTTAATGCATGAATTCAGTATGAGCAAATTGTGATTTATAAAAACAAACAAACAAACAAACAAACAAAACCCACCCTATTCACTCCGTAGGGGAATAAAGCTTTCTTGCATTAAGTCACGCATCATGGGGGTAGGAAAAAAGCACAGTACTGAAAGAAATCCAACGTAACACAATAGTAATTGTTAGACCACCTCCTTCAGCTCACCTCTGCTTATTCATTTGTTTTAAAGCTCTACACTACCCACCCAAGAGGTATACCATCTCTGCAAGCTGTTTCCTAGGCAGCATCTTTTAGATTCAGGACTTAATAATAAAAAACAACAACAACAACAACAAAACATTTCTATCAGAATATCTAAGGAGAAATTTGTTTTCAGAAAGAGGCATGAGAGGCTAAGAGCTCTGTGTCTATCAACAGACCAGAGGTTACCTATCTGTCCTTGCACGTGGGCACACACAAATACAAACACATACACACTGTGGTCCTCTACAACTAGGATAAATTTTCTCCTTTAAAAAAATGCTAAAAGCAGGCACCAGAAAGGTTAAGAATAAGAGAACAATGAAAAAATAAAGTTCATGTAAACAGTAAGCACGTACCTGCCAGGCGATGCCATTTCCTCTACATTGTGGAGCCCGAGTGCTGGGTATTAGCATTATTGCTACTATAAAGCTTCCGATAAAAATGGATCGTCTCTTGCTGACCTGAGAACCAGCTGGCTGCCTGAGAAGTGGTTTCCCCCATATATGATTCAGTCTCCTTGACAAATATACTGCATTGTACCGGATGAGTCATCCGAGGGTTAGTCCGCATTTTATAGGCCTGTTGTGTCATTACTCACATTCAACATCCTGCTTCTCAAAAGTGGAAACTGGAAGCCTGACAGCTGACAGATGCGTTTTCCAATTAAAATATTGTTTTAAAAATTCCTGTAAGTTATGATTACCAATCATTGATGAAAGGATGAAATGCCCAGGAAGCAAATGGCACAGTTCAATACCTGAGATTACATTCTGGAGAACCACAAGTGCAAATTCTTCACCTGCCCCCAGCCCCAAACCAAAGAATTTCGTCCAAAGTTGAGAGCAAGGATCCCTCTCTTTAAAGTTATCAGCTGAATTCGTGTAGGCATGGACTTGTTGATTCTTGTGCTGTGAGGTTACCCAGCTGCAGAAGCTATGTAAAAAGTATACATCAAAATTTTGGTCCTGGATTAATTTTATAGGTGGGATAGTGGCATTGTGTTTATAAAATGTCTACTTTTTTAGAGAGGCATGTTGAAGTATGTTAGGGGTAAAATGATATGATATCTGGGGTTTGTTGTGAATATTTTAGCAAAAAATAAATAAGGGACGGGGTAAAGAAATGTGGCAAAATCTTGATAAATGGTTGCATCTGTGTAGTGCGTATATGCAGGCTGACTGTATTTCTCTTTTTTGAAGTATCTTTGAAAATTTTCATAATAAAATGTTTTTAAAAATTAAAAAAAATTTTTTTTTCAGTCCCTGCAATCTAATTTATACCTAAACAAGGCACTTTTCTAGTTAGGTATAGAGCTACCACACATGTGAGTGTGGGAGCTGAACTTGAAGTTGTTTCTGCCTTCCAGCTGGGAGGTATGATACATGTATCCTGCGGCTGTTGTGAGTGTTGCATCAACCTCCTGAACAAACGCCTAGTGCCTTCTCCTCCCAGGGCGATCTGGTGATTGTTTCCTTATGCATTCTCTGAGGACACAAGCCCTGGCTTCATGGCTCAGTGTTAACGTTATGAAGGAGAGGTGACTATACCCAGCTTCCTTACAAGGTTTTGGAAATGCTCCATGAGAGGTTATGTAAGTCACATCCATAGTCTCTTAAACCAGCAGGCCCTTTGGTAATGTGGCACAGGGTTTGCTTGACTCACTTAATGTTCAAATTGGGTGTCTTAAACCATCTGGAGGAGGAAGAGCTTTGATTTAGTGGCTGACAAAAAAAAAATCCAGATATGGAAGCTCCAATGTATGTGAAATAAAACCACTGTTGAAACTGGCTGTCACTTTAAAAACTATCCATATTGATGCGCTGTGAAAACATGACAAGTCACCACAGGAAACAAAATAGAGGGGTCACTAAAGCCCAGAGCTCCTGCATGGCCCCCTTAGTCCTGAAACTTAAAAATGGAAGCATGTTTCAGGCTGAGGTTCACACCTCAGCAAACAGCTGACTCTAATTCTTAAAGGACCCTGTCTAATAGGACTTCAAACTGGCTCCAAATGGTTGGGACAGTCCCATCCAACATCAAATTACAACCTCACTAATCCAGACTGATTAGGATTGTGCATGGGCCTCAACTGAAGACTTCCTTGGCTTTGACAATTCTTTCCTCCTCACGAGGACTGCAGGCTGCAGCCTTATCAAAATGTTTCCTTGAAATTTTATAACTTTTCACACACTTGAAAAGCATAATTTACCTTAATGCAGCAGGTAGAAATGGGGGAAATTAATAAACTTGTAGTCTAATTTGAGTTTCTATAGTATTTTGGAGAAATAAGTTCACAGTTCATTGAAGAATTTTATAATTCAGATTTCAGTAATGAAAAATACAAAAATAATAGCAATAATAATGTGTGCACACATGCACAAACAATGAGAATAAGGCAAAGATAGTAAAATGGTAACAAATGGGGAAATGAGAATAGGGGAGTCCTTCATACTGTTCTTGCAACATTTCTGTAATTATGAACTGTTTCAAAATAAACTTAAACATTCACAAACACACAGGAATGAATATATATAACCCCTATTCCTAAAAAAATTAAAAAAGAGATTATTGGGTGCAGTGGCTCATGCCCGTAATCCCAACACTTTGGGAGGCTGAGGTGGGAGGACTGCTTGAGGCTGGAGACCAGCCTGGGCAACAAAGTGAGACCCTGTCTCTACAAAAAATACAAAAAGTAGCTGGGCATGGTGGTGCATGCCTGTGGTCCCAGCTACACAGAAAGCTGAGGCAGGAGGATAGCCTGAACCTGGGAGGCTGAAGCTGCAGTAAGCTATGTTTGCACCACCGCACTCCAGCCTGGGTGATGGAGCAAAAGACCATGTCTCAAAAAAAAATGATTTTTTAAGTATTTAATAATCACCACAGTTACTGTTGCTGACATGCCCACCCATTTGAAAAATATTGGACCATAAAGAAATTTACCAAAGTGTTAACACTGGGAAATGCCTCTGGGTTTGGGTTTCTCAAAGGATATTCCTTATAAACATTTTTATAAGGGGAGACACATACATACACATACACACACACACACATACACACACACATGCACACATTTTGGGAAAACATCATACTATATCCCTGAGAATATTGTTCAAGTTTTTCTAGGCTTGCATTTTCCAAATTTATTTGACCACAGAATCCCCACCCCCAACCCCCACTACCATCCCAATAAGCCTGAAGAAAGAACTTTGGTGGTGATAGCATATGCGATACTTTTCCCCTGATCTTTTACTTTTACTCTAAGTTTTCTTCAGAACACATTTTACTCATTATAACAACAAAGGCATCAAAACATGGTTCCTACCATCTTTAACAGACATTTCTGTTTGGTCGACTTGCATGCTAATGATACCACTATTTAGAAAACAACTTAATTATGCAATTTCTAGTCTCCCCTGACCACAGAGCAGCTTCAGGTCTAATTCTGGCTTAGAGGTAGGGAAACAGCAGAAGCTGCTCTGTGCCACCAGCAGCTGAGGAGCCTGCACCTGTGTGCAATGGCTTGGCAGCTCATGCCAGTGCTGGGCCTGGGTGAGGCCATTCCAAGGAGTAGTATAGCTTGCTGAAGGCCTGGCTCCACCTCACTATTTTCAGAGCACAGGGTCTTAGAACCTGGAAAGCAGCCTGGACATATATGTCTTCTGCCTCTGAGCTCTCCAGGACTTCATGTATTCATTTCCTAGCACTGATCCTCGGCAGGTAAGAAGCAAAACTAGCTGTAACTATACAGCAAAACTTTAGCTATATATGTATATAACTTAAGTCCAAATACTGGCTTATGTCAGGATCTAAAAGAAAATGCGGATATCAATGATGCAGGTACTGTAGGCTGACTGTATTGTGTAGTGGTATAAAGCATGAGTTTGGAGTGAAATTTACTTGTTCCAAATTCAACCTTGCCTACACTTAATGTTATTTAACTTCTCTAAGCCTCTGCTTCCTTACCTGTAAGATGGGTACAATACTATTAATAATCTTACAGAATTGTTTTGAATGGTATAAATGCGACCATTCGCAACAAGTACTTAGCATAGAGCCTGGCCACATACAGAACACTCATCAATTTATGTGAACAACGACAATGATTATTAGTAAATTTTATGAATTTAGACTCTCTCAGAGGTGGGCAAATTATGGCCAGCCACACATTCGAGTGTTTATATGCTGTCTATGGCTGCTTGAGAGCTACAAAGGCAGGACTGAGCAGCTGTGACAGAAACCATACGGTCCCCAAAGCTGAAAATATTTACCATCTAACTTTCATAGAGAAAATTCGTTGACCCCCAGTGATCAACATTTGGGTGAATAAAGAACCAGATCTTTTTCCTACAGAAATGTTGGTTGTTGGTCCCTTATTCTCCTCAATGTCCCAATTTAGAATCAGATACAAGAGTGTTATTTATAGTGATTTGGTCCACAGGATCTGTAGTTCACACTTTCCTTATAATGCAAAACACATACACAGCTTTCTGTCTTGCGGTAGGAGGGGAAATCTACAGTGCCTGAGGTTGCCTGTTGGTCTTTCCATCTCCCCTCTTTCCTGACCAGCCCATTCAGAAAGGACCTCCCCTATTTCAGAGTCCAGTGATTCCAGCTGAAGTGTATGAGTCCACAGCCATCCTCCCCTCCCCCGAAGTCACATTTGTGCATTATGTAGAAACCACACATGTCCCCAGAGGTTGAAGCAAGAGGTGAAAGATGATCTGGAAGAGGCATGCAGGAAACTAAGCAAACAGAAATGAAGGATGCTTTCAAGGGGGCTGAATAGCCACACACAGGATTAACAAGGCAGTGAGGGCCTTCAGAAATGAGGGCTACAGCCACCCTGTCGCTGCCCGTAAGAGCTCAGTAAGGAAAATGAGGGCCAACCCAGAAAAATGAAGAACGTGCCTCAAAATCAGGTCCCAAGACATATCCCCGCATCCAATCATACTGAATATTTTTTTTGGCAGGAAAACTTGTTTATTTGGGGGAAATGAATCCACAGCATTAATGGATAATGCAGTTGAAGGAACTCCTGGGACTGGTCTCTGGGAGGGGAAATTTGCACAAAAGAAACCATTCTAACTGCCTTCAGTTATGTTCTCTTGAAAAAAGAAGCCTCAGCCAGCTGTTTGAACAGATTAAACTGGGGTGTACTTAGATATACACAGTGTCTTTCTGGTGGTCACTTGCTGCCTTACTGGAAAATATCAACATCTTTGAGAAGTCAATCCAATAGAGAAATGTCTATGTTAAATACTGATGAGAATGATGAAGGCTGGTCAAGGAGGCGGCGGAGGCAGATGATTTCTATTGTTACCTAGTAGAGCCGGGCCTTCAGTACACACAGTGACAAATCTTACTTGAAGCTAAGTCAGTTTTCAGCTATGTTTCTTAAAGTGTAACGGGCTGGCAGAGGGGGTAAAATAAAGCTCTCTCCAAAGCTCAGGGTTAATTTGGGGATGTTCAGCTTGGCCAGAGCCAGAAGACCTGGCTCTCGCAGATGAAATGCATATGGGCTATTATGCCAAGTAGATTGAAAAAAAAAAGTAAGAGGCTCAACCGGGCGCGGTGGCTCACGCCTCTAATCCCAGCACTTTGGGAGGCCGGGGCAGGCAGATCATTTGAGTTCAGGAGTTTGAAATGAGCTTGGCTAACATGGTGAAAGCCCGTCTCTACTAAAAATACAAAAATTATCCGGGTGTGGTGGATGCCTGTAATCCCAGCTACTTGGGAGGCTGAGGCAGGAGAATCGTTTGAGCCCGGGAAGCAGAGGTTGCAGTGAACAGAGATCGCACCACTGCACTCCTGCCTGGAAGACAGAGCGAGACTGTCTCAAAAAAGAAAGAAAGAAAAAAAAAAGGCTCTATAATGTAAGGATCTTTCAGAGCTAGGACTGTGGTTTCAGCCCAGGTTTCTTTAGGGAAAGGCAAAGGGAACTCACATTCTCCCAAAGCCCACTCTGTGTGGGGTGCTCCATAGGGTTCTATTATCACACCCGTAAATTCTGTTCCTGGACTGTGTGGAGGGAAAATCAGGGCTGGATTAGTCGGCAGGCTTTGTCTAGATAGTCTGAGTTTCTCCTGCACAGTATGTTAAACAAATGCAGCAGGCCTGATGAGAGAGGAAGAATCCAAAATACATTAGAAATATGGGAAAGTCACTCTGGGAAAGTATGGGAAGAGCCGGGGGCTTGATTAGCAATGAAAAGGGAATGGTTGCGGCATTCAGGGTGCTGATTATGTGGCTGATGGGAGGCCAGGTGTCTATGAGAGGAGACCAGTTTCCCCTTAAAGCCTGGCAAAAGAGTGTTGAGGACCAACCAGGACAAGGCCTGGCTTCAGACCTGGTTGCAAACAGACCAAGTCTAGATCTAGAAGTGGAATTTGAAGTTCAAGGGATTGGGTTAACTCAAGTCCTGGAAATGAGATAAAGGGAGTTAAGGAGTGACCATTTAATGTATTTAGCAACTGACAGGCTGAACAATGAGGTCTGAGCTTGAAATCAGCTTAAAGTTGAATGACCTATTCCTTAAGGAGCACTTGCACCAAGAGGATCATTAACCGGACTAAGCATGCTAGACCCAAATCTGCCACTCAGGCCAACTCAACCCATTCTGCTGTTTCCCTACCTCTAAGCCAGAATTAGACCTGAAGCTGCTCTGTAAAATTCTAAGAATAGTCTTAAGCAGAGAAATCTATTACTCACCTTGATGCTGGCCACAAAAAACTTATCCAAGACAGCTTCCTAGCTAAGTAAACCTTTCACATGGAAGCTATCTGTTTGTCAGATGCCTATACAGCTGTGGACATGGAAATGTCTTCTAAGAACTTTCAACAATACTTTTTAATCATTCTCCTAGGTAAACAGCCCATAATTAATGGAGTTAGAAATCTTGCAAATTTATTCTATTGAGAGGCAGTAGCTTTGGCCTAGCTTTGCCACTAGTTATACAACCTGAGGTAGAGTCACTTAACTTCTTTGTGCTTCAAATTCCTTGTCTAGAAAATGCAGGGTTTAAACTAGTTTAGTACCTGAAGCTCCAACACAGCGAAATGAGAAAACTGCCTAACAATAAAAGTACCCCATAAAGAAGAGGGGAGTGGAAAGAAAGCTGGGCACTGTTGGTGGATCAAGACCAATGGATTGGGAGGAAAGCTATGTCCCTGATGCTGGATCTAAGAGACCACACCAAACTCACACACCAGTCCAAAAGGATGTGGATCTTACCCCAAAGCTAGAACTCACTTTTCCTTACAAACAAACATTAGTCAACAGCAGCAGCTAATGTCAATATTAGCTATGGTTATGTAATATGCAAACACTGAGTTTTAGAATTACACTGGACTTTTATCCCAAACAAAGACCCAAGATGGGGAGACAGAGTCTATAGCACAATCTCTTCTGTCTTCATGGCAATTGGTGCCACAATTACAGCATTTTGCTATGACTTGCATGTCATCTTTGCCACTGGACTTGAGATTCTCTAGGTCTTTTCTTTTTCATTTTTCCTTTTGTAGCTCTGCATTTGGCACATGGTAAACCCACGGTAGACTGGGTTTCTTCATTCATTCAACAAACACAGATTATCTTTTATTGGCTTCTACAGGGGGTAGAGATAAGGATTACATGAGGGGAGGAAATGACAACAGCAAACTTCTGTGATGTGTATTTTTTTCTTCATTACAAAAAGTGATAAATTCACTACAGAAAATTTAGCAAATGCAAAGAAAAACATTCACCTGAAATACATCTAGGCAGACGAATGTAAGAGTCTTACAGGCATCCACAGTATGTGAGGCACGTTTGCTAACTTAACGTACTTTTCGCCACTGAGATCCATTTAAAAAATTACTGGAAAATAACATTCCCGTTTTTCTATTTATTCATTCCTGATAAAAACAAAAGAGATTGTGCACAGGGCTTAGCAAGATTTTATTTTCTTCTGCTTTCGTTCAGCTTCCCAGAGGGGCAAATAAATAATTTATGGGGTTCACACCTTATGAACCTTAGACATTAACTACAGAACTAGAAGAGCTGCCTGGAATTCTAAACTGGACTTCAGAAATACCTAGGTCCAGACCAAGCACACTTGATGGAAGAGAAAATTACAGCTGTTGATCAAGTTCCTTGTACAAATTTAACTGCAGGAGCCAGAACTGGGCCTGATTCTAAATTCATTGTTCTAAATTCTAAATTCATTGTTCATTACTAAGATTCTAAATTCAGATTCTAAACTCATTGTTCCTTACTAAGAATTAGCTACCTAACTAAAACAAATCCCAAAATTCTGTCACAGTTAACTTTCTGGTTTCTCATGATTCCAGAATAAGAAAAGTAGATGATCACATCTAGGATATTTACCTGGATGAGAATTCTCAGGTGGCAGGTTAAATAAATCACCAGCAGGGCAGCCAAAGTTACTAAATACTTGAAAATTCTTCCTGGCTCTGCCACAAACATTTCAGCTCTAACAGAAATTTTAAAAATAGGCCAGTGAAGGTGAGTCAGGGCTCACTGGTTAATAGATGGGAAACTATCAGATAAAGCTTACAGACGACTGACTTGGGGCCCAACTTCCTGCCCATGGCTTACCTGCATTCTGCATAGGGGAGGCATGTGTGGAGAGCACCCAACTTGTTTCGAGTATCTCCTCCTCTCAGGTATCCCCAAGAGTGAGCCTAATACAGCTTGCTGGGAGAGGGGAGAGAAGCGGGTATCCAAAGCACCTCACCAAGAAAAGAAGCTTGCTGTGTGTGGCAGATGAGTGTTTTACAGGGGTGTCTCATAGGTGCACAGTTACCCTTTCCAATTGAACAACGCACACTCAGCAAGAGCCTGAGAACATTTAGAGAGTAGAGGCCCTTCCTCTGAAGAACACATACCCTGGAGTTGGCTGAGACTTGGGGGCCCCTGCCCACGTGCCTTGCCACCCCTGATGTGCCTCAAGCATTTAAAGTTGCAGCACATACTCATGTGTCAACATGGCTCTTAAATGCCAGTCAATGACTTCAACTGGCACTCCATCACAGGAACATTAACTCTTCCCAGCACTGGAGGAAGAGGCGAAGGCTTGTATGCCGGTCTCAGGTAGCTGTGACCACATGTGATTTCCACTGTGTGTATAGCCCTATTCAAAAGGGACAGAGATCTGTAGGGGAGATGACAAGTCCCTGATCAAATCTCAACTGACCAGCACTCATCCTCATAATAGTACTCACGTAGTCCTCATTCAAGGAAGAAAAGGGCCAAAGGAGGAGGGCTTACCCACTCTCTTCATTTAGCTGGCATTAAAAGGACAGCTCTCAAGTTTCATTAAAGTAAGTGTCAGCTGGCTAAGACGAAACAGTAGGGGGAATGGACAGTCAATGTGGGCTCTACCTATTTTGTAGGTAGAAACCTAATAGTAATGCACAAACCAGAATAAAATAGAAAAGGTACATTTGTGGCAGAGCCGAGAATAGATCCCAAGTGTCCTTGAATTTCATTTTTCAGAACACTTTTAAACTTTTAAACAAGGTTCATTCTCACGGTTCTTTGTTTCAAGTCTCCCCAAAGATCTTCTCTGCCTCTTTCTCCACTCAAGATGGAGAAAGGAGTTCCACGGATTTCATTTGTTTGTTTCCCATGAGCCCCCGATGCTAAGAATGTGTGGAGTGTGAAGAGCAAGTCTTAACATTTGAACATTCCAAAGCTACCAGGGTGGGACCAGTTCAGCTCAGAGAGATTTTGCTACCACTCAGGACAAGCTGGAAATAAACACAAACATACAGACAATATGGTGCACAGAATGCCAACAGGTAAGCAAGAGAGACTGGGGTGGGAGAGGAGGCCATGCTCTTGTGCTCCCTATCCTCCCACCACACCTCCTCCGAAGAAAGAAGACAGCAGCCCACTATGTTGTGGGACATAGGCACCTGCCTTCCCTGTTCCCTACAGTTAAACTTTAGAGGCTGTCAGCTCAGTTTATATTTCAGGGTGAAGAAGGGGAAACGCCCATGGGCTCCAGGAGCCAACCATGTATTTATTATCTGTTGCTGAGGAAAGCATCATGGGAAGAACAGGGCACGGCATTCCATGGGTCCGTTTCAGAGCAGATTCTGGACTGTTTAAATGTGGATAAGCAGTGGCCAGAAGCTTACAAAACAGATTAACTGGGGCATAATGAAGCCATTAATTTATCTGTACAATGTAAAGATAGATGCATTTTTCTTTTTAATTTTATTAATTGTTCTGTATAGGTATCATATTGATTTGATTCATAAATCAAAATACAAAGGCGTACTCCCACCATCCCATCTGCCCCATTCCTTCTCCTACCCAACATGCCAGTGGTACCCATTTCTTAAAGGTTGCTTTGTGTATCCTTCTAGGGTTTATGCAAATATTAATATGTATTCTCTCCCAAACTCATCTCACAAAAAAGGTAGCAAGCACGTTATTCACATGTTCTAGACCTTGCTGTTTATCTCTTCACAGTCTTTCCATATTTTTTTTTTGAGATGGAGTCTCACTCTGTTGCCCAGTCTGGAGTGCAGTGGCGCAATCTCGGCTCACTGCAAGCTCTGCCTCCCGGGTTTACGCCATTCTCCTGCCTCAGCCTCCTGAGTAGCTGGGACTACAGACGCCCGCCACCATGCCCGGCTAATTTTTTGTATTTTTAGTAGAGACGGGGTTTCACCGTGTTAGCCAGGATGGTCTCGATCTCCTGACCTCATGATCCGCCTGCCTCGGCCTCCCAAAGTGCTGAGATTACAGGCGTGAGCCACCATGCCTGGCCACAATCTTTCCATATTGAAACACAACTAATTCATTTCCTTTTATATCTGCACAATATTCCACTATAGGGATGTACCATGATTTATTTAACTAGTTTCTTATTAATGAACATTTAGTGTTTTCCAAACTTTTTGCTGTTAAAAATAATCCTGTGATAAATAACCTTATACATTAGAGTTGCCTTTACATATTAAGATGCTTGTTTACTGCTCTGTAACCATCTAACCATGATACAAAGACAGAAGAAAATCTTGCAACTGTAAACCCATCTGAAATCAAGACAAAGCCCTTCTAAAGAAGAAAAAAGCTACAGAAAAATAAAACCAAATTTAGATTTGTTGGGTCAGGATAATGAATGATGCATACGTGGTAGCACTGGATTGGTATTTGTGAAAGGAGTGATACAGTTTGATTATTTAGGCTGCCCATTCTCCATCCTTATCCTCCTCTTGCCGACCCCCCAAAGCCTCATCACCCATTAAAGCTGCAGCGTCTGACTCTAAGAAATTCTAACAGTGTTCGGTCTCATAGAGGGGGAACACTGTGGCAAAGCAATGACTGATGAGGTGGTAGGTGTTACCTCAGAGGGCAGAAACTCACCCCCTCCTTTCCTGGTCATCGTCTGACCTGAACCCAGATGCCCAGCTGGAGATAAGACTGCATAGAGCCATCTGCACACCAAGGAAAGGAAGGCTGTGTGGGTGTTGGCTGGTCCTTCCATCAGAACACAAGTCCTGGGCAACTCCCTAGGTAACTGTCAAAGCGGCAGTCCTCAGCAGAGACCAAAGAGGAGCCCGGGGGCAGTCCCAGCACTTCTCAGACACAGCCTCCAGCAAAGGGGCAGGAAATTCTAAGCTGTCCACGGAGCTGACTCATACTCTCTTTCCACATGCATCCTGAAGGTTCTATTCTAAGTTTACCAAAGGGAACATGCCTTCAGGCAGAAGCAGAGCACAGAAGTGGTTGTGGCTGGGGCTTCAATTAGCATTTCCTCTGTAACATGTCAAGATCCCACCAGAAGGGCTAAGGAAGGAAGGAGGAGAGAGCCCATCCAGTAAACATCAGCTGAGCCAAATTCCATTGACACCTCTTTTCAGAAGTGCATATGCATCGTTACCTGTGTACACAATGACAGTTTAATTACCCTGGGGTTAAAGTCAAACTACTAAAAGTGAGTAACACTTGTTTGGGCTTTAATTGGAATAAACCAAATGTATAAAGGTATTTTTCAGACAAATTGGAGAAAATAGAACATGGATTTGGTATTAGATGAGATTAAAGAACTACTGTTAATTTTCTTAGGTGTGATCATGGTATTGCGGTTCTTGTTTTAAAGTCCTTATCTCTCAGAAATACATACTGAAGTATTTATAGATGAAATTATATGTCAGGGATTTGCTTTAAAATACTGCAGTCCACCCCCTCCATACAAGAAAAAGTGTGTGTGTGGGGCGGAGGAGACATGAATGACAGCTGGGTGATGAGTACATGGGGTGGGGGCATATACTACTCTATCTCTGTCAATGTTTCACGGTAAAAAGGAAAAAGAGCTGTTAAAATGGCTATATGCCACTGAGACCTCACTAGTGACCAGAACAGGCAGTGTGGCCCCATAGGGGTGACATTGTGTCCTGTGTGATCCTCAGATGATAAGAGTTGGTGACCGCACAAAAGTCAACCCAGTAAGTAACTGCACTCGATTTTTCATTCCATCAACTAACACATTGGTTCTCAAATGTGGCTGCACACTGGAATCACCTGGAGGGGTTACTTTTGTTGTTTTAATTCATGCCTAATTTAATTGTTTGGGGTACAGCCTGAATTTCTGGATTTTAAAAAGTTCCCCAGTAATTCTAATGTACAGTGAAGTTTGAGAGTTAGTACTCTGAGAACCTAACATACCAGTTCAGGAAGATATCAAGGGTAAGCGAATGAGAAAGGACAGGGGCAGCTGGATGCTCTCTGCTCAAGCCTTTCCTGGGACCCCCTTGGCCTGATTATCTGTCTCTCTAGGGCCTCCAAGTCTGGGGTCCAGGCTGAGCATCCCTACATTACCGGTGCAATCAAAGATGACACGAGAGCTATAGTAAAAACTAGGGACTTGGCAAACAGGTTAAAATGAGAAGCTGGACCTACTTTAAAGCCAGATGAGAAGTGACTTTTTACCAATATCAGGATTGCAGTGGATACACCAAGTGTTCCATTGAGTGTTCCCCCTCACCCACCTGAGCATTAAGTGCTAATGTGCATCTTGCTGAGAGCAGCTTATGTTAGCTACAGAAAAACTCCTGTTTTAAGAGGCTGAGGGGTCTTAAGCAGTGAAATTTGTCATAGCTGCTGAGTACTGGGGCCCTAACAGCTGGTCTTATTCAAGCAAAGAGGAAGGAGAATTCTCTTAGGAGGGCAAGCCTCTCCTCACAAAGAGACTGGGGCCATTTTCCTGTGGCAGGTGGCATACTCTGACGAGCAACGATGAGCCTCTGCCTACTTTCTTGTGGCAAAAAGATAGATTCTGGTGTCATTCTCAGAGCCTGGGAGAGGTGGAACACTTGCTCTGTTGAGTCCCCTCATCTGTGTAACTCCTATGACCTTCCCTCCTATGACAACCCTGAAGTGTAATCATGTTTCCATTTTATAGATGAGCGTAATGAGGCTCATGAAACCTTAGTTACTATGCTTGAGTCGACACTGCAATAGAGAGCAGGGCTGGAATCTGACCCAGCCAAACTCCAAGGCACTACACTTTCTCCACAGCAAAGTCCTCTAAGAGATACTTTAGGATAGAATGAACATGGCACCTCTCATTTCCACCTGTAGGAAATAATACAAAGGTTGCTTGGTCACACATCCTCCTAGATGAACCTATTAGTCATCATGAGCCTTGAACTTTGCTTTATCGTGTTCCATGGGGACATGCATTCTTCCTCCACCCACCCCAGCTGGGTGTTGCTTTCCAGCTGCCCTGGCTGCTCTGTCCGTGGCACTATACAAGGAGGTTGAGTGCTTCTTACACACCCAACTCTAAAGTCCTTGCTGAGGATACCAACCTGAGGGTCCTTCCCTTGACCTGCACTCACATATTCAGGTTTGAATTCTGTATATCATAAGGTATAGAGAAACCTGGTGTGCAAGTCAACCTAAGTCAAAAGTCACGTTTTGGACTCTACTCCTTGGATGCAGAGAACCTTCTCTGTTACTGGTCCCATTTGTAGCTATGCAAGCCCCAAAGACAAGGTCGACTCAGGTGCCAGTATCACTTAATACCGTAGGTGTAAATAAGACTAATTTTTTCTCTCTAGACTCAACCTTATAGATCTTAGTCAAGGCTGCGTACTCATCCCCAAACCCCTGTCATTAAAGCTTTTGCCCCAGGAGACTCTACTGGCGTTCCAGAGACGCTGTCAGAAGTCAAAAGCTGTCTGGAACCTTTCTTATGGAACTGCCTTCGAGGCTAGTCAATCATGAATGAGTCAGCCATTAAAAAAAATTCCATCCTTACTGTTAGTTAAACACCATTTTTAAAATTTCAGTGGCTCAAAGCTTGTTCTGGACTTATTTACCAAACTTAGCTCTAATAAACTTAAAAATCTACCTTTACAAGATAAATACTTACTAGTGCCAAGTATGGCCCCCACTTTCTCTCTTTTTTTCTTCTGAAAAGAGTTCCACAAAGGCTTCTGAAAATGTTTCCAGTAAATGGCTGTGAGATCAAGTTGAGAGAGGAGTCTCCTGAGGTGAGGTCATGGCTTTGAAAGATATAACATTCAAATACAGACGTATGTGTTCAGATGCAAAGGTACATGCTCTGAAGTGTTTGCCTTAAAACAACAAAAAATTCAAGCCACGATTATATCTTCTATTACATGTTATATAGATTATGCTCCATCAAAGAGCATTAAATGGCATTAATGATATTAATGACATTGACATGCCAAGTACACTTTGCCTTTATGTGTCCTCTTTAATTCTCATTGCAGTTCTCTGAGGAAGGCGCTCTTAGGATCCCCATTTTAGAACTGGGGAAACTGCTGCCCAGAGAAGGAGTAGCCCAACCTATGAAGCCATTGAGAGGTCAAACCAAATAGGCAGCCTGACTCCAGACACATGGCTCTTTCTTACCCCTTTGCTCATTTCCAAACCTCACCAAGTTAGCCCAGCAAAGCTCAGAGGCGCTCAGTGCTCCTCAACTCGTAGCTCAGCTGGTTTGGCAACCCAGAATTTAACCCTCCCTTGGTGTTGTGTCCCAGCCTGCACCAGCAGATGTCTTGATAATAGACAAATGCTCATGCAGAATGGAACGGTAACATACATGGGCTGGTCTAGGCAGTGCAGAATGACACCTTAACAGTTAAACACTCGGCAGCTCTAAAGCAGCATGGCCCAAGTTGTGTTCCCTGCCCACCAATTTCTAGCTTGGTCAACTTATTTCATCTCTCTAACCTGCAGTTTCTCTATCTGCAAAACAGGGAAACAAGAGTATCTCCTCTGGGGCATCTTGGGGTTTGTTATGCTAGTTAGCTGCACATAGCAAAAGGCACTTTGCATAGTACCTTCATACAGCAAGCCCTTAATACATGTTGACACCTATGGCAATTATTCCAGCAAAGGTTCAGTACATGACAGACAGCAGGGTGGGCAAAATGTGGCAAAAGCAGGGAGGTGCCTCGGTGCAGGGCCGCTCCACTGGCTGATGACAGAAGCCCTCAGCCCCGGTCCCTGAGCAGAGAGATCTCACCGTGTAATATCCTCTAGCAAATGGGAACTGTGCAATTCAACAGGTTCTGCCTGGACCTCTGAAGTCAACATGAGACTCCTCCTTGCAACAGGGAATTACTTGGGGGCTTTCAGACACCAGTGGAATTCCCCCCACCACACACACCTTTTTCCTAAAATGCCAGCTTGACATTAGGAGGTTGGTTGTGGGTCTGCACTTCTGTACTTCTCAAAGCAGGAGTTTCCTTGGTTTCACATCCACCTTGTGTTTTCCCAATATATGTCTGCGCTTGAGTAACCACTCCAAAGGGAGAAGGGAGGGGGAACTGGTCTAAAAGAGTGGCTTCCCAGTCTTTGCTGGGTGGTTTCTGAGATGGTCCTGCAGAGGAAGGGTTAAAAGGCAGCTACTGGAGCAGCCTGACCTGTGGGCAAAAGAACAATTTAAACAAGAAAATAAAATAAAACAATAGCCCCTCTGGACACCATCACCTCCACAGGTCCCATGTGGGACAGAAGGGAAGAGTTCTGCATTTAAAAAAAGATTTCCAGGAAGAAGGCTGGTCCAGGAAGAAGGCTACGAAGAAGAAGAAGAAAAAAAAGCCAGGGGGGGTGCTTTGGAAAGGATTTTTAGAAATTCTTGCTGCTGCTTATTAAATTATTAACTTTTTGCCTGGAAGCAGGCTGTCCCACACACTACCCTAGGCAGTCTAGGGTTAGGGCTGGGTAACCCCCCCTCAGCCAGACCACTAAGGAGAGGAGCCTCTGGGAATGTACTGGTTTCAAAGCCACAACTGGCAGCTGAACTCACAGCACAGACTAGCGGTACTGTCCCATAGAAATGGAAACTGAGCCACATACACAGTTTAAAATTTTCTAGTAGTCACATTTAAAGAGTAATTAAAAAGCAGGTGTCATTAATTATAACATAGTTGACACAAACCAAGATATCTAAAATATTTGTTTCCACAGTAACCAAAATAAAATAATCATTAATGAGATACTTCACATTCTTTTTTTTCTTTTTGTAATAAGGCTTCAAAATCCAATGTGTATTTTGCACTTTTAGTCAGTTCGTACAAGCCTCATTTCCAGGTTCAACAGCCCAGGTGGCAAGGACTACATACTTGACAGTGTGGGTCTAGAAGCCACGGTGTGGCGCAGTAATTCTCAGTGGAGTCACCTGGATCTCTAAGGGGGAGGGGTGCTGCCTTGCGGTGGTGTGTTTGAAAAATGTGGCATCCCAGCCCCACCTCGGAAGGCCTCAGTAAAAGGCAGCTGGCCTTTCTCCAAGTTCCGCTGCGGCACAAGCCGCCACCCACGCAGCCCGGTCACCACCGCCTCTCTGCAAGAGTCATACAAGAAGGCTTACGTTTTAAAAATACCACCGGCATGCTAGCTTGGCGTCTGTAAGCACAAAAAGTAGGAGAGCAAGGAAGGGCTCCAGAGGCAGGTGGACCGGGCCGATGAGTAAAGCGCCCACGCCTGCTTAACCATACTTGTCTATCAGGTCTGAACTCGGCCCAAGCTTCAACAGAGCTTTTCCCTCTTGCTCTGTGCTGTCATGAGCACCAAGTTCACTCTAGTTCCCTTGTCTGTGAGGCCGGGGCCCTGTTTCTAGTTGGAAGATGCTGTAAGAACAAGTGATGGTCCAATGAGGGGTATTTTGAGCTCTTCAAAGGAGCAGAATTTCTTTAGCTAATATCCCCTGTGGTATTCAACAGGGAATTTAAAATATCCTCAGATAGGGCCCTCTTCAGCTATTACTTTATGTCCTTAGAACTCTGGCCAGAAAGAAGCTACCTTTCACATGGAGGAGGGAGGCTGAGTGCCCATCAAAACCCACCAAAGGCCGCTCCCCACCGTTACGTGGGTTCCCTATGTTCTGAGATAAGGCTTTCTGGTTTGGCCCTACTTGCTGTGGTGCCTAATCGAAATCTCCCTAAGGAGAAGTCTGACACACGAGTATGGAAAAGTTCTCTTATCATTTGGAGAATATAATTTAGGGCTGGGTAGATAAACATGTACAGGAAATACTTCTATAGAGGTCTTGATCCTCTGAAGATTAATAACCCATGGAACTGGAGCCCAGCCTCAAACTCAGAGGAAATAGGCAAGTTATAAAAACAGGAAGAACGGGAAGTTTATTTTTGGATGAATATTTGTTCTAGTGAAGCTCTCGATACTGACAAAAACCTTGATCTGCAGGTCATTTGCTGTAGCTGAGCAGCTGCAGTGCATGTTTCTACAAGCTGTCCCACCAGAGATTTCCGGGTCTTTCTGGAAAGAGCCTTGCCCCACTCCTGCAAAACATCTGCCTCGCTGCCACTGGCTGAGGGACTTCTTTCTCCTGCATTCTTGATGTGCAGGATCTGCTCAGCTAGAAGCCTCAGCCACCTGCAACGGCCGCTCTCGGCCTCCTTCCCAGTGCCCAGAGCCGGCCTATCTCCACCAGGTGTGGGAACTGCAGCTCTCGGTGTCTATCCCAGCGTGGTGTTATCAGCCTCCCTCGGTGGACTGCTGGCCTCCCTGGTCTCACAGCCTCCAGTGCCCCTTTCTCCCAACCCTGTCAGCATACTTTCCATGGCTCCCTACTGCTTATGGAATAAAGTCAGATGTTCCCAAGCTTGACGGGCAAAGCTCTTCACAATCCAGCCAAATCTACTTTTACAGTCCCATCTCCATAGGCAGGACCAGCTGCATGATTTGCAGGGCCTGGTACAAAATGAAAATAATTTGTTATTTATTAACTAAATAATAATTAGTTCAAAACTTAGTAAGAATTTCAAGGCAGCAACAGCAGAGCATTAAACCAAGTGTGGGGCCCTTCTGAGAGCAAGCCGGTGTGGTAGCATAGGGTGCAGGCCCGTGAGGCCAGCCCCTTCCCCACACCTCCCTTAGACCGACCCCAGAAGGCAGATGCTACCCCCACGGAGAAAAGCCCTCCTTACCTCTTCCTCACTCCAGTGAAACTCATCCTTTCCCTCAAGGAAGACTTCAAGACAAGAAGATCGGTTTCCACCCTGTCAGGTCCCCATTCAGAGGCACTCTCTGGCCTTGATTTACAGTATGCTTATTCATTTGCCTGTCTCTCATGCACACCTCGATTCACCAAGAGTTCCAGGCTCCTTGTTCATTGCCTGTTCATTTCTGTGCCCTCCTCTCCACCTGTTCAGAACAAAACTTGACACACAGTAGATCTGCTATAAATTTCTATGGTATGTTCACTAGAAATTTTGCTTTCCACTTCTTCTTTTTTTTTTTTTTTGAGACGGACTCTTGCTCTGTCACCCAGGCTGGAGTGCAGTGGCGCCATCTCGGCTCACTGCAACCTCTGCCTCCCAGGTTCAAGCAATTCTCCTGTCTCAGCCTCCCTGAGTAGCTGGGACTACAGGCGCACCACCACACCTGGCTAATTTTTGTATTTTTAGTAGAGATGGGGTTTCACCATGTTTGCCAGGCTGGTCTCAAACTCCTGACCTCAGGTGATCCGCCTGCCTTGGCCTCCCAAAATGCTGTCATTGCAGGTGTGAGCCACCACGCCCGGCCTGCTTTCCACTTCTAATGAATACTTACAAAGCCTCTTATGACCTTGCTGACTGATTAAAGGAAAAATTAAAAATTTCCTAAGATTTCCCCTTTACATAAGAGGAGATGCCCACGCCCTCTGGGGAGTTGGAGGGCGTCTGAACAGGAACTTCCATTAACCGCCATTGTGAACTGGGCTACCCAGACACAAAGGCTGCCCATGTTGTCTTTGGCAGTTGCTTCACAGGTAACCATGCCAGTGCTGCAGTGGAGGGGAGGCGTGGCAGAGGGATGGGAGTTAGGAGAGTCAGCATGACCCTCTTTCACCTTCCTGGTCTGATACAGCGGTGGGGAGAAACCAGAGAGGAAGAAGGTCATCTGATGTTTGATTCCCTACCCACTGCCACCAAGAAGTGGAAGGAGAAGGGCAAGAACCTAGGATTTTCATACCTAGAAACTTTAAATGAGCTCTCATTTCTTTGGAAATGATGACCTTTTCAGGGAAAATGCTTATGGGCTCTTGAGTTCCTTTAGAGCAAAGCGGCAGAAGAGACAGATGATGATCCCCACTCCCCTAATAAATGCAGACCTGCGTTAGTGTTTTTCAAGAGGAAGAAAAACACTGGACATCCCAAATAGCTTCCTAAATGTTCAGGTAAAGTTGATTTTTCCAGCAATTGTTAACTGATCATGCCCATGGGAGATGGTGAGGCAAAGAAGGGGGATGATATTGTATCAGAAAGCACAGGACTGGTCGGGTGCGGTGGCTCACGCCTGTAATCCCAGCACTTTGGGAAGCGGGGGCGGGAGGATCGCCTGAGGTCAGGAGTTTGAGACCAGCCTGGCCAACAGGGTGAAACCTCATCTCTACTAAAGATACAAAAATTAGCTGGGCGTGGTAGCGGGTGCCTATAATCCTAGCTACTCGGGAGGCTGAGGCAGGAGAATCGCTTGAACCCGGGAGATGGAGGTTGCAGGGAGCCGAGATCGCGCCATTGCACTCCAGCCTGGGCGACAAGAGTGAGACTCTGTCTCAAAAAAAAAAAAAAAAAAAGAAAGCACTGGTATCAGAAGGTCTTCACTAGATTTAATCAAGGGACCTTCTTACCCCAGCAGGGCATTCAGCAACCACAATAGTAGTAGCAGCAGCTAACAATTATGGAGACAAGTATTCACTAGGTAAGGGCCAGGTCACGTCCTCTCTATCGTACCTCTCATGGCATTGGTACCATCTGTACTCTTTTTGTTTACATGCTTCTATGCATATTGTGTATCTCCCCCTTAAGAATGTAAGGTCACTTCTGATTATGCAACACCCAGAACAGTGCTGCAAACTTAGTAAGCTCATAATGCAATCATGAATTTGACAAATATACATCATCTTCATCCTTACAGTATGGCTTCCATTTTTATAGAGGAAGAGAGATCAAGTAAAGCTCGGACTATCTATATAAGGAAGGAAATTTCAGGTTTGGGCTCTTCAGCTGTCATTCTGTATATTCAGAGCACTCTGTGTTTCAGAAGTCTTGGGCATAAAAGCATCTTTTAAAAATAACGTCTACTTTTGTAACAAACCTGCACGTTGTGCACATGTACCCTAAAACTTAAAGTATAATTTAAAAAAACAACAAAACAAAAAATAAGAATGTCTGCTTTAGAGACCCAGCTTTCCCACCATACTTCACCTAGAACTCACACGGATGAACAGTTTTCTACATATGGCTAAGAGCTTTTTTTTTTTTTTTAAGTTGAACCTGGTTCTAATGTTATAGAAAAACACTTCAACGTAAAGTATTCAGTGAATACCCTAAATGTCTAAAACCCCAAAGGGGAAGCCAGTGGGGCTCTCACAGTATTGATGGAGTGAATTTAAGGCACTGTCTAAATGCCTTGTGCAGTGTGGGCTGTGTGGGAGGTGCACAGTGGGTGCTGGCTCCCTCTGTTGGGGTCACAGAACACAGGGGCAGGAATTCTACATTGCTGACCGGAACAATCTCCTCAGCCACCTCTGCCTTGGTCTGTACTGCCGCTCTCGCACTTTCTCTTTAGGGAATACAGTCATTGCTCTCTAGTGATGCCCACCACACAAGGAATCATATTCACAGAGGTGTCTTGTTTCCATAGCTAAAACAGTCATTTGTAACACGGATCAGCTGGTTTTCACAGAAAACAATGGTAAGCACACCTAGGTCTCAGTTTACTTAGCAGAGAGCAACAGCTAAATATATTCAATTCTGATACCAATAAATGAAAAATCATAGCAAAATCGTCAAAACATATCTGTAAACACTTCTAAATTATTTTGGAAGTAACTAGGGCCTACATTGGAAAGGTTAGGTATTTGTGTGCATACTAACTCCAGAGTGAAGATACTATAGAGTTTGGTTAAAACAAATTTAAAAATTTAAATATATAAATGCATTTCCAATTTAGATCTAAAGACTATGAAACTAAAAATGCCGATTTACCATAAACATATAATATATATACATGTATATGAAAGGAAATGTATACACACTGAAAACCTAGGGAAAGCAAATTCTTTTCTTTTTCTTTTTTTTTTTGAGAGTTTGGCTCTGTTGCCCAGGCTGGAGTGCAGTGGCATGATCTCAGTTCACTGCATTCTCCGCCTCCCACATTCAAGCGATTCTCCTGCCTCCGCCTCCCAAGTAGCTGGGATTACACATGTGCACCACCATGTCTGGCTAATTTTTGTATTTTCAGTAGAGACAGGGTTTCACCATGTTGGCCAGGTTGGTCTCGAACTCCTGACCTCAAGTGATCTGCCTCGGCCTCCCAAAGTGCTGGGATTACAGGCATGAGCCACCACGCCCAGCGGAGAACGAATTTCTAAAAACCACCACGATGCAGCCATGCAGCTCGCGTCTTCAGCTTCAGCACATCACACAGCCGCACAGAGCTGGGCCAGCGCCTCACCCACATGCTGTGTTCACTTATTTTAATAAAGCGTGTATGGGGAAAAGAAAGTTCAACCTGAGTGAATCCAGTGCTTATGAAACTCTGAATATGAGCCCTCAAGGTAGAGATCGCGTGTCTCCTATTAGGGGCCGGGCCAAAGACATTATCAGTGCCCAACAAATGACGGTGAGGTCATGCCAGCCCTAGGCGGCATGTGGGCAGGGCCGCCCTGCCTGCCCAGTGCCTGGCTCCCAGCTAAAGTACCTGCTCCTACTTGATCCTGGGCCTTGAAAAATTAGCCAAGGCCCATGGGCTTACGGCTCCATTTTCAGTGACTTCTTGAGCCCATAAGAGTATAGTGAGTACAGTGAGGGTGGCTGGGAGATGTCCTGGTCTCCTACTGCAGGGTTTACCATGTGCTCTTAGGGGCTGTTATCAATTAGGCAGGAAGTCCCTCAGTCCCCTCCAGTGATTCTTCCAGGGCAGACAAAGGACCAAAAGCAGGAGGGGGGTGGTGAAAAGCAATTTTTCCCCAAAACAGGCACACCACACACACACACACCCCAACTAAAAACACTACTGTTGTGTTCACGGATGTTTCCTAGGTACCCAAAGCAAAACCCAAACCCTGAGCATGTGGTTTCATATTATAAAGGCCCTATTCTTTAATTAAAATGGTCTTTCTCCATCTCACTGTAGCCCACCCCCTCCTTGGCTCAGGGGTAAATTGCTCTCCCAGGCAGCCACACAAGCCACCAATTCAGCCAATATCCACAGAGAAAGCTGGCGAGTCACTGGGATTTGAAAGGTTCAACAGGTGGGGGTCAGGACAGAGATTCTGTACTGGGAGGGGCAGGCATCAGGGCTGCAGGACTCCTGCCTGTCCCTATGCTCTGGCCTCTGAGACCCCAGCCCTCTTTCCTCTGGAGGATGAAAGGCCCTTCCCTTCACAGCTCTGTGCCAGTGTGAGGAATCCATCTGGCCAGGCCCGAGAGTTCAATTCTCCCTTGTTCTCACCCCAAGAGATGCCTCATTTCCTCTTCCAGAGACAGCAATACAAAGACATGCTCAACCTTTTTTTTTTTTTTTTTTAAGGGAACACCTTGCCTTGGGAGAAGCACAATCTTTCCTTTGAACATGAAACATTCTAAAGACACCCTACTTTTACAGTGGAGAAACAGTTAATTTTTCTACATTACTTCTCCTCTTACCCCTGAAGGGTGTGTTGGGGGAGGAAGGAGGGTGACACCCACTTTTGAGAAACATATAGATTCTGCGAAACATAACACACACAGTCCAAATTTAAACTTTGTTTTAGCTTAAGCATCCCAGTCCCCACAAGGAAGTACCCCAAACTTTGTTGTGTTATTTGTTTATTAACAGATTTCTAAGATTTAAAAGCAAAAACATCACCCATAGCTAAAAAGAAATGTAGATGTGGTGCTTCTACCTCATGAGTGAGGAATGCTGGTGCCCTCTCATTGTTCAATTAATGTGACAAAACAATTATAGAATTTCTGGCATCGTTCTCAGAAATTCTGACAAGTTCAGACAATAACTAAAGGTATTTCTTTTTGATACAGAAATGGAGTTGCTCTAACTTGAATGATGGTTAGGAAGATCTTTGCCATACACAGACTTTGAAGGAGTGAGAAATTTTGCAGGAGTAAAATGGCATTATTAATAAAAAATTGAAATACACTTTTAAAAAATGGAAAGTAAAGCAAGTTTGTTGAAGAAGTGTTTAAAACAGGTAAGCAAAAACAATAAACCCACTACTCAGAGATAATACTGTTAACAAAACAATGTGCAAGTGTGAGGGTCTTTGTGGAGCAAAGCTGAGGATGGACACCCTGATACACATCACCCCTTTCCTATGTTTGGATTCTTCCTGCAATTCGCAGAGACCAGAACCCTCACGGAAGCTTGTGACACCTCCAGAAATGTTTGATGGTCTGGGCAGAGGAGCCAAAATCACCTTTCTGAGAGGAAGGTGACTGATGAGCCAGACCTGGCAAAATAAAAGAAAAGGAGAAGTGTTTCCAGAAATAACCAAGGCTGCACCTGCACCCAGTCCTTTGCCACAAGACCATGTAGCAAAACTGAAAGAACTCTATCACCAGAGAACAGTAACTCTGCCATGGAAATCCCCGCCCCGGCTCCCTCCCGACAGGTGGAAGATGTTTCCTCTGTGTAAGGTCAAAGGCAGTCCTGGCAATGACTGTGGGACTGGAGTGAGCCTGGCCAGCCCAGAGGTTTGGCGTGGGGAGTAACAGCATCGTTACTGTTGAGAGAGGCAGCAAGAGGAGAGGCTGGAGTCGGGGATCTACAGAGATGCAGGAGGTGGTCAATGGCCCAGACTCTGGATCCGAACTGCCTGAGTTCAAATCCAGATTCTGTCAAGGGCTGTGTGGCTATGGGTGAATTACTCCATGTCTCTATGCCTCTGTAAATGGGGATGCAACAACAGTATCTAGTTCATAGGGTTATGATGATTAAACTGTGAACCACCAAAAGCATTTAGAGCACTGTGGGCTACATGTAAATGCTATTTAAGTCTTTGCACATTTACTCTTTCCCTGTATTTTCTAGAACAAGTCACGTTAATTTTATCATCAGAAAATCTACTCCCTGGGCCAAGCACAGTGGCTCATGCCTGTAATCCCAGCACTTTGGGAGGCCAAGGTAGTGGATCACTTGAGCTCAGGAGTTTGAGACCAGCCTAGGCAACATGTAAAACCCCGTCTCTACAAAAAATGCAAAATAAAATTAGCTGGGTGTGGGGGTGCATGCCTGTAGTCCCAGCTACTTGGGCAGGTGAGGTGGGAGAATCGCTTGAGCCTGGGAGGCAGAGGCTGCAGTGAGCCAGGTTCATGCCACTGCACTCCAGCCTGGGTGACAGAGCGAGACTCCATCTCAAAAAAAAAAAAAAAAATCTACTGCCTGACTACCACACAGGCCCCATGAGCTTGTCACTTTATCTTTGGCCCTTCCTTTCAAATGGGCACAACCTCACCTTAATGTGTACACACACACACACACACACACACACACACACACGAATCATTAATTGTCCAGAGTAGGACTTCCAGTGCTAAAACCAGGGCAGTACCAGGCCAACGGGAACAGGTGGTCACCTTAATATAACATAAAAGAATAAACAAGAAAAACAAGAGTCATGCCAGTAACACCACAGCTCAGAAATGATGGACCCATGCTAACATTCTGGTGTAGTTCCCGAAATTCTTTTGCTATGCACGTTTTAGGCAAACTTTAGGCAAAATTTGGATCATGTTATGTAGGCAGAATTCTGTATTGGATTTTCATTCAGTTTTGTATTGCCCATCTTATTAACATTCCTTAAAAGTACTATTTTCCAAGGCTGCATAATATATCAATAGAATGTTCCAGGTGGCTTAACCATTGTAATAGGTTCTTATCAACAGTTTCACTCACAAAACTTTAAACACTGCCCATAAATGTGTTTTCACTTGACTATTATCTTTAAGTTTCTAGAGGAGAAATTTTTAGACAAGAGGATGAATTTTTTTTTAAAAGAAGTATTACAGGTTACCAAACTGCTTTCCAGAAAGGGTGCACTGAATTCTACTCTCAAACAACAGGGCATGAAAAATGTTCCCTCACCAAAACCACAATAGCATTTTAAAATATTTTTCTTTCTGGTAATAATAACAGTTGAAAAGCTGCTATTATGTTTTCATTGCATTAGTTGAAATTTGTAGGGTTAAATATATTGTGCTATATTTATTTAGTCAACTATATATTTCTTTTTTGTTAGCCTGGTGTTTTTTTAAAAAGTATTAAGTTATCTGTTTTCTCCTGGTTGTCTTTGTCTCTTTTTATAATCTCCTGAACTCTTCATAGTTTTATATTAACTCATAATGGAGGCAAATTTTACATATTTGTTAAATTTGTCTCTGATATTGCACAAACTTATGTTTCGAAATTTATCAGTGATTTCCTCTGTCATTTCTTCCAGAATTTCTTTTTTTTTTTTTTTTTTTTTGGAGACAGGGTCTTGCTCTGTCACCTACACTGGAGTGCAGTGGTGCAATCATGGCTCCCTGAAGCCTCAACCTTCTGGGCTCAAGCGATCCTCCCACTCAGCCTCCCAACCACAGGTGACAACAGGTGTGCATTACCATGCCTGGCTAATTTTAATTTTTGTAGAGACAGGGTATCATTATGTTGCCCAGGCTGGTCTCGAACTCTTGGGCTCAAGTGATCCTCCTACCTCAGCCTCCCAAAGTGCTAAGATTACAGGCGTGAGCCACTAAACCCAGTCTCTTCCAAAACTTTTATGTGTGGACAACCCTTCTTCCTTTAGAGAGGAGTTGAATATCCACCTACATGTTCTTCTAGTTTATTTTTTATTTTAAGGATTTCGTTTTTTTAGTATTCATCTTATAGTCTTAAAATGTGAGGTCAAGCTCTATATTAGAACAAAATCACAAAGCCCATGGTACAATGGAGTTGTGTTGAAATGAGGAAATTGTTAGAAATTAAATCCACAGGATACAAACTAGGGATTTGCATGAGACCTACTCTCAGTAATGAATCAGTTCATTAAAAAGCTGTACTTGACAATGAATAGGATTAATCAGAACATGCCAGGGACACTCAGTCCTCCCCCTCCTCCAAGCCCTTGTCTTCCTAAGGGTTGTCGGGGAAGACTGTTGAGAGTGGCAAGGATGAGGGACGGAAGCAGAGGGCAGCACATGGACCAGCACGGGACCATGGATCCGTCAGACCTCCATGAACTAGAGATTCTACCTGCTACTCAACAGCAAGAAAAGGAACTTCGAGGAGCCTGCAAAGAGTTTAAAATAGATCTCTCCTTTTCAAAAGGCAAAAGATCATGGAACTAGCTATTTTTCTTACAAAAAGTTGTTGCTACAGAGATAAAAATAAGGCAGTATGTTATTTTAAATAATCCTAAATGTAGCTTCCAACCACTTTTAGACTCCTGCACAGAGATAGATGCAGTACTATTGTAAAAAACCCAATGTTGCGAATGTGGCATCTCTCCCCAGCCTGACTCTCCACCTACATTTCCAGCCTCTACTCCCTTCCCCAAAATCCAGAGCTGAAAATTGCTATTTTATGCAATACCTGTTTAGTGATTAATCATAAGGCTTTTTTTTTTTTTTCTTTTTTTTGAGATGGAGTCTGGCTCTGTCTCCCAGGCTGGAGTGCAGTGGCACAATCTCGGCTCACTGCAACCTTCACCTCCCGGGTTCAAGTGATTCTCCTGCCTCAGCCTCCCGAGTAGCTGTGACTACACAGGCACGTGCCACTACCGCCCGGCTAATTTTTGTGTTTTTAGTAGAGACAGGGTTTCATCATGTTGGCCAGGCTGGTCTCGAACTCCTGACCTCAAATGATCCGCCCGCCTCTGCCTCCCAAAGTGCTAGGATTATAGGTGTGAACCACTGCGCCTATTATTTTTTGTTGTTGTTGTTTTTACACTTTATAATAACGGTCATTATAAAGCGATTTACCAGAAATGAGAAAGACTTATTGGTGTCTCCTGGTCTGTGGCCCCCTTCTCAAAACAACTATCTCAAGTATTCCCTCATACTAGGGAAACATGAACTATTTTCTTTGGAGAATTCATTTATTCATTCATTCAGTCATTGTTATTGCCAACTGTCAGGCTACTCTTGATAATGGAACAGAAACCCACAATGGAGTCAAAGCTGCATTCCAGTTGCAGCTCTGGCACCTAATAGCTGGGGGGTCTTGAGCAAGCTTCTAAACCTTCTGAACCTGGGTTCCTCATTTCTGAAATGGGGCTAAAACTACACAAGCAAAAAATGTTATGAGGAGTATAAGGACGTGTGAAATACTAAGGCAGGAAAATTGTAACATTTCAATGAATAGCAGCTGCTACTTGAAAAAAAAAGCTTTCCCTGTGCCCAGTGCATCTCTGGATGAGATGTCTCCCTCATATGTAAATTTTTTAAAGTCCAGCAAACAATTTAAATTCTCATTTCCTCTCAGGTAGCTACTCTGCTAGAAATAGACCAACCACACAGTTCAACAACTATGCAATTACACATCATTTGGTTTAGGAAGATGATGCCACAGATGCATCCTCACTTTAAAATTCTCAGGTGCCTGGCAAAGGATGCTGCTTTTAGAGACCTGCCCTCCATCAGGGTGGCTGCTGGCGCCCTGCACAGACCACTCGGATAGAGGCAGCTGTGAATGGACAGGAACAAGGGCTTAATGGACCTTCCATTTAAAAGCAGCCTCAATGAACACAAAAACTGAGAATGAGAAAGGCCTCTGGGTCAAATCTAACTGAGGAACACATACTTTATGACAACAGGTTTCACAGACGCTAGATCCAACATTCATCGGACCACTGGAACTTAGAGAAGAACAAACACGTGCCCTGCCCCCTCCCTGGTGCTTACAAACACCCATCAGGACAGGGCTTTGTCCCCTGTGTGTGCACCTCAGTCCCAGGCCTCCTTGCTTTTCTGCTACGGTACGAAGATTGCTAGGAGCCATGAGGGGTTTTGCTTACTATTTCTATTTCCCGGGACACTGAAGTCCGCTTCCGATCACAGTGAGGCGCAGGGAGGGTTGAATGCAAAGGACTAGATATTCAAGTGCTGGCTAAAAGGCTTTTTCATTTTTATATGAAGAGAAAATAAAACAACAACAACTGCATTTTCACATTATGCTACTTCTGTCTTTTTCTTAGGCAAATGTATGCTAATTGTAGTGATTTTTATCTATTTTCTGACCGAGGAAAATAGAAGACTGCTGTGGGTTGGGGTTGATTCTAGTAGCAAGGGTACAAGAGATATCCGGTGGCCAGGATTTGCCATCCCCAGTAACCTTGGGTGTACCTCTCCATCACCCAAGGTAACTCCGCCCGAGGTATCCAGCCCACTGACTGTTCATCCCCGTGTCCCTGCCTGACCCCTGTCATTCCACTGGGCCTCGGATCTAAGTGTTCCACGATCTCCAGCACTTCTCGCTCCGTGGCCCCGGCTCCTGGCCTCCACACACTCTTCCCTTACCAACGTTAACCCTCCACGGATTTTGTCTATCACTAGGTCCAGCCCTGATACCTGTCTTCAGCCCCAGCTGAATGGGCAGAGTGTCCCAACCTGACCTTCAAGTCTGTGTGTGGGGTTGAAAAAGAAGAGGACTTTCCCCCTTCCCCTTCTCTCCAGGGTTCTCACCACGGCAGTACCCTACGCAGTGGAAGTTAGAAGCCTCTGCCCCAACTGAACCCCACCTCCCTCACACTCATCCATTCAGCTGAACCCCAACTCCCTCACACTCATCCATTCCTTTCTACCACACCCCGCATCACCTGTCTCTCATGGCTTCCTGTAGTGTCTTGACTTACCTCTGCCTCTGACCTCAATTCATCTTGCACATCATATTCGATCCACTTCTAAAAAGTCATTTAAGGTCTCTAAATGTGTACTCGGTTTCCTTATGGGTAGAAGTGGGCATCAACAGCACCTATCTCATAGGGCAGTTATGAGAATTAAAACAGGTTAGGGGTATCGGGCACCTGGGATAGTGTCCAGCACACAGTAATGAACTCAAATATCAAATATTTTTGCAGTTACTGCTGGAAGTCCTGCTGTGGCCACGTCACACTCCATTAAAAACCTTCAATTGCTCCCTGCTGCTTACAGAGTAATTAGCTCAGGACTCAGGGTCCTTTTTTCCATCTGCCTCAAGTCACTTTTTTTTCCTAAACTTTATCTCTTCAAATTACTCCTTTTTCTCTTCAAATATCTTTTGCTCTGGCTAAAGCCTGCTCAGTTCAAATCTGGAATTGAACTGTCTTGGGTTCAAATCTCCACTCTAACCACTTATGAGCCTTCTCGGGCAAGTTATTTTAATGCTGCAGGCCTTAGTTTTCTTATGAGGAAAAAAGTTTTCTTATGAGGAGGATTAGATGGGATAATGTGGGTGAGGCCTCAGTCAAGGGCATGGCAACGCAGTTAAAGGTTGATTACTCTTCCTCTCTTCCACCTGTTTTGGTTTTGTTTTCTAACTTTTGTGCTATATCTCTGCCTAAAACTTCCCTCTCTGCACAGATAAACCTGTCCTTCAAGGCTCAACTCAAATGTCACCTTCTCCATGTGGGTTTACTTGAAACCCACCCACTAATTTCCTTCCCCCACCAAATACCTACGGCGCATCATGCTATTCTTGGACACAACAGCAAAAGCTCCCGTGTGCTTGCCCTATGTCCTACACTTGACTGACAACATTTGTGGACAGGCCCCACGTCTGATTCATCTTTGAGTTCTCCACACGGTCCTGCATATAGCAGAAACTTGGTAAATATTTGCTGAGTGAAAGAACAAATTTTTGGAGCAAAGGCAAGAGGGAGTTCCAAGCTTTGAAGACTACGGAACCAGCACTGTAGTATAACTGAGCAACAGGACAGAGATGGGTTTGTCCTGGGACATACTAGAGAAGTAAAGAATTTTTTTATTCCAAAGGAGCAGTGAAGCCAAACTATACAAAGTGAAGTGAAGCCAGCTTCCCCTGTCTCCTCCAAGTGAAGCATGGCCGCCTCCCCAGAGCCAAGGGTGTTGCCATTTTAAACAAATAAGTCACCCTGCTCTGATGCAAACAGCCCTCAGTGCTTCAGTCCTGAAGGGAGGGACTCTTGTATACCATGCACTTGAAAAATTAGATCTTTGTTTCCAAGAGGCTATTCTAAACTTCTAACCAGGCCTGTCTGCTTAGCAATCTCCTTAAAAGCATGTGCTGGTAGCAAGTACAGCTGCATTCTTAATCACTTACACCCCACAACCAACTAAAGATAGCTTGAGGAGGTCTGCCATATGCCAAATTCTTCTTTTAAATAAGAACACAAGAATCGTTCATGAAAAAAAAAAATTCAGTCATAGCCATCAGAAAAGGGAAAAGGAAAAAGATTTGACTTTTCTCTCCTTGTTTTGAATGAAATACCAAAGTAGAAAAATTTTGATAAAGAAACAGATACACACTACATCTTGGCACCAGGCTTATGCATCTGCATGGCCTGGCCTCTGAGACCCCTATCACAGTATTTACTCCTGAGTACCCTGAAAATGACTCAGGCCTGTCACAAGTTAGCCACAGACAGCGCCAAGTAATAAACCCAGCCCTCACCGCCCCCATCCTGAACAAATGAGCAGGGTTAACTTTTCTCACTGGCAACCAGAATGGGTTGTGGCTTATGACATGTCTCTCTTTTTCCTTTTTACCTAAACCCTACTAATCACTCAAAGCAAAGCTCAATTCCTTTCTCTTCTGTCAAGCTTTTCACAACTACCTAAACCAAGATAATTTCTTGGTCCATCACTAGGTCCAACCCTGCCCAGCTGTGGGCAGAATGTCCCAACCTGACCCTTCACATTTCTACAATCTGTTTCTAGCATCACTTTTTTTTTTTTTTTTTGCCCTTTACTCACAATACAAGGTAACATATGTATAATCCACAGACCCAGGCCTTTCTAAATAGATTGCCCACTTCCTGAAGACAGGAGCCTCATCTTAGCTAGACTCCTTTAGACATATCCCCCACTCCAAAGTACCTGAGCTACATGGATGAGTAGAATCGATATTGTGAAAATGACCATACTGCCAAAAGCAATCTACAAATTCAATGCAATTCCCATCAAAATACCACCATTATTCTTCACAGAACTAGAAAAAAAAATCCTAAAATTCACATGCAATCAAAAAAGAGCCTGCATAGCCTAAGCAAGACTAAGCAAAAAGAACAAATCTGGAGGCAACCTATTACCTGATTCCAAACTATACTGTAAGGCCATAGTCACCCAAACAGCATGGTAGTGGTATAAAAATAGGCACATAGACCAATGGAACAGAATAGAGAACCAAGAAATAAAACCAAATACTTGCAGACAACTGATCTTTGACAAAGCAAACAAAAACTTAAAGCAGAAAAAGAACACCCTATTCAACAAATGGTACTGGGATAATTGGCAAGCCACATGTAGAGAATGAAACTGGATCCTCATCTCTCATCTTATACAAAAATCAACTCAAGATGGACCAAAGACTTAAATCTAAGGCTTGAAACCAAAAAGATTTTAGAAGATAACGTTGGAAAAACCCTTCTAGACATTGGCTTAGGCAAAGACTTCATGACCAAGAACCCCAAAGCAAATGCAACAAAAACAAAGATATATGGGACTTAAACTTAAAAAGCTTCTGCACAGCAAAAGAAACAATCAGCACAGTTAGCAGACAACCCGCAGAGTGGGAGAAAATCTTCACAATCTATACATCCAACAGAGGACTAATATCCAGAATCTATAAGAACTCAGCGAGAAAAAAAAAATCCCATCAAAAAGTGGGCTAAGGACGTGAATGAACAATTCTCAAAAGAAGATATACAAATGGCCAACAAGCATATGGAGAAATACTCAACATCACTAATTATCAGGGCAATGCAAATCAAAACCACAATGAGATACCACCTCACTCCTGCAAGAATGGCCATAATCAAAAGATCCAAAAATAATAGATGTTGGTGTGGATGTGCTGAAAAGGGAACACTTTTACACTGTTGGTGGGAATGTAAACTAATACAACCACTATGGAAAACAGTGTGGAGATTCCTTAAAGAACTAAAAGCAGAACTGCCATTTGGTCCAGCAATCCCACTACTGGGAAAAGAAGTCATTATATGAAGAAGATACTTTCACATTCATGTTTATAGAAGCACAATGCGCAACTGCAAAAATATGGAACCACCCCAAATGCCTATCAACCAACAAGTGGATAGAGAAAATGTGGTATAGCTGGGCGCGGTGGCTCATGCCTGTAATCCCAGCATTTTGTGAGGCCAAGGTGGGCGGATCACGAGGTCAGGAGATCGAGACCATCCTGGCTAACACGGTGAAACCCTGTCTCTCTTAAAAAATAAGCCGGGTGTGGTGGCGGGCGCCTGTAGTCCCAGCTACTTGGGAGGCTGAGGTAGGAGAATCGCTTGAAGCTGGAGGCAGAGGTTGCGGTGAGCCGAGATCACGCCATTGCACTCCAGCCTGGTCAACAAGAGCGAAAATCTGTCTCAAAAAAAAAAAAAAGGTGTATATATATACACCATGGAATACTACTACTCAGTCATAAAAACGAACAAAATAATGGCATTTGCAGCAACCTGGATAGAACTGGAAACTATTATTCTTTTTTTTTTTTTTTTTTTGAGAGGGAATCTCTCTGTCGCCCAGGCTGGAGTGCAGTGGTGCGATCTCAGCTCACTGCAACCTCTGCCTCCCGGGTTCAAGTGATTCTTCTGCCTCAGCCTCCCTAGTAGCTGGAACTACAGGTGCACGCCACCACGCCTGGCTAATTTTTGTATTTTTAGTAGAGACGGGGTTTCACCATGTTGGCGAGGCTGGTCTCGAACTCCTGAGTTTGTGATCTGCCTGCCTCGGCCTCCCAAAGTGCTGGGATTACAGGCGTGAGCCACTGCGCCTGGCCTTAACTGGAAACTATTATTCTAAGTGAAGTAACTCAGGAATGGAAAACCAAACATCATATATTCTCACTCATATGTGGGAGCTAAGCTATGAGGACACAAAGGCATAAGAATCATACATTGGACTTTGGGGACTTGGGGGAAAGGGTGGGGATGGCAAAGGATAAAAGATTACACATTGGGTACACTGTATATTGCTCAGGTGATGGGTGTACCAAAATCTCAGAAAATACCACTAAAGAACTTATTCATGTAACCAAACACCACCTGTTCCCCCAAAACCTATTGAAATATAAAAATTAAAAAACAAAAAAACAAAAACCCCCAACAAAGTACCTGAGCTAGTCTCAGCACTGCAGGGTATACACAGGTATAAACTCTTCTCCAATGAAGTTACTGATACTCAATCCTTCTGACATCAAATTCAGTGATTACCTATTAGTTTTCTGAGGTTTAGCTCTTATATTATTCTGGTCCCTCCACAATCCTCCCCCTCAATCCTTCTTAAATAGTTATATGACACTTTTAACTAAGTCAAGATTTGGTGATAAAACTTATGATTATATAAATATTCAGGGCCAACCCTGGAATAGTCCATGGTTATATTTTCTTTCTTATAACTTTCTGCTTTATTCCTATATTAAATATTGCCTCCCTGTTTACTTTTGCTTAGTTTTCTATGTGTGAATTATTGTTTCATCCACAAATAGGGCCAGAAAAAAACAAGTTGTCAGAGAAACTGAAAAACTATTCTCTCAATAGGATCAAAAGCATTTTTGCTTGATGCCATCCCTTCTGGGACCGTTGGCCCTCATCCCCCATCTTTTTTATCCTCATAGGTTACTGGGGTACAGGTGGCATTTGGTTACATGAGTAAGGTCTTTAGTGGTGGCCCCATGTTCCATCTAGGCCGACTGTGCTCAGGGCCTCAGTGTGTGGGCTGGGGTATGGGGGTTCTTCCCTTCCTTTCTGTTCTGTGTTCGTCCCTATTTCCTAGATTCTTTGGTGTTCTCTCTCTCCTTTTCCTTTCTTGCTCTGATGGAAGGTCCTTTCACGTCCTGTTTCTGGTTCAGTCCTGAATCTGGAATCCAGAATTCAGGATTCTGCAGCAAAAACTCCAGCTATCCCACCTTCAGCTTTGCGCCACCCACCCTGGAAGGCAGTTCAGTTCTAGCGTTCTCTGCTCTACTAAATTCACACGCTGGCCTTCCATCTTACAAGATTTGGTTGGTATTTCTCTGGGAAGTTTCTGGGCTTATACTGTTTTTATTCCTTATCATCATTTTAAAATTTTTATTAGTTTTTTTGAGACAGAGTCTCACTCTGTCGCCTAGGCTGGTATGCAGTGGTGTGATCTTGGTTCACTGCAACCTCTGCCTCCCAGGTTCAAGTGATTCTTCTGCCTCTACCTCCTGAATAGCTGGAACTACAGACGTACCACACCACGCCTGGCAATTTTTTTTTTTTTTTATTTCTTAGTAGAGACGTGGTTTCACCACGTTGGCCAGGCTGGTCTTGAACTCCTGACCTCAAGTGATCCACCCGCCTCAGCCTCCCAAAGTGCTGAGATTACAGGTGTGAGCCACTGCGCCCAGCCCCTTATTTCCATTTTACAGTTTTGGGAGGAAGCAGAGATATATACACTTGTTCAGTTTACCAGAAGCCTGCTGAATGGGAACTTGCAGCTTAGCAAGAAGACCCCCCCAGGTGACTCACATGCATATCAAATGTTTACAAACAGATTTACAGTTAGTTGCCATGTCTCATACCATTTTTTTTTTCCTGGTAGCATCAAGTACAAAGACTTATAAGTAGTGAGAGCTCAAGAAGGTATTGGCCAGGCGCGGTGGCTCACGCCTGTAATCCCAGCACTTTGGGAGGCTGAGGCGGGCAGATCATGAGGCCAGGAGATTGAGACCATCCTGGCTAACACGGTGAAACCCCGTCTCTACTAAAAAAATACAAAAAAATTAGCCGGGCATGGTGGCGGGCGCGCCTGTAGTCCCAGCCACTCGGGAGGCTGAGGCAGGAGAATGGCATGAACCCAGGAGGTGGAGCTTGCAGTGAGCCAAGATCGCACCACTGCACTCCAGCCTGGGCGACAGAGCCAGACTCTGTCTCAAAAAATAAATAAATAAATAAATAAAAAAGGAAGTATTTACTACTAACAGTTGGTCAATATTTTAGTTAACTATATGCTAACATCTACACTACTCAGATTATAAATTGTAAAACGATCAGAATATTAGCGCGCGCGCGCACACACACACACACACACACACACACACACACACACCTGTTAATTTGTCTTAGGTAATTCTAAAGGAACACAGGTTTCATCACCAGGAGGATCAGGTATTTCATACAGGCTTGTCTGTGCAGGGAGGCCAGGAGTTTGAAAGCAGCCTGGGCAACATGGCAAAACCCCATCTCTACTAAAAATACAAAAAATTAGCTGGGCGTGGTGGCATGCACCTGTAATCACAGCTACTCGGGAGCCTGAGGCACGAGAATCACTTGAGCCCGGGAGGCGAAGGTTTCATTGAGCTGAGATCTGGCCACTGCACTCCAGCCTGGGAGACAGAGTGAGACTCTGTCTCAAAAAAAAAAAAAAAAAAAAAAAAAAACCAAAAACAAAATAATGCTATTGGGGATCTGGATCACTGAGTGAAGGGTGGTGCCATCTGTCAAGTCAGGAAAGGCCGGGTAAGCGGGCTGCCCACTGTAGGGGATGAGAAGTTCTCTTTTGGATATTTAAGTTTAGATGCCTGTTAGACAACCATATGGAGATACTGATATAACTCTGGAGTTCTGAGAATGGCCAGGCTGGAGAAATCAATCTGAGAGTCATCTGCACACAGATGGGATGTGAAGTCATAGGACTAGATTCCATCCAGGCAGGCCTGCAGAGGGAAAGGAGAAGGGGGTAGGATTGAGCCCCTGGGGTGCTCTAGAGCCTAAAGCAGGCATAGTGAAGGCATAGGAATTCCTATCAGAGCTCATATGGAATCACAGCATCTCAAAACAAACTAGAAGTTAAACTCACACCTATGTAATTGCCTGAATTGGATTAATATAATTCCATAAAGAGCTGTGTCTGAAGAAATCCTCTGATAATTCAGAAATTTTTAAAATCAATAGGCATGGTACAGACATGCAGAAAATCATAATTAGGGTTTTAATGTTGCAAGACTACAGAAGATTTGCTTCATTATTAACCAAAAAAGGGTTACACAATGATGAGCACATTTGGTTGAATTGAGAAATATAAATGAATCTATGTTTGGGGCATTTTACACTTCTGCCAAAGAATTTATCGGCACAATCTTTCAGCCAACACTGAACTAATAACATTTGATTTACATCCAAAAGCCAAAATACATTCCCAAAAGCCAGCCAAATACAAAGCTTCAGACTTCACTAAAGGTCCACAGTGAATGCTGAAACGTCCAAGCTCAGGACCGGCTATAAACTCGGCAGTACTACATTAACCATGTGCAAACCAAACAACAGCCTCCTAAGGAGACAACTATTAAATATTTCCAGAAGGGGTTACGGATAGTAGAGTCAACATTTAGAATAAGATCAGATAGACATCCATTTCCTTTAAAAGACAGGGTCTCACTCTGTTGCCCAGGCTGGAGTGCAGTGGTGCATGCATCAAAGCTCACTGCAGCCTCGAACTCTTGAGCTCAAGTGATCCTCCTGCCTCGGCCTCCTGAGTAGCTGGGACTACAGGCGTGTGCCACTGCACCTGGATAATTTTTTTAAAACTTTGTGTATAAGTGGAGTTTCCCAGGCTGGTCTTGAACTCCTGGGCTCAAGCAATCCCCCCACCTTGGCCTCCTAAAATGCTGGGATTACATGCGTGAGCCACTACGCCCATCTGGGATAGACATTTTTACGACACAAAGAAATCCTCAAAATACTAAAGACTAATTGAAATCGCATTAGTGGAAATGTAGTCCAAGGAGTAGCATCATGGGCAGCACCCAAAAGCTGAAGAAAAAAGCACCATCTCAGGCCCCACCCCAGGCCTGCTGAATGGGAACTTGCAACTTAGCAGGAAGACCCCACGTGACTCACATGCATATCAAAGCACTGGTCTGAAAGGCCTAGACCTCAGGTGCTTGGTACTGCCTGTTCTGAGCCATAATTAGGTGAATATCATGCTCAAAATTTCATATACAACACTCTACTCCAGAAGCAGCAGGAGAATCAGTTTCCTAAAAAGGAACATTTGTGGCCAGGTGTGGTGGCTCACTCCTGTAATCCCAGTACTTTGGGAGGCCGAGGCAGGTGGATCACCTTAGGTCAGGAGTTAGAGACCAGCCTGGCTAACATGGTGAAACCCCGTCTCTACTAAAAATACAAAAACTAGCTGGGCATGGTGGCGGATGCCTGTAGTCCCAGCTACTCAGGAGGCTGAGGCAGGAGAACTCTTGAACGCCCAGGAGACGGAGATTGCAGTAAGCCGAGATCACGCCACTGCACTCCAGCCTGGGCAACAGAGTGAGACTCCGTCTCAAAAAAAAAAAAAGAAAGAAAGAAAAAGAAGAAACATTTGTGCTAGTAATGTTCTCCTTAATTGTTTTAAGAATTATGTGTAGGCAGGCAACCATGTTAAATAAAGGGAAAGTCTGTAATCAAATATACTCACAAAGTTAACCATATATATTACATGTATTAGTGAACTGCATGGAAACTAGATATAAGCGCAAGTATATACTACTTGTCTATGCCAAACCAAGTTGTTTCAAAATCTCCTCTCATCTCTTTATTGGATGGCTAAACAGTCTCAGTAATGAGTTTCTCAGGGAGTTTTCTCTAGGAGCACATAATTTAATGCAGATATTCATTCATACTATACCCTATTCATTCATTCAGCAGATACTTCTTGAGCCTCTATTATGCCAGGCACTGAAGACAGCAATGAGTAAAACAGGCAGACACCTTGCCTCCTGTGCAGAGAGAGGGGACCTGGGGTCCCCAGGAGCTGGAGTGTCAACAGACCCCCAACTTTGGGACACAAGATCAAAGAGAAGCCACCTAGCGAGCAAACAGGACTGGCTGTAGGTCTATAAAAAACACGTGCCTGTTTCTTACAAATGAGGGCACAGCCCAGTTATCCATGTACTACCTCCCCAGCATGAACAGACCACCTTTCCCTTCTGCCAAACAAACACCTCCCCCAACAACAGCACACCCCTGGGCCCTTTTATGATCTAACCTCACTTAGCTCCAGGCACCTGCTCCCTAACAGGCCTTTAATTCCTCACTTTCCCTCCTGCCTTGTGACTACATCTGGCAAGGTGTTTTTCTTCTGTCACACGTTATAAACACGTTGTAGAGATACTATAAACAATAATTATGACAATAATGACAATTTGCTAATATTTACCGTGTGCTTTTCTTATGTGCCAAGCATTAGCTCATCTAAATGTATATACATCAGCCCATTTTCCAGGAGAGAAAATTAAGGCTTAGCGTTTATGTCACTACCCTACGTCTCATGACCAACAAGTGGCAGAATCAGGACTTAATGACCTTCTTATGGTACTTTCCACCTTGGTGGAGAAGAGCATGGAGATGACATAGTCATTGAGGTGATATATAGTGATAGTGATAGAGGAAGTCGTTATCCAGGGAGTTACTGAAATGTCCTTTTCAACCTTCCTTTTATCATTCAAATAGCAGTTAACAAGGACAAATTGCTGCAAATCATCCTCGATTTTCCCTCTTGCTTGGATCTTATTTTATTCTGATCCCAAATATTCCTAGCTAACATGTTTAAGGCTGAGTCTTTTCCCCCTCTCATCACACACTCATTACAAATGCAAATAACTGTGAATGACTGTCCAAACGAGCAGGACAAAACTCCCCCAATTAAGTCCAATACACACACCTGAACTTACTGGGGCTTCAACGCCCCCAGAAGATTAATCAGCACCATGGGGCTCCTGAGAACACAAAGGCTATTTTGTGGGAGTGATACGGCACTGCAATCCTCTTTTCTGTGATTACACCTCATTTTATAACAATGTTCAGACATTTGGTTTGAGCAAGTATAGTAATTACATTTCTCACTTTGAACTAATTTAAGCAGCTACATCTGAGCTCCTCCACAAGTCCTCAGGCTTACCAGCCCTTCTCCTCCCACCCAGAGCACTCCTATTTGAGAAGACCCGGACTTCTTTGCTAAGTGACTGTTCCCACTTTCTGTCAGGCACTCCATAATTCAAACCTATTTCTCCAAGCTGACCCTCTTGCAATGGGCAGAACACCCCCGCACTTTCTTCCTGGCACTCATTTGGAGGAGCCCTGTAGAAAAACAACCAGGCAACCAGACTCTCCCACTATCCAACTGTGTGACCTGGGTTTAACTCCCCAGGCCTCAGAGTCCTCATCTGTTAAATGGTGCTCCTGGCCTCTATGTTGGTGATGACACTTCTTTGGGCTGAGAGTGCTACCATGAGATTATAAAAGCGAACCACCCCACGGTGGCAGGTCCTTCAGAGCCACAAAGACCCTGCTGGAGGCAGAAAATTCTGCTAAATGTGCCCTGCAAAGAAAATGCTGAGAAGCCAGGATTTCTTAATACTTGACACCCAAACTTACCATCCACCAACTTTCCAATCCTCCCACCCCATTCTTATAATTTACTCTTTATAGAGGTCAAGAATAAATGGAAATGTTAACAGAGAGCAACACCAACCCTTCCCCCCAAATCAAAGATCCTGGTTTTGCTAGGCAGGACCCAATATTTTATCCACTCATGTCTGTGCACACAAGTTTGTTTGTAAGACTGCAAGCTTTTAGAAAGGCAGTGACAAGGAGCCTCACTAGTTGTAGAAATAAAGTTGGTCATTATACTCTTCGTGCACCACATGTGAGATGTCCTGACATTCCACCTCTGGGGGAGGTTTTGGGAAGTAGGGGTGGAAATGGAAGGTTGGGGGCAGAAAGCAACTCACACTTCACTTTCCTTCTGCTTAGCACATCAGCCCACCTTGCTGTACACAAGAGGCAGGCTAAAAATAGTAACATCGTTTTCCTTTCCACCCTTGCAGGAAGCTAACCTGTTCCACCAGAATGGCCTGATAAAGGCAGCCGCACTTCCTTAGAGATAAAATCCACCTTTCCTGAGAGCTCAGCCTTGAGAGTGAGGCAGGGCCCTCCATCAAGCTGCCTGCCTTGGAGGCTCAGGCAGGGCTCTGGTCCAAGTTACTGGACAGTGGAAAGTTTAGTCTCTCTTTTTTTTTTTTTTTGAGACGGAGTCTCGCTCTGTCGCCCAGGCTGGAGTGCAGTGGTGCCATCTCGGCTCACTGCAAGCTCCACCTCCTGGGTTCACGCCATTCTCCTGCCTCAGCTCCTGAGTAGCTGGGACTACAGGCACCCACCACCATGCCCGGCTAATTTTTTGTATTTTTAGTAGAGATGGGGTTTCACCATGTTAGCCAGGATGGTCTCGATCTCCTGACCCCATGATCTGCCCGCCTTGGCCTCCCAAAGTGCTGGAATTACAGGTGTGAGCCATAGTCTCTTTCTCAAATGGGGCGCTGGCTCCTTTTTTTTTTTTTGCTAAAAGTCCCATGACAGAAGGATTCTGACTTCACAGCTAATGTGAACTGACAATGAAGACTCCCAAACCACAATAACTTAACAGGAAACTGAGGTGGCTGCAGGTGTGTGTGTGTGCGTGTGTTGTGTATTGGGGGGCATTTTGGGGGGCATTTTGATTGTCTTCATCAAGTCAAGATTCAGCACGAGGGGGTTCTAATCTATTGCTGTGTAGCCATGAGAGCTGCAATCAAGAAGGTAGGTGCATGGCATGCAAACTTCCTCTCTGCAGGGGGTGGGAAGTGCTGCCAACTTAAAGCTTATCTCATTCTGAGTCTTCATGTCAATGACTGTCATGCACATCCCTGTTCACATGCCTTGGAAATCTAGGTTTGGGTGTCTGGTTTGGTTAAACCAAAAGATCAACTCTCCTCAGCTGGATCACTTGTCCTTTCACCCGTGGAGACGCGGTATCCACTCATGCCTCCGTGCACACAGGTAGACAGAAAAGGGTGGGAAAGGTGGAGCACAGGGAACCTCCCCATAACTCCAACTGGAGGACAGTTCTCTCTTCCACTCTTGGGAGTGTCTTAAAATACTAACATGACCGAGTGCAAAGCTCTAGCTATATTTTTACTTCTCAGAACAAACAACAACAAAATATCAAAAGCTGGGCAAGGGAGCCAGAGGTCTAAAGGGGCAAGAAGAAAGAATGTTATCAAAACGATTATGACATGGTCCCTGTGTAGAGAGGCATTCCCTAATAGGCCACCAACCCAGGCTATCTTCCTTTTACCCATCAGTCTGATTTCAGCTCCTCATAAAACCAGTCTCTTGAGCTTCTCTCCTTGCCTGCTGGTTCCATCTTCTTAAGATCTTATCAGAGGAGCAAGATCCTTCCCTTCTGCCCAGACCTTGGGTCCTTTCAACAAAGCTTTAGGCTGAAACTTCTTTCCAGACACCAGTAATGATCACCCGGCATGTATTAGGCACCTCAAACATGTCAGACACTGCTGCGGACACTTTCATGTGCTACATGTAATTTAATCCTCACAAGCCTCATACTATGAGTCCTATTTGACAGACAAGAAAGCTAAAGTTTGGGAAGATAAATATGCAGTATAAGGTAGAGTCAGAATTCAAAATCAGCTCCCCTGACTTTGAGGCAGAAGCTGTTTTTATGATGCCACAGATTCCTGTAGGAATTCCTTGTATCCCTTCTTCTCTGAATTGATCATAGAGCTCCAGGCAAATTGCTCGGACCAGAACCAGAGCCCCCTTCCAATGTCTGTATGTATAATCCCAGTCGCCAGCCACAGGAATTAGTCAGTTACATAAGGGGACTTTTGAAGTTCTTTTTTTTTTTTTTGAGACGGAGTCTCACTCTGTCACCTAGGCTGGAGTGCAGTGGCGCGATCTGCAACCTCTGCCTTCTGGGATCAAGCAATTCTTCTGCCTCAGCCTCCTGAGTAGCTGGGACAATAGTCACGTGCCACCACACCCAGCTAATTTTTGTATTTTTAGTAGAGATGGGGTTCCACTATACTGGCCAGGCTGGTCTTGAACTCCTGACTTTGTGATCCGCCTGCCTTGGCCTCCCAAAGTGCTGGGATTACAAGCGTGAGCCACTGCACCTGGCTCTAAAGTTCTTAATAGCCCATAAATATTGCCCTAATTCTGCCTTTCATCATAACCCTTATATCCTATAGTCCTTAGCCTGTGTGAGACCACAATTACCTGTAGATATCTCAAAAGTCACAGATGTCATTTACAGATCACCTCTTCATCGACCCCAGACCTTTATGCACATAAATCAACTGACTTAATACAACAGCCCAGAAAAGGAAGTATTATGAGCCCTTTTTCTATATTCAAGGACACTGAAGTTTTTGAAAGGTTCAGGTAATTTAACACTGGTCGCACAGCTAATAAGCAGCAAAGGGAAATTCACACCCAGGTCTGTCCTAGTCTAAGAGGTACTGTCTAACACAGTAGCAGCCAGCAGCCACAAGTGGCACTGAGCACATGAAAATGGAGATGTGCTCCAATTATAACATACAAGCGGCATTTTGCAGGTGTAGTACAAAAAAAGAATGTGAAATACTTCATTAGCAATTTAAAACATTAACTGTTGAAATGAGAATTTTTAGATACACTAAATAATAGACTAAAATTAATTTCACCTGTTTCTATTTACTTTTTTAACACCCCTATCAGAACATTTAAAATTACATATGTGGCCTATGTTGTATTTCTATTGGACAGCACTAGTCTAAATCCTATGATTTTACCAAGTTCTACTGCCTCCCTATAATAACACAGCTTTTAGCAATTTACATCTCATGCACTATTTAAAAATGAATAAAGCCACCTTGACATCCTCACTTCTAGTAACAAGAATTTTGTTTCCTGGCAAGACTGATTTGAGTGCTAATAAAACTCCAGTTTCCTGCAAAAAAAAAAAAAAAAAAAAAAGAATTTTGTGTTCTGATGAAGACTTTCAAGAGAAATTTTAGGCTGGGCATGGTGGCTCACGCCTGTAATCCTAGCACTTTGGGAGGCCAAGGCGGGCGGATCACGAGGTCAGGAGATCAAGACCATCCTGGCCAATATGGTGAAACCCTCTACTAAAAATACAAAAATTATCCAGGTGTGGTGGCGCGTGCCTGTAGTCCCAGCTACTTGGGAGGCTGAGGCAGGAGAATCGCTTGAACCAGGGAGGTGGAGGTTGCAGTGAGCCAAGATTGCACCACTGTACTCCAACTTGGTAACAGAGTGAGACTCTGCCTCGGAAAAAAAAAAAAAAAAGAATAATTTTAAATGCAAAAAAAAAGTATAACATCTTGTGCAAGGCCAGGCGTAATGGCTCACGCCTGTAATACCTATGCTTTGGGAGGCTGAGGCAGGAGGATAACTTGAGCCCAGGAGTTCGAGGCTGCAGTGAGCTTTGATCATGCCACTGCACTGCAGCCTGGATGATGCAGTGAGACCTTGTCTCTTAACTGAAAAGAAAACAAACAAACAAAAATCCTTCATGTGCAGGTGTCAAATGATCTGCAAGCAGCCTACACAGGGGTGTCTCTCTCGCTCTCTCTCTGTCTCTCTCCTGCCCATGCTGGGTTCTTTAGCATCGTTCATGGCATCTGATTATACCTCTCAGGCAGAATCTCCTTTTAAAATCACTATTTATACTCGTCATCCCAGTTCTTCCACTCACTAGGTAAAAATGGTTCCCAACTGGCCTGGCATGGTGACTCAGGCCTGTAATCCCAGCACTTTGGGAGGCCGAGGCGGGCGGATCACAAGGTCAGGAGATCGAGACCATCCTGGCTAACATGGTGAGACCCCGTCTTTACTAAAAATACAAAAAATTAGCCGGGCGTGGTGGTGGGCGCCTGTAGTCCCAGCTACTCGGGAGGCTGAGGCAGGAGAATGGCGTGAACCCGCGAGGCGGAGCTTGCAGTGAGCCGAGATGGCGCCACTGCACTTCATCCTGGGTGACAGAGCGAGACTCTGTCTCAAAAAAAAAAAAAAAAATTGGTTCCCAATCAAAAAAGAACCTAAAGGATGAGGCTTTTATAGATAATCAGTTAGCTTGAAAGATGTAATGCAGAGGGTCTATCGTGAGACGGGAAGGAGCCTATTGTACTTGTAGACTTTTCCTTTGGAGAGTGGTTCTCAGTGCAGGGCAACCAACTGCCATCGGGACAGGGGTCATGGTCTGCACAGAAGGACCTCAGACTGTTTGTTCGAGGTGCCTTCACTGTGGAAAACCTATCAGAGGATGCGCTTGACCTACTGCAATTGCTAACTCTAAGGGTTAGTTCTCTTTCAGGGTTTTCCATTTTTATATTATAATCATCATCTGCTGCAGCAGCTACCTTTAAAAGAAAAAAAGTTTGCTTTCCACGTACCAGGTGCTGTGCTGAGCACTTGGCCCACATTATCTCATTTAATCCTCCAGCAATCTTTTGAGGAATTACTTTGTGTACTTTCTGGACCCAGGCAAGACTCAGATTCAACAGCAGGCTCTGATAGCAACATTGAGGGACACCGAGCCTCTCTTTCCTTCTTTCCTAACATTGCTGTGATATCCCTGCTGCTTGCGGTGGGAGGGCGATTGAATTGGTTGCAAAAGTGCTAATATGGCATCGTTTAATAGTTACTTAAATTACATGCTTTTAAACAGCACTCCCACATGATGACATGACAAATGGTACTTATTCCTATATGCTGAAACGGGCCACACATGCATAGGTTGTGTGAAGTAAATGGCTTGAAGGGACTTGTGAAATTAAGCTACAACAGGGGACAAAAGTGAGGGATGGAATGTTGGCCTGAACAGCTCACTTCCTTGCTTTAATTGGCTTCTATCTTAGTGTTAATTGACTTTGAGTTAAGTGGCTTTCATACAAATCAAGGAAAGCTGACCTTTGGAACGCTGGTGACTTGTTGGGTAAATATGTCTTTATGGACTTCATAAAATTCAGATTGTGTAAACACATACTCAGGAACTATTAAAAAGCACTGGGTGGCTAGAGTAAGGCACAGAGGTGGCCTTTAGGATTGAGTACTCCGTAGTTTAACATTTAAGAAAATGAACAGCAAGACCAGGCGCGGTGGCTCACGCCTGTAATCCCAGCACTTTGGGGGCCGAGGCAGGCGGATCACAAGGTCAATAGACGGAGACCATCCTGGCCAACACGGTGAAACTTCATCTCTACTAAAGATACAAAAAAATTAGCCGGGTGTGGTGGCAGGCGCCTGTAGTCCCAGCTACCCAGGAGGCTGAGGCAGGAGAATGGCATGAACCCAGGAGGCAGAGCTTGCAGTGAGCCGACATGCACCACTGCACTCCAGCCTGGGCGACACAGTGAGACTGTCTCAAAAAAAAAAAAGAAAAGAAAGAAAGAAAAAGAAAAAGAAAATGAACAGCAAGGATGCAATGACAATTTAGGAGGTGAATCTCAAACTGTGGATGTAGGCAGAGGAATCACCTGGAGATAATTTCAAAAACGCAGATTCCCTAGACCCCATACTCATGGAGGCAGATTCAGGAGGCCTGGGTGGGCAGCAGACACTGGAGTACTGACTCTGAGTAGGTGGCCTAGGACCAGCTTCAAGAAAAAATGATTTTGAAACCATCCCTACAGGGCTGACAAGAATTGCACGCCAGATTCTGGACAGAAATACAGTTGTAATTAAGGACTAATTGGGCTGCACTCTGGCCCATTTCCTTGTTGCTAAAAGTCACCTAGCACTAGATATTGACTATTTGCAATCCCATTGTTCCTAGAGGTAGATTTCTGGCAACAGGGTCATATGACTGTTTAAGAGTGGATTTGCATCCCTGTTGTTCCTATAGACTGGATCTCTGACATTAGTCAGAGGCTTTTGTTTAATGATCCTTTGTTTTTCAGCAACCAGTTTGAAGACCCCCCACCCCAAGAGGAATGAGATCAGTATGAGAATACAGCTTCTTCATCTCCTTGCCCTGAGACTTTATGCTGCACTCTTTAATCAATCAATGATCTTCACATTTTGGCCCACTCCAAAACCCTTAAAAATCCTAGTCTCAAACTCCACAGGAAGATGGATTTGAAGTTTCCTCCCATGTCCTCATTTGGCAGTCCTACAGTTAAACTTTTCTCTGCTGCAACCCTGTGTCTCATTGCATTGACTTGCGTGCACATCAGCAACTGACCTATTATGGTTACAATTTTGGCACTATAAGCAGATCATTCACCTTCTTCCCCACCAAAGAATACCACCCAGGAATTCAAAGACCAGAGTCCTTCACCTATAAGTGGGCTGATCCTTGGAACAGTGGGGAACTCCTTTCCCCATCCTTGCCTCAGAACCAATAAATTGTCCAGCAAGTGACCATACTGACACCAAGAGGACCTTCTTTTTTGCCTACCCCTCTCAAGGGGAGAGATGTTTCTCCTCTAAGGCCCAGGTGCTGATGGTGACCAACATACTTTCAAGAGAAAACCAGTGGTGCAGGCTCCATTAAGGACAGCATGCATTTTTTCCATGCCAACAGCCTGGAGCCTTTACCCTGACGGTGGCCTCAAAGCCACCCTAGACTGCACAGGGAGGCCAGCCAATACCCACAGTGCCTAAGAGGCTGAGGCCTCTGGAAAAGCATCTCATTTCTGGGTTCCCACGTTATGAAGAGATGTGGCTGTATCTGTCCACTGATCAGGAAACCAGGATAATGTTTGGCCAACAGAAGAGAAGAGAGGAAACCCTCTGTGTTGTGTTGTCTGCAGGGCGGTCAAAACAACAGAGAATTGGTTATCGCTGCTGCAGAGGGCAGTGGTTCCACAGAAGAACTTGCTGACGATTAGAGCTGCATACCCAAGTCACCGTGCAAGTGGGACCCAGGCATTCCACATCAAGCACACATCTAAGCATAAGCTGCAGGGCCAGCCAGTGTGGTAAGACAGGGCATCCTTCTCAGCTCCCTTGATTGGCATATTTTCTGATCCTGTGTTTCAGTCCCTGGGGGGTCTGAGTGCTTCCATCACAAATAGCCCTAACTCCAAAGCTTATCAGAGTGGTTCATCAAGACATTTGTTTTTTCTACTGAACATACAGACTGCCAAATGTGGTGACTTAAGTATTCCCAAGGCCAGAAAGCGTCAAATCTATAAACAGTTTATGAATGAGTATAAATTTTCAACAATCAAGAATGAGTACTTGTTGGTAAGAGTTAGTGTGTGTAGTTTTATTGAAAAAGTCACAAAAAACTCTAAGTTGTTAACATTCCCACTCTAGGGATATACCGTCCCAGAAAATGCTAACAATCCAATTTACACCAACATGCTACTAGTAAAACTACTTAAAGAGAGAAACATTAAGTCTTAAAAAAATTAAAAAGGTGGGAGGCTGAGCATTTTCAAAGAACAATTTGTTTTTTCACAGGCATGCATGACAGCACATACTCATTCTCAAACATGTTTGTTTGAATTAAGTGATTCTTAATTTCATCTGCTAAATGCTGAATTGTCCCTTCTCCAAATAGGGGAAAGGAGGAAGGGCTGCCTTGCTTGGTTTTTACACGTGTGTGAGTACTACATTTTTCACATTATCATCGCCTATCATCAGTATAACCTCTGAAGCTAATATTCCTGCTGCCTTTGAGAACCACGGAGTATCATCGCCTATCATCAGTATAACCTCTGAAGCTAATATTCCTGCTGCCTTTGAGAACCACGGAGGCTGTGAATGTGAAGTACTTGCCCAAGGGCCTATCAGTTGTCATGGAGGAGTCTTTCTTCAACCTTGGTCCCCTGAATGTCTGGGAAGGGGCCATCATTCCCACCACCCACAACTAAGACCCAGCTCTGCTGTTTGCTCTACTGCCAGGTCATTCAGACTTCTACAGCATTCTCAGAGGTTCCAACCCCTTGTCAAGATGCATTAGTACTATAGAAAGTAATGTACATGCTTGGTGAACTGCAGGAACCTTAAGGAGATGCAAGACTTTGGCCATTACTGGAGTAATCTCAAAGTTGATCTTCTTTAAATTTCTGTGAAGGGAGCTTTTGGGGCGGGACAGGGAGAACAGAGTTGCAGAGGGGACTAGGCAGGAATTGATTGGGAGCTAGAAATCTATAAATAAGGATGTAAAAGCCAGATAGTTGTGTCCAGGATTCCATTTTTCAGGAGGGAAGTGTTTCTCTGAGTCATTAGTTGACTCTATCCCGTTTAAAAAAATTTTTTTTTGTTTTGGTAGACACAGAGTCTTGCTATGTTGCCCAGGCTGGTCTTGAATTCCTGTTCTCCTGTCTTAGCTTCCCAAACTATTGGGATTACAGGTGTGAGCCATCACAACTAGCCTAAACAAAATGTTTTAATCATACTAAAATATACATAACATAAAACTTACCACTTTAACCATTTTTATACAATTCAGTGGCATTAAGTACATTCACGCTGTTGTGTAAGACTCTGTCCCATTTTTATGTATGCCCTTCACATTTTCTCCTAAGACATTAAAACAACTTTTGGGCCTTCCCCACATTTGCATGCAGTGCCACACTTGTGGGTGACAAGATACAATCTTAAAACCTGGCATCAGTCTTTGTTAGAGACATCTGTTTTAAGTCAATGTATTTTCATTTCTAGGTAAAAGCATATGATTTTATAGCTCTGCTTTCCTTTAAATTCAAGCAAATACCAATCCTATGTTAACAAAGTTTTGTTAAAAAAAAAAAAATTCAAATATAAGGAATTATTCCTGTTCCCTGCAAAGTAACTGGCCCCCACTCCACCAAAAAGGGGCAACATTTTAAAACACCTCTATATTTACTGCTTTAACCATTAAAATAGCTAAATTCATATCCTAAAGACATCTGTGTTACATCACCAAGGAAAATTTCTGAAAACATTAATAGACCTTTTAAAGTTTCAGCCGAACCTTTTAAAATAAAAATAAAAACCAGTTATAATTTTGGACTGCTGTAGGTGATTTTTTTTTTATTTTTTAATTTTTTTTATTCAAAGCGACTCTTTGGATCAACAATTAGAATTTATTTTTTATTGGCTCTTACAATTTGCTTCACATGTAACATCCATTTGGTATATGCCTCCCTGGGAGGTTATTGGTCATCTAATTTGAAATGAGAAAGAACAAAGGGCGAAAGAAAAGGAGCAACATTCCTCTCCTCAGCTCACTAATACGAATGTGTGTCACCTTTTAAATACCACCCAGTATGACAGATTAATCGGAATGAATTAATAGGCAGAAGAGAGAGAGGAGGATCTTTAAAAAGACTAAATGCTCCCTGGTCAATACTGCCCAGGTTGGTTGCAACCTTCTAGGTTTGATTTGGGTGTTGCCCCTTCTAAATCCCGGATTAGCTAAAGCATGTTAGAATCTCTTGGATTATTAAAATACCAACTCGGGAGGATGGGAGGATGGGGGTGACATTCAGATTCAATCGGTCTACGGATGAGAAAGGTTAAGATGGGAGAGATGAAGAGTGTTGTTTCTCCTTGGTGACATCCCCAAGCAACCTCAGATATGCTCTTCCTTGGGGCCTCTGGTTTTGTTGCTAAATTGTCCTTGTTGAGACAGTTGGGGGGGTGTATATTTCAGGCTGCATGCCAACCAACACACTGCCCAGGGACGGGATGGGAAATGAACCACACACATCTAGTTCTCCTGGTCACTGTTGTACTGCTCCATCCTGAACAAGAGAGTGTGGAAGAGTGGGTCTACAGGTAAGCCATTATAACCAAACTACCCTCACAGTTTAGCCTCACAAGGGATCCTTTATGCTAAGAAGAATGCCCAGCTGATGGGGATTAACAAGAAAAGCAGAGGGGAGGGGGGTCGCTGGAAGCCCAAGAGAAGGAAATTTTTTAAAAAATACAAGTTTCCTGTCCTACACAAGCAGTATGAATTTTGTTATCCCAACGGGAGTCCTGATGGTAAAATCTAGTTTCAAAGTAGGATGGGGAAATGGATCAAGCCTTACCATGGCAAAGCTGGGTGGGACCTCCTAGGCGTCTGTGGGACCTTGGGCTCTCCGGATACTGTGTCTTGGTTTGGGGACTATTTTCATTCTGTCTCAAGCCTAGGTTTGTAGATGCCCTTGGCCATGATACTTACTAGCTGTGTGATTCAGTACAGAGGACAAGCCCCACTTTATTCGGAGTTAACCTATGGTGCAGTGGCCTTAGAAAAACTTAAGAGTAAAAAGCTACCATAAAAAATGCTGGTTATATGTATGACCAGACGGTCAACTCCTCCTTCTTCTCTCTCTTTGCTATAACAGCACCTGTTGGCTTCTAAGTGCACAGAGTTCTCACAACAATGTGCCAAAACCGCCACCCTTCCCATCCTGGCACCCACCTCCCCCCACCCCAGGAGACCTGCATATCAGATATTACTTCCTGCTGTCTATGACCACACCACCTTGGCAGTTAACATCAAAAGCAAACACATGGGGAGAACAGAAGGCACTGGAGCAGCGGGGGAAGAACAAGCATAGGTAATGTTTCATAAACATTTTTCTGGTGCCCAGGTGCAAAAACCTTGGAACTTCACATGTATTTCAGCTGATCATCTAAGGACCCACCTTCTCTCTCCCAGGATAGTGAGCTGAAGGCCCTTCCCTGCCTCCACTCCCAGTGCTCCTGTACCTGGAACACAGACATGCGGAAACCAAAGCTTAAGACCCCTACCTACCATGTTCAGGAGAGCTACACAAGAAGAGCATCTGGGAAGCTCATCTACCTCCACCTCATGCAGGGTGTGACCAAGGCTAGCCATCTGTTCAATGCTGGTGGTTCAACATCTACCTGGGCCACCTTTATCTCAATTAATTTCCACCATCTTTTTCCTATCTCCTGAGGGTTCAGTAACTCAAAG